>NC_000009.12:68845552-69470552 GCF_000001405.40 Homo sapiens | reverse complement strand
TCTTGAATCATCGTAAATTATTTGCATCATTTTTGTGAGGCCCTGAAATTCTGTGAGAGCATTCTGGGAAGTTTTCTGAAGTTTGAAAGCTCCCGTCTTCATATTCATCCCCCAGGCCTAGGGATTTTTCAGGCTCAGCATTAGCCTGAGTATGAGGATGTCACATGTGTGCTCCCTCATCCACAGAGCAATCCGAAGGCAGCACTAAAGGGAAACCATGTTCCGAAAGGCCAAAAGAAAACCTGCAATTCTCTGACATAGGATCATTAAGGGTTTAATTTTTTTTAACTTTGTAAGAATATACTATCCCTGAGCTCAAAGTGAACTTATGAAATTGGGGCTTTTATTTTTCTGGGTGTGATGCGATGACAGTGATATTCAATTATATTCAATTTCCTGAAAGGATAAATGACATAAGACCATATCTCAAAAGGTGTTTAGGTCTGATATTTGTGTGTCTTGGATGCTTGGCATTTCTACAGTCATTTAAATATAATTTGGATTGCTTTTAAACATATCCCCATACCCACACTTACTGTAGTCAAAAAGGGACCTTCTCAGTGAATAGCGCCAAATCAGAGAATATATGATGTTAGAAGTCCCGTAGAGAAGGTAGTTAATTTTTGTTTTCTTTTAACATTGATTTTTAAAAAATAGATGGAAGACTTTTAAAAGTTCATATCCCAGATGAGATCGTTCTTCTTCATATCTGGTTGGCAATAATGATTATGTTTCCATAACACTATAAATGCATCACCAGGAACTTATCATAGAAGAACTGACAATCTTTTACTTTATATAAAGTGTAATGTGGATTCAGACCTGTTCATATATTATTTTGTATGCTTCCCTGCTATACAACTGAAACTGTATATCATATATAGCCCGAATCCATCTCACATCTATAAAAGATTCAGAGCGGGCCCCTGTGGCTGTTGAGTAGAGTGTGAATTACTGGTGTGGAGTGGAGGCAGATTTGTCTGTGTACCACTCACAGTGTTAGCTTCAAAGTCTTGCTTATAAAAATGGAGAATAAGACAAATAACAGGCTTCCTTATTTAATTACTACATAGATGCTTTGTGAAAGCCTTTCCTAAAACACTTTTAATTTCTCTGTTTCAAGCACCACCTTAGTTTTAGAAAAATGAGTAGATTATTTTACATCTTTACTCTGATAAGTAGTTCAGCACAGGAAGCAGCTGTGTAAACTCAAGATGAGCTTGATGTTTAAGGATAAAAATAAAAAGCATTTCAGATTAGCCTTCCAAGAGGAAAAAGCAAATTGTTTCCATTACAAGTTACCTAATTTAAGACCCTGAGGTTTTAACAGTGGGTTAAAATGTATATTTTAGTCTCTGCAGATGTACCAGTCAAGTCAAATAAAATACACAAGGCTAGGCATGGTGGTTCATGCCTGTAATCTCAGCACTTTGGGAGGCTGAGGCGGGCAAATTGCTTGAGCCCAGGAGTCCAAGACCAGCCTGGGCAACATGGCAAAACCCCATCTCTACAAAAACTACAAAAATTAGTTGGGCATGGTAGTGCCTGTAGTTTCAGCCACTTGGGAGGCTGAGGTGGGAGGATCCCTTGAACCTGGGAGGCAGAGGTTGCAGTGAGCCGAGATCACACCACTGTACTCCAGCCTTAGCGAGAGAGTGAGACCCTGTCTCAAAAAAAAAAAAGAAAGAAAATAAAATACGTATGTTTCAATTGCAGATTAAAATGCCTTTTTAAGTAGACTGTTATACAGTTATATATTAATCACAGACACGTTTTAATTTCGAGTTAGGGTTTACAAGTAATTGTGGTTAGAAACAGGTGCCCCCAATTAAAATATTTAAAACAGGTTTGACTTAAAAGGCTGGTAAAATAGAACAGAAAATTTGATTTTCCTTGGAATCTGTCTATGTGTGGGCACAGGCCAAGAACATTATAACCTGTAAGTGAACAAGATTGACAGCATGGGACTGTGGCTTTGAGGTCACATTATCTGTCTTGCACAATTGAGGTCAGAAGCCATTACAGGAATCCAGACATTCTGAAACAGATATCCTATTTTTCTGATCTATAAATTTGTTTCTTCCATTATGGATTAAATGGAGGAAGAGATATGAATGGGGGGGGGCAAGTAATAGGAATTGCTGTAAAAAGCTTTTCTAAAAAGACAGCCATCTAGTTACTTAAGCATTTATCCAGCAAATATCTAGTTGATACCACCTGGGTGACAGTAAGACAAGAGAGTCAGAGGTGAATGTCACATGGTCCTTGTCCCCTAAGAGCTCACAGTCTAACAGGAGAAACAGTATCCTTTATTGCTGAATTTTATGTTCCATGTTTAAGTAAATATTTGCATCACTTTCCATAGTAAATGGTTTTAGAGAAGCAAAATATTTTAGAAACTGTGCCTTCTATTTGAAAATGAGGTGTGGGTGCAGATAGACACAGAGAGATGCCTCAGACCAGCAGGTTGGCTCTGCCTCACCTGTGCCAGCAGTGAGGCATGGGAGAGGGGAGATGTGCCATTGAGGGGGTTGGCAGGCCCCACCCCAGGATGGCTTCCTCACTGTGGCTCTATGTGTTACAGTTCCGGGACCCTGCGACCCCGAAGACTTGATCGATGGAATCATTTTTGCCGCCAATTACCTTGGCTCCACTCAGCTGCTCTCAGACAAAACTCCTTCCAAAAACGTGCGCATGATGCAGGCCCAGGAAGCCGTAAGCAGGATCAAGGTGAGGACATCTGGGTGCTCCAACAGGGACAGGGGGCTGGTGTAGGCACTGGAGCAGTCTACAACACTGGCCACAACTCCACATATAGTTTAGAGGAGAGTGGTTTGAGATGACATCACACAGGCAGTGCTTATCCATGTGCCTGCTAACAAAACAAAAATTTCCAAAATCTACTGGAGTCTTTATATACAAACATGATCTATTTAGGTTGTTATAAATGGCCAGTCTTGAGAAGAAGTGCTCATGATCACAACCTTTGAAAAGTTGGTGTAATGAGGAAGGATGCCGTTTTGAGTATTATGTCTCAAGTGCAAGACATGTACCACTGGATTTCCACTGACAGCTGGAGGTCAGTGGCAAACATTCATGTTACAGAGTTGGTTTAAACTAGGTGGCATTGCTTTTGAACCAGCCCATCCTGTTCAAGCTAGATTGAACTTGCTTGCTTCAAGGAAAATGAACCCTTTGATCAAATCTAACCTGGCTAGTCTAAGGTCAGTGCAAGGCTAATCCAGTTTAAACTAGTTTGAGCCAATCATAACATGTTTGAATCTCATTAATCAAGACATAAAAGGAACGAGCCTGTTTGATCCAGGAGGAACCACTCTTATCTGGTTTAAGTCATTCACAACTAGTTTGAACCATCCAGAACTGGTTTATTCCCATGAATAAATGCAGCAACACAGAGCTCTAGAATCTCCACCACGATACCAAAACTACCTAGAATCATGGGCAAACCAGGACTCCAGGAACACTTAAGGTGTGTTTATGTCATCCACATGCCATTGTGCCACCAGCACCTGGAACCACTGGGCAGCCTCCCCGAGCCTTGAGGCCACTGTCACCTAGAGCCCTAGGGACAGCATCATGGTAGAAGTCCAGGACCAGGTATTTCCAGCAAGTTGGAATAGGTTAGAACTTGTAAGAGTCTGTTTTATCCAGTTTCAACTGGTCAAAATGGATTCTTCCCTCAAGGAGCCATTCCATATTTCATACCTTCTCTCTCACACACTCCCAGGTTGCACCCTGGTGTTTGTGTGGTAACGTGGAAGGAGAAAGAGGGACAGGTAGACCGCAGTAACTGAGAATCCTTGATCTCGCAATCAAAGAAAAAATTATTCCTTGAGCACTTAGGCATGAAGAGCTGTGCAGGGTCTTGGCAGGGAGGAAAAACAGTAGCTGATAAAGTGAGATCCTTGTTCTCAAGCTCAGCAGTATGAATGAGGGAATGACAAAGCAAGCCAGGGAGTGTGTGGGGTGTGCCCAAGGAGAGGACAGTGTCAGAGGCCGAGTGCCACCAGAGTGCAGGGGAAGCCTGCAGATGCGAACACCTCTGACCACTGCCTTCTGCCTGAGAGGTAGAAAGGAACAGTAAGTGACCAACAATTCCAAGAGGTGCTTGCAGAGGAGAGGCAGTTGGTTTGGGCCTCATGCCCAAGCTGATTCTTACGTTAGTCACGTGTCCAGACTCTGCCATGTGGTGAATAGCTCATACCATCACCAACACCGTAAATATGATGCGCCTGAACCCTCAGCTGTCCAGTTATCCTGCAGTTCCCAGGATGCTGTGTGAATGGCCCCACGTCCCTCTCATGGCTTCCTCCTCAGGCTGCTCACTGCCGCTCCTGCTGCTGGGCCTCTGTGTGTCACCCACTGATCTGACCACCTCTCTGTACTTGGAGAAAATGCTTCTCCCCCAAGCTCAGAGCTGGCCCTTCTCTTAACTCCTCCTAGGACAGTAAAGCCCATGCCGTAACTTTTGACATGACTACGATGTTTTTATAAACCAGGGAGGAGTGATTTGCAACTGCCTCAAGAGTGACTGTTGTCACAACCCTGCTAGGCCAGACCTAGTGTCAGGATTACTGACAGGACCTTTTAGTTCCTTCCGTGTGTCAGGGATCCACTCAGCCACTTCATCTGGGGCACACAAACCTTGCCTGTGCCTCAGAGGCCCTGCTGCCATAAGGCCCATTTCTGTGGTGTTTGTCTTCTTCTAAAATTAGCCTCTCCCAGAATGATGGACAGTGGGAAGGTCCAGTTCTTTTAGGGGAAGCCCCACCCCCTACCCAAAGAGATGTGTCTTGCCCCATGGCTCCCAACAGGACAACTCCGTGGAGACAGTCTGACCTTCATACCTTTTGGGACTTTGAGACTAAACAATGCTACGGATAGAACATCACCATGTTCTTGGGGAGCTGCCCATCCAAGCTTGGCCTAGTTCCCTTTCACTGTCTTCCTGTTTCCACGAAGTAGTGACATTGTGCCAGCAAGCCTCCCCAAGGTCTTCTCCATCTTAATTTAGTTGTCTTCCAGGCACAGCATTCAAAACAACAACCCACAAACCTCTCAGAGAGAGCAAGCTGCTTCTCAGGCAAAGTCACGTCCTATTTTGTATAAAGCAGAGAACTTTAAATCAAAGAGACATAGAGACATAGTTCTGACTCCACGTGCCCCATGGGTACCAGATATGCCACCTGGGCTTCCAGGTGAATGGTGCTGTTAGCTTCCCCAGGTTTGGTGGAAGCACAAAAGCCTGGTGTGCCTCACTTGGGGTCTCTGATAGACAGGGACTGCCTTCATAAGATGTGTTTGGAAATGAGTGGGGGCACCTCTGCTTGTCACCATGACTGGGGGCATTTTCTGGGCCAGAGCCAGGTGTGCTCAAGACCCTATAACATCCAGGGCAGAGCCACAAAACAAAGATTTTATCTCTACCAAAATGCCAAAGAGCCCCTATCAAGGAATGCTACCCAGAGCCCGTTCAGGCGTATCTTCCAGAATAAAGCAGCAGTCTGCCCCCAAAGGAGTACTGAAGACTTCTGAGGTTGAAAACTGCACGTTGCCTTGAGGTTAGTTTTTTCTAGGTTCTATCCATCAAGGCTTCAAACATTTTAAGGTTCAGGTTTCATTTGGGACACCTTGTTTATTAGCCCTCTGATAGCTTTGGACTCCTACAGACAGAACATTTATGCCTTTCCAGTCCCCTTATGGCACTTAGGTAGTGCTGAGATGGCCTTACAGGGAAAAAGCGGGCACGGGGCACATCACTTGAACGTAAAGCAATGTTCGGGGTACACAGCATCCCTGTACCAAAGCTCGTCAGTGCCAATTATATTGTGAATTACATTTTCTTATTTCCAAAGTGGTGTCCTATAGAGTTGTTATTCCTTCTTTAAAGTCCAGCTGCCTCATAAGAAATCAGAGATTTTACTTCAAAGCTTCCAAAGGATTGGTATCCCGAAGTTCCACAGTTCATTTGAATCAAAAATTAGATGGCTCTGTTGATCAGAACAACCAAGATAGAGGCTTTCTGATTATAAATACATTTTAGACCTGCCTAGAGCAGAATAGGCATTTGGAAAACATAGATTTATTTTTACAAGCAAATTACTCTGGCGTGAGGAATTCATTATAGAGTGGTAAAATTAAATGGTTACATTTCATTTATAACTTATAAGTATCATTTTACAATGTGCATCTATGCATTGGAAGGAACTGTTGCCTGTCATTAAATATTTTCTGTTTCATGTTCCTTTTACATCCATTAAAATGCTTATCAGATTGGTTGACGTTATATCCAGCTAGAAGCCTTTTCCAAGTGTAAATGGAGATGCCTGTTTAAGTCAGCACTCTCCAAAAAGTGACTGTGTCAGGGAGCGTACACGGACTTCATCAATGCAAAGGGAAGCTGGGGGCAAAGAGTGCTGATCCTGAGCAGGCTGGGCTGGGCTCAAGTGGAAGGAGCTTGCACCAGGTGCCCACATGTGCTTGGGAGACACTGCTCTGTAAGGAAGATGGTGCCACGCTGTTTCCTAAAGAGAGACTGACCTTTCAGGACAAGTTATTCTAGGCCACCTTGACAGAAAGGACGTAGAGCACAGCAAAGCTGCAGACTTTATAGCGTCCGTCCAGGAAGGAAGGAGAAAGAAAAGCTCTGTGGATTTATTTTGCAATCCATTTAGCAATGTCCTTAACCCCAATCTGATTAGTAATTTCTGGCTTGGCACTTTCACCTAAACAAAGGTGGGGGTAGTTTCCTCCTTTGTTTTCTGATTCCTCCTTCTTCCCTCACTCCCTGCAGGGACCCCCGTTTTGTCCCTCTCTTCCTCTGCCTACATTGTTTGTTTGACCAGATGGATGTGACTGGATGTGAATGAGAACTGCTCACCACGCGCCCTGTTATTCGTGGTGCTTTATCTCTGAACAGACGCTGACCTTGAAGCTTAGGTTTCCATTTCAAAGTAGTCTTTAATTTCTCTTCCATTTGTCGATTGTGGTGTCCGCCACTCATGTAGTACCAACTGTATACTAAAATTGAACATTGCTTATTGGATTTGGACTTGGGGTTTTGAAAATTACTGTTTTCTTAATTTAACAAAAAATTTACAAGATTCCTTTGCCACATGGAGAGAGAATTTGGAGCTGCGGTTTGGCCAGGTATTTTCTACTTAATGTGAAAAGAAACAAAGGAATTTGGCCCCAAATGCCAACTGTTGCTGTGCAGACTCCTGTGATAGGCCCTTTAGGAATAAATTTAACCAATACACAGTTCTTGAGCTTGAGAAACTTGCAGTAAAAACAAGCCAAAAAGAATGTTAGGTAACAAAAATACAAGGTAAGCTGAGGGCTCTGAAATTTAAAGGCTTTTCCATCTACCACAATTTAAGAGATGACATATCTGAGCACAATAGCAGAATTAGAAGACATCTGTCATTAAACATTTTTTTGTTTTGTTTTGGTCTTTGGTCCCTCCCTAATGTGTTCATTCTGCCTTTGTTGGTCATCATTTTTGAGAAGTAATATCCTTCCAGAGAGCCCCCATATACCTTAGGGGATTGCATTAGAGCCCTGGTTCTCAAAGCATGATCCCTGGACCAGTAGCATCAGCATTGCCTACAAACTTCTTAGAAGTACAGGTTTTCAGGCCCAACCCCAAACCTACTGAGTCAGAAACTCAGAAGGTGGCACCCAGGAGTCTGTGTTTTAACAAACCCTCCAGGAGATTCTGCTCTGCACCAGCGTTTGGGAACCACTGCCTTAGAGAAAGGTGGACCCGCCAGTGTGTGAAGCATCTTTCCTCCCACTGTGCCCTGTAGCATTCTAGTCAGGCTAAGTGCTTGTCATTAATAGAGTTCCACTGGCAAATAAGCTCAAGAAAATAGACCTCCTTTTCGGACATTTGCTACAGGTGTCTTCCTCTTCAAGGCTCTGAGAAGTCCTGCACTAAGAAGATTTCATTCACTTTAACTAGCAGCTCCCATACTTATTTGAGCACAGAATACATTGTTACCATGTGATAGATACCTGTCATTGGTAGTATTCTCTGGAACATGTTTTGGGAGAAACTTCTAGAGAGAGCTTTGTCCTATGTGCTGTCAGTCTTTAATGTGCCGTAGATAGAAACACATCTCTCCCCTAACAACGTGGGACTCATGCCTACCCCTTTCTAGAGAAAGCCAGACTGGAAGCCAGCACAATGAGCTCATTTGTCTTCCTTGTTCTCCACTGCATCTCCACCTTGCCTTCCACTCTCATTCCCACTTCATTCTCTGCTCTTCAACCAGAAGATAGGGTGGCCTGCTGAGCCCTACCTGAACCACAGAGACTGCTTCATGTCCATCCACCCAGAGTGTGGTGTTTGTGTCTCCATTCTTCCTGTATTTGTGAAGCTAATGCAATTAGATTAGATTACAAATGGTGTATAGGTATCTTGTGGTCCATGCATTTTGGCAAGCTGCATTCATTATCAAATATTCATATATTCATCTTAACTAGCCTGTCCCAAAGATCAGATTTTTTTCATTCTTTTATGATTTTCTCAAAATTATGATTTCATTGTAGAAGTAAAATGTCTATCATTATAGCTTTGCCTAAGTTGTAGCATTTCCCAGCTTAGTTGAAGAAATCTATGATCAGTAAAGTATTAGGCCCTTCACATGCATTATCTCAATCTCATTTACTCCTCAAAATGGATGGGGTAGAGAACATTGTGAGGTAGGTGTTGTTAACCCCATGGTATAGACAAATGGAGAAGTTTACAGATGACATGCTTGCCCCAGTTGCACAACTAGGGGTTTACAATGGAGTGAGATTGCCAGAGTTTGAATCTCTATTCTGCCACTTCACAGCTGTGTGACCTGGGGCAAGTTAATTAGCCTCTCTGTGCCACATTTCCCTCTTCTGAAAAATGAGGATAACATAATATAGGCAGAAATGACAACATCTACTTAAACCTCGTGTTTCATGGGATTGATCATGGCTTACCATCTAGCAGGGTAGTAGCTCACAGGGGTGTTGTAAGCTTTTACACTGATTTATGTGAAATACTTTGAAGGATTCTGGCACATAGCAAGTTCTCAGTAAATGTCAGTGGGGAGAGAAAAGATAGAACAGTCAGGAGCATCCCTGGCACGACTAATCTAGAGTGTGTTAACAGCGGCAGAAACTCAGTACACATTGTGGATGGAGTAAGGGGGTGGGGGGTGCTGCAGTTTGTCCTTTGCACTACACCCCGCCACGTGGTAAACCATGATCAATCCCATGAAACACGAGGGTTTAAATAGATGTTGTCATTCCTGGCTTTAAAATGCATGCTGGCCTTATGTTTCTCTTGGACCCCTTTCTGCTACCCTAATTTCTCATTCTGGCTCCAACTCTCCCATCTTCTGTGATGTTATATTTAAATTTTAAATTATAATTTGTTGCAGGGTACTTGGATATCATGAGTGATTTAAAGATGGTATTACTCTAAATCCACAGAATATTTTTAACTTCATAAAAACTGTTTCGGGCCAGGCACAGTGGCTCACGCCTGTACTCCCAGCACTATGGGAGGCCAAGGCGGGTGGATGACCTGAGGTCAGGAGTTTGAAATCAGCCTGGTCAACATGGTGAAACCCCGTCGCTACTGAAAAATACAAAAATTAGCTGGGTGTGGTGGCACATGCCTGTAATCCCAGCTGCTCAGGAGGCTGAGGCACGAGAATTGCTTGAACCTGGGAGGCGGAGGTTGCAGTAAGCTGAGTTGGCACCACTGCACTCTAGCCTGGGTGATAGAGCGAGACTCTGTCTCAAAAAAAAAAAGTTTCAGAATACCTTTCATGAAACTCAGTTTGCCTTTTGGATCCTCTTCCTCAACACCAGTCCCAGAAAAAAAAAAAAAAGAATTTGGGTACTCCAGTGATGGTGGAACCTATTTCCTTTTGAAAGAGTTATTTCAAATCGGTTCCCTAGAGTTGAAGAATTTTGACCAACAGCTGTTAGGGTTTGGGATCCAAAGTAATGGAAATTCCTATATTACTGCCATATCATTTCAGGAGAAGTAAAAAACAAACATTAAAGATCTCCCAGCTGTCAGTTATGCAGATTATAACTGATGCCAGTCCGAACATCCCTGGCCAGACTCTGGGGTTCCACACGGGAATCCTCGTGGTGTGGCATGGCATAACATCAGCATAGGGTCACTTCTCAGATGCAGAACTATTCCCACTGTAATGTGCAGCAGTCAGGATGACAGAGTTGCTACCTTCAAACTTTTTCAGAGCAGACTATTCACTGTGAACTCATGGCGACCAGTAAGAACAGCAGGGCATCTGTGTGGGAGTGTGGTTGCCCTGGTTTCCCGGGTGTACCAGAGATTCGCTATGTGGTGTCTGGATGGCTGACTTATCCAGTTTCTCTACAATGAGGTAGTATAGGCAACATATTTTAGTCACTAATGAAACAGAGATGTGCTGCTGAGAGCAGAGGAGCTTTTCTACCAGGTGAGTACCCAGGAATATGAGAGAGCAGTTCTTCCTCCACCCCAATCCCATTACCACAATAGCGTCTGCAGTTTGGCCATTGACTTGCCATTATTTGTACAAGATCTGTATAAATAGCAAGTCTTAGCAAAAGGCAAGAAATTGCATCATGACCTAGGTCAATTATAATCATATAACAGCAAACACAAATATAGTGCTTAGAATGTATGAGGCACTGTTTGAAGAGCTTTGCATGTATTCATTTTGTCCTCAAAATATCCCTGTGAGGTAGATACTATTTTTATCTTCACTTTACAGATGAAGAAACTGAGGCACAGAGATGTTCAGTGGCTTGCCTCAAAGTTGCACAGCTAGTAAGTGGCAGAGCCAGGACTTGGTTTTAGACAATCCAGCCCCACGCTCTGCTTTTATCAACTATGCTGTCTTTTAATTGTGAGCAAAAGGGAGAATGGTACATCCATTTTTAGTTAGGTGTAAACTACATTAATATTACATAAATTTAAGGCAAGAAGTATTACTGGAGATAAAAAGGGAGAACAATGAAAGGATCAATTTACCAAGCAGGTATACCATCCTACCTGTGTGTGCACCTTATAACATAGCTGTAAGATAAAGATTGACAGAATCAGGATACACAGACAAATCCACATAACAGCTGGAGGTTTTAACACACTCAATAAATGATGGAACAAGAGATTAAAGAACCAGCAAGTATATAGAAGGTTTGAACAATACTGTTAACCACCTTAATTGACCTAATTGTCATTGATTGAACACTGTCCCTAACAACTACGGAATGCATATTTTGAAGTGCACATGACACATCCACCAAAGGCAGTCATGTGCTGGACCATAGAGCTAAGCCTCAGCATATTTCAAAAGATTGACATACAGACTGTGTTCTCTGACCACAGTGGAATTAATTCCAAAATCAGCAGAAAAAGATAACTAGAGGCCAGGCGCGGTGGCTCGCGCCTGTAATCCCAGCACTTTGGGAGGCTGAGGCAGATGGATCACCTGAGATCATTTGAGACCAGGCTGGCCAACATGGAGAAACCCCATCTCTACTAAAAAATACAAAAACTAGCCAGGCGTGGTGGCGCATGCCTATAATCCCAGCTACTCGGGAGGCTGAGGCAGGAGAATCTCTTGATCCTGGGAGGCAGAGGTTGCGGTGAGCCAAGATCATGCCATTGCACTCCAGCCTGGGCAACAAGAGCAAAACTCCATCTCAGAAAAAAAAAAAAAGAAAAGAAAAGATAACTAGAAAATCCCCAAATGTATCAAAATTAATAATACAATTCCAAATAATCCAAGGTTCTAAGAAATTGCAGTGGAAATTTGAAAAAAAATTTAACGGAACAATGATTAAATTGAAACACAAAAATCTGTGGAATACATCCAAAGCAATGCTTAGAGGGAGATTCATAGCTTTGCATATCAGAATAAAGTTTGAAAAGCCATAATTTAAGTTTTTATCTCAGGAAGCTGAGAAGTCAGCAAATTAAACCCAAAGAAAGTAGAAGGAAATAAAGATCTATGCTGAAATCAGTGAAATAGAAAACCAGGCGTACAATAAAGAAAATTAACAGAACCAAAACTTGGTTATTTGGAAAGATCACTTGCAATTAAGTATAAGAAGCACTGCAACACATTTCCTTTGTCTCACTTCACCACTTCCCACATACTAAATTCTGAATTACGACATTGATTATCTTTAGACTGGGATTTTTAAAAGCCAGTCCTCCTCCCACAGAAACGCTTTATGCCACTATTCAGTATTAGTTTGTCAATTCCCTTTTTGACTTTGAGTCTCTACACATTCTTTCTAACTATTCTCCTGTCTCTGTTTGTTCCATGCTAAGCAGATGGCCCAGAAATTAGCCAAAAGCAGGAAGAAGGTGCAGTACAAACAACTTCATCAGCTTGGTGTTATGCCTGTTCTTTTCATTCGTTTCTGTTTTACCTTTTTATATTTTCGTGTTTTTGTTTTCTGCATCCAGCAAGTTTTTGTTCAGATTTCTTTTTGAACCGCCCCATAAGCCAGCGTTTCTCAAAACTCAGTTGCCGAAGGTGGCCGTTTTCTGTTGCTCATTAGTCATTTCACTTCAGAGGAACGACAGGGAGCAGATTGGAGACGCTGAATGAATCGTATAGTAGTATGGAAGTTCCAAACATTCAGGAGCATCGATGTGGCAGGGACTTGAGTCTGTTTGATTATAGTTATGCTTGATTTGTGGATTTGTCAGATTGCTGGATGCAAAAAAGAAAACTCGCTAATAACCACACATGTACAGAGTTAAGCCCTAAATGAACCAGACTGCGCTTTTTGGTTGTGGAGCTTCTAGGTGCTTATGAGCTACTACTCCTGGGACGTTGAGGCATTGGGGCTCTTTCTTAATGGGGTGGCTTCAGGACTGCTTCTGTGTTGCTGGGTGATATGTAAACATAAAGACCCTCTTACCAGAACTGCATCCAAATGGCTTCATTTGCAGCTGCTATAAACATTGTCTCCTATCAGCTCAAGCAGAGGCAAATTCTAAGTGACTTCCCCAAGGTCTTTTGGTATGAGCTTTTTGGCCTATTTCTTCAATCTGTTGGGCTCCAAAACCCTTACAGAGAGGGCCACTTGCCATCATCGTTCAAAGAGTGAAATCTACTGCAGTGAGTTACTGCTTCTATAGGGGAAGAAGAAAAGGGGATTCCGCATTTTTCCCTGTAACCTAGAGGTGCTAACTCTTGTCCATGTGTCCATCCTCTGTGTGGTAACTTCAGCTTTGGCAGTTTAACCCTAGAGTCTGTATTGCTGTTCTGGTGACTGTGTCGTGGTGCCTCTGTGTGAGCTAACCTTACTCCTTCTGCATCTGGGTCAGGGTAGTGTGGTCAAACTTTCTCTTGGTGCATTTTTTCTTCTCAGGCTCCTGAAGGCGAATCTCAGCCAATGACTGAAGTGGATCTCTTCATTTCTACCCAGAGAATCAAAGTGCTGAACGCCGACACACAGGTATCAGCTGGCTTCCACCTTTCCCAGGGTGAAGCTTAGTGACATCGTAACTCAGAGATGCATGTGTCTGTAGAGCAGGCATGTGTCTGTAGAGCAGCTGTCCCTAGATTCTGGGCCCCAGTGAGCTAGAAGGTGGTGTTCACAGTGCCTGCTGCTGGGTGGGGTTTGGGATTGCTTTCTTAAAGCCCAAAAACACCCCTAAGACATGGATGACGTTTAGCATTTTCAGAAATTTTAATCAGAGAATTCATTAATGTGAACAAATTTGTCTTTTAAGAAATTTTATTTAAAATCTCTTACATTCACGCACACAAAAACAGAAACAGCCCTGCCATTTTGATTTGTCTTTTTTTTTTTTAAACTTCTCCACAAGAGATTCAACTGTTTGGAATTTCTTATTTCTTTTCACCTGCCACAGATCATTTCCTGCTCTTGATTAGCTAAGGGAAATGCCCTCCGGCCTGGGTGGGTATCCGTTGATCCCTCAGCATGGGCTTTGCAGTGAGCCCTGGAGCCCACCCTGCATGCGAACCATACTTGACTGGCTGTAAGGTGGCAGGCGCTTTCTTAGGTCATTAGATGCTGAGCTGGACTTACCCGCCCTCTCTTCCTGCCTCCAGGAGACAATGATGGACCACCCTCTGAGGACCATTTCCTACATTGCGGACATTGGGAACATCGTTGTGCTGATGGCCCGCCGGCGGATGCCTCGCTCCAACTCCCAGGAGAACGTGGAAGCGTCCCACCCATCCCAGGATGGGAAAAGGCAGTACAAGATGATCTGCCACGTCTTCGAGTCTGAGGATGTAAGGGTTGCTTCCTTTGATCTCCTTTTGGGTTAGGTTCTCTTGACTTCTCAGAACCTGATTCAGTCTAATTCATCACACATGATGCATGTATTTATTGTGCACGTACTGTGTGTCAGGCACTGTTCCAGCACTAGAGATATAAGGCTGAGTAAAACAGACAGGGTACTCATCGCAAGGGCTGAAAGGAGGCAGAAAATCAATAGGTAAATATACTTAATGTAAAATTGGGTAGTGGGGAGTGCTCCACAGACAAATAAAACAGGGTCAGGGGATGGAGGGACAGGGGCTATGTCAGGTAGGGTGATCAACAAAGCCCTCACTTGAGGAGGTGACCTTGGAGCAGAGACCTGAATAAAGTGAGAAAGAGGAAGGAGCAAATGCGAAGGCCCTGAGGCAGGGGCTAGCTGCGTTTCCCTTTGAGGAAGGGAAAGGAGGCCAAGCTATTAGCGACTTTGGGATGAGGTGAAGAGTAGGAAGAATTTGGCACCTCCTGTAGGGGTTTGAGCAGGTCTGTCCAAGCATGAGGGCATTTTGGGAGGACAGTTCTTTGTGGTCCAGGACCATCCTCTGGGCTACAGGAAAGTTAGCATCCCTGTCCCTCCCCAGCAAACAGCAGGAGCACTGCCCACCCCAGTCCTTAGGAAAACCAGCTCCTTTTCCTGGCACAAAGCCAGTGGTTCCTAAGCTCCATTTCTCTGGGTGATGCAGTCAACAGAGAAAATTTGTTTACAACAGAAGCCATTCTGTCATTTGGCCTACTTTCAGGGTTGTAACCCAAGCTGCTAGTGAGGCCACCAGGCTGCAAACTGCAGCCTGAACTAAGCTGCTCCCAGGTGCTCCCCTACCTCCCCGCACCATCCTGGGCCTCAGCAGTCCTCAGAAGCCGCCTCCCAGGGGAGGCCACAGCCCTATAGTAATTTTTAATAGCAGAAAACTCACCCACCCCCTGAGGGCCATTGCTTTTGACTGTGCTCATTTTTCCTCCTGACACAGAGGAATAGGCTCTGTTTCTCACATGGAGCACGGAGTCCTGATCTGGGAAGAGAAGATGGCGTCTGATAGCCTTGGTTCCTTCAAAGAGGCCCTTCTTCTCCAGTACAGCATTCGTCTAGCTGCAGAAATTGCCTTCCTCTCGGAAGTTAGGTGTCAGCAGCCATCCTGCTTTTTTCTCCGGGGAACCAGAGCTGTCGTGGCTGTGGGCACAGAGAGGAGGAGATGCCAACACTTACTGTCACCATCTTTTATTGGTCTTGTTCTCTAGAAAGCAGCACAGGACAAGGTCACTGGGAGAACAGAGAGCTTGAAATACCTCTGCCTGCCATTCTCCCTACTGTTCCTGTAAAGCTGAGGCCAACATGCAAACGGGGAAAATGAGTTTTAGGAGGTTCTCAGAAAGTTCCAAAAGAGTGAAAATTTGGACTTTTAAGCCTCCTGTGTCCTGCAGGCCAGCGAAAAGATGAAGTTACAGGGATCGAGGATCCCTGTAGGCCCCGCTGCTACCTCCATCTGGCTGGAGCTCATAGGGAGGGGTTTCTTCTCCTTGGGGTACCCTTGGATCCATCAGGGAAGAAAGGAAAGATTGGAGAAGCAAGAGGTAGGCAAGAGTGGACCTGAGAATCTTACCCCTTTGCTTTCACTAGAGCAGGGCCAGAGTGTGCTGGCTCCAGAATTGGGCAAGCTGAGCTTGAGTCCTTCCTCATCCAAGCTGTGCAGCCACTAAGCCTCAAGTTCCTCTTCTGCAGGACGATAGTACCTCCCTCACCAGGCTGCTGTGGCACTCTCATAGATATTGCAGTTAAAGCCTGATGTGTGGCACATGGCTAGTGGTCCATAAATCTCAGTAGCCAGTGTATTCACCAGGGGCATCCACTAATGATGATCAGGAAGTCGACTGGTCACATTCCCAGGTATATATTTTTCAGTTTGTCTGCATGTACCTCTCTGATGCCAAAAGCAATGCCTTACTCCTTCCAGTTTTACAATAGGTAGATGGTGGTAGTTCTTGATGTGATTTGTAAAGTCATCAGATTCTAACAGTGAGAAAAGTTAAGTATTTCTTTTCCCATAGCCAGCCACACGGAAAGTTCCCATTTTGCTGTTAATAAGGTGCTTTTAGGAAAGGTGGGGAAAGAGCAGTGGAGGTTAGAATTGTGTTTTTAAAACACCGCTCTAGAGATTTTCTGGTTTGGCTTTTTCTGCCCATCAGAATTTCACAGAGAAGCCTTCCAGTGTGGTGGGCAGGAGGATGGGCTCTGGATTCAGCCCCCAGCCCCTTCTCAGGAAGTGTGCAGTTTAACCCCTCAACCTCCATATCCTGTTCTACCCAGTGGGGACACTAATACAGATCCATAGTTCCAAAGTCTAGAAAGCTCTGAGAAACAAAAGGGATTTTTGAAGTCAGGTGGCTGATAAACTTGCCTTGCCTGCTGGCAGGCCGTTTATAGAATTTGTCTAGCTTACCATGAATCTTACAGATTTTGCCACAGAAATGTTACTGTGCTCTGTGTACTTCCCCAGACCGTCAGGGGGTTATGGCACAATGTACAGTATTTGCACCCTGCTACCTTTCTAAAATTGGAAAAGTTTTGAATTCTGAAGCAGAGCCTCTTGCATTCCAAGTGAAGGATTGTGGACCAGTCATACTAATAGCTGTCATAGAATCGATATGCAGATTCAGTGATGGTCCTTGTATAGCATTTACTTTTCATAGCATATACCTTGTATAGCATTTACTGCAGCATAGCCACATGAGAAGTGCTCAGTTGCTCTTGGCTGTCTGGATTAATAATGTTGCTTAATTAATGCAGGGAAAAGCTATCAAAACCCAGTGTAGAAGCCAGTGCCACCTCCTGCAAGCTGTGTGAATTTGAGAGGTTCCTTTGTGTCTCTGGGCCTCCATCTCCTCAACTGGAAAATGCAGGGTTGGACCAGTCAGAGTTCTCAACTCTGTTAGACCCAACCCTCCCTTTCTACAATAAATATCTTATTAATGACCCATTACTATCCTGAAATGAAATTCATAGCTAATATAACCTCCCCTATTGAAAAATCTTTCACAGAATAATCAAATTGTGGCCATAAATATAATATAAAGGAAAGATAAGTGGAAAGCAAACTAAAATAAAACCATATTACAATATGTATTAATAAATGCTCTGGCGCAACCATTCTGAAAGGCATAATGAGATAGTGAGATGCTTATGCCTACTTGATTAAGCTTGGATGTAGGAGAACGCAGTGTGCAGTGGGATATCATAAACTTTCCAGTTGACATTTCAAATTGAGGGCCAAATAATATGTATGTATCTACAAGCACATGCATAATCACCATGCATGACAGCACACGTGCAGGTTGATAGGGATGTGATTTATCGGCAACACAGATATCACAGCAGCGCTGATGTTGATTTTCCAAAGTCATGAAGTTTCCTCCTGGTGAAGTACTGAATGAAGCAAAATAACATCATCTCTCAATTCAGACGGTATTATTCTTGAAATGTTCGATGTGTATTAGAGCCATACAAAGTCTTTGTGTTTATGTATAAATTGGAGTTGAATCCTGGACTCAGGTAACTGTAAACAAGTATTGCATGCACATGAATGTCCAGAGGGATCTGTGAAGATGGTGCAGGGTATAGAATGACTCATCACTGTATCGAGCTGTTTTTTGCATGGCAGGATATTCAGCATCTCTGACTCCTGTCTGCTGAATGCCGGTAGCTCCCTTATGATCATTGTCATAATCAAAAACATCCCCAGTCTTTCTGAAAATTGCCCCTGGTGGGCACTGGTAGCCCCACGTAGAACCACTGGCCCAGCAGGCGTGATGTCTAGGGTTTCCTCAGACTCCAGGAGGGCCATTGTTCAGGTGGGAAGTGCGCCAGGCCGCTCACCAGGTGCACTGCCCTGCTGACCATCTTTCCTCTCTGGCTGCTGTTCCAGGCTCAGCTGATTGCACAGTCCATCGGACAGGCATTTAGCGTGGCATACCAGGAATTCCTCAGGGCCAATGGGATTAACCCCGAAGATCTCAGCCAGAAGGAGTATAGTGACCTGCTCAATACCCAGGACATGTACAACGATGACCTGATCCACTTCTCCAAGTCGGAAAACTGTAAAGATGTGGGTACTTACCTGAAGCTGTTCTCCAGGCTGGGTCAGCTGGGCAGGGGCTTGGAAAGTGGGGCACCCTGCCGCGGAAGTGAAGGGAGATCAATGGTGAGGAGTGCCGTATTGGCAGGACATCATGAAGTCGTTCACCCCCATCTCTCGCTCCCTGCTGTGGGGCCCTGTCATGAAATGCTATTGTGGACAGGTGTAAACAGAGAGGCAGCACATCCTCTGCTCCTGGTCATCCTGAGCTAAGTTTTGGGTGGGTCCCAGAGGCAGATAGGACCTGAACTCTGCTTGTACAAACACTGCAATCTAGGTAAGGGCACTGAAAAAGTTAAATGATGGTGCCAGGTACAGGCACTAATCAAAACCAACTACACTTGGACAAACAGAGAAGATCTCAAGTTTCAGACAAGAGGTGCTGTGCTTCTCTGGGGATGGCCTGTGGCTTCAAACTGAGCTATTCAGGAATGCCTGTAGGAAGATGAGGCTATCCAAGCTGGTCTGGCGATCTGGGGATTGTAGGGGCAAGCCGAGGGTGGGGTCTATGGAATGGTTGGAAGCCTGGAGATCAGAAAGCTCCACATTTGTCTAGGGAATGAGGAAATACGGTTTGGCTAGAGCAGGAGGTAGGCACAGGAAAGGAGATAGATGGGCCTGAGATCTGGGTCAGAACTGGAGGGCCTGCAAGTCCAGCTGAGGGGTTTGGACTTGATCCCATAGGTAAAAAGAACTTTTAATGAGAAAGTGATCATTTGATCCACTGGGGTCTGTCAGGTGTCTTAGGTCAGATTCCCCAGAAGCAGAGCCTGAGGCAGGGATTCTTGTCACAGAGGTTTGTTGGGAGAGTGCCTCAGAACAGAAGGGATGTGGGAAGCTTGGTGGTGGGACACCAAGTAAGGGTGTGGTCCCTTGGACATGAGCTTCCTTCTGTCCAGAGGGAAGCTCCATGGCACATATTGCAGGACAGATTTGTCTCACCTTGGAGCGAGGGAGCTGGCAAGCCTTTGTACCCCATGCCGGTTATTGGCCAAGGCTGGACAGGGGGTATATGAATTTACTAGGGCTGTTGTCACAAAGTACCATGGACTGGGTGACTTCAACAACACAAACCTATTGTCTCACAGACCTTGTGGCCAGAAGTCCAAAAGCAAGGTGTTGTTAGCATTGGTTCCTTCTGAGAGCCGTGAGAGAAGAATCTGTTCCAAGCCTTTCTCTGGCTTGTAGATGGCTGTCTTCATGCTGTGTCTTCACATCAGCCTTTCTCCATGCATGTCCCTATGTCCAAATTTCCTCTTTTTTTTTTTGATACCCATGACAGACAACCATTCCTCTTCTTAAATAAGGACATGAGTAATATTGGATTAGAGTCCATATTAATCACCTCATTTAAAATTGGTTACCTCTGCTAAGACCTTATCTCCAAATAAAGTCACAATCTAAGTCAAAGGCACTGGGGGTTGGTAATTCAACATACAAATTTTGGGGGGACACAATTCAACCTTAACAGAATGTGTCTCCCTTTCAGCTAAGGACAGTTCTCCAGGGAAGGGGCTGACTGTAAGCTTCAGCAGCTGGGGGAAGCAGACACCAACCTGTGAAGGGGACTTTGTCAAGCCCCCCAAAAATACACATACACACTCTGTTGGGTGCTTCCAAGAGGTGTGGTACCTTTTAGTGGCATATCTGCAGGCCTCCCCAGAGTGCAAGTATCCAACATCAACCCCTGTCTTCTCTGCCCTGCCAGTGAAGGTTGTGAAAAGTCTGTGTATCCAGGATATGCACTTCCTGTGTGCACACCCAGCCTTTTGGTTGTGATAACTTCAGCATCACTTTTTCTTTTTTCTCAACTTTTTCCTTGCAGAGAAGTGTTTCTGTGTGTTTATTTATTTTTAACTCAAGAAAATTAAATGTCGGAGCGAATTGGGGAAGCACTGTGGGAGGGGGAACCTGCGCATGGAATTTGAAAAGCTATTTCTAGAAACCATAACACACCACCCACCCACAGAGCCTCATCCCCTGCCACTGAGGACAGGACTGAAGAAATTAAAAAAAAAAAAAAAAAAAAAAAAAACTGGTGGTCCTCATGGTTGTGTGCTGAGGCAAGTTTGCTTATGTGAAACGAGTGAATTACAAAAGAGTGTAGACCTGTGTGAATTCATTTCTTAAAAACTCCAAATATGCGGAATGCTGAGAAGACAGGAACTCATCTGGGTTGGTGTCCCCAGGGAAGTGTCTTTCTTTAGGCAAGACAGGAATGGGGGAGAGGCTTTCATTTCTACCTACCCCAGATGGTCACTGATGGAGGTTTTCTAAATGTTTTTCTCCTTCCAGGTTTTCATAGAGAAGCAGAAAGGAGAAATCCTAGGTGTGGTGATTGTGGAGTCTGGCTGGGGATCCATCCTCCCCACCGTGATCATTGCCAACATGATGCATGGTGGCCCTGCGGAGAAATCTGGGAAGCTGAATATCGGTGACCAGATCATGTCCATTAATGGCACCAGCCTGGTGGGCCTGCCTCTGTCCACCTGCCAGAGCATTATTAAGGTACCTGAATATGGGAAAAATCAGTTGATGTGGTAAACCTCAAGTGATGTGAAGTGTGACCCCCATCCAGTCATTAATGTATATGAACATATTCAAAGTGTCAGGCACCAAGGAAGACACAAACACAAAAGGCGTGGACTTGCACTCAGGAAGCTTACCATCAAGTTACTGTTTACAGATTCTTCCCTGAAATCAATTTAGATTAGGGGAAGTGTATTTGGTTCACATGACACTACTTTCTGATAGCAGCATGTCCATCACAGCATCACTAGTCAATCACAGCATTCTCCCACTAAGCCCAGACTCAGCCTCAACAGAAATGGCCTCAGCTTGGGAATCCAGACAGTCACTTATAGTCAGCCAGATACACTTGGCATGATTTACCATCCCTGTCAAAAATGTCAGAAATGCTTCAAATCTGAGAGTGCTTTTTCCTTCCCAGTGGCCCTGACTATGATGCAGGTGAGTTTGTCCTCCCTCAGACCCCGGGTAAAGCAACTCACATGTGCTCATTGCCAGAAGGAGGAGGAAACTCTCTTCCAGTCCATGGAAGCTTTTTCATACCTGAGCATACTTCCTGCTCAACCTGAACTGATGCTTATAAAGCTAAGAAGAGCTACTTAAAGGAAAATTAAATGTGAATACTTGAGAAGAAATGAGATTTTCTTTAGACATGAAGCATTCATGTGGAGTTTTTTGAGCACATTGGGACTTGCTGAATGCATGGCCAGTGTGACCAGGATGTTCCTCCTCCATGATGGCATCTGTAGACCCCAGTAGCTCTGCACCAAGTGCTGCGGTACTGTAGCTAGACTGAGATTCCACAGCGTTTTTTGGGGTCCTGTAGGGGTTTCCTGAAAGACTTAGCTGGAACATAGCTGTGTGCGTATGTGCATGTGTGAGAGAGAGGGAGAAGGAAGGGGATTAATTCGTGCAAATAGTCATTGTGAGCAAAAGAAAAATCACAAAGCCAGCCTCCTCAGCTAAGGGGGTGGGGGTGGGAGGTGAAGGTGAGTGTATAGGACACATGGATGGTGACTTTTTGTTTTTAATGAAATGGAGTAAATTCTAATTTCACATAAGATAATCACATCTGGAAAGAAATAGTCCTCTTTGGCCTCCTTTAATTTCTTTTTCTTATATCTTATACTTAAATAAATTCTACCTCTTGCTTAATACACGTTAAAGGTAAGATTAGAGAATCAACTTTGAACATGGATATTCATTCAGAAAGGTTTAATTGGGCCTCTGTGAGGCACTGAGCTGCGCTCTGAGGAAGCTGGCTTGCCAGTGTGCATGTGCAGGATAATTAGAGACGTGCAAGGGCTCTGCGGCCAACATAAAGGTGAGAGGCTACAAGTGATTAGATGGACAATTTTATGTGATTTTAAAGTTGACCTTGAAGGAATAAAACCTAGGTAGGTAGCAGAAAGGGAAGTGGCGTTTGGAAGTTTCTGCTTGAATTGATGGACAGGGGCCGGTGTTGAGTCAGGGAGAGATGGGGTCTGAGCCTGGCCCGGAACGGCTGGTCTGGTGTTGCTGTGATTGCATGGAGAGGCAAGCGGGGGGGTGGGGCTAGGGAGGCAGGACCACAAGTCGCTCCTGCCAGTGAGCAAGTTGCTTATTAAACACCTTGGGTGCATGCATGAGAACTGCTGAGGGGCTGTGGGACCCAGGGGCCCCGTGGACACAGTCCCTGCCCCCCAGGGAGCTTGGTCGGTTTGAGGAGAAGTGAAAGGACTTATGGCTCACAGTGCTCAGTGCTGTGTGTCTGTGCTCTGGATGCTCTGAGAATATGTGTGGACTGACTTGCTGAGCCTTCGGGGCAGCATTCTGTGGGCAGGTACTATTTTGTACCCATTGTACAAGCTAGGAAGCTGAGGCACAGCAAGATGATGTAATCGTCTGTGGTCATACAGCCTCCAATACAGAGTCATCCCAGGGAGGGTGTCAGGTGAAATGCTAGGCCCAAGGCCAGACCATGGGGCAGTACTTCTCAGCCAGGGGTGATCTTCATCCCCCAAAATGTATGGAGACTGTTTGGGTTGTCACGGAGGAGAAGGTGCTGCCAGCATCCAGTGGGTAGAGGCCAGGGATACTGTCAAACATCCTACAATGCACAGGACAGCCCCACAGCACAGAGTTATCCAGCCCCAAATGTAGGTAGTGCTGAGGTTGAGAAACTGCCTGAGCGGCATAGGAGTTCAGATGCAAGAGAGAGAAATCGATGAGAGAGGGAAGCTGGTTAGGGATGGTTTGTGGGGAGTTGGTCTGAGTCTAGAAGGGTTGGGGAGGAGGAGCGGGGATAGGGGGTTAAGTAAAGTATTGAGTAATATTTGTGTTCCCTCCAAATACATATTGAAACCCTAATCCCAATGTGATGTTATTTGGAGGTGGAGCCTTTAGGAAGTGATTAGCAGGAGGGTGGAGCCCTCATGGTTGGGATTAGTGCCCTTAAAAAAGGGACCCCAGCAAGCTCTCTTTTGGTATGTGAAGATGCTAGAAGTTGGCCATCTGCAACTCAGAAGGGGCTCTTGCCAGAACCTGACAGTGCTGGTACGCTGAGCTCAGACTTCCAGCCTCCAGAACTGTGAGGGATAAATGCCTGTTGTTTATAAGCCACCTAGTCTGTGGTACTTTGTCATGGCAGACTAAGAACAGACTCAGACAAGGGGAGGACTTAAGTAAAGGTGGGGATGGGGCCTGGGCAGGAACAAGCCGCGCTTCCTGAGGCCCTTAAGACTCCAGCTCATGGCCTGGAGTCACCTCCTTTCCTCCTCAGGACAGCCCACAAGGGGGACAGCAGATGCTAGGTGCACAGATGGGCCATCAGAGACTCTAAAGGCACAGGAGACTTGCCCAGGGCCCCCAGCTGGCCAGTGAGTCCCCACCCTCCTGCGAATCGCTCCTTCCTTATCTGCGTGGGGACCAGAGGAGGGAAGCAGTGAGGCTATGAGGGCAGCCTGACTCCCTCTGCAGCTGCCACAGCATCAAGGTGGAAGCAAAGCTTGCTGGAGTACAGACGGAGCTCTGTCTGCACAGTTTCCTAAGGGGAAATGGATTGTTTGAGGAGCTGAACTTTGATGTCTATAAATGTAATCTCTATAGAACCAGAAAATTAAAAGGCCGAGTGGTGATAAAAGAGATGTAACTGATGAAGATGAAGAGTAAGAAAAGAAAAGCAGTGCTTTCGTGGCCACCCATAGTGAAGAAGTACTTAGCAGGGCAGACCCCGATTAGAGCACAGCTGAACTTCCTCCCTGCCACAGTGCGCCGCTTGTTGAATGGGGAAATGTGATGGTCCGTCCGTGGACCACCCTGGCTGGTGGGAGGTGTAACCACTGATAACAGCCAGAATCACCAGTACCAAATACAGACTGACATCAGTGGGTCGTATCACCTTTTTAAAATTCTCTAGAAAACACACCCCTTTTTGCCTGCACCTGGACAGATGTGCACACTGCCCTACCCCCACCCCTCGGGCCACTGCAGAGCAGCATCTGGACCACTTCAAGGCTGTGTTCAAATTTGTTTCAGTGTATGTCCATGCTCTTTGCAGTGACTTTGACAAGCAACTCTCATCCTGATGAATCAGTGCTTCTCAAACTGATTGGAATCACCTGGGGATCTTGTTAGAATGCAGGTCTGATTCAGCAGGTATAGGGTGGAATTCTGCATTTTTGGCAGGCTTTGCGGCGGGGATGGCATCACCAGTCTGCAGGCTACACTTTCAGGAACAGGGATCCAAAGTGTGCATTCTGCATCTGGCCACTTCAATACTGGTTGACTATTGTCCCCCCAGGTTACAGGAAATCAATTTCTAGAGTAGAATTATAGGTATTGACTTGCCTTACTCTTCCTACCTTATTTTTTGGGTCATAATTAATTCCCAAGGCATAATTATTGGTGGGTGGAACATTTTACAGGCTGCCTCTTTCTGTGCCTTTGCCTCTGTGGTCCTGCCCTCTGGGTTTTTGCTCTGTTTTAGAATAGCGCACAGCTTCCCTTGCTTCCCCAGGAGCATCATGGTTCTGCTCTCCCGTTGCTATAGAGACCATTCTGGCTTCTCTTTTCTCTCTTCGCCCCTCTTCTCTGGGCTTCCCCTCCCACCAGATTTCTTAATTTGCTGTACCGTTCCACTGTTGTCATGGGGACCAAATGACCCTTTATTTAATTGGCACCTCCAATAAAATGGCAGCTCAGAAATCCAAGTTAATGGGACCCAACATGAAACATTGATTAGGAACAGCAGAGCAAATGCATGGTCTCGTTATTTCAAATTGCTATTTCTCTAAGCTTCATCTTGCAACACATTTTCCCCAATCTAGAAAATTTTTCACTGAGGGACAGATCAGGCATCCCAAATCAATTCACAGAGAAGGAAAGAACCGGAAAGAACCCACCAGAGCAATATGAATTTTTTAGGCAACATTGAGAAAATAGAGTCATTCTCTTGCTTTTCGGTATGTTGGGTAACATTTTCTGTATCACACAAGCATACCTAAATAATCTCAGTGGTTAATAGGCGTAAACATTTAAAGCAGGTGGCTTTGCCTGAAGGGTTGAGATTCCAACAACATGCTCCTGTCTTCATCATTCATCTCTCTTCTTTCCCACAAATTCCTGGTCTCCTGGTGTGTGATTAGAGAGAAAAGGGTGAAGGGACTCCAGCCCCCTCTGGGCTCAGAGCCCTGTGCTTAGTACTGATAATGTCTCTTATCCAGCCCCGGAGAGGGTGCGCTTCCCTGAATCTCCAGTGCCTAACACATTTCTTGGCACATGACAAGTGATTCGTAAATATTTATTGATTAGGTGGATGGAAAGGAGGAAGCACTCAAAGCAGATAAAAATATCTGCATGAATGTCTGAGCTGCTCTCCACCGTACCTCCTAGCCCCACAAAAGAAGCCCACTTTAAATTTTAGGAATAGGTTTAAGCATAATGGTTGAGATTTGGTGTTAAAGGCAAAGACATTTAGGAATAAACACATTAAAGGGGGTGCAATCATTGAAATTAGGACTGCCAGAGACATTAGTGAGCTTCACCATTTGTTGTGAAGATGAGGAAATTGAGGTGGGAGAAGGGCCAGCAAAGGGCTTCAGATCCCACTGCTTGGGGTAGCAGAAACAAAACTTGAGTTCAGGTTTTCTGACACCACAAGAGTCCTCTTCACCAGGCTGTGCTGGTCCTATTGATAGGAGCAGAAGGCCAGAGCATCTCCCTTTGTCGATGGGGACGATGGGATCTGCCGCATATGGAAGGCCTGGATCCTTCACAGATGTTCATTTCCCCAGGGAGAATCACACTCATTCCATTGCTGTGCTTTGGAATCATTTCCTTAACCAGAGCAGTTCCCTGGAGATGTTCCAAAACCACCAGGAGATGCCACATGAATGTGAATGCTAAGTCGCATGGTACATCGAGGCCACAAGCTGAGTGACAGCCATGGGGAGGCTCAAGTCCTGCAGAAAGCAGAGGAATTCAGAGCACGGGGGGAGCAGATGCTGACGGCGGGGAAATTGAGTTCCATCAAAATTCACACATTAGGAGCACAAACTAGAAGCAGAAGTCAGTGGGGAAGCCAGGGGGTGGGGGATTATGAGGACCAGGAACCCCGAAAAACTCTTGCCACGTAGGAAAATGAACTAAAAAGATGGCCCCAATTCAAGGCTGGAATTTGGGGACACAGATTTGTTCTGTGGCTGACCCTGTTGTCTTTGTGGAGCAAGCCTTATTCACAAAAGACACACCCTCTCTGGTTGTGTATATGGGGCATTATGGTGTAGAAATACTGTGCGTTTTGAATGCGGACAGACATAGGATTGAATCTTGCTGTGTGTGAATGTGAGTGAGTCATTTAAAATCTCTGAGCCTCAGTTTCCTCTTCTATAATATAGAAATAATTACAGCCACATTAAATGAGACAGCTCCTGTCCTTTCCAGGTTAATGCCAGATAACAGTGAGTGTTCAATGACAGGTAGTTACAGTCATTTTGGTTCAATTAGTTTCATCATCAGGGTGGGTTTTGATGCAGCAGTGATCTTAGGGGTGTTCCTGCATGACATAGACATGCAGATGGCTGAACAGGGGTCAGCTGTATAGTGACTGGGCAAACAAAATTTCCCACAAGATGTCACCCTCACCCCACCCTTGCCAGCGCCTGCTCTCACTGAGCACACTGGCTGCAGGTGTGACTAGTAAATTGACATCTTTGGGTGTAATCATCCATGGAGAAATTAAGCCACCTGGATGCAGATGAGGTCATTCATTGTTCTGCAGTAGTAGTCCACAACAGTTGTTCGCAAAATTGAGCGTGCACCTGAATCATCTGGGAGATTTGTCATCCACAGATTCCTGGGTCCCACCCCTAGGTTTTCTGATTCAGTGGGGCTTGGGTAGAGCCCAGAATCTGCACTTCTAAAAAGTGGCCAGGGGCTGCTGCTGCTGCTGTGTGGGGTTTAAGAGCCATTGGTGTACACCTGCTGGCCAAGCATAGTAAAGCTGGATAACCAGAGGCAAAATAGCCCCTACCTCTCCCTCAATCTAAAGCATATCCTGTAACTCAGATACAAAAGGGGTATAGGTCATTTCTGCCACTCCAAGAAGCACTCTTGCTACAGATTCTGTTTGCAGTGAAGTTGTCTAACACCAGTTTCACGCCTCTGCCAGGCAGGGTACCTGAGCAGGGATCCATAGTTCCAGTCCTGACCCCACAGAGCCCTTGGACAAAGCAATCTGTGTCTATGTCTTCATCTTTAAAATGTGAAATGTAAGTCCTGACCTCGCACTGAAAAAGATTTGGTAGACTGGTCAAGGAGTGACAGCAGTAGTGGCTGTGGAATTTACAGAATTCTATTTATAGAATAAGAGGCAGACGATCACCCTTCATGCATGCTTTTCTTGGATTTGTCACTGTTCTTTACAGGTCCTCTTTCCACTTCACTCGTAGAGGGCGCAAACTGGACCCACTCACTTGTGAACTGAGCAGGTGCTGTCTCTGAGCGATACTGTGGGCTTGGATAGAACAGAGCTTGCCTTTTCCCTGAGTCCCTCCTCATTCCCTGGTAGCTGTTCTCTCCTGCAGGAAAAGTTACCCACCTCTCCTCCCACCCACCCCACAGTTCCCTTTGGAGTAGTGGGCCTGGGGCTGAACTTGAGCGGTTTCCCAGGCAGCTGGCCTTATAGATGGGAGTCCAGTTGGGCAGGTGCTTCCCACTGAGGGCTATGACCCCCGCTGCCTCAGCTCTTATAGCAGGGCCAGGGGCTGCAGGGCCTGCAGCTACAACAGTGTGGTCTGTTTACCCCAGCATGCAAACATGATCCTCCTGCATACCATGACTTGAAAGGGGTGGGAAGGCACCTGCTATCAGCCATTCCTTCTCCTCCATGTGGCAATGAGGAGTTTGTTGAGGCACAGCAGGCACCCTGGGGAGACTGGAAGTGGACATTTGTTTCAGGGCTGAGTTCCTTTTGCCTGGCACCCTCCTCTAGGGTGAAGCTGACAAGTCAGTGGTCAGGCCTGCAGGAGCAAACCTTCCCACCACCCAGCAGAGGGCAAGTGTAGCCTTGTGATGGTTTTCTAAAGATGCTTCTGAGCACACCAGGGCTTCTGTCACTGCTGTGAGTCTGATCAGGGGACAGGAGCAGGAGCCTGAGCTCAGCTCAGACCACACAGAGGTGGAAGCTTTCTACATAGTCTCTGAAACTAGTTCCTTTTTATAGTCGAAGATCAGCTTTCCCTCTACGCTCCATTTTAATTTAGAGGGAGAGGTGTGTCATCAGGGATCATGAAACAACAGTCTGCAAGTCGTATTTCTTCCTCTTCCTTCTCCATCAACACCCATCCTACAACCCTCCCCATTCTCCCAAGGAGGCACACACTGATTGGAGTCCCTGGTTGCTGTGGGAATGTTGACAGCTATAAAATCTCTAACTGGCAGAAAGAAGGGGAAAGAGGAGCATCAGAGACAAGAGAAAAGAGCCATGATGAATCAGGCCAGTTGCTGTGAGTTAGATGTCCTTTGTTAGAAGAGGAGTCATTGCTAGAGTTTGCCTTTCAGAAGAAAAGTCCATTTCCCACTCATGTTGCTCCTGGCTGGGGGAAATAGTGTGCCTCCTTCATCTTTGAAGCCAAAAAGGACATCTGATACTTCCTCATAGTTGCACAAGTACTTTGATCAGATCCCTTGAACCCAGCCCACTTCCCAAAAGGAAGGCATTGCCCACAGGAACCCCATCTGTGCGTGGGCTAAGAGGGCTCCATCTGCAACATGTGGCGTCTTAGCCCTGGGTAGGTGAAGCCGAGCAGTGACTGTACCAGCCCAGGCACCAGAGGCCTGCAGGCAAGCAGGCAGTGGGTCCTTCGGAAGACTCAGTGCAGCTTCTTTTGCCTTTGGTGCTGCCTGCTTTTGTTTATTCTGTCTGCCTCAGTGGTCACCATACCCACTGTACTTTATTCATGTTTAAGGGCTTAAAGAATCAGTCCCGAGTCAAGCTGAATATCGTGAGATGTCCTCCGGTGACCACCGTGTTAATCAGAAGACCAGACCTTCGCTACCAGCTCGGTTTCAGCGTCCAGAATGGAATTGTAAGTAGAACACCTTCCACACCCTTTTCCACAATGTTGACAAATAAAAATGTAGCATGGCTGGGGGGGTGGAGCCAAGATGGCTAAATAGGAACAGCTCCAGTCTACAACTCCCAGCGTGAGTGATGCAGAAGACGGGTAATTTCTGCATTTCCAACTGAGGTACCAGGTTCATCTCACTGGGGAGTGCCGGTCAGTGGGTGCAGGACAGTGGGTGCAGCGCACTGTGCAAGAGCTGAAGCAGGACAAGGCATCGCCTCACCCGGGAAGCGCAAGGGGTCAGGGAATTCCCTTTCCTAGTCAAAGAAAGGGGTGACAGACAGCACCTGGAAAATCGGGTCACTCCCACCCTAATACTGCACTTTTCCAATGGGCATAACAAACGGCACACCAGGAGATTATACCCCAC
This sequence comes from Homo sapiens, assembly GCF_000001405.40. Classification (NCBI taxonomy): domain Eukaryota; kingdom Metazoa; phylum Chordata; class Mammalia; order Primates; family Hominidae; genus Homo; species Homo sapiens. The sequence goes on along the minus strand of NC_000009.12, from coordinate 69,440,586 downwards.
ACCTGGCTCGGAGGGTCCTACGCCCATGGAGCCTCACTCATTGCTAGCACAGCAGTCTGAGATCAAACTGCAAGGTGGCAGCGAGGCTGGGGGAGGGGCACCCACCATTGCCCAGGCTTGAGTAGGTAAACAAAGCAGCGGGGAAGCTCGAACGGGGTGGAGCCCACTACAGCTCAAGGAGGCCTGCCTGCCTCTGTAGGCTCCACCTCTGGGGGCAGGGCACAGACAAACAAAAGGCAGCAGTAACCTCTACAGACTTAAATGTCCCTGTCTGACAGCTTTGAAGAGAGTAGTGGTTCTCCCAGCACACAGCTTGAGATCTGAGAATGGGCAGACTGCCTCCTGAAGTGTGTCCCTGACCCCTGAGTAGCCTAACTGGGAGGCACCCCCCAGTAGGAGCAGACTGACACCTCACACAGCCGGGTACTCCTCTGAGACAAAACTTCCAGAGGAACGATCAGGCAGCAGCATTTGCGGTTCACCAATATCCGCTGTTCTGCAGCCACTGCTGCTGATACCCAGGCAAACAGGGTCTGGAGTGGACCTCCAGTAAACTCCAACAGACCTGCAGCTGAGGGTCCTGACTGTTAGAAGGAAAACTAACAAACAGAAAGGACATCCAAACCAAAAACCCATCTGTACGTCAGCATCATCAAAGACCAAAGGTAGATAAAACCACAAAGATGGGGAAAAAACAGAGCAGAAAAACCAGAAACTCTACAAACCAGAGCACCTCTCCTCCTGCAAAGGAACACAGCTCCTTACCAGCAACGGAACAAAGCTGGATGGAGAATGACTTTGACGAGTTGAGAGAAGAAGGCTTCAGAAGATCAAACTACTCTGAGCTAAAGGAGGAAGTTCAAACCAATGGCAAAGAAGTGAAAAACTTTGAAAAAAAATTAGACGAATGGATAACTAGAATAACCAATGCAGAGAAGTCCTTAAAGGACCTGATGGAGCTGAAAACCACACTACAAGAATGTGACAAATGCACAAGCCTCAGTAACCGATGTGATCAACTGGAAGAAAGGGTATCAGCAATGGAAGATGAAATGAATGAAATGAAGCATAAAGAGGATTTTAGAGAAAAAAGAATAAAAAGATAGATAGATAGGAACAAAGCCTCCAAGAAATATGGGACTATGTGAAAAGACCAAATCTACGTCTGATTGGTGTACCTGAAAGTGACGGGGAGAATGGAACCAAGTTGGAAAACACTCTGCAGGATATTATCCAGGAGAATTTCCCCAATCTAGCAAGGCAGACCAACATTCAAATTCAGGAAATACAGAGAACGCCACAAAGATACTCCTCGAGAAGAGAACTCCAAGACACATAATTGTCAGATTCACCAAAGTTGAAATGAAGGAAAAAACGTTAAGGGCAGCCAGAGAGAAAGGTCAGGTTACCCACAAAGGGAAGCCCATCAGACTAACAGCGGATCTCTTGGCAGAAACTCTACAAGCCAGAAGAGAGTGGGGCCAATATTCAACATTCTTAAAGAAAAGAATTTTCAAGCCAGAATTTCATATCCAGCCAAACTAAACTTCATAAGTGAAGGAGAAATAAAGTACATTACAGACAAGCAAATGCTGAGAGATTTTTGTCACCACCAGACCTGCTGTAAAACAGCTCCTGAAGGAAGCACTAAACATGGAAAGGAATAACCAGTAACAGCCACTGCAAAAACATGCCAAATTGTAAAGACCATCGAGGCTAGGAAAAAACTGCATCAACTAACGAGCAAAATAACCAGCTAACATCATAATGACAGGATCAAATTCACACATAACAATACTAACCTTAAATGTAAATGGGCTAAATGCTCCAATTAAAAGGCACAGACTGGCAAATTGGATAAAGAGTCAAGACCCATCCATGTGCTGTATTCAGGAAACCAATCTCATGTGCAGAGACACACATAGGCTCAAAATAAAGGGATGGAGGAAGATCTACCAAGCAAACGGAAAACAAAAAAAGGCAGGGGTTTCAATCCTAGTATCGGATAAAACAGACTTTAAACCAACAAAGATCAAAAGAGACAAAGAAGGCCATTACATAATGGTAAAGGGATCAATTCAACAAGAAGAACTAACACTCCTAAATATACATGCACCCAATACAGGAGCACCCAGATTCATAAAGCAAGTCCTTAGTGACCTACAAAGAGACTTAGACTCACACACAATAATAATGGGAGATTTTAACACCCCATTGTCAACATTACACAGATCAATGAGACAGAAAGTTAACAAGGATATCCAGGAATTGAACTCAGCTCTGCACAAAGCGGACCTAACAGACATCTACAGAACTCTCCACCCCAAATCAACAGAATATACATTCTTTTCAGCACCACCCCACACCTATTCCAAAATTGACCACATAGTTGGAAGTAAAGCACTCCTCAGCAAATGTAAAAGAACAGAAATTATAACAAACTGTCTCTCAGACCACAGTGCAATCAAACTAGAACTCAGGATTAAGAAACTCACTCAAAACCACTCAACTACATGGAAACTGAACAACCTGCTCCTGAATGACTACTGGGTACATAACGAAATGAAGGCAGAAATAAAGATGTTCTTTGAAACCAACGAGAACAAAGACACAACATACCAGAATCTCTGGGACACATTCAAAGCAGTGTGTAGAGGGAAATTTATAGCACTAAATGCCCACAAGAGAAAGCAGGAAAGATCTAAAATTGACACCCTAACATCACAATTGAAAGAACTAGAGAAGCAAGAGCAAACACATTCAAAAGCTAGCAGAAGGCAAGAAATAACTCAGATCAGAGCAGAACTGAAGGAAATAGAGACACAAAAAACCCTTCAAAAAATCAATGAATCCAGGAGCTGGTTTTTTGAAAAGATCAACAAAATTGATAGACCGCTAGCAAGACTAATAAAGAAGAAAAGAGAGAAGAATCAAATAGACGCAATAAAAAATGACAAAGGGGATATCACCAATGATCCCACAGAAATACAAACTACCATCAGAGAATACTATAAACACCTCTACTCAAATAAACTAGAAAATCTAGAAGAAATGGATAAATTCCTCAACACATACACCCTCCCAAGACTAAACCAGGAAGAAGTTGAATCTCTGAATAGACCAATAACAGGCTCTGAAATTGAGCCAATAATTAATAGCTTACCAACCAAAAAGAGTCCAGGACCAGATGGATTCACAGCCGAATTCTACCAGAGGTACAAGGAGGAGCTGGTAGCATTCCTTCTGAAACTATTCCAATCAATAGAAAAAGAGGGAATCCTCCCTAACTCATTTTATGAGGCCAGCATCATTCTGATACCAAAGCCGGGCAGAGACACAACCAAAAAAGATAATTTTAGACCAATATCGTTGATGAACATTGATGCAAAAATCCTCAATAAAATACTGGCAAACTGAATCCAGCAACACATCAAAAAGCTTATCCACCATGATCAAGTGGGCTTCATCCCTGGGATGCAAGGCTGGTTCAACATACAAAAATCAATTAACATAATCCATCATATAAACAGAACCAAAGACAAAAACCATATGATTATCTCAATAGATGCAGAAAAGGCCTTTGACAAAATTCAACAACGCTTCATGCTAAAAAACTCTCAATAAATTAGGTATTGATGGGATGTATCTCAAAATAATAAGAGCTATCTATGACAAACCCACAGCCAATATCATACCGAATGGACAAAAACTGGAAGCATTCCCTTTGAAAACTGGCACAAGACAGGGATGCCCTCTCTCACCACTCCTATTCAACATAGTTTTGGAAGTTCTGGCCAGGGCAATTAGGCAGGAGAAGGAAATAAAGGGCATTCAATTAGGAAAAGAGGAAGTCAAATTATCCCTGTTTGCAGATGACATGATTGTATATCTAGAAAACCCCACTGTCTCAGCCCAAAATCTCCTTAAGCTGATAAGCAACTTCAGCAAAGTCTCAGGATACAAAATCAATGTGCAAAAATCACAAGCATTCTTATACACCAACAACAAACAGAGAGCCAAATCATGAGTGAACTCCCATTCACAATTGCTTCAAAGAGAATACAATACCTAGGAATCCAACTTACAAGGGATGTGAAGGACCTCTTCAAGGAGAACTACAAACCACTGCTCAAGGAAATAAAGGAGGATACAAAGAAATGGAAGAACATTCCATGCTCATGGGTAGGAAGAATCAATATCATGAAAATGGCCATACTGCCCAAGGTAATTTATAGATTCAATGCCATCCCCATCAAGCTACCAATGACTTTCTTCACAGAATTGGAAAAAACTACTTTAAAATTCATATGGAACCAAAAAAGAGCCCACATTGCCAAGTCAATCCTAAGCTAAAAGAACAAAGCTGGAGGCATCACGCTACCTGACTTCAAACTATACTACAAGGCTATAGTAACCAAAACAGCATGGTACTGGTACCAAACAGAGATATAGACCAATGGAACAGAACAGAGCCCTCAGAAATAATGCCACATATCTACAACTGTCTGATCTTTGACAAACCTGAGAAAAACAAGCAATGGGGGAAAGGATTCCCTATTTAATAAATGGTGCTGGGAAAACTGGCTAGCCATATGTAGAAAGCTGAAATTGGGTCCCTTCCTTACACCTTATAAAAAATTAATTCAAGATGGATTAAAGACCTACATGTTAGACCTAAAACCATAAAAACCCTAGGCAATACCATTCAGGACATAGGCATGGGCAAGTACTTCATGTCTAAAACACCAAAAGCAATGGCAACAAAAGCCATAATTGACAAATGGGATCTAATTAAACTCAAGAGCTTCTGCACAGCAAAAGAAACTACCATCGGAGTGAACAGGCAACCTACAGAAAGGGAGAAAATTTTTACAACCTGCTCATCTGACAAAGGGCTAATATCCAGAATCTACAATGAACTCAAACAAATTTACAAGAAAAAAACAACCCCATCAAAAAGTGGGTGAAGGATATGAACAAACACTTCTCAAAAGATGACATTTATGCAGCCAAAAGACACATGAAAAAATGCTCATCATCACTGGCCATCAGAGAAATGCAAATCAAAACCACAATGAGATACCATCTCACACCAGTTAGAATGGCGATCATTAAAAAGTCAGGAAACAACAGGTGCTGGAGAGGATGTGGAGAAATACGAACACTTTTACACTGTTGGTGGGACTGTAAACTAGTTCAACCATTGTGGAAGTCAGTGTGGCGATTCCTCAGGGATCTAGAACTAGAAATACCATTTGACCCAGCCATCCCATTACTGGGTATACACCCAAAGGACTATAAATCATGCTGCTGCAAAGACACATGCACACGTATGTTTATTGTGGCACTATTCACAATAGCAAAGACTTGGAACCAACCCAAATGTCCAACAATGATAGACTAGATTAAGAAAATGTGGCACATATACACCATGGAATACTATGCAGCCATAAAAAAGGATGAGTTCATGTCCTTTGTAGGGACATGGATGAAGCTAGAAACCATCATTCTCAGAAAACTATGGCAAGGACAAAAAACCAACACTGCATGTTCTCACTCATAGGTGGGAATTGAACAATGAGAACACATGGACACAGGAAGGGGAACATCACACACTGGGGACTGTTGTGGGGTGGGGGGAGGGGGGAGGGATAGCATTAGGAGATATACCTAATGCTAAATGACGAGTTAATGGGTGTAGCACACCAACATGGCACATGTATACATATGTAACAAACCTGCACGTTGTGCCCATGTACCCTAAAACTTAAAGTATACTAATAATAATAAAAACGTTAAAGTGGACATTTTAGTAATAATAAACATCTGTTGGAATGCTTTAAAAAAATGTAGCATGGCCTTTTTTTTTTTTTTTAAATTGAGATGGAGTCTCGCTCTGTCATCCAAGATGGAGTACAGTGGCACGATCTCGGCTCACTGCAACCTCCACCTCCTGGGTTCAAGGGATTCTCCTGCCTCAGCCTCCTGAGTAGCTGGGACTACAGGCACGTGCCACCACGCCCGGCTAATTTTTGTATTTTTAGTAGAGGCATGGTTTCACCATACTGGCCAGGCCGGTCTTGAACTCCTGACCTTGTGATCCACCTGCCTCTGCCTCCCAAAGTGCTGGTATCCCAGGCTCCCAGGGCCTTTGACTTTTTTTTTTTTGTTTTAAGCCAGTTTGTTCCCTGAAGGAATCCATCAAGAAAGAGTATGAGTGGATGAAGGAGGCTCAGCTCCCTCTCTGGACAGAGTCCCTTCAGCAGAGATTCCCACCCAGAACCCAGTGTTTCTGTGACATGCAGGACTGCCTTCCCGGCTGCCAGCTTGAGAGTTTGGGATGCACCCTCCAAGAGCCTCCTTGCCTCTGGACTGTCCACCCTGGCTGCACAGAGTCCCGCAGAGCAGCTGACTCCCAAGCCTGGGGCTGTACAGTGCAGGGGCCGGCTCAGTTCCCACAGTCACAATTGGGACTCGAACAGTTTGGTATTTGAGTGATCCTTCAAACCTTGGCCTTCCGGCGAAGCCAGGCAGATCACTTGAGGCCAGGAGTTTGAGACCAGCTTGGCCAACATGGCAAAGCCCAGTCTCTGCTAAAAATACAAAAAGTAGCCAGGTGTGGTGGCGGGCACCTGTAATCCCAGCTACTCAGGAGGGTGAGGCAGGAGGATCACCTGAACCCGGGAGGCAAAGGTTGCAGTGAGCAGAGATTATGCCACTGCACTCCAGCCTAGGTGACAGAGCAAGACTCTGTCTTAAAAAAAAAAAAAAAAAAAAAGTCCTAGGTAATTAAAATATCATTCCAAATACATTTGAAGGTTTAGAAATACCCTTGAACTTCCCATTTGGAGTTGAAATATCCAGCCCCACTTCCTGCATTCTTTGTACCTGAGTAGCCTAATTTGCCTATTAGGAGAGGATCTAGGGTGACTCTTTACAGTTTAGCTCTGAGATCATCTTTTCATTGGTTTGTACTTGTACTTGTTTGCTTTGTTCATAGTTAAACTGCATTAAAAGTTCAGATACGAACAAGGAGTTGTTAACATGTGTGGGTCCACTGGGAAAACACCTAAGGAATGTTTTGACCCCAGACTAGCTGAGAGAGCAGCTGGGCCACACACTCAGAATCACACAGCATGTTGCTGCAAGATGTCACTTGCAATCTTGTCTGCATCCACTTTTAAATAAAGGTGCATGGTCTGGAATGAAAAGCCAACTTAGTAAATTCAGACCTACTCTTTTGGGAAAAGTTATGTTGTAGTGTGTGTGAGGTAAGGGTGGAGGGCGCATCAGCCCCGCCTGCAACCTCGGGTCACTGTGGTACCTGGCTGTGCCATCACAAAATCCAGCCTCACTGTCTTTTCTGTGGGAAGGGAGTTTGAACAGGGGCCGCTGAATTGGGAAACTCTGAAGGAGTCTCTCCCCTCCAGCCAGCCACACTTTGGAACACGGAGTGGAGTTCCAGCCCCATGGTGGCTCAGGCAATCGTGACCCTAAAAACAGTCTGCTGGCATTAAACGCTTCAGTGCTTGAGTCCCAGTCATGACTACGGGAACTAACACTAACCTGTGTCACACAGGCTGACAGTTTGGAAACACTGGCGACTCTGCGACAGACCCAAATGGCCCTTTTTACCCAGCCCCAGCTGGGATGAGAAGTAGAATTCAGTGTGCCGTAAAAACCAGTGATGTGCTACAGTCTCTGTGCAAGCCGCATGAACAAGGTGGCCATGTGGGCCGACGGCACCTATTTTTTTGTGAAAAGACACTAAGAGAGTTAAATGCCCAAAGCCTAACCATGTCAGTTTCTCCAAGAGCAGAGTGTAGGGGCAGGGGGCTTTCAGGAAAGACGGCCTTCCAGCCCCACCGCACTGTCTGCAATGAGGGTAACTCTGCCTTTGACTCTGGCAGATCTGCAGCCTCATGCGAGGGGGAATAGCTGAGAGAGGAGGCGTCCGTGTGGGGCACCGGATCATTGAAATCAATGGACAGAGCGTCGTGGCCACCCCCCACGAGAAGATCGTCCACATTCTCTCCAATGCTGTTGGGGAGGTAGGAGAGGTCCGGGGCTGAGGGTGGTGCTGAGGGCCGCGTCTGGTGCCCCTGCCTCGTATGCTCACCGTGGCCCTGAGCAGACCTTCCAGGAAAGCTCCCTGAGTTTCCAATCCTGAACACTCCCCAACAAGCAGACCTGTCTCTGACCAAATGCCAAACCCATTAGCAAGCAGTTATCTGGGAGCTCCTCCATGAAATGGAATCAGATCACCCTCAGCCTTCTCTTTCATCTGATGTGCTCACCTTCTCTTTTTAACACTCAGCTTTCTGTTGCTTTTCTGTATGGCCGCCTAAGTTGCCTCCATTTTCCCCAGTTAATCTCCCCAAATGTTTTTAAAAGATTTAAGTCTTAGACTCAAGTTGAATCAACAAAGTGGCCTTCCAGAGGTGTGACCCCAGTGCAGTGTGGCATGACGTGTCATTACTGTCAGTCATCACAGCTGTCAGTCAGTCATCATTGTTGCCATTCATCACTCCTATCAGTCATCACTACTGTCAGTCATCACTGCTGTCATTCATCACTGCTGTCAGTCATCACTGCTGTCATTCATTTATCACTGCTGTCAGTCAACACTGCTGTCATTCATTTATCACTGCTGTCAGTCAACACTGCTGTCAGTTACCACTGCTGTCAGTCATCACTGCTGTCATTGATTTATCACTGCTGTCAGTCAACACTGCTGTCATTCATTGCTGTCAGTCATCACTGCTGTCATTCATCACTGCTATCAATCATCACTGCTGTTCTAGGGCTGATTTGTCATCCTTGCCTCATCTGCCAAGAGAGATGAGGGAGGCAGGCACCCTGAGAAGCCTGGAGCCCTTCCTCCATTTTCAGAGTTCTTGCTTTTAAAAGGGTAGGGTCTGGTGAGAGCGAGAGCATTTGACTGAGAAATAAGCCTTGCTTGGTTTTTGTTGTTCATTTCTGTCACCCCTAAGCTTTTGAGAAAGTCAGTGGATTCCACTGTTCCTGGAGGCCACCCTGGGTCAGGTCCCTGGTGGTGGCTGGGCGGTAGGGAGTATCTTCAAAGCCCTCTGTGGGAGAGGCACTGCCTCTCTGGCCAGCCCTGGGCAGTGCCCACGCAGCCAGCCCCCAGCCTCAGCCCCCCACTAAAGTGTGTTCTTTACCCTCAGATTCATATGAAGACAATGCCAGCCGCGATGTACAGGCTGCTGACGGCCCAGGAGCAGCCTGTTTACATCTGACCGCGGCCACACGCGGTGGCATGCATGGAGGACTCTCCTCTTCGTGGTTGTGTTTCTCGTGCTGCATCCCTGTGTCCACTGAGACTTTCCCCTCTCGCGCCCAGCATTTGGTTTTACACAGGAAGAGAAGAATCCACAAGGACCTCTTTACTCTCTCCGATTTGCTTTTTTTTTTTTTTTTTTTTCAATACCAGGGAAGTTTCGTATGCACTCCCTTGAGGATGGAGAGCAGCCAGCACCCACCTGGTACTGACCCAGGACCATCCTGGAGGGCTTTCTGGGTGTGTCCAGGGGGTGGGCTGTCACTGCTTGAGGGAGAATCCTCCCTTCCCAGGAGGTGCAGACTTCTTAAAAGGAGCTCGCGGGGCAGCAAAGCAGCTGATTCAGCAGTGCCTAAAACCCAGTTGCTGATCCCTGCTCTCTGAGTTTATCTGTGGGAATGTGGTAGTACCCAGGGCCAGCCCACGTCATTAAGGTTATGCACTGCCTGCCATGTAGTTGGGGCACCATACATTATTTCTTCCCAGAATCTCTGAGCCAACCTTAAACCTCTTCTATTGCTAGTTCTAATTTCAACGTATGTGTGTTTTCTAATACGAGCCTTCTCACCCCAGGATAAAAGGGGAAATAACTGCCTTGGGCAAGGACACCATAGTGTCACAGAGAGCTTGGCAATTCATGGGGCATCTGAAGCTTTACCAGGTTGTCCTCAAGTTATCAACCATTAGATAAACACAGGCAGGTACTGTCTGCTTCTCTCTCTCTCACACACACACACACACACACAGTCCCATTTGCATATCACCCTTCCCTGCTCCCACCACCAGTGAGACAAGCTGAAGATTAGGCACACAGATCCCCTGGAAACCCACCTCTCTGGAAGGCCCCTTCCCTGGCAGGTGGCCAGGCAGGCGGGGGCTGCTCAGCCTCATCCTGAGAGACCTGCCCTCTCTGCGCTGAGGCCCAGCCCCTCCAGCACCACTTTGGCTTAAAGCATCCTCCTCCTGGACTCCCCTCCCTGCCGAACACACATCCCAGGAGTCTGGGAAGGAGGGACTGTTCCCAAGAAGGCAAGCTGCAGGTGCAATTGCGTCTTGTTTTCTGGCCCAAGGCAAGACCAACTTTCTTCTCTGCTCAGGGCCACTAGGCGGATGTGATATTGGAAAGGCCAGAATAGTACATAAACCACAAAATTAAGGAGACAATAGCAACCTCAAGTTATGCCTCAGAATCCCCAGATGTGGTCCATAAACACCCTCTTGCTGCCTTGTGGGCCTGAGAGCATTTTTGGCTGGTGTGGAATTGTTCCGTGTTTTCATCAGGTGCCTCATATTTATGCTTCCGTCTCAGTTCAGTGTAGATGTTTTAGTAATATTATAATTCTGAGCCAGTTTTCACTTGGTCCAAAGAGCATTTTGTGTTCATGTGAGGTGTGATTTGGCTTTGCTTTTGTTTTGTTTCATTCATGACCTCAGTAGAGACAGGGGAAGAGAAACTATTATATTTTGTAATTAATATAGTCCCTGTTCTCTGCATCCGAGATATTTATGTTGTGTCTATGGAAATAGGAACTCAGTGAGCAAATGGTGGGTAGCATGTATTTATAGAGAGAATGGAGGGATTCTAAGGAGGGAGCAAAGTGACTATAACAAGATTAGGGACAAGAGACTTCAACCAGAGAGTTCTGTGATCAATTCCCCGAGATCTCTGCATCTTCTGAGTTTTCTGCTTAGAATCAGGGAAGCTCAGTGCTTGACAGGAACGAGCAGTGGCACTCTCAGTTTCACTGTGTTACAAAGGAGCCCTGAGGAAGGGAGGCCGCTGGCTGCCCAGGTGCCCTGGGGGGAAAGGGACTTCTGCTGCTGCAGAGAGTGGCACCCGGTGGGGCCAGGGGCTCTGGGATGGTCCGTAAAGCTCCCCAGGACTTCTTTGAAGGATGCTTTACAGAATGTTTCTGGGAGACCAGCCTCAAGGTCAACCCATCACAAACGTGAGGACCAGGAAGGAACCATGGCCAGGGTTCTCCATTTGCTGTAGAGTATCTGGTGATACAGTGAGACACTAAAGAGTCATCAGCCAGTTCATCTTTCCTCTGCCAATAAGAGTGGATAGAACAGGAATGAAGTGTTACTGGTGGTATTTCAGGCATCAGGAGCCTTGGAAAATCATCGTAGGGGCCCATGCCTGTCTGTCCCTAGGCACCTGGGCAGTGCCACAGAGGCCCGCCCACGACTGGCCAGGGGACAGAACTCCAGTAGTGCATCCCTGTACAACCTGCACATAACGGTTATGTATGTTCACCTAAAGGAGAGAATATACTTTCTATTCCTATTGCACAAAAACCTTGTAAACTTTGAGAGGTGCTGAAAAAGCCAATTCTGCAAGCTCTCCTAGAGGACTGACATTGTAACATTAGAGTGAGAAGATTTCTCTGCCACATTCTTTTGTGTTAATCCAGGTGTGTCTTCACACCCAGTGAGTGGAAGTTGCTGGAGCTCGGTACAGGTCCACCCAGCTGAAGTGGGTTCTTTTTCCCACTACCACTGGGGCAAGGGAGTGAGCCTAGGTATGGTCACCTCAGCAGCCACAGTCTTAAAAGCAAGTCGCTAGATTTTTTGAAAGTCCCAAGAGAAGTGGTGGTCTTCCCTTCTGTCATCCCAGTATATATAGTTATACATGTAAATATCTAAATACCCCATGTAATGGGAAGGCTATGTACAGGGCAGCCTTCCCAAACGCTGTGAGGGCACAGAGCTGCTGTGGCTGCTCCACCAGGGTGTGCTGGTGGCTCAGCTTTGGGGTTGGACTCCCACGTTCACCTCCCCCTCCTGGTCCAGGCAGAGGCACCAGAACCCATCCTGCCTTTTCTCCAGTGTGAGCATTTCAGGGAGCCACCATCAGCCTTGGGTTCATGAGAGGAAGAAACCCCCAAAGACCAATGCCTGGAGCCCACTTCTCCAGCGACACCTTCCCTCGCCAGAGCAGGCTCCTAGGAGTGCATGGCAGGGGTGCCGGGTCCCTGTGCACGGGTTTGCTTTCTGAACATTGCCCATCAACACCGCCTTCAGGGAGTCCCAGAGTAACCTACTACCTCCCCCATCGCTCCTCTGCCCCCCTCACCCTGTGGGCACCAACACCTCCCGCACACAGATGAAAACCATCTACAGAGCCCTTCCCGGGTCCCTCGACCCAGTGGTGTAGCCGTTACCAATGTTTACAACCAGGGGCCGCCCCTCCTTAGATGTGTTTACTCGCATTCACAGGCCACCTGTTGGTTTGAGTTTCATGTGTCTCCTTCCCTGGCCTAGGTTGACTTGAGCACACAACTCGATCTTTCTTCCCCTCCATCAAGGCAGTGTGTGAGGACTGTGTGGGAATGACATTTCTTGTACATACTTAGCACAGCACCTAGAGTATGAACTTGTACTATTGTTCTGTAAAGAGGGTGAAATAGAGCTTATTGTAAAGTGTCGGGAGAAGTATAGTATTGTATTTGTAACAATATCGTTCTTTGTATACACAAAACTCAATGATCTATATATAAATATAAATAAATATATAAATAAAATATATCTACACGTGAGCCTGGAATGTGGACACCGCACACCCACTGAATGTACTTCCTTGACAGTCTGGTCACTGGTCCCTCCCTCCCTCCCTCCTCCGTCCCGTGGCCACAGTCATCCAGTTTGGGGTTGTGATGTATTTACTGTGCTATCTATCTTCCTTTATTTAACTGAACGCTAATGTCTGTATAAGAGTTGCTGCAACAATAAACAAGAACTTCACCTCTTGGCCTGGCCAAGTGTCTTCTTGTTGCAGGGAAGGCTTGGGATCATGTGATGAGTTTGTCTTTTCCCTAACAGACTGACTGACTAGCTCCTACCCACCCTATAGGCGCCCAGAGCCCAGGAGTTCTCTAAATGAGCTTTTATTCTGTGGAACTGACTTGGTTTTAGACAAGAAAGGCTCTGTTCTCCTGTCCCAGTTGATCCTCCAGTCCTGTGGGTCTCCTTTGAGCACACTGAACTGGAGAAAGAGAAATTCTCCGGATTTCTTACTTGACATCCTCCATGAGGGCAGGAAAACAGGAATTAATTCTCCCCCACCTCAGTCATCTCCCGTAAGGGAGGTACCTTTTTGTAAGGGACTAAGATCTAAGTGGACGGTGGAAAACAGCGCCCTGAGAGGCCCATCCAAAGGTTCTGTGAGAAGGTTCTGGAAGGTTTCCTCCTGGTGCTCTTTGGAAATTCACTTTTTGAAGGTTGCCAGGCATGCCCTCCCTGCTGCCGGGGGCATGCTGGGGGCCCTGGACTCCCCAACACAGAGTGTCCAGCCCTGTTCCAAAGCAGACTGCTTGTCAGCTTTTTCTTTGCATACACCCCTCCCCCATCTTCCCTGCAAAGCTTTTTGCAGCCCCGTCAGGTCTGTAGCTGCTGAAAGCCCTGAACATGGAGGCAGGGCCTTATCCTGAGGGTCCTGTGGCCTGGCCCCGAGGAGCCCCTTCTCCTCCATCCTCCTCACAGCAAGCAGAGTGTCCCACCACCGAGACGGCTGCCATTGAATCAAGTGGGAAGAAAGCACATTGAACTGGTGTCTGGGGAAGTCACAATTTGAAGAATGGCAGCTAGTCTTTATAGTAACTTCCATGTGCCAAGCATCCTACAGAGATGAACTTGGTAACTCCCCACAACACCTCTAAGAGGTAGAAGCTTTTCCTGTATTATCATTGTCTCCATTTTATACAGGAGGAAACGGGCACAGAGGGTTCAAGCACTTATGCTCAGCTTTCCAACAACTCCCACCTGCACCCACCTGGGACAGGCTTGTCATCGCACACGGATGAACTCAGCGTTAGACTTTTGGGTCTCTTTTGGTTCTTATAATGTTTTCCTTCCTGGTTTTCTTCCATTGATTTGCAAACCACATCTCTTATTCAAATCAGTCTGCCCTACTTCCCCATCCCCAGACTGGAATTGAGCACTGGCCTAGGAGAGCGGGACTTGCTCTCAGCTCCCTCCCTCCCTCCCTGTCTCCTTCTTTGAGTCCCTTTATGGGAAGGGGCATGGGTAGGAGGTGCACAGAGGTTCCCCTACATTAAGAGTTGCCCTTGGGAAGGTCACAGTCCTCGCCTTGCTGGTTCATTCTGCTGATCTGGTCCACTGACCAGGAGATCAATGAAGACAAACAATTGGCAGCAACCGGGCATTCAGGGTCCCTGAGCCCTGGGCCCCATCTTCCAGCTGACCCCTTAGCCACAGTCCTCTAAAGCAGCAGTCTCCACCTTTTTTGGCACCAGGGACCAGTTTCATGGAAGACAGTCTTTCCAGAGACCGGGTGCCACGGAGGGGGATGATTCAAGCACATTATATTTATTGTGCACTTTATTTCTCTGATTGTTATATAATGAAATAATTATACAATTCACCATAGAATTGTATAATTATACAGTTCACAATTCTATGGTGAACTGTATAATTCAGTGGGAGCCCTGAACTGGTTTTCCTGCAACTCAATGGTCCCTTCTAGGGCTGATGGGAGACAGTGACAGATCATCAGGCATTAGATTCTCATAAGGAGCCTGCAACCTAGATCCCTCGCATGCACAGTTCACGATAGGGTTCACACTCCTATGAGAATCTAATGCTGCCGCAGATCTGACAGGAGGCGGAGCTCAGGCGGTAATGTGAGCCAGCGACGGCGAGCGGCTGTAAATACACATGAAGCTTTGTTCACTTGTTGCTCGCCTCCTGCTGTGTGGCACAGTTCCTAACAGGCCACAGACTGGTACCAATCTGTGCACACCTCTAAAGTGCACACCTCTTCCACACAGGTTGTGTCCCCAGCCGCCTGCAGCCACCATCTCCCCAGCCAGCAAGCTCCTGAAGCATCCAGCAACCATCCTCCTCACCCTCAGAGGAAGGGAGGGGCACCCCTGGCTGTCTCTCCCCTGCCCATCCCAGAGCCATTGCTTCCTATTATCTCTCTCACCACCCACAGCACCACACCTTCTGCTGGTCCGGTCCCTCGGCCACATGTAGATAAGACGTTACCAGCACCCAGTTCAGTGTGTGGGGAGGCAAGTGGAGGGCACAGGCCCCCAGCCTTCACAGTGATGCTCTTGGGATTCGCCTCCCTTGACGAGGTCAATATTCCCTTGCCTCCCAGAGTGGAGTGGCGAGTAAGTAGCTCCTTTCCTGAATTCTGCACCCATCCCCCGCCAATGACAACACCCCTCTCACATCACCAGGATGACGGTGGGAAGACAGCTGGTGGGAGGGTCTAGTCTTTGAACTGGCACCTCTCAGCAAGCTCCCTGGAAGTCTGTCTGTCCCACAGGAGACCACAGTCCCCTGATGGATGGTATCTGCCTGTGTGGGTGTGGTCTGCCCCCACAGGCAAGGCTGCTCCTACCATAGACTATACCTTAGCTTCCCCCTCTTGGCTTTGATCTTAGATGAAATTGCAGAACTAGAGAAAAAAACCATTTAACCACCTTGATGCACATAGAACCACTTTATTTAGGTCTTTCTTCTATAATTTTTGCTTAAACTGTGATCCTCAGAGTTCCTTAAACCCTCTGAGCTTGTTTCCTCATCTGCAAACTAGTGTTTATCTCAGGGAGACCGTGTGAGGATAAGCTAACACATAGAAAGCTTTCAGAATGTGCATGGCGCATAGTGGTTGCTGAGGAAGTACTGGCCGTTCCTGGGGCCCAGCAGATCCAGGTCCTCATAAGCTTCCTGGAATTTCCAGACCCCCTGGGTACACCAACGGGAGCCACAACTCAAGAGGCTCCGCACGCACTTGCATGGCTTAGTGCAGGTCGCCCCCAAACACCCGAAGTCCTAAACTACTGATGTACTGAATTTCATCCAAAAGCAGATTTTAGCCCCTGGGAAAAACTTCTAGATGCCAATGCATACTTTTTTAAAAGTTAAAAAACATAACTCCCATAACAAAGATGGAATGAACACATATCAGAGATTTATTAATCATTAATGATGAAACAAGTAAGATGGTAAAGCTGGTCCAAAAAGTATTTGGAGGACCTAAGTATTTATAGACATTTTTAAAAGAATGTTAGAATAAAATTACTAGGTTTGAAGTAAAACCGGTTGCGACTGGGCATGGTGGCTCACACCTGTAATCCCAGAACTTTGGGAAGCCGAGGCGGGTGGATCATCTGAGGTCAGGAGATTGAAACCAGCCTGGCCAACGTGGTGAAACCCCACCTCTACCAAAAACACAAAAATTAGGCATAGTGGTGGGCATCTGTAATCCCAGCAACATGGGAGACTGAGGCATGAGAATCGCTTGAACCCAGGAAGCGGAGGTTGCAGTGAGCCGAGATTGCACCACTGCACTACAGCCTGGGTGACAGAGCGAGACTCCGTCTCAACAATAAAATAAAATAAAACAAAACTGGCTAATGTCCTTAAGGCAATACAATTATAACCTTTAGGGTTATCTTTCTACCAAATAGAAATCATTTGCATCTCTAGTTGTGGGCAGGAGGAGGGCAGTTGGTTGGTAATTAGTGCTCTGCAGAAAAAATAAAGCATGGACACTGCCCTCCAGCCTGGGCAACAGAGCGAGACCCTATCTCAAAATAAATAAAATAAAATAAAATATAAAAGCATGGAACAAGAATTGAAAGCAGGGGCCAGGTGTGATAGCTCACACCTGTGATCTCAGCACTTTGGGAGGCCAAGACAGGGGGATCATTTGAGCTCAGGAGTTCCAGACCAGTCTGGGCAACATAGCAAAACCCTGTCTCCACAAAAAAAAATAAAATTAACTGGACGTGGTGGTGCAAGTCTGGAGTCCCAGCTACTCAGGAAGCTGAATTGGGAGGATTGCTTAGGGCTTGGGAGGTCAAGGCTTCAGTGAGTTGAAATTGTGCCACTGCAATCCAGGCTGGGCAACAGACTAAGACCTTGTCTCAAAAAATAATAATAACAATAATTGAAATCAGGAGTTCAAACAGGTATTTGTACATCCCTATTTATGGTAGCATTATTCACAACAGCCAAAAGACAGAAGCAACCAAAGTGTCCATCGATGAGTGGGTCAACACAACATGGTACAGGCACACAGTGGGATATTATTCAGCCTTAAAAAGGAAGGAAATTCTGGCACATGCTAGCATAAGGGTTTATCGCTACTGGAAGGACATTATGCTGAGTGAAATAAGCCAGTCACAAGAAGATAAATACTGTATAATTCCACTTACATGAGATACCTGATGTAGTCAAATTCTTACAGACAGAAAGTAGAGGAGTGGAGGAAATGAAGAGTTATTGTTAAGTAGGTACAGAGCTCCAGTTTTGCCAGAAAAAGAGAGCCCTGCAGACTGATTGCACAGCAATGTGAATGTACGCTACACTACTGAACTATGCACTTAAAAATAGCTAAGATGGGAAATTTTATGTTATATGTATTTAACTATATTCTTATTTTAAAAATTAATGGTTAAAATAGTACTTTTTATGTTATGGTATATTTTACCACAGTTTTCTTTAATGTTTTTAACTAAAGCTTAGAATGAGTTTGGGGGTGGCTATTTTATGTAGGTTGGTTAGGAATGCCTCATGAAGAAGAAGTGAGGGAGGGCCCTGTGGATGCCTTAGGGATGCGTGTTCCAAGCTAAAGGGACAGCAAGGACAAAGGCCCTGAGGCCAGGCCTCTCTGGTAGGGCGTGGAGGCTAAGAAAGGAGAATTCAAGTGGCTGAAGATGCAGCCAGCAGGCAGAGGGTGGTGGTGGGAGATATAGGCGGTTACAGGAGCTTTGGTGCTACACACACACACACACACACACACACACTCACTCACATACACTTAATTGCTAATTGCTTCCACACTATCACACTCAACTCACACTCCACCTCCTCTGCGCCCTCCCCAGCAGACACCCGCTTCAGGAACCAAGTTGGTAAGAGCTAGTATTTGGCGCCCTCTGGTGGAATTACATGAGAAATGCCAAATCCAAATAACTGCCAAGATTCCCAGGCGATTGAGGGAAGGAGGAGCCTTGGCCACCCATCCCAGGCCCCTTGTTTTCCAGATAAGGAAACCAAAGACCCCAAGAGGGGTAGGACTTGCTGGAGACTACACAGCGAGCAGGCAGCTAGAACCTCACTCCCTAGCTCCCAGGCTAATGCTCCTTTGTATGATCCCAGCTGCTGACAGACAACAACGCGGACCTCATCTTCCTACTGGCCAGACCCAGGAGGCCCTGGAGGTAGGCTGAGCACACTGCTGTGACCCCAGTTCTCAGGCTAGCTCCAGAGTCTTTGTGACAGTGGCGCGGCAAGCAGCATAGATAACTGCTGCCTTCTAGTCCCTTCCTCCAGCTGGGGAGAAGCCATTCCTAGAAGGCTGAGGCTACCGCTGCGGGAAGTGGAAGGCGGAAGGCGGAAGGCGGGAAACAACCTCATTCCTACCCTGGACCCCCTTATCCAGGGTCTACTCCACATTCTGCTCCTATTGTCAGTCTCAGACATAGCACAACTGACCAGCTACTTACTACCTTAACCACCTCTTTCCCCTCCACTAATTGGAGTTTCTTATGGGCAGGAGCCAAATCTCCCTTGACTTTCTAGTCACCGTGGGTTATAATTAAAAGAGGAGTCACAGACCGGGTTCAAATTACAGCTTTCCTACCAATTGTCACTGTGTGATCTTGGCAAGCTACTCAACCACTCTGCTCCTCCAGTTCTTCACCTATGCGATGGGCACAGCTTGGCTCAGTTGTTCTAACCATTAGTGACTCTGTCCTTGAACATTTAGCATGTGCAGTAGACACAGTCATTGAGTACAAGGTACAGAACTAGTCCTGGAGGGGAAGGGTCCGGGAGCTTTTCTCAGAGCGAGTGAGATCTTTGCAGGGTTTGAATATACTACAGGAGTTTTCCAGGTCCCATGGTTGAAAAACAGCTTTCCATGCAGAGGCAAAGAAACCTGGAACAACAGGGTGAGGAGATCCCCACCTAGCACAGAAGCATCAAGCAAGCATGGTGGCGTTCCATCAAGTCAACTTAACTAGGCTAGAACTTTGTTTTCCAGACTTCCCTCCCTGTATGATTCCAAATGAGGACTGCAGGAGAGGTTTAGGTGAGATTTGGAGGGCAGATAGGAAGCGTCAGCCAAAATGCACTGTGGGTCCCGGCAACACCAGGGGCTGTCGCAGCTCATACACGTTGTCGATGGTCTGCTGGCTTGCACCAGCGGCTCAGAGAAGCAGCCGGTCGGCAGCTCCTCCAGATTCTCCCTCAGTATCTCTGAGACCTGGGCCAGGTGTGAGTGGGACTAACTCCTCCTGCAGGTCCCCACATCACTGCAGTGGGAGGCAGGTAGGACAGAACTCTGTCCTCATGGGTTCCAGTTCTACCTGCTCTCCCCCCATTCACTTGAGCTTTTCTTTATGATGGCAACCAGCTCTACCACACCCAGAGCCACAGCCTCCCACAGTGTAGCATGTCAGAGCTCCATTCATTCACCAGTATTATGAGTAACATCTTTGGCGATTCACATAGGAGTCAAACATTTATTTGTAGTCTGGTTTGGTGACACTATTCTTGGTAACAGAATTAGAAAAACTGATTGTGAGTTTGCAGGAAATACCAAGTCATACTGAAGTTATAGGTGGGTGGCATTTGCAATAAAGATTAGTGAGGCGGGGCATGGTGGCTCACACCTGTAAACTCAGAGCTTTGGGAGGCTGAGGCAACAGGATCATTTGAGCCTAGGAGTTGAAGACCAGTTAGGGCAACAGTGCAAGTCCTCCTTCTCTACAAAAACATAAAACATTAGCCAGACATGGTGTCACGTGCCTGTGGTCCCAGCTACTTGGGAGGCTGGGGCAGGAGGATTGCTTGAGCCCAGGAGTTTAAGGCTGCAGTGAGCTATGATTGCACCACTGCACTCCAGCCTGGGCAACAGAGTGAGTTTCTACCTGCACCCCCCCCAAAAAATGAGTGAATATATTATTATTATTTGTAAACTGTGTGTTACACATTCTTTATATCAGGTAAATAAGCACAGATGCACACTCATAGTTTCCCCCCCAGAGAGCTGGTTGTTAAACACTTACCAGCACACCTGCTGTGGCCAGCTTCTCAGCTACTTAAGCAATTTCTAAGCTTTCTTGTGGAGGGGTGGCCTAAAAATATTACTTTTATTACTAAATAAAATAAGCAATCATCTTTTTATGGTCCATTTGGGAGCACACAGGTCAAATGTCGACATTTTAGTTGTTTGCCACAGCATTAGAAAACAGGCTCTGAAGGTCTCCAGGACCTGCCTTGGCTAAGGGAGAAGAGACAGCATTCCAAGTGACACCTGAGGTCGCCTCCAGTGCAGTGGCCTCACAGGACACACAGTAGGCCTCTGCTCAGCTCCCATCTTACTGAAATCTCCAACCACAGCACAAACACAGTGAAATGTTTCCAGTGCAAAGTGATCTTTTGATCTTCTTCCCCTCACATGTTCACTAGAAATCCTCCAATATTCAATTTCTATTAGAAATGTGATTAAAATGGCCGAATAGGAACAGCTCCAGTCTACAGCTCCCAGCATGAGCAATGCAGAAGATGGGTGATTTCTGCATTTCCAACTGAGGTACCAGGTTCATCTCACTGGGGAGTGCCGGACAGTGGGTGCAGGACAGTGGGTGCAGCACACCTTGTGTGAGCCGAAGCAGGGCGAGGCATTGGGCTTAACAAATGGCACACCAGGAGATTATATCCCACACATGGCTCAGAGGGTCCTACGCCCATGGAGCCTCGCTCATTGCTAGCACAGCAGTCTGAGATCAAACTGCAAGGTGGCAGCAAGGCTGGGGGAGGGGTGCCCGCCATTGCCGAGGCTTGAGTAGGTAAACAAAGCTGCCAACAAGCTCGAACTGGGTGGAGCCCACCACAGCTCAAGGAGGCCTGCCTGCCTCTGTAGGCTCCACCTCTTGGGGCAGGGCATAGACAAACACAAGGCAGCAGTAACCTCTGCAGACTTAAATGTCCCTGTCTGACAGCTTTGAAGAGAGTAGTGGTTCTCCCAGCACACAGCTTGAGATCTGAGAATGGGCAGACTGCCTCCTAAAGTGGGTCCCTGACCCCCAAGTAGCCTAACCGGGAGGCACCCCCTAGTAGGGGCAGACTGACACCTCACACAGCCGGGTACTCCTCTGAGACAAAACTTCCAGAGGAACGATCAGGCAGCAGCATTTGCGGTTCACCAATACCCGCTGTTCTGCAGCCACTGCTGCTGATACTCAGGCAAACAAGGTCTGGAGTGGACCTCCAGCAAACTCCAACAGACCTGCAGCTGAGGGTCCTAACTGTCAGAAGGAAAACTAAACAAACAGAAAGGACATCCACACCAAAACCCCATCTGTACATCACCATCATCAAAGGCAAAGGTAGATAAAATCACAAAGATGGGGAAAAACCAGAGCAGAAAAACTGGAATAACTCTAAAAATCAGAGCACCTCTCCTCCTCCAAAGGAACGCAGCTCCTCACCAGCAACGGAACAAAGCTGGATGGAGAATGACTTTGACGAGCTGAGAGAAGAAGGCTTCAGACAATCAAACTACTCCAAGCTAAAGGAGGAAGTTCGAACGAATGGCAAAGAAGTTAAAAACCTTGAAAAAAAATTAGATGAATGGATAACTAGAATAACCAATGCAGAGAAGTCCTTAAAGGACCTTTGGAGCTGAAAACCATGGCAAGAGAACTACGTGATGAATGCACAAGCCTCAGTAGCCGATGTGATCAACTGGAAGAAAGGGTATCAGTGATGGAAGACAAAATGAATGAAATGAAGCATAAAGAGAAGTTTAGAGAAAAAAGAATAAAAAGATAGGAACAAAGCCTCCAAGAAATATGGGACTATGTGAAAAGACCAAATCTACATCTGATTGGTGTACCTGAAAGTGACCTGGAGAATGGAACCAAGTTGGAAAACACTCTGCAGGATATTATCCAGGAGAATTTCCCCAATCTAGCAAGGCAGACCAACATTCAAATTCAGGAAATACAGAGAACGCCACAAAGATACTCCTCGAGAAGAGAACTCCAAGACACATAATTGTCAGATTCACCAAAGTTGAAATGAAGGAAAAAACGTTAAGGGCAGCCAGAGAGAAAGGTCAGGTTACCCACAAAGGGAAGCCCATCAGACTAACAGCGGATCTCTTGGCAGAAACTCTACAAGCCAGAAGAGAGTGGGGCCAATATTCAACATTCTTAAAGAAAAGAATTTTCAAGCCAGAATTTCATATCCAGCCAAACTAAACTTCATAAGTGAAGGAGAAATAAAGTACATTACAGACAAGCAAATGCTGAGAGATTTTTGTCACCACCAGACCTGCTGTAAAACAGCTCCTGAAGGAAGCACTAAACATGGAAAGGAATAACCAGTAACAGCCACTGCAAAAACATGCCAAATTGTAAAGACCATCGAGGCTAGGAAAAAACTGCATCAACTAACGAGCAAAATAACCAGCTAACATCATAATGACAGGATCAAATTCACACATAACAATACTAACCTTAAATGTAAATGGGCTAAATGCTCCAATTAAAAGGCACAGACTGGCAAATTGGATAAAGAGTCAAGACCCATCCATGTGCTGTATTCAGGAAACCAATCTCATGTGCAGAGACACACATAGGCTCAAAATAAAGGGATGGAGGAAGATCTACCAAGCAAACGGAAAACAAAAAAAGGCAGGGGTTTCAATCCTAGTATCGGATAAAACAGACTTTAAACCAACAAAGATCAAAAGAGACAAAGAAGGCCATTACATAATGGTAAAGGGATCAATTCAACAAGAAGAACTAACACTCCTAAATATACATGCACCCAATACAGGAGCACCCAGATTCATAAAGCAAGTCCTTAGTGACCTACAAAGAGACTTAGACTCACACACAATAATAATGGGAGATTTTAACACCCCATTGTCAACATTACACAGATCAATGAGACAGAAAGTTAACAAGGATATCCAGGAATTGAACTCAGCTCTGCACAAAGCGGACCTAACAGACATCTACAGAACTCTCCACCCCAAATCAACAGAATATACATTCTTTTCAGCACCACCCCACACCTATTCCAAAATTGACCACATAGTTGGAAGTAAAGCACTCCTCAGCAAATGTAAAAGAACAGAAATTATAACAAACTGTCTCTCAGACCACAGTGCAATCAAACTAGAACTCAGGATTAAGAAACTCACTCAAAACCACTCAACTACATGGAAACTGAACAACCTGCTCCTGAATGACTACTGGGTACATAACGAAATGAAGGCAGAAATAAAGATGTTCTTTGAAACCAACGAGAACAAAGACACAACATACCAGAATCTCTGGGACACATTCAAAGCAGTGTGTAGAGGGAAATTTATAGCACTAAATGCCCACAAGAGAAAGCAGGAAAGATCTAAAATTGACACCCTAACATCACAATTGAAAGAACTAGAGAAGCAAGAGCAAACACATTCAAAAGCTAGCAGAAGGCAAGAAATAACTCAGATCAGAGCAGAACTGAAGGAAATAGAGACACAAAAAACCCTTCAAAAAATCAATGAATCCAGGAGCTGGTTTTTTGAAAAGATCAACAAAATTGATAGACCGCTAGCAAGACTAATAAAGAAGAAAAGAGAGAAGAATCAAATAGACGCAATAAAAAATGACAAAGGGGATATCACCAATGATCCCACAGAAATACAAACTACCATCAGAGAATACTATAAACACCTCTACTCAAATAAACTAGAAAATCTAGAAGAAATGGATAAATTCCTCAACACATACACCCTCCCAAGACTAAACCAGGAAGAAGTTGAATCTCTGAATAGACCAATAACAGGCTCTGAAATTGAGCCAATAATTAATAGCTTACCAACCAAAAAGAGTCCAGGACCAGATGGATTCACAGCCGAATTCTACCAGAGGTACAAGGAGGAGCTGGTAGCATTCCTTCTGAAACTATTCCAATCAATAGAAAAAGAGGGAATCCTCCCTAACTCATTTTATGAGGCCAGCATCATCCTGATACCAAAGCCTGGCTGAGACACAACAAAAAAAGAGAATTTTAGACCAATATCCTTGATGAACATTGATGCAAAAATCCTCAATAAAATACTGGCAAACCGAATCCAGCAACACATCAAAAAGCTTATTCACCATGATCAAGTGGGCTTTATCCCTGGGATGCAAGGCTGGTTCAACATATGAAAATCAATAAATGTAATCAAGCATATAAACAGAACCAAAGACAAAAACCACATGATTATCTCAATAGATGCAGAAAAGGCCTTTGACAAAATTCAACAACGCTTCATGCTAAAAATCTCTCAATAAATTAGGTATTGATGGGACGTATCTCAAAATAATAAGAGCTATCTATGACAAACCCACAGCCAATATCATACTGAATGGACAAAAACTGGAAGCATTCCCTTTGAAAACTGGCACAAGACAGGGATGCCCTCTCTCACCACTCCTATTCAACATAGTGTTGGAAGTTCTGGCCAGGGCAATCAGGCAGGAGAAGGAAATAAAGGGCATTCGATTAGGAAAAGAGGAAGTCAAATTATCCCTGTTTGCAGATGACATGATTGTATATCTAGAAAACCCCACTGTCTCAGCCCAAAATCTCCTTAAGCTGATAAGCAACTTCAGCAAAGTCTCAGGATACAAAATCAATGTGCAAAAATCACAAGCATTCTTATATACCAATAACAGATAGAGAGCCAAATCATGAGCGAACTCCCATTCACAATTGCTTCAAAGAGAATACAATACCTAGGAATCCAACTTACAAGGGATGTGAAGGACCTCTTCAAGGAGAACTACAAACCACTGCTCAATGAAATAAAAGAGGATACAAACAAATGGAAGAACATTCCATGCTCATGGGTAGGAAGAATCAATATCATGAAAATGGCCATACTGCCCAAGGTAATTTATAGATTCAATGCCATCCCCCATCAAGCTACCAATGACTTTCTTCACAGAATTGGAAAAAACTACTTTAAAGTTCATATGGAACCAAAAAAGAGCCTGCATTGCCAAGTCAATCCTAAGCCAAAAGAACAAAGCTGGAGTCATCACGCTACCTGACTTCAAACTATACTACAAGGCTACAGTAACCAAAACAGCATGGTACTGGTACCAAAACAGAGATATAGACCAATGGAACAGAACAGAGCCCTCAGAAATAATGCCACATATCTACAACTGTCTGATCTTTGACAAACCTGAGAAAAACAAGCAATGGGGAAAGGATTCCCTATTTAATAAATGGTGCTGGGAAAACTGGCTAGCCACATGTAGAAAGCTGAAACTGGATCCCTTCCTTACACCTTATACAAAAATTAATTCAAGATGGATTAAAGACTTACATGTTAGACCTAAAACCATAAAAACCCTAGAAGAAAACCTAGGCAATACCATTCAGGACATAGGCATGGGCCAGGACTTCATGTCTAAAACACCAAAAGCAATGGCAACAAAAGCCAAAATTGATAAATGGGATCTAATTAAACTAAAGAGCTTCTGCACAGCAAAAGAAACTACCATCAGAGTGAAAAGGCAACCTACAGAAAGGGAGAAAATTTTGGCAACCTACAGAAAGGGAGAAAATTTTTGCAACCTACTCATCTGACAAAGGGCTAATATCCAGAATCTACAGTGAACTCAAACAAATTTACAAGAAAAAAACAAACAACCCCATCAGAAAGTGGACAAAGGATATGAACAGACACTTCTCAAAAGAAGACATTTATGCAGCCAAAAAAACACATGAAAAAATGCTCATCATCACTGGCCATCAGAGAAATGCAAATCAAAACCACAATGAGATACCATCTCACACCAGTTAGAATGGCGATCACTAAAAAGTCAGGAAACAACAGGTGCTGGAGAGGATGTGGAGAAATAGGAATGCTTTTACACTGTTGGTGGGACTGTAAACTAGTTCAACCATTGTGGAAGTCAGTGTGGCGATTCCTCAGGGATCTAGAACTAGAAATACCATTTGACCCAGCCATCCCATTACTGGGTATACACCCAAAGGATTATAAATCATGCTGCTATAAAGACACATGCACACGTATGTTTATTGCGGCACTATTCACAATAGCAAAGACTTGGAACCAACCCAAATGTCCAACAATGATAGACTGGATTAAGAAAATGTGGCACATATACACCATGGAATACTATGCAGCCATAAAAAAGGATGAGTTCATGTCCTTTGTAGAGACATGGATGAAGCTGGAAACCATCATTCTCAGCAAACTATGGCAAGGACAAAAAAACTAAACACCGCATGTTCTCACTCATAGGTGGGAATTGAACAATGAGAACACATGGACACAGGAAGGGGAACATCACACACTGGGGACTGTTGTGGGGTGGGGGGATGGGGGAGGGATAGCATTAGGAGATATACCTAATGTAAATGACGAGTTAATGGGTGCAGCACACCAAGATGGCACATGTATACATATGTAACAAACCTGCACGTTGTATACATGTACCCTAACACTTAAAGTATAGAAATAATAAAATTTTAAAAAAAAAAGTGATTAAAAAAAAACCACTCACCATTCCAACCAAGCTCACTAACAGTTATGATAAGAACTAACATTCTTTGAGCACCTATAAGATGCCAGGCAAATGAGCTGCATAGGCTCTAGCACTTAACTGCACAGCAATATCACAGAGCAGGTATTATCCCCATTTTACTGATGAAGAAACTGACCTCACATGTGCTAGGTAATTTGCCCAAAATCCCAGAGTGATGACACAAACTTCATTCTGTCTTGTACTTTCCCATCCCCTCTTCCCTGAGGAGCCTGTGATCAGGGGTGAGACCCACAGGTACCCAGGTAGCTGAAATATCAGGCAGACTGCTCAGCACAAATGACATCTCAGGGAGAAGATGAACAGAACCTGCAGGGAGCTTGGGGAAGGTGGATGGAGCTGCGGGAGCCAGGTGGGCAGCCTCCGGGGAGCAGGGGCCAGGGAGAGGGATGATTTGGCCGTGGGGAGCACAGCCAACCCAGTTTGACAGGAAAGGTAGGCTAGAGTTAGACATGGGGCCCAAGGGACCAAGTCCATTTTCAGTTCCATTTTATTCTATTTCACTCTTGACTAAAGAAGAGCTCTGGGTGATGGCAGCTGGAAACTGCTGTTCATTGCTCGCTTGCGTTCTCACCCTTCAGCCTTCCTTCCCAGAAAGAAGCTTCGGAGCACTGCTTGGTGCCAGCCACGGTGCTGGGAGCTGCGGATGCAAGGACCGTGGCGATCGTTCCATGGCTGTTAGCCACGATGATTCTAGGAGCCTCGGTGGCCCACGTCCTAGGCTGGAGTCCCCATAGGCTACTGGGACTCGCCCTGCTTGGAAGTGGACGAGGCGTTTCTCCGGCCCTGGCTCTCCTGGCCTTCTCCAGCCCAATGTGTGACCCGCTACAGCCACCTGGTGGGCCGCGGGGGAATACAGCAACGATTTCAATAAACCCCAGGACATAGGCCCTGCCGGGAAAGGAGTCTGGGGCCTGGCATGGTCTAGATTCCCTCCCCAAGGACTGCCCAGTCCCCTTCCCCCTCCATCCTCAGTTCCCTTTAGTAATAGAGAAAGCCGTCCCCCGTGTTCTCTCGGCTGATCTATAGTAGGCGAGGGTGGGCATGGAATAAAACGACCGCTTCTGCTGCTTTACTCCTCAGGTTATTTCCATTCGAAATTAGTTAGGCAGGGAGGAGACATCAGGCTGGAGCCCAGAGGCAGGAGGGAAGCGCCCACCGACCCCACCCCGCGTTCCAAAACGTTCCCTCCAGCGCAGCGTCTCCCAATAGCCGGGATCCTGGGGGTCCCAGCCAATCTGATGGGGGTCGCGTTTTTCCCGGCCTGGGACGCGGGAGGCTCCATTCTGCACCAGAAGCGGGGAGGGCCAAGGGAGACATGAGCACAGCTGGCTCGAGTGGCTCGTGGAGTTAGCCTGCAGCCGCCTCTCTGGTGGGCGCTGGATCCCCACAAGCCCCCAGGGGAAAACGGTCTACGCCTCTTAGACCCGCACCTTCGCCAGCAGAACCGGAACTGCCACTGCTGCTAGGAGAAAGTCTTGGACAATAATCGCGACGTCCAGGCCACACAGGCCATAAACCGCCACGGGAGCAGCGAGCGCCCTGAGTAGCGCAGCCCCCCGCTCCCCAGGAGGTGGGAACCACGCTGGAACCAGCAAGCCCAAGCTCTGCGCCTTCGCGGCGAGATCTGACGGCCCTAGTGGCCCCCATCCTCCCGTCGGCCGGAGACCGGACCCGGTTACCACCACCTCCCCGCAATTTCTAGTCTCTAAATTATGCTGTCCCCGAAAACAAAGAAAGTGACCAAGAAATAATGTGAAAATGTTACCAAGAGAGTTTACTATTGAAAGAAGTCTAGCCATCAAATAAATGTCTTTTACTAAACGATGAATAAATCTGATGGTCTTTTTGTGGTAAATGGAATGTTTAGGTTCTTAGATTATGGTCATTCAGTCAGCAAACATCTGACTGCGGTTAATTCTGTGACGGGAGCTGAGAAGACCTCACTGAACAAAATCCCTGCTTTCCTGCTATTTATATATATTCCAGCGAGGGAGACAAAAAAATCAAGTTAAATAAGTAAAAGAGATAGTTAAATTAAGTTGTGGAGCGTGCGAAGAGAAAAAAATAGGGAAAAGATAAGAGTTCTAGAGGGATGTATTTGGAGAGGGCAGCCAGAAAAGCCCTCACTGAGAAGGGTACACTGGAGTCAAGACTTGAAGGAGTTGAGAGGGCAAAACAGACAGGGAAAACAGACAGGCGGCTGGCAGGTGCAAAGGCCCTGAGGCAAGAACTCCTAGGCCTCTTCCAGGAAGTGAGGAGAGCAGAGGGAGGGAGGGTGAGAGGGAGAGGGGAAGAGGTCCTGAATTGAGAGACAACACTAGGATGGGTGGGAAAGTTTATGCTGTGAAGTGACTCTAAGAATACTGGTGTTTATGCCAAGCAAGGTGGGAGCTACTGGGGGGCAGTGAGCAGAGGAGGATGTGATCTGACTTGTTTTAACAGGACCGCTCGGGCTGCTGCACTGAGGAGGGCTGAAGAGGTGAGGCTGAATTTAACTTTGACTCTTGCCTCTCTCCCACACCCAATCAGAGAGCAAGTTCTGCCCCCTGCTTCCAAAGTAGTTTGTCCTCTGCTCGAAATCGGCTTCTTCAGGCCCCCCTTCTCCATCATATTGGGCAGATCCTTGTTTTAAATCAATTTTCAATCTTTATTTAGAAACAATTTTTCTGACTGTAAGACAAATGCATATTCACATGAACATTGACAGAAATTTAGAAACATTGTAAAAAGGGAAAAAGCAATCTTCGGGTAAAGAGGGTGGTGGCTTGTTCTGAGGAGGACACAGTGGAGATCATGAGACATGGTCAGAGCCAGATGTCAATCTTTACATATAATCTCAATATCCAGAGAGAATCACTGTGGCCCTTCAATATATTTCCATTTAAACTGTGTGGACCATGTGTATTTCCCAGGTGCCTGCCACCATACCTGGATAATTTTTGTATTTTTAGTAGAGACAGGGTTTCACAATGTTGGCCAGGCTGGTCTCAATCTCCTGACCTCAAGTGATCCGCCCACCTTGGCCTCCCAAAGTGCTGAGATTACAGGCGTGAGCCACCACACCTGGCCTAAAAACATTTTTAATAGCAATATATTATGCTACCTTATATACAATTTTTTTTTTCTTGAGAGGAGTCTCACTCTGTCGCCCAGGCTGGAGTGCAGTGGCATAATCTTGGCTCACTGCAACCTCCACCTCCCAGGTTCAAGCAATTCTCATGCCACAGCGTCTCGAGTTGCTGGGATTACAGGCTCGTGCCACCACTCCTGGCAAATTTTTGCTTATATACAACTTTTTAAAATGTTAATGCAAAATAATTTATTCTTCTTGCTGGATATTAGGCCTACTTCCATTTTTTTTCTTGCCATTTTAAATCCTAAATCTTTCCTAATGCATATCCCCTGTGACCTGCACGTATACATCCAGATGGCTGATTCCTGATGACATTCCACCACAAAAGAAGTGAAAATGGCCTCTTCCTGCCTTAACTGATGACATTATCTTGTGAAATTCCTTCTCTGGGCTCATCCTGGCTCAAAAGCTCCCCTACTGAGCACCTTGTGACCTCTACTCCTGCCCGCCAGAGAACAACCTTCCTTTCTCCTTTACCTACCTAAATCCTATAAAACGGCCCCACCCCATCTCCTTTCGCTGACTCTTTTCGGACTCAGCCGGCCTGCACCCAGGTGAAATAAACAGCTTTATTGCTCACACAAAGCCTGTTTGGTGGTCTCTTCACATGGACGCGAGTGAAATTTAGTGCCGTGACTCCGATCGGGGGACCTCCCTTGGGGGATCAATCCCCTGTCCTCCTGCTCTTTGCTCCGTGAGAAAGATCCACCTATGCCCTCAGGTCCTCAGACCAACCAGACCAAGAAACATCTCACCAATTTCAAATCCGAAAAGCGGCCTCTTTTTACTCTCTTCTCCAACCTCCCTCACTATCCCTCAACCTCTTTCTCGTTTCAATCTTGGTGTCACACTTCAATCTCTCCCTTCTCTTAATTTCAATTCTTTTCATTTTCTGGTAGAGACAAAGGAGACACGTTTTATCCGTGGACCCAAAACTCCGGCGCCGGTCATGGACTAGGGAAGGCAGCCTTCCCTTGGTGTTTAATCACTGCAAGGACACCTCTCTGATTATTCACCCAGGTTTCAGACGTGTCAGACCACGCAGGGACACCTGCCTTCGTCCTTCACCCTTAGCGGCAAGTCCCACTTTTCTGGGGGAGGGACAGGAACCCCGACCTCTTATCTCTGCGCCCCATCCCTTATTTCCGTGCCCCGACCTCTTATCTCTGTGCCACAACCCCTTATTTCCATGCCCCAACCCCTTCTCTGCTTTTCTGGAGGACAAGAACCCCCCACCCCTTCTCCGTGTCTCTACTCTCTTTTCTCTGGGCTTGCCTCCTTCACTATAGGCAAGCTTCCACCTTCCATTCCTCCTTCTTCCTTAGCCTGTGTTCTTAAGAACTTAAAACCTCTTCAACTCTCACCTGACCTAAAATCTAAGCGTCTTATTTTCTTCTGCAATGCCGCTTGACCCCAATACAAACTCGACAGTAATTCCAAATAGCCGGAAAACGGCACTTTCAATTTTTCCATCCTACAAGATCTAAATAATTCTTGTTGTAAAATAGGCAAACGGTTTGAGGTGCCTGACGTCCAGGCATTCTTTTACACATTGGTCCCTCCCTAGTCCCTGTTCCCAATGTGACTCGTCCCAAATCTTCCATCTTTCCCTCCCACCTGTCCCCTCAGTCCCAACCCCAAGCATCGCTGAGTCTTTGTAATCTTCCTTTTCTGCAGACCCATCTAACCTGTCCCCTCCTCGCCAGGCCGAGCTAGGTCCCAATTCTTCCTCAGCCTCTGCTCCTCCACCCTATAATCCTTTTATCACCTCCCTTCCTCACACCCGGTCCGGCTTACAGTTTCGTTCCGTGACTAGCCCTTCCCCACCTGCCCAGCAATTTACTCTTAAAAAGGTGACTGGAGCTAAAGGCATAGTCAAGGTTAATGCTCCTTTTTCTTTATCCCAAATCAGATAGCGTTTAGGCTCTTTTTCATCAAATATAAAAATCCAGCCCAGTTCATGGCTTGTTTGGCAGCAACCCTGAGACGCTTTACAGCCCTAGATCCTAAAAGGTCAAAAGGCCGTCTTATTCTCAATATACATTTTATTACCCAATCTGCTCCCGACATTAAATGAAACTCCAAAAATTAAATTCCAGCCCTCAAACCCCACAACAGGACTTAATTAACCTCGCCTTCAAGGTGTACAATAATAGAGTAGAGGCAGCCAAGTAGCAACATATTTCTGAGTTGCAATTCCTTGCCTCCACTGTGAGACAAACCCCAGCCACATCTCCAGCACACAAGAACTTCCAAACACCTAAACCGCAGTGGCCAGGCGTTCCTCCAGAACTGCCTCCCCCAGGAGCTTGCTACAAGTGCCAGAAATCTGGCCACCAGGCCAAGGAATGCCCGCAGCCCAGGATTCCTCCTAAGCCGTGTCCCATCTGTGCAGGACCCCACTGGAAATCGGACTGTTCAACTCACCTGGCAGCCACTCCCAGAGCCCCTGGAACTCTGGCCCAAGGCTCTCTGACTGACTCCTTCCCAGATCTTCTCGGCTTAGCGGCTGAAGGCTGATGCTGCCCGATCGCCTCGGAAGCCCCGTAGACCATCACGGATGCCGAGCTTTAGGTAACTCTCACAGTGGAAGGTAAATCCATCCTCTTCTTAATCAATATGGAGGCTATGCACTCCACATTACCTTCTTTTTAAGGGCCTGTTTCCCTTGCCTCCATAACTGTTGTGGGTATTGACAGCCAGGCTTCTAAACCTCTTAAAACTCCCCAACTCTGGTGCCAAATTAGACAATACTCTTTTAAGCACTCCTTTTTAGTTATCCCCACCTGCCCAGTTCCCTTATTAGGCCGAGACACTTTAACTAAATTATCTGCTTCCCTGACTATTCCTGGACTACAGCTACATCTCATTGCCGCCCTTCTTCCCAATCCAAAGCCTCCTTTGCGTCCTCCTCTTGTATCCCCCCAACCTTAACCCACAAGTATAAGATACCTCTACTCCCTCCTTGGCGACCGATCATGCACCCCTTACCATCTCATTAAAACCTAATCACCCTTACCCTGCTCAATGCCAATATCCCATTCCACAGCATGCTTTGAAAGGATTAAAGCCTGTTATCACTCGCCTGCTACAGCATGGCCTTTTAAAGCCTATAAACTCTCCTTACAATTCCCCCATTTTACCTGTCCTAAAACCAGACAAGCCTTACAAGTTAGTTCAGGATTTATGCCTTATCAACCAAATTGTTTTGCCTATCCGCCCCATGGTGCCAAACCCATATACTCTCCTATCCTCAATACCTCCCTCCACAATCCATTATTGTGTTCTGGATCTCAAACATGCTTTCCTTACTATTCCTTTGCACCCTTCATCCCAGCCTCTCTTTGCTTTCACTTGGACTGACCCTGACACCCATCAGGCTCAGCAAATTACCTAGGCTGTACTGCCACAAACTTCAGACAGCCCCCATTACTTCAGTCAAGCCCAAATTTCTTCCTTATCTGTTACCCGTCTCGGCATAATTCTCATAAAAACACACGTGCTCTCCCTGCTGATCGTGTCTGACTAATCTCTCAAACCCCAACCTCTTCTACAAAACAACAACTCCTTTCTTTCCGGGGCATGGTTGGATACTTTCGCCTTTGGATACCTGGTTTTGCCATCCTAACAAAACCATTATATACACTCACAAAAGGAAACCTAGCTGACCCCATAGATCCTAAATCCTTTCCCCACTCCTCTTTCCGTTCCTTGAAGACAGCTTTAAAGACTGCCCCCACCCTAGCTTTCCCTGATTCATCCCAACCCTTTTCATTACACACAGCTGAAGTGCAGGGTTGTGCAGTCGGAATTCTTACACAAGGACCGGGATCGCGTCCTGTAGCCTTTTTGTCCAAACAACTTGACCTTACTGTTTTAGGCTGGCCATCATGTCTCCATGCAGCGGCTGCTGCCTCCCTAATACTTTTAGAGGCCCTTAAAATCACAAACTATGCTCAACTCACTCTCTACAGCTCTCATAATTTCCAAAATCTATTTTCTTCCTCACACCTGTTGCATATACTTTCTGCTCCCCGGCTCCTTCAGCTGTACTCACTCTTTGTTGAGTCTCCCGCAATTACCATTGTTCCTGGCCCGGGCTTCAATCTGGCCTCCCACATTATTCCTGATACCACACCTGACCCTCATGACTGCATCTCTCTGATCCACCTGATGTTCACCCCATTTCCCCACATTTCCTTCTTCCCTGTTTCTCACCCTGATCACACTTGGTTTATTGATGGCAGTTCCACAGGCGTAATCGCCAAACACCAGCAAAGGCAGGCTATGCTATAGTACAAGCCACTAGCCCACCTCTTAGAACCTCTCATTTCCTTTCCATCATGGAAATATATCCTCAAGGAAATAACTTCTCAGTGTTCCATGTGCTATTCTACTACTCCTCAGGGATTATTCAGGCCCCCTCCCTTCCCTACACATCAAGCTCAGGGATTTGCCCCCACCCAGGACTGGCAAATTGGCTTCACTCAACATGCCCCGAGTCAGGAAACTAAAATACCTCTTGGTCTAGGTAGACACTTTCACTGGATAGGTAGAGGCCTTCTCCACAGGGTCTAAGAAGGCCACCACGGTCATTTCTTCCCTTCTGTCAGACATAATTCCTCGGTTTGGCCTTCCCACCTCTATACAGTCCAATAGCAGACCGGCCTTTATTAGTCAAATCAGCTAAGCATTTTTTCAGGCTCTTAGTATTCAGTGAAACCTTTATATCCCTTACAGTCCTCAGTTTTCAGGAAAGGTAGAACAGACTAATGGTCTTTTAAAAACACACCTCACCAAGCTCAGCCACCAACTTAAAAAGGACTGGACGATACTTTTACCACTTCCCCTTCTCAGAATTTAGGCCTGTCCTCAGAAAGCTACAGGGTACAGCCCATTTGAGCTCCTGTATAGAGGCTCCTTTTTATTAGGCCCCAGTCTCATTCCAGACACCAGACCAACTTGGACTGTGCCCCAAAAAACTTGTCATCCCTACTATCTTCTGTCTAATCATACTCCTATCACCGTTCTCAACTACTCACACATGCCCTGCTCTTGTTTACACTGCCAGTTTACACTGTTTCTCCAAGCCATCACAGCTGATATCTCCTGGTGCTATCCCCAAACCACCACTCTTAACTCTTGAAGTAAATAAATAATTTTTGCTGGCAAGGCTATGCTGAACCTCCTTAGGCACTCTCTAATTAGATGTCCCAGGTCCTCCCAATTCTTAGTCCTTTAATACCTGTTTCTCTCCTTCTCTTATTCCGTTTAGTTTTTCAATTCATACAAAACCGTATCCAGGCCATCACCAATAATTCTAAATGACAAATGTTTCTTCTAACAACCCCACAATATCACCCCTTACCACAAAATCTTCCTTCAGCTTAATCTCTCCCACTCTAGGTTCCCACGCTGCCCCAATCCCGCTCGAAGCAGCCCTGAGAAACATCGCTCATTCTCTCTCCATACCATCCCCAAAAAATTTTCACTGTCCTAACACTTTACCACTATTTCGTTTTATTTTTCTTATTAATATAAGAAGACAGGAATGTCAGGCCTCTGAGCCCAAGCTAAGCCATCATATCCCCTGTGACCTGCACGTACACATCCAGATGGCTGGTTCCTGCCTTAACTGATGACATTCCACCACAAAAGAAGTGAAAATGGCCTGTTCCTGCCTTAACTGATGACAATATCTTGTGAAATTCCTTCTCCTGGCTCAAAAGCTCCCCTACTGAGCACCTTGTGACCCCCACTCCTGCCTGCCAGAGAACAACCCCCCTTTTTCCTTTACCTACCCAAATCCTATAAAACAGCCCCACTCCTATCTCCCTTCGCTGACTCTTTTCGGACTCAGCCCGCCTGCACCCAGGTGAAATAAACGGCTTTATTGCTCACACAACGCCTGTTTGGTGGTCTCTTCACACGGACGCAAGTGAAAGTATTAACAGTAGCACCACAAAAGGAGTTCATATTTCCAGTTGTTTCCACTCCAACTCATACTCTCTGCTGTCACTGGGCTTACTCAGGGCCTCCTCGTGTGCCTCCAAGAACAGAGTCTAATGGCTTTAGCTTGGCATTCCAGGGTCTTTACAAGCCTGGTTCTAACTTTTTTTTCTTTTTTCTTTTTTGAGACAGAGTCTTGCTCTGTCGCCCAGGCTAGAGTGCAGTGGCGTGATCTCAGCTCACTGCAAGCTCCGCCTCCCGGGTTCACGCCATTCTCCTCCCTCAGCCTCCTGAGTAGCTGGAACCACAGGCGCCTGCCACCACGCCCGGCTAATTTTTTGTATTTTTAGTAGAGACGGGGTTTCACCGTGTTAGCCAGGATGGTCTCGATTTCCTGACCTCGTGATCCACCCGCCTCGGCCTCCCAAAGTGCTGGGATTACAGGCGTGAGCCACCGTGCCCAGACTCTAACTTCTGTCTTGCCTC
Organism: Homo sapiens; assembly: GCF_000001405.40. Lineage (NCBI taxonomy): Eukaryota > Metazoa > Chordata > Mammalia > Primates > Hominidae > Homo > Homo sapiens. The sequence continues at coordinate 69,404,093 of NC_000009.12, read as the reverse complement.
ATCTTCTGTGGCTCCCCACTGCTCCCGGACATGGACAGCTTTATCCTGCGCCTGCAACACCTGCCACCCCTTTCCTGCCCATGCAAATCCTATTCAGTCTTTGCGCCTGCTCGCAGGGTGAATGGCTTGCTGCTTTGTGATGCCTCTAGTATTTTTTCCAGCATTTAGCACATTGGAATGTGATGTATCTGCTCTGCCTCTCTTCTCTGATGTTCTGTGATTGTCTTGTGGGTGGGGACAGTGTCTGGTTCACTTCTTTACCCATTACACCAGGAGAGCACCTGGAACATAGTACATAACATGGGAGTTTGTTAAAAGAATGACCACCAGTTCGCTAGAAACATACAAAAGTAGCAGAAACATCCTCATCTTAAGTCATCAGCACCACTTCCTGGAAACAGCAATGTGGAAGGTATCACATCCAAATCTGACCATGTCTCATGACCTCCACTGTGTCCTCCTCAGAACAAGCCACCACCTTCTTTACCTGAATGGCCACAGCAGTCCCCTAACTGGCCCCCTGTTTCCTCTCTTCTCCCCCATCCCATCCCTCATTTAGCAGTCAGAGTGACCCCAAGAACATGATGAAATCAGATTGCATCTTTCCTCTGCTCAAAACCCTCCAAGTGAGTTCCATCACACTAGACTAAATCCAAGGACCTTGCAAAGCCCTGATCTGATGCCTGGCTACCTCTCTGATTTCATTTCCTATTCATTCTTTTGCTCACTCCATTCCAACCACAATACTCCCTGAACACACACCGAGAACACTCCTGCCTCAGGGCCTTTGCCACTGCTGTACTTTCTCCCAATATCCCTGTGGCTGACTCTCATTTCATTCAAATTTCTGCTGAAATGTCACCTCAGCAAAGGGGATTTCTCTGAGTACCTCCTCCAACACAGTGCAGAGGACCTACCATGGTCACTCTAAGGTAGCAGTGCCCATCACTTCCTATCCATTATTTTTCTTCATAGCCCTTACTACCATTGCTGTTACTTCAATTATCTTTTTATTCATTGTCTGGCTCCTCCCATTCAAATGTGAGCTCTATGAGGGCAGAGACTTCATGTGCTTTTTCCACTTCTCTATCCCCAGTACCTGGGGCTATGCCCAACATCTCATTGTCACATGATGAATATTTGCTGAGTGAGTGAATGAATGCAGGCATGAATGAGGGTGACCTCTTCTCTATATGCCACAGGGAATGATGAGGCTTAGATTTACAGGGAGAGCAAGGAATGGGTTTTGGAGGATGGCTTTAGCCTAGGCAAAATCCCCTTGTTACAAATCCCATGGCAGGAATAAATTCTGAAAGGTCTGCATACACAGCCAGTAACAGTGTGATGGGTTTAAAAATACATTGTAAGAGAGAAAAAATTCCTCTTTTCACCCATGGCTAGCTTCATAGCTGAGCACCCTATAACAAAAGACAGATTAACAAGAGAAAAAGCATACAAATTTATTTAATGTATAAAGTTCACGTGACATGAAAGCCTTCAAAACTGAAGAACCAAAGGAACAGAGAAACTTGTGTAATTTTATGCTAAGTTCGACAAAGAAGTGGATAGGTGTAGACAAGTACGTTTGGACAAAGAAGTTATGCTCTAGGCTGGGCGCGGTGGCTCACACCTGTAATCCCAGCACTTTGGGAGGCCGAGGCAGGCAGATCACGATGTCAGGAGATCGAGACCATGGTGAAACCCCGTCTCTACTAAAGATACAAAAAGTTAGCTGGGCACAGTGGCGGCGCCTGTAGTCCCAGCTACTCAGGAGGCTGAGGCAGGAGAATGGCATGAACCTGGGAGGCAGAGCTTGCAGTGAGCCGAGATCACACCACTGCACTCCAGCCTGGGCAACAGAGCGAGACTCTGTCTCAAAAAAAAAAAAAAAAAAAAAAAAAGAAGTTATGCTCTAATGGTAATAAACTGGGGAAAACTTAAGCAAGACCTGGTTGTTCATGTTCCTCTCTGTGTCCTTGCGTCTTCAGAGATAAAGACATTCCTTTCCTCGGGTATAGGAAGGGAACCTCTAGAATGAAGGTTTTGTGACCTGCTTTAGGAGAGAAGAGTGAGGAGAAGGTGAATGTGAGTTTCCTGCTTCTGCTGTTTTCTCAGATGCCAAGGTGGCATATTTTGGGGTAGTGTGTTGCTGTGGTTTGTGTTCCCCAGAATTCATGTGTTGGAAATTTGGTCCCAGTGTGATGGTATTGGGAGATGGGGTCTTTAAGAGGTGATGAGGTCATTAGGAGGGATTAACACTGCTCTCTCAGGACTGAGTTAATAATGCTCGTGGGGGTGAGTTCTTGCTCTCAAGAGACTGGATTAGTTCCTGTGAGAGCAGGGTGTTATAAAGCGAGGCCACCCCTCATGTTTTGCCCTCTTTTTGCTCATGCCCACTTTCCTGTTCACTTCTCTGCATGTAACAACACAGTACAAAAGTCTTTGCCAGAAGCTGTCACCATGCTCTTGGACTTCACAGTCTCCAAAACTGTGAGCCAAATAAACTTTTTTCCTGTAAAAATTACCCAGTCTCAGGCTAGGCATAGTAGCTCACTCCTGTAATCCCAGCACTTTGGCAGGTGGATCACCTGAGGTCAGGAGTTTGAGACCAGCCTGGCCAACATGGTGAAACCGCGTTTCTACTAAAAATACAAAAATTAGCTAAGCATGGTGGCATGTGCCTGTAATCCTAGCTACTCAGGAGGCTGAGGCAGGAGAATCACTTTAACCCAGAAAGTGGAGGCTGCAGTAAGCCAAGATGCACCAGTGCACTCCAGCCTGGGTGACACAGCAAGACCCTATCCAAAAAACAATTGCCCAGTCTCAGGTATTTGGTTATAGCAACAGAAAACAGACTGAGACACGTGTCCTGAACCTCATCAGCGTCCACACATATTTTAAATACCCCTTCCTTCAAAAGGTACAGTTCAATTTCCCTCCCCTTGAGTGTGGGTAGGACCTAGTGATTTGCTTCTAATAAACATAAATGATGGTGTATTACTTCTAAGATATGTTATAAAAAGACTGTGGCTTCCATCTTGGGTGGGCTTTCTGGTTTGTTCTCTCTCTCTCTCTCATCTCACTCTGGGAAGCAAGCTGCCATCCTATGAGCAGCCCTATGGAGAAGCCTACATAGTGAGGCCTACATGGTAGGAAGTCTATGTGGTGAAGTCTTGGTAACCAGTGAGAAACTGAGGCCCATCCACACTGCATAAGTGAGCTTGGAAGCAGATCCTCCAGCCCCAGTTGAGTCTTGAGATGAGTGTAGCTCTAGCCAACCATTGGATGTCAACCTCATGAAAAACCCTAAGCCAGAAGCACCCAGCTAAGCTGCTCCTGGATTTCTGACCCTCAGAGCCTGTGACATAATAAATGTTTGTCATTTGGGTGTAGTTCATTACACAGCAATAGATGACTAATATGGTCACCATGTTTTGTCAAATTCCCTGCAATAAGTAATCCCACACTGCCAGTACTTGTCTTTCCAGGTGACTTTCTATAAGAAATTCCTCAGCTCACAGCTTGTGGAAGAAGATGGGAGGAGCACTGAAGCCAGTCCTTTCTGGCACCAGCAATATGGTGCATGTAGCGAAGAAAACATAGGCTTCAGGGTTGGACTGGGCTGGATGTAGCCTCATTTAACCAAATGTGTGATCTGAAACACATTACTTAACACTCAGAAACTCCTTTTAATCATTTGCAGCTGGTGATAGTAAGACAATCATGCATATGGTAAGATTATATTGAGATTAATTCTGCCTACACATTATAGTTCATTCTCTTTCCAGTTCCTTTTTCTTGTTACTCATGGTCTCAGGGTCTTTTCTTACTGCTGCCCATCTCAAAAATGCCAACCACTTACCCAAAACTCAGGTGTAAACTCCGAAGTCTTATTCTTGAACAGCGGTGGATTTATTGTGAAGCCACTGAAATTCAAGTATCATGGATTATCCCATAATTAGCCCCTTTCAATGCTCTGTACCTAATTTTGTATTCTTTTTTTTCCAAGGGGGTCCCTAATCACGATGAAAATATATCAGATTCTATGGGATTCAATTCAAGCAGTGATAAGAAAATCCATTGCGCTAAACACTTTTTTATCAATGAAAGCAAGAAAATAACATGAAACAAATTAAATTTCCAGCTCAAAGCACCAAAAAAAGAACAACAAAGTAAACAAAGTAAAACAAAAGAAAGCACAAAAAAGAAAATAATAAAGCTAAAGGCAGCCAGGTGCTGTGGCTCACGTCTGCAATCCTAGCACTTTGGGAGGCCGAGGTGGGAGGATTATTTGAGCCCATGAGTTCCAGACCAGCCTGAGCAACATGGTGAAACCCCATCTCTACAAAAAACACAAATATTAGCTGGCCATGGTGGTGTGTGCCTGTAGTCCCAGCTACTCAGGAGGCTGAGGTAGAAGGATCACTGGGCCTGGAGAGGTCAAGGCTGCAGTGAGCCATAATCTCACGACTGCACTCCAGCCTGGGTGACAAAGTGAGACCCTGTCTCAAAAAAAAAAAAAAAACTAAAAACTAAAAACTAAAAGCAAAAATTAATGAGAAAGTGAATAAACGGTGGATATAATTAACAAATAAAATATAGGTTTTAAATAAAATATAGGTTTTAAAAAAACAGCTAACAAGAAAAAAGGGGAAACCATAAATATATAAAATTTAAAATGACAAGGGGGAAATAACCATTGGAACAGAAGATTTTTTTTAATTATAAGAGATGACAAATTTCTATGCAAATAAATTTGAAAAACTGGGTGAAGTAGATAGTTGATTTCCCAGGGAGATAAAAATTACCAAAATTGACCCTCACTAGAGTTGGAAAGTTTAAATGGACCAATTTTAATAGAAGAAATAGAGAAATGTATTAAGGAACTATTCTACACAAAAGCACCAAGGGCTTTGACAGGAAATTCTACCATACCTTCAAAGACCAATGTTCTCTAAAATATTTCAGAGCACTGAAAAAGAAGGAAAACTTCCCAATTCATTTTATGAATCTAATAAAATACCGATACCCAAACCAGATAAAGAGTATACAGAAATATACTAACCAGTATCATTAATAAATAGCATTGAAAATTTTTGAAATTTAGCAAACAGAATCCAACATCACATTAAGAAAATAATACACCATGAATTAATGGGATTTATTCAATAATTCAAGGTTGGTTCACTATTCAAAATCCATTAATACCATAGTCCACATTAATAAACCTAAGGGGGAAAAATAATATGATTATTTCCAGGGATGCTGAGAGAGCCTTTGACAAAATCCAGTACCCCTTCATGAAGCAAACAAAAATCAACTACAACAGAACAAAAACCCTCAAGAACATAGGAACTGAGGTATGCTATTTTTATATATTATTTATTTATTTATTTATTTTTGTCCTAAAGCTAGTATCTTATTTAATGGAGAAACGTCAAAGGCATTTCCTCTAAGATCAGGAACATGACAAGGATGTTGTAGTTCCACTACTCTTCCACATTGTAGTAGAGATGTCCGCCAAATGTAATTAAACAAGAGAAATCAAGTAGAGTCATAAGAATTGGTAAAGAATTGTGAAGACTATTGTGAAGATTACTTGAACTAAGTTAATAAGACAGCTCTGGAAGGGCTCACAATAAGTGCTACTCATTATTATCTTTTTTTTTTTTTTTTTTTTTTTTTTTGGAGACAGGGTCTTGCTCTGTCACCCAGGCTGGAGTGCAGTGGCACCATCACAGATTACTGCAATCTCAACCTCTTGGACTCAAGCAATCCTCCCAACTCAGCCTCCTGAGTAGCTGAGACCACAGGTATGCAACACCATGCCTGGCTTTTTTATCTTTTGTGGAGACAGGGTCTCACTATGTTGCTCAGGCTGGTCTCAAGCTCTCAGGTTCAAACAATCCCCTCACCTTAGCCTCCCAAAGTGCTGGGATTACAGGTGCAAGCCACTGTGCCTGGCCTCATTATCACCATTTGTAAGTGACACACTGGTGTTACCATTTCAGCTCCCTATGAGTTCCAGTGGTGTGTTTCTTTCGCCTCCCCATAGTTCCCTGCCACGGCAGTCTAGAGAAGAGCAAGCAGTCTGCTGTAATGGAAGGCAGGAGACACAGGCTAAAGTTGTGGCATGCTGACACTTGCAGCTCGTATGAGACAAACCAAATTTGTTTACCACTCTGGATGTCGGTCTCCTCATCTACAAAATGAGGAGAGAGGCCCCCATGCCTGATACCTCTCATATTTTGGTGTATGATTACTGTTGAACACCTGCTTGTCTCCACCAAGCAGATACAGTGCGGCGGGAGAAACAGCTTGCGACCAGAGCAGAATAATCCCAGCAACTCTCCTTGCTTGGAATTGTTTTCTGCCTAATATGTGATCCTGCCCGCACTATGAAATGTTCCTTTTGGATCAGAATTCATGAACAGTATCTAAAAGATTCTGGGAAAGCCTCCATAGACCTGGGACCTACAGCCACTTTGCCAGAGAAGAACGATGATTCATCCTGAATTTTGGCTCTAGCTTCTTTGTTAGGGCAAAACAGAGATCCTGCCAGCTGTTGGAATGAAAGGAGCGTTTTTCTTTAGACAGTGACAAGCCTGAGGCAAGGGACACAGTGTCATGAGAGTTCCCACTCAGAAACGGAGATGCTCCTTGGAGTCGGACACACTCACCCCTTGACCAAACTTGAGTAAGGCTCCTCTGAGTCCTCTTTTTCTTTTTTTGATGTTTTTTGTTGTTGTTGTTGGTTGTTTTGTTTTGTTTTTTGGTGTTGGTTTTTTTTTTTGTATTTTTGAGAAAGTGTCTCACTCTGTCACCCACGTTGGAGTGCAGTGGAATCATGGCTCGCTGCAGCCTCAACCTCCTGGGCTCAAGTGATCCTCCAACCTCAGCCTCCTGAGTAGCTGGGACTACAGACATGTACCACGCGTGGCTAATTTTTACACTTTTTTGTAGAGATGGGGTCTCACTATGTTGCCCAGTCTGGTCTTGAACTTCTGGACTCAAGTGATCCTCCCACCTCAGTTTTCAAAGTGTTGGGATTATGGGCATGAGCTATTGCACCCTGCCTGAGTCCTCTTTCTGACTCTTGGACTCTTAGTCCAGTTTTAGCAAGAATTCTGCTGAGTCAGTTTAGCAAAAATCTCCTATCCTTGGTATCTGATCACATTCCTCATTCCCTACCCTGATAGCTTATCACCCTGGCCTGCCTTCAGCAAGAATCCTAGTGACTTGGTGTATCAAGAATTGCCCCAGCCCTCACGTTTCCTCTTAGTACTTTTCTATCTACTGACCCCAACATTGCTCCTTGGCTGTATAAATCTCCACTTGTCCTGCTATGTTTGGGGTTGAGTCTGACCTTTCTCCCCTATTGCAGAACCCCACTGCGGTGGCTCCTGCTTGAATAAGTCTTCCTTACCATCTTTTTTTTTTTTTTTTTGAGATGGAGTCTCGCTCTATTCGCTCTATCGCCCAGGCTGGAGTGCAGTGGCACAATCTTGGCTCACTGCAACCTCCACCTCCTGAGTTCAAGCAATTCTCCTGTCTCAGCCTCCCAAGTAGCTGGGATTACAGGCACCCATGATCACACCCGGCTAATTTCTGTATCTTTAGTAGAGACGGGGTTTCACCATGTTGACCAGGCTGGTCTCAAACTCCTGACCTCAGGTGATCCACCTGCCTCGGCCTCCCAAAGTGCTGGAATTACAGGTGTGAGCCATGGTGCTCGGCCCGTTACCATCTTTAACAATAGTCAGGAATAACTTTTCATCAAGAATTCCCAGGATGGTGAACCATCTGCCACGTGAGCCTGTTTGATAATCAGGGATGAGGGAGCCTTCACGCCAGCCTCTGAGAAACCAGGCGTGTACCTGTTGGTCTCAAAGTCACCCTCTCTTGGCTCCTCCTCCTTGCTGGAGCCTTGGCACGGTTCAGCAGCCAAGAGGAAAATGGCTTTGCATTTGTAATTTGTGATTTGTGTGTCCCCTCTTCCTGCTCTGCATTCTACCCTCAGCCCCTGGCCCACAGCCTGGTACCCTGGAGCTCCATAAATACCTGTTGAGTGAATGAGAGGATGAAGGCTTCTGCAGAGAGAGAGTGGAAGAAAAGTGGCGTCTTTTGACTTCGGACTTGGCTTTCCTTGCAGAGGCCTCAGGGAGGAACAACACGGAAACAAAGATGGCCTTGTCCTGGGCCCTTCCCTCCCTGCCCCACTGTCCTCCTCTGCATCCTACAGCAGCCTGGGGGGAGGTGGAAATGGGCCCCTTTGTTCTGCTTCCAGAATTCCACTCCCACTGGGTGGAGGCCTGGCTGCAGCCCCCTCCTTCCTCTGCCAGTTCTTCCTAATCCTGAGCGACTCGCCAAAGCCTTGGATCTTCACACCGTGGGTCTCGCTGTGAGGACGGGCCTAAGCTCACAGGTAGCCTCAGAGACAGATACGGGTGCAGAGGGAAGAGGGGGTCCCCACCTGTTACCTCCCAGTCCTCTTCATCAGTGTCCCCAGGACCTATCACACAGGACAAATGAAACTGGGAGACGCCGTCTAGAGTGGGAACCCAGGTGAACACTAATCCAGTGTGGGCTGCAGACCTGTTTTTCCCTGGTCCCTGACATGAGTAAATTCAGAAAATGAGGGTAAGTGCTTTGAGATGTTAACATGATAGAGTACTTTACTTTTATGACTATTGAATCAAATAACTTTTCAAGGGTTTTAATGGATTATCAGACCATGGAAAGATACAGGAAACTTGAATGCATATTACTAAGTGAAAGAAGTCAGTCTGAAAAGGCTGTATAGTATCTGATTCCAACTGTGTGACATTCTGGAGAAAGCAAAACTATGGAGACTGTCAAAGGACCAGTGGTTGTCAGGAGTTAGGGGAGAGAGGCATGACTGGGTAGAGCACAGAGGATTTTAGGGCAGTGGAACTACTCTGTATACTACTACAGTGGTGGATACAGGTCATCATGCATTGTTCAAATTCATGGAATGGACGACACCAAAGGTTAACTCCAGCCAGAAGTGCTGGTCTCTTACCCCTGCCCCATTCTTAGCACTGGGCCTCAGTTTCCTTTCCTGCAAATTGAGGGGGTAGCATGATCTGACCTACCCAATTAGACAGTTCAGCAAATGTCTGGTTCTTTTGACAAATACAGGCAGCGTCTGGAAATTAGGGGCCATAGACTCCTCCTCCAAACCTCACCATCAAGATGCTCCAATGAAAGCAGGTCTTGGGCAATTCTGCCAGCCAGCCATGCTCATTGGCAAGGCTGCACAAAACAGTTTGTAAGCTTGGGGAAGTCCTAGCTGTCCTCAGATTCTCAGATACGTAGCTTGCTTGAAAGGTTGGGGTTCTGAAGGAGCAGCTTGAATCTCAGTCCATCCTGTGACAATCTCACAAAGTGGGGACCAGATTCTGATGCCTCATTGGGACAGAGGCAACAATGACTATGCAGTGCTCCTAGCTGGCCACATGTTGTGAACATTATTTACTTCACCAGTGAAAACTTATTTCAAACATCCCTTATGCTAATTAATCAACCCTCTGGTATAATTTTGATAACCACATTTGAAATGCTTTGTTAAAACCACTGGACTATGGATTCCTAAGGAACTCCAAAGGCGAAACAGCTGCCCTCGCTATATATGTTCAGTTAACCTATGAGCATGTGTATCATTATTAATGCTTAAGTATTTAAAAGTATATTACTACCCAGATGAACTAGGAAGGAGATAAATCACATGACTTCTGAGTTCCCTCCCATGCTAAATATATGTAAACTATTGTTATATATATATATGTTTCTGTGTTTTTTTTTTTTACTTTAATACTCCTTAAAGTCAGGGAAGGAAGGCAGAAATAGGTTTTCAGATTTCGCCATTTCTGAAGTTGCAGGGACAATTCCATGAAGCTAAGACAGGCCCCCCCTTGCTCCTGGTGTCCATCTAACTGATGCTCTCAGGCTTTATGCCTCCTTTCCTCTTCCAGTTGTCGCTGGCAATTTCTCATTCCTCGGGATGGCTGAGGCCATCTCTGTGACTGTCCCCCCAAAGCTAGAAGCCAGACACTGTTCACACTTGTGGTGCCCACCTGTCTTCCTTGAGCCTTTCAGGTACACAGGGAGGCCTGCGGTGGCAGGTGGAGGTGAGCAATAGGGTTCAGAAGGGAAGGTGGAGAGGGATGCAGCTGGGAAAAAAAAAAAAAAGATTCCAGAGCAGTGAGAAAGGCACAGCCAGGCCTGAGTGAGGGAAGGAAAGGCCAGTCCCTTCTCTTGCCTGGCTACAGGAGTGGGACAAAGTGGTTGGCTAACTGCTGTGGGGCCTCACTTGGAGAAACCAGTTTGGGGGTACACAAGGAGCTGTGAAGGAGAGAAGAAATTAGACTAGGCCGCATGGGCAGTCCACGGAATGTTGGAGAACTACGGTGAGGCCCTCAAACAGGGCAAGGGCTTACCCCGGGCAGTGGGCCAGACCCCACTGGACAGCTATGGTGCTGACAGGAGGACTCCTAGAGAAATGGAAAGATCATGAGCCTGAAGGGGAATTCAGTTTCTGGGAATGGGCGGATAAGAACGGAGAAAATGTCATTCTGAGATGTCACTGTAGATCTTCCCCAAACAGAGCTGACCCCAGGCAAGGGGCCTGACCCCAGCCTGTTCACAGCCCTCCATCTCTCCCATTTCTAGGGCTGTTTCCACAGCCCCCTTCCCACCGCAGCTCAGCACCTCCACACCAGTGTCTTTCCCCTCCTTTCCTCCATCCCTTGTCCCCACCACAGTTCCCACTCTGGCATGGTTCGTTGGCTTGGACCCAGGAAATCTGTGGTCTGGAGAGGCAAGCTAGAAGTCTTAACAGCCCTTTCCCACAGAAGCATGAAATGGCAAACCAATTTCATGTTTGGGAGGTCGAGGAACAGAGCAGTTTCTGGAGTTGGACTGCCTGGGTGTGAATGGCAGCTCCACCCCTTAGCTGCGGAGGGACCGTGCGCAAATTACTGAACCTCATTTTCCACATCTGTCAAATAGGGACAATAATAGCTTCCACCGCCTATGCTGTCATGAGCACAAAATAGGAGTGTGTGCAAAGCTCTTAGCATAGTAGCTGGTGCACAGGCAGTGCCCAGCAAGAAGCAGTACTCCATTTCCTATGTAACCTCTCTACTCAACTCCTCACCTCCACTCATGTCTGGCCCAAACTATTCTCCATGCAGCATGGTGATCTTTTGAAAATATGCTGACATCCATCACTCTTCTGCTGAAAACTCCTCAACAGTATCTCATTGCTAGCACAACAGGCAGCCTGTGCAGCTACTGCCCACCGCTGCCCTGACTCGGGGCTGTGGTCACAGTGGCCTCTGGTGTTCTTCGCCCCTCTCTCTCTACCTGGAACATTCTTCCCTGATCCACTAAGTCGTGACTCAGCTCAAGTGCCATTTCCTCGAAGAAGAAGCCCCTCTAACCACCTATTGCTCTTTTTCAGCAATAATCCCCAATCTGTAATTACTTTATTGATTTATTGTCCGTGATCCCATGAGAAGGCAGCTCCATGAAGCCATCCAGCCAAGTGCTTGCTGAATGAACGATACAGCCCGAAGGATACATGTAATAACAAATATTACACATCAAGCCCAGTGGCCCAAAGTAAACATGTTTATTCTCAGTTCTGCCTTAGGGGTCTCTAGTTTTGCAAGCATGAGTAAATGGAATCAACAATAATCCTCTCCTTAAATGTCTGGCATTAAAATTTGTCACTTAAGAAGTTTCCTGTTTTGCCTAAAGAGAGTGTGATTTGAGGGTGACCTGAAACAAGGCTTGAGGCTTGTGGACACATAGGGTTAATCGCCTTATTTCCTGCCAAATCGCAGAGCAGTGAAAGGCCAAAGGCAACTATAAATAGCAGCCCGGCAGATCTGTCCTTCCAAGAGGGAAAGAACTTAGCAACAAAGAGAGACACGAGGGGTGAAGTGGGCAAAGAATCATTAGCCCAGTTTCTGCCCATGCCAGGGCATGTGACCCTTGGGAATGCTGCGAGGCCCAGCAGAGGAAGAAGAGGATCAAAGCTTTCATAACCTCCAACTCAGTGCATCCCAAACCCAGACGGGCCTGGACCGACCTGTGCATTTACTCCTGAATGCCCTCAGTCAGCAGACACGGGAGCCAACAGGTGGGAAAACGTGTCCTCCAGAGTGCTCCTTTTTTTTGAGGTGGACCACAGCTCCCAGCCAAGAAATGGCAGAGAGGAGAGGGATCCTTCCCCTTGGAGTGGCCTTCTGTCTTCCAGGGTTCACAGGACAGTCTCTCGGATGACCCCAATGAGGCTGTGTGGCCGCTCAGCCTCCACTCGCCGGGGCCTCCTCTCGGCTCGGGGCCTCCCCGCTGGTGTGAAGGTGTGAAGGTCGCCGCAGCTCTGGAGGTGCAGCAGGCCAGGCTGTCTCCGCGAGGGCAGCTTGTGGGCCCTGGATGTGCTGGGCTGCAATGGGGCCATTATCTTTGGGAAAAGAGAGGGGTGGGGAGAAGTTAAGTAAGCTTTACCAGATGTGGCCCTTTGACCTACCTCCTAGGTCCATCCACCTATCTTAATGTGTAATTGCTTTGAAAAAGAAAAAAAAAAGGCATTTTCCCAAAGTGGAACTCACTTGGAATTCCAGAGGTTCTTTGTAAATCCTCCAAATGTTCTACCATGTCCGCTGTAGACCCGTAAACCACACTTAACTGGTTTGTCCGTTGCAATTTCTTGCTTTAACATTCTTCTCATTGCTTTTCTCTAATTTCTCTGAAGTCTAAGTCAGTGATCCTTGCTGGCATCTGAACATTACTACTGGGTCAGGGAGGGACGGGTATTGTCAGAAACATGAATTCTCAGCAAATTGCTACAGAATTCCCATAGCAATGGGGACAGTTAGCCTGGACTCAGGCTCAGGAATCTGTATTTTTAACAAGAATCCAAGTAAGAACCACTGGTCTGGGATTGGGACCAGGTGATGGGTTTATAAAATGTCAACCAAGTATAGGCGCAGTGGCTCACACTTGTAATCCCAGCACTTTGGGAGGCTGAGTCAGGAGGATTACTTCAACCCAGGAGTTTGAGACCAGCCTGAGTAACATAGTGAGACTCCATCTCTACAAAAAAAAAAAAAAAAAATTAATTAGCTGGGCATGGTGGTTCATGCCTGTAGTCCCAGCTACTTGGGAGGCTGAGGCAGAAGGATTACTTGAGCCCAGGAGTTCTAGACCAGCCTGGACAACATCGCAAGACCTCATCTCTACTAAAAATAAGAAAACTTGGCTGGGCGTGGTGGTGTGTGCCTGTAGTCCCAGCTACCTGAGAGGCTGAGGCAGGAGGATCACCTGAGCCCAGGATTTCAAGGCTGCAGTGAGCTATATCTACACCACCGCACTTTAGCCTGGGTGACAGACGGAGACCTTGTTTCAAAAAAGAAACAGTCAACCCAAACCATCCAATGATGCTTCAAATGGATCTGATAATCCTTTAATAAACAATATAAAAATTAGGCCAATTTATTTGTAAAAAGTCTTTAAGAATGATTCTTTTTGCTAGATCTATTTTGCAATGTGTCACAAACATAATTTTGAATATATAATAATATCACTTACTCTGTAAAAATGGCAAAAATATGAAAAATTCCTCATCCAACTGGGATTGAAGAGGAGAGAACTGTCCGGTCAATTTTTTAAAAATTGCACTGCCATGTTTCTTTGACCCATAATACTGTCAGCAGCTTCGGAAAACCTTGGGGCTTTATTGTTACCTAACATCACAGCACAATCATTTGGATGACTTTTTGTTTCATTTGTACCATTCTGAGCCTTTAAGGTCATTAAAAGATTATTCCTCCAAAGAAGGAAAATTAAATTTTATTAACAGTCTACTAATTACATTTGTCTTTAAGGTCTGTCCTTGTCTCCCGATTAAGAATAAAAGTTCAACATTCAAAGAAGTTGACTGTGCTACATAGTAAGTTAGGACAAGTGGTTTTGATATCAGTGAAAATCAAAATGGATCTAAAAACTCCAAGATGCGAAGCCAGCTAGAGTCAGAAATAACTGGTCTCCTTCTGCTGTCCTTACCTCCTTCTGGTGTTCTTACCTCCTTCTACCAGGGAAAAGGTATAGAATTGTGAAAGCTCACCTCTAGGTTCCAGTCCTGGAAGGCCCAGGAGATGGCCCAAAATCTATCACAACAATCTCAGCACCTGAAGTTTTAACCTGCCTGGGGCACAAAGATCTAGCAAACATTTGTGATGATAGCATCTAGTGAACTGTATAAGTGCTTGTTCTTCTTCCCCAGAGCTATTTCTCAGGGAGCAAGACTTTGCAGAAGGTCCAGGCCCACTACCTGGTGAATGCTCCAGCTCTTAGCTCATCAGAGCTTGGCAGCCTTCCAGAAGTGACTCCTGATTATTGGGCTATTGGGGCCGGACAGAGGGAAGGTGACAGACAATGACATCTGGAGTAGCTAAGGGACACCAGGATGTAAAATGTTTTCCCTACATAGGTTAGTAACTGGAGCCTCACCCGGAACCGTCAACTGATCACTCTTTCAGAGTGCAAACCCAAGAGGGTCTGTGGTTCATGTACCTCTTCATGCAAGTAATCAGATCATTCCTCCCCGCTGAATCCCCTGAGGGACTGGGAGAGAGTTTGGCTTCTGGCTTCTGTAAGAAGAGGCCAGCAGGTAGAAAGGGGGAACGGAAGGGACAGTGAGAGGGTATTTACTCAATTTGAATTGAAAATTTACCTACATCCTGAAGTTGGTAATTACCCTGAGAAATTAGCCCACTTCAGTTGAGGAAGTATTTGTTAGCCATTTAATGCCCAAAGACACAGAGCCACAAAACATCCATACGCCATTGTGGGGTGCTGTCTACAACATCCACCCCACTACCTGCAGCAATGAAGCCAACACCTAAAAGGGAATGGCTCTTAAAAGAGGTGGAGAGAAGGCTCTTACCAGAAGGAAACTCCATTCATTCAAAAATAAAGGTAGAGAGACTACCTAGTCCAACCATTTACTTTAAAGAGGAGAAACCTGAGACCCAACTGGATTATGTTCATGCCCAATTCTATCTTTTCCCCAAGTGGCTTCAGTTTCGGGGATTGCCTTGTACTTTTTAATCTACAAGAAGAAAAGGTGCTTATTCCCTTAGGACCTGTTGGCTTATTTATCTTGCCAAACATTTCATGGGAATGTGAACAGCCTCTTAGAATCTTGTTGATATTAAAATTCACCTATGTCATCATTTCCAAAGGGCTGAGAAAACATGCCCTATCAAAGGAAACCTTCAATTCAGGAAATCAAATGTTGAATGCACTCCACACTGTCCACATCCTCCGCTTTTATTCCTAGGATGCACTCTTTAATTTTCCCAGACATGCTTCCACATCCCAGAAAAACTGGGTTCTCTTCCCTTGAGCCAAGAATGATGTGGGAAAGTTACCACACTTGAAAGAAAGCTCCCCGGCTTCCTCTGTCTCCCTCCCCAGAACTCTCAACCCAATTTCCCTGAAGACTGTGACCATGAACTTACTCTGCCTTGGACAAGAAAGCGGAGAAGCCACTTTAGCTGCTATGAAAATGAGTCATCTGATTCATGCCTGAGATTAATAATAAAACTACCTGTTCTAGAAAACTGGCACTTGTGATGGCTTCCTCCATGTGCTCCTCATCAGATTTCAAAACAGATTTAATGTTTTCTACAAGTTCATGGATGTCTGGGGTCATGGTACAAGAGGACTGCTCCAGGAACCTCGCCACCAGCAGCTTGGTGTCCATGTAGGATTTGTAATCTATCAAAGACCGCGGTCTGCATCGCGAAGCTCTAGATCTCAAGCCTCTCCTCAGAGTCACTGCAGCCAGATCCAGTCTCCTTTCAGTCTGTGTTGCAGCTTCACAGCTGAGCACTGGGGCAGCTGTGGGCAGAAACAAACAACATGTACCCATTGGCCAACCCCTTTTGAACATATGCCTGTACCTGAAAGCACAGACCACAAAACTCAACATGGAAAGCATCTGACAAATGCTGATAGCCATGCACATCCTGCTTTTCATCTTGCAGAAGGAGGGAAAACAACACAAGGTTATTCCCTGAAGTCCAGTTCCAATAGGATATGGCCCGAAACACGTCATTGTGTCATGTACGACACCACCCCCAAGGTAAAGCCAGATGGTGGAGAGGAGAATCCAGAATGCAAACCATAATGAGGTTAAGTTTCATGGGGTATGACAAATAGATGGGGATGGATGGGCCAAGCAGGAAAAATGTGGCTGACCAATGAAAGGATGTTCCAAGGAGCGAGGATGAAGTAGTCAATTAAGAGAGGAAGGGGCTGAAGAGAGACAAGACTTGTCAGATGAATGTAATGCTCTGATCACTTTGACTATACCTTTGTCCCAAACGTCCTCAAGGACGTTGTACTGACTTGTGTTATCGATGCTCACACCATGGATATGAGGTAGATCTATAGCTATTACCAAAAGAGAAATTTAGGTGCAGAAAAAGTACACATCATTCTGGAAGTCAACAGAGAGCCTGGGAAATCCACTGCAGGCTCTAATTTCCATGGCTGCCTATATCAGCAAGGGTGTAAAGACCAGCAATGCTTCTGCACTGTGAAGTGTGTGAAGCAAAACTCAGATCTGGTCATTATGTGTCCAGAAGTCAGCCAGCAGCCTTCAGCATACACAACATTGGCATCTTCAGTCTATGAAGGCCTGATAAGCAGCAATTTAGAAATTCAAAGAAGACAAGAAGCAGGGGGCGAGAGAGCAGGTGGAAGAAGGGGAGCACCCCCTTTCTTCTGGAGAAAGGCAGGTGTGGGGAGCTCTAAACCAGGATTCGAGACTGTCCTCTCAGGCAGCCATATGCACGTCACAGACAGCAAGAGTCTTCCAGAAGCACTCGCCAAAGACACTCGTGTGAGGACAGAGTCAGGGTCTCCACTCTTCCACTTGAAGGCAACCTGGCGCCTTCCACAATGGAGGGCTCCAGCAGCTGCTGTTCTTGCCCCCGCAGGTCTGCAGAATGAGAAGGGGTTCTGGAAAGATTTCCCTAAGCTGTGCAAACAGCTAAGTTCCCGTTGAGGCTGGAGTCCTCAACTTGCCAGGTAGGGTGTAGGAGACCCACAGTGAAGGCAGGTCTTGGGAATCAGAAGCCAGGCTGCCTGGCCACTGTGTTTCAGAGACACGCTCAGTACCAGGCGGCAGGACTTCCTCTCCACTTAGAAGCTGCTGTAGAGACAAGAGGAATGTTCTCTCTGGCTCGCACATGGTCAGTCCAGAGCTGTGGCAAATAACACACACTGTCAGAGAGCCAGAACTGAGACTGCAAGGGCTCAAGACAGGACCTTAGAGAGAGCAGGGTGGAGGATTATCAAAGTTTTATTTGCATAGGTGTTTTAGAACAGCAGAGGTCAACTCTGCTAGACTACTTCACAAGAAGAAGCTGGTGCTGGTGGAGTTACAGGAGATTTTAATTTTCTTCCTTTAGTTTCTTTATTTTTTATAATTTTCTACAATGAAGAGATATTTAGAGATGTTCAGGTATTCATATATTCAGAAAAAAGTCAGTGTTATTATTTTAATTTTTAATTATTCAGGTAACATCTATACACAAACAACACAGAGAGAGAGGTGAATTGTGTGGGTGCGTGTACTTCATTCTATCCAAAGTTCTAAAAACAAGGTCAGATTTCAATAATTCAATCATCTACTCATACATAGTAAAAATATAACAAATTATAAAAGAGGGAGTATACAAAAATCCTTTTGACTTTTTTTAAGACAATGCATATTCCTATAGGATTGCAGCATCTAGAAATCAGAACTAGGTGTGCATAATTGTCTTCATGTAGTACCTAGCATAGTATCATGTACAACCAAATTCTTTTGATGACAATGACTTTAAAAAAAAACAAAAAAACCCTACCATCCTTAAAAGACATGGTAGATATATATTCCTAACATGGACGTAGAATATTTTACTTTCCCAAGACCTCATAAGCTCCTTCAAATGACCACTTAAACTGCAGGGTCCTGAGCTGGCCAGAGCCACCTGCCTTCACCTGGCTCCTTTAGGCAAATAAGCACACAGCCCTGCGAAGAGCTTGGGGAATGACATCACCTCTCTCCTCAGAAGGATGGAGCACAGGGTCACTCTTCGACCTGGTCCTCAAGGGTGGGAGGGCTCTCCGGCTTCTGATAGGACGCACCAGGGTTGAACTGGGAGTTGAGGTGGATGCATTTTCTTCGGCAGGTATGTTAGGAATGTCCCCATCTGATTTAAAAAAAAAAAAAAAAAAAAAAAAGAGGCGAAACATAAATTATCTCACCAGCTGCAGTCCTCAAAATGGGCAGGAAACACCTGGGAGCCTAAACCTGCCAGGGCAAGGGTAATGCAGTTAATAACATTTACTCAGGCTGCTGGCCCAGTAAGTTTTTACATCACTGACTACAGGAAAACTTGCCTTTCCAAACCACCCCTCCACACCTAAAACAAACAAACAGAAAAATTTAAATCCAAGAGCAAAATAAAGGAGCCATGCCAAAATGGCAGGGGTTTTTTTTTCCTAAAGGTGCTTAGAATCTTCTCCAGGGAAGCATTCTGGGGCAGTACTGAAAAGCACCCTGACATCTCAGGATAAGCCTGGTTCTGGGGAAGGTAATACCAGCACAGGTGAGGTGGCTGCTCTGTGGGCTGCAGAACTCCCGGAAGGCTAAGTTAGAGAGAGTCAAGTGGCCACTAAACAAATCCGTAAAACCCCGCTGGAATTGGATAATTTATGCTCATGAAAATAAAACTGTGAGCCTGAGTTGTAATTCGAGAAACTGTTTTTAAAAATGGAAAAATTGGCTGGGTGCAGTGGCTCATGCCTGTAATCCCAGCACTTTGGGAGGCTGAGGTGGGTGGATCACCTGAGGTCAGGAGTTCAAGACCTGCCTGGCCAACATGACAAAATCCCATCTCCACTAAAAATTCAAAAACTAGCTGGGCATGGTGGCGGTGCCTGTAGTTCCAGTTACTCGGGAGGCTGGGGCAGGAGAATCACTTGCACCCAGGAGATGGAGGTTGCAGTGAACTGAGATCGTCCCATTGCACTCCACCCTGAGCAAAAGGAGTAAAACTCTGTCTCAGAAAAAATAAATAAAAATAAAGTTAAAAAAAAAAAAATGGAAAAATTATGAACATACTTAGGAGACAGAACACTGCTTCATAATTAATTCTACTTAGGATGGAAGGTGAACAGAACACAAAGTATTACATTACAAATAGTACTGCTGAAAAATTACCTTCATCTAAAATTGCTAAGAGTTGATCCATTATTTATCACCATTGTGATTTTGTCCTGGTGGACAATCCTCTGGGCCACTTAAAACCTCCCCAAAGAGAGAAGGCCATAACAATGTTCCCTTAAAGTACAAGGATAAATGTAAACTGACTCTAGTACTTACTGCAGTACTGAAAACCAGAATTCATTAGCTGCTCGGGCAGCATGACCTGGGCCCTAGGTTATAAATGACACAGCACAATCTTACCACAAATCACCTTGCAATAGAGGAAACTTTTTTTCCCCTGACAAAAGTCTAGCTAATTTTAATTAATAGGAGGAAGAAAATCATAGATCAGAAAACACAGGAATATCAATCAAACTCTGTAACCTATTTCATGGTTCCTGAGAATAGTCTGGTTCATAAAAAATTCCAAGGATATCTTTTTTCAGTTCACATATTTTCTCCCATTTATAAGCCCTAATAGTTGATGGTATTTTTGTATCTGGAGAAAAAGGTGTAGCTTGAACTATTTGCTCCAAGAATACCTGCCCTCTAACACAATACCAGACAGGATCATTATTTTATCATTTTTTTTTTCCGTTTGTAGAAATAGGGTCTCTCTCCATGTTGTCCAGGCTGGCCTCAAACTCCTGGCCTCATGTGATCCTCCCACCTCGGCCTCCCAAAGTGCTGGGATTACAGAGATAAGCCACCTTGCCCAGCCTATTTTATCATGTTTTAATCTACTGAATCATGTCACAATGTATCTATTACCTTGAGTCACTTGTGTGCAGCCCAGATCCAATGGGATCACAGCAGCTTCTGATCCTTCTGACATTTGGAATGAAGATCCCTGCATCACAGCAAAAAACAGGGTTATTTTGTTGATGTTTAACTCACCCCTCATTAGACCCAGTGAACTCCTTAAAAAGATGTGTGGGGCCCGGTCTCCCTGCTGTTCTCTGGGGGCAGGGGGTGGGGCGGTGCTGTCTTTCCCACTTGCAGTCAATGTACTTAGAGAGATTCAGGACAGACAGTACCTGCTCCTGGTCCATCTGGCTCACCACAGCTTCATATGGCGGCGGGGGATCCAGAGGACAGAACACTTCCACACCTTTGATTCGAGCTCCGTAGATGTGTGGCAGGGGAATAACATCAGGACCAACCATCCTAGGAAAAGCGACTTGGCGTCAGAAAGCACGTTCTACAGACTGGCCACGTGACTGCAGTGATGCCCGGATACTGGCTTTGCTCTAAACTGTGGGGAAAACCACTCACCTCTCCATACCATGGTCTCCTTGGCCAGGAGAGGGAGAATAATAGAAGCTGCTCTCCGACGAAGTGGCCAGAGTTCCTTAAGCAAATGACAGTGTATAAAATGCAACCCCATCATTGCTTTTAAACCCATCAGTCAAAAAGCAAACAATCCATAGAGACACAGAGCAGATTAGTGGCTGCCAGGGGATGGGGGAGAAGGGAATGGGGAGTGACTGTTTGATGGGTATGGGGTCTCTCTGAAGTACTGAAAATGCTTTGGAACTAGATAAAGATGATGGTTACGAAATAATGTGAATGCACTAAATGCTACTGAATCATATACTTTGGTTAATTTCATTTTATATGAGTTTCACCTCTATTTAAAAAACAGCTAAGGACTCAGGAAAATTCAATTATGTCTTACATTCTACATGACTCTTGTTTTTGTCCTGTGGGTAAAGAACCGTCAACAGCAAAATTCAAAATAATAGCAAAATCCTCCACAAGATTTTTCACCAACGTTGACAGAAAATTCCACAAATCTCTGCCCAAGGTACCAGATGATCTAGATAATGATGAACCTAAGTTTTAAAATAATTTATAAAATACATATAAAAGCCAGAACACCTGCATTCTGCTATGGAGTATCAAAGAATGAAAGAAAAAAAAAGAGAACAAAAGTTTGTCTGTTCTTGAAATACAAAAAAAGGATTTTAAAAAGCTAAAAGAAATGGATGAGAAAACAGATTCTGGGGCTAGTTGCTTGCAGGCACTGCCTTTTGGGGAGCAGTGTTCTCTGAATTTATAGTTGTTTCATTTTATTCTTTGTGGCTATATACAAAATGTGATTGGTGGAAGAAAAAATTTGAAAAGGATATCATCTTCTTTCTTCCTAACAATAAAACTTCTGGAATTCTGGGACTGAGAAGAATGAGACTCTGCAACCTGAATGAAAAGATGAGAAAGCACTCCCTCGTTTTCCTCTATATTTGTCTGTTCGTAAGCGAGGCTCTCATCCCTTGCTTGACCTGAAGGGGAAGGCAGAAGGTGATGAGCTAATGCCTGAAGTGGAGATGTTTGCAGGTTCAGCACGCAACACATCAAGCCTCCAGTTGGAAGCGAGGCACTAGCACAAAGGGTCCCTTCGTGGGGGAGGGGTCCTGGCAAAGTTATTATGAAAGAGAGATTCTCCCCCTTACAGCAGGACTTGCCAACGGGCTTCATTCCAACTCCCCCATTCCACTGAAACTGTTTAAGAACTATAAATGCTGAGTGACTCTGAGAAGCCAGACCCTTCCTGGATCTAAGAGTGAAGATTCTTTCCTGGCAAATGAACAGTGCAATTTGCTTTCATCAATGAGACCTATGGACTTCTATCCTCTCCAGAGGGCCAGCCTTCCATCTTTAATGAGCATAGCCCCCATGAGCCACCTTCCTAGCACTTATAAACACTTGACTTTTTCTCTCCAACAAATGACATCTGTATTTCTTCGCTGCTGTGTCCCCTGCCTGGAAAGTTTCTATCCCCGTTGCCTGTTTGTTACGTGTCCAGAGAGAGGAGAGGGCTTGCTGAGGGCCAAGAGGTCAGAGTAACAGGCTCTGTTTTAGATCCTAAACTATTGTAGAATTTCTTCCCGAAGAACAACTGGGGAAAGAGGGGGCATACTTTATCCAAGCTGACCACAGAATAAACAGCTTCTATGGTAGTTTTGATAATGCCCATAAAAGCCTCACTTTGAAGGAAGATGCTGCTAGAGTTGACATAGAAGGAAAGTTCCTTTCCTATTAAGCAATTTCTTATTTTACCTCATTTGTGTTAACAAGGGTCTGTGGAGGGAAATGGATCTGCTACATACTGGCAGGTTGGTTTTTTGTTTTTGTTTTTGTTTTTGTTTTTAACTACTGTTTCTTTCCCCAGATCCCCATGGCTCTCAGTCCTGGCAAGGTAGGTAGAATCACCTTGGGAGGTTCTGAAACTCTGGATGGCCCAGGCCTCACTTTTAGAAATTCTGCTCTCATTGCCTATCGTGGGACCCAGGAATCTGCCCGTTGTCAGTGCTCCTAGGGGATTCTAATGCACCACCAAGATTGAGCACCACTGCAAAAGGAAATGGATAATGGTGATTGAAATTAAAGCCCTGTTCTACTGGGAAAGTTGATCAAATTTTTATTAAAGAATGAGGGTCTTGCTTCTTTTCAGAAAGCTTCTTATGTCCATTATCTCATAACAATACTCCCTGCAGCCACATGACAACGAAGGTGAATGAGGAAACTGAGGCTCAGAAATGGTGAGAGACTCATCCTGGGTCACCCTCTGCAGAGACTCTAGAGCCTGGCTCTTTCAAGTCCATCACCAAGTCCCCAGGAAGACTTCACTGGTGCAGGCTCAGGAGCACTGAAGATGGAAATTCAAAGCATGTTCTGCTTTCAGGCTACAAATAGGCCCTGAAGACTCACTCAGGTGGAATGCAGCAGCAGATACACCATTGACCAGAGAATCCTCCTCCTCCTGTACTGGAAAACTGTACCCTGTGACTGGGTACAGGGTTGCTGCCTGCAGAGGGGGAGAGAGGGAAGGGCCCTCCCCCAACCCTCTACAGCTGAGCACTGACTCAACCCCAAGCATCGCCCGGCTCCACTTGAGTTTGGGTTTGGAAATTCTTAGGAAAGGAAATGAGTGGGGTTTGGGGGGGCTCTGCTTTAAGAAATGCCCATGTCAACCACGTCAATGCCCAAGACCCCCTCAGTCTTCGGTTTTCTTTAATAGGCTACATCCCCAGAGTAAAAACCAGATCCATGTTCAAGAAATAGGTTGGAGACTCCTTGATCCCTGGCTCAAGCCAACTTCTGAGAACAGAGACACCCTGGAGTAGCGGAGGTGGGGTGGGGTGCACGGCCCCCTCCTGTATTACAAATCAATTCACAAAGTAGCGAACCCATCTTTGGACAGAAACCTCAACTGCAATCAGACTTCTGTTTATGACAGTAACTCGAGAAGCCTTTTCTCAAGGAGATGCCAACGCATGAAGTGGTTGTATTTATAGAAGTTAAACAAACCTCTTCTGAGAGGTCATAATACCTTACAGGAAATGGGGAGCCTCTGTTGTGTGAAAACTCTGGATAAAACTGGTCATAAAATAGTAACAATCATGAATATTCTTGCCTGCCTGCTTAAAAGAAAGAAAATTACCAACTGAGGTTAAACCATGAGTGTCTATAAAGTTGATTTATACCGTGAATCTAGAAAAGTTGGTCACATTGTGAAATATTTTTGATAGGACATGTATCTAAATGTGAATAAATTCAGCCCTTTTGAAAAGGAAAGTGGACTGCACTCTGATATTGGTAAAATTTCCAAAAATAAAGGTGTTTGCCCATTGGCAATATGATTATAGGGCTCTAGGCACGTATTTTAGACTGGGCAATGTCTTCTTTCTCACAAGACTGTTTTGCTTTAACTCCCTCCTTCGGCCTTCTTTCTAGAAAGTTTTGAAGGATAAAGCCCTTGATGAGAAGCTTGTCTGTTTTCTTCCAACCTGGATTTGGCCAGAGGCTGTCTCAGGACTCAGAGAGACAAATCCGAGGATGCACCTAGATCTTAAAGAGTGGAAATATCTGCAGTGATGAGCATTATTATGGTGAAGCAGAGAAGAGAAAGGAAAGCGAGGAGACAGGAAGGTCGGGAGTGCTCAGAGCACACTGCTGGATGGCTCGGCTCCTAAACCCACATGAGTCACTTTCCCTTTCTGCCACTGCAGAAACTAAATCTGTCTGCTGCCTCCTCCTAGGTCAACAGAGTGCTCATCCGCAACCTCAGTGTCAAAGAATTCTTCTTATTGGAGAGGGTATTTCTCATCCCCACCATGAAATATCAGTCATTTTTTACTGTCCTCCAATGTACCCTCTACAGACAGCCTGAGACGGCGCTAAGATTTTTGCAAATGTGTCCTCAGGTACAGAAAGAACATGTGTTTTGCTGCCATATCTCTTCAGCCTCTGTCATTCTTGGCTCATTTCCTGAAAGATTAAGGAAGCCATCCCAGCCCCTGAGGCTTTGAAATTCCAGTAGAGGCCACTCCCTGAACACCAGAGAGGCCAAGCTGTCCCACAGGCCTAGCCCAGGCCACCTGTCACCCAGCTGACATCCCCTCCAGCTTTGCAGTCATCTCTGCCCCTGCCTGGGCAAGTGAGCTGGGGAGGGTATAGACGTAGGGTTCAGGTATAACTGAGGGACGAGTCAGCAGCTAAGCCACTGAAAAGAACACTAACAGTGTCTGGGTGGCAGCCCCACTGGTGACCTATCTCAAAGTCACATACCATCACCCTGGACATTAGAAAATACTTCTCTAAAAACCTCAAGCTCAGCACCAAGTTAGTTTGATAAGTCTCTACATGTACTACAGGGATTAAAAAATAGAAATTTCTGGCCCTCTGAATATGAAGCTAAAGACACTAGTATTTCTGTGGAATTAAGAGATTCTCTTTCAAAAAGTTCAACAGATGTTTGCTTATCCTTTAAACTCAGCTTAAGTTCACTTCATCCAGGAAGCCATCTCTGACTGCCTTGCCACTCTGGGTTAGGTGTACCTTCTCTGTGCACCCAAAGTCCCTCTTTTGAATATTACCGTGATCCTTCCAACACACATTTTAATGACCTAGACTGTGAGCTCCTTAATGGTAGAGGAGGAAGCAGGTCTAGCTCATTTTGAATTCCAATAACCCAGCACAGAGGATTCCACGTTTGTTGAATGAATAAACGAATGAAGTCATTCTTTTTTTTTTTTTTGAGACAAAGTCTCGCTCTCACCCAGGCTGGAGTGCAGTGGTGCGATCTCAGCTCACTGCAAGCTCCACCTCCCAGGTTCATGCCATTCTCCTGCCTCAGCCTCCCAAGTAGCTGGGACTACAGGTGCCCACTACCATGCCCGGCTAATTTTTTTGTATTTTTAGTAGAGACGGGGGTTAGCCAGGATGGTCTTGATCTCCTGACCTCATGATCTGCCCGCCTCAGCCTCCCAAAGTGCTGGGATTACAGGTGTGAGCCACCACGCCGCGCCTAAATGAAGTCATTCTTTAAAAAAAGGTTTGATTCTAGAAGTTGCTAACAATCAGACAGATGTATGCGGCATTTCACTGTACCAATAAAAATCCTTGATATTTAAGAAGGTCAAAATTTTAAGTTTGAAATTTGAAAAGGAAAATAAGTATGGTATCTATTTTTTCTAGACCAGGGAGAGACAATTAATAATTAATCTCTTTTTAATGGCTAGGAAGAATTTCTTGATTGTTGAGACCTGCTGATGGTATTACAATGAAACATCGATTTGGCCTAACTGGGAGTGTTTCCAAGGCAACAGCGACTCTCAATCATGTCAAATTACAGCTGTTATCTCCCTGGGTGTCAGTTTCCCTTAGAAAGCTAATTGAAATTGAAAATGTCTATCTTCAGGCCAAAGTTTAACTTTTCTTTGGATTCATCTGTTTTATCAGACAAAAAGAGAAAGTAAGACAGAAAACAGAGAGAGAGAGACAGAGAGAATAGAAACCCCTGAAAAACAGCATAATTGTTTTTCATTTTTCTAAAGAAGGCTGGCAGAGGTGGACTCTCTAAAAGCCATACCACAGGGTTCACTAGCTGATTTTGTCACTCATTGGGCTAACGTTCCTCAAGTCAGGAAAAATTTTTCTTTTTCTTTTTCAAAGAAAAGTGAGATCTCATGTGGTGAGTTCTGGAGACACTTCAGTCTTCAGAACCCACAGCATCCCACTCAGACTGCAGGGGAACTCAGGAACGATACCTGCGGTTCATCCGGGGTGTGCACGAGTAAAACGTGGCAAAATAGGAAGGGGGAGGCACAGGCGGCACAAAATCATCAGGGTCGGGGATGCGTCCATGATCCTCCGCTTCTTCAGCAGAAATCTGGGATTCATCCTGATTAAACAGCAGCTCAGTTAGTCAACAGCCTTCATTACAAAGGCACGGGGAGAGAGGCAGTGGATGACACGAAGGGGTCCATGGGCTGGCTCAGCGGAAACGTGGCCATGATGCCCTTGCATAGACTTACGATGCAGGATCTCCTGGTTGCGAATATCTGGAGGTAGCGGAGGGCAGCGGCCACCAAGCAGACGGTGGTGGTCAGGGCATTCAAGGCACACAGGGCAAAGAGGACTTTCTGGGGCAAGGAAACAATGGCACCACTAAGTACTTCAACAAACATCACCAGAATACAATGTAGAAAATCTTTAAAATAATAATAACGCTGCCTCCATAAGACAATTCTCAGGAGAGGATGCATGTAAAGGACTTAGATGGTGTTTGGCTCGTGGAAAGTGCCCAAATAAATGCTGGCTATTATTATGACCCTCATGCAATAATGTGTACTTCTTAATTCCAAAAACTTATCTTAGAAGCTTTCTGTCACAGAACAACGTGGTATGATAGTATTTCTTTTTGCAAGCATCAGAATACTGTCGAGAAACATTCCTTCCAGGAGAGCAGTGAGCTTCTCTTCTGAGGCTGATTTCCCCAGGGATAGCAATTCCCAGCCTCCTCCCTCCCACAGCCTCCCACCAGCACAGCACACTGCTTAATTTGTGGCCACTAATTCTATTTCAAGAGCAATTGGCTGTGCTGCCCCATGCACACGACGAGGACACTGAAGGAGCTGGCCCAGCCAGAGTGTAAATAGGACTTCTCTCCACTAAACACACATCTCAAAATAGCAAAGGCCATTCCAAACGCTTCTGTTGGTACAGTCCTGGCTCCTTGAGTGGGGCTTTCCCCAAGCTAAGTCCTGGCTCAGAAAGTTTGGGGGTGACTCAGCTACCAAAAATGCAGAAGCCATGGAAAGCAGGCCATTTCCACATCCCACACAACCCAGAGCTGGTAGCTTGGAACAGTTCTCTCTTTCCTTGGAGATTCTTCCTCCCCACCAAAATGAAACCCAAAACAAATATCTAAAGAAAACCGGCAGAAGTGGACTCTCAAAAAGCCATACCTCAGGGTTCACCAGTTGATTTTGTCACTCACTGAGCTAATGTTCCTTAAGTCAGGGCACAATTTTTATCCAATTCCCTGATGAAGGCTAATTTTGTATTTCTCTTCAACTGGGATCATCTGTTTGTTTAATACCTTTGGCTTATTATAGTTGTTGCTTATTAAACAAGAGCTAAGGTGCTTCAATTCCCCCATATTTTCTGGCCAATCTCTCTCCTTAGTCTACGTGTTGCAGACTGGTAGTACTCAGTGGCCCATATGACCCATGTAAGCAAACAAATGAGCATCAGAACAATGACACACGAGTGTGCGACTTAAAGGTTTTGCTAAAAGCTACACCGTATATGTGTGTGTAGGTATACATATGTACGTATGCATATGTTTATATGTGGAAATATGTGTGTATGTGTATACATATACATATATATAGTCAGGCTCCTTTCCATTTTTTACTATCTTACAGTTCTTCAACACAAAGAAAGCTGTCCATACATAATTTAACACACACAATAATCTGTGGTTCTTTCTGCATTCAATTCTGTCTCTGGGGTCACTCACATGCGCTTTCAGCAGCTTAATTGTTTGAGGGAGGTAATAGAACAGGAATATTTCAAGTAAGTTTGCCTTCTTTGGGGGCTCCGTGGTGTATTTACCGTGCGGGTGGGAATCTGTTTGAGGTACCTTAAGTAGAAGGTGAACAGCACTACAGGGCTGAACCGGAAAGAGTTTCAAGGCATTTTCTTTGTCTGTGCACTTGGCTGGTTGAAATTCTTCACAACAGAAGCAAATCTTGCCTTCACCTAAGTCCACCTTAACGGAGGAAAGGTAAAAAAAAATACTTTAATTATTAAGAAAAAATACCCTGGCTCTACCATGGAGCACCAATCCTGTAGAATGAGATGATGGCAGGGTTCTGTGTCAGGCAATGCCTCTATCAGTCAGGATGGGCTAGGGTATAGCATGGTAACAACCAAAACCTAAATTTCAGTGGCTTTCACAAAACAAAGGGAATTTTAATATTCCTCCTTTCTCCTTTAAAGTCTCCAGCTGAGAACTTCCTGTTTTCATACTAATCCTGTTTAGTACTAACAAACAAGCAGCTAAATGAGATGAAGTATCAGCCTCCATTCTGCTCGTGTACATGAGTCCCACTCTTCCCCAAAAGGAACCAAACTCACTTTTTTTTCCCCAACACAATGCACTCTGATTTTCATTTTTTGCACTTGGTGCAAGCCTCAAGATCTTAACCTGAAAGCTCTATCTCTCTCAGACAATACTAGGCATCATCTTACAAAATATTCCCTTCCCAAACAAGTCCATTCTTGATACAAAGCGTTTAGTTAAGTGGGAAACCAGGCCTATGTGGGCTGCACACACCATATAACATAGATGTCCAGCTCTTCAGAAACTTCAGCTACCTGGCACCTCTGGAGTGAGCCAGTCTGGATGGCAAAATTTTCCAGATGGGTGAAATTCAGTCCCTTTAAACAACCCTATTTGAAAGTTTACTCATTATACAAATGATCACGAATACCAATTAATTTTCCCACTGGATACAAAGAAACCTCAGGCACTGTGCAAAATGATTCCAGGCAACTGTGCACTGTGCGTTCCTTCTCCCCTATTCCTGATCCTTGCAGAATCTAATACCTTCACCTCCATTCTTAATCCCATCTCTGCCCAATATTTCTAAAAACTTATTCTCACTTCTCATCAGTCACTTTAGCCTATCCACAAACAAATTTGTAGAAGTCTCCCTGATCCTAAATAATGAACATCCACCCTGCATTCTTGGTGCTACTGCCTGAAGAGGTCAGATCTTTGTCTTCCCCCTGTCACCTTTCAATAGCAGCATTCTTAATCCTGCCTGTACATTTGAATTTTCTGGAGAGCTTTTTAAAAAATGATGATGCCATCTTAAGCACTCAGGGAACTACAAATTAGAGTGACAGCAAGCTCTCACTCTGGCTTCATCAGACTGGCACAACTTTAAAAAGAGAGAAACTCTCTTTGCTGGTGGAGACGTGGAGAGCCACTGGTAGAAATTCACCAGTCACTGGTGAGTTTAAGCCCTTTAATGAAGGAACTGACTATCCATTTTAAATTAAAAATACTCACTTCCCCAACCACTTTGGAAAACTCTTTAGCACCGCATCATCCAGCAGCTCCGTGCCTAGGTATTCACTCAAGAGAAATGAAAACTGCCTCCCCAAAACAATAATGCTCACAGCAGCTTTGTTCATAATACCCCCAAACTGGAAACAACCTAACTGTCCATCAACAAGAGAACAAAAAAACAAAAAAATTCTGGTATTTTTATAAAATGAAATAGTGTCCTGAAAAAAGGAACAAACAACAGATACAATATAAAAATATGGATGAATTTCAACAACATTACACTGGGCAAAATAAGTCAGACACAAAAACTTTCAAACCGTGTGACTCCATCTACATGAAGTTCAAGGACATGCAAAACTAACCCATGGTGAAAGAAACAGGAACAGTGGTTGCCTATGAGAGAGTAGAGACTGCCTGAAAAGAGACACTAAAGAACTTTTTAGGGTGACAGAAATATTGTTTGGAGTACAACAAACAATATTTTGTTTGGAGTATAGAAATTGTTTGGAGTATAACATGAGTGTATACATTTGTCAAAATGAATGTATACATTGGTCAAAACTTATAATGAACTGCACACTTAAGATTTGTGTTTTTCACTGTAACTTCTACCCCAATTTAAAAGCGATGGATAGAACAATAAAATGGTTGAATTTGTAATAATAAATGAGATAAGCAGGAGAAAAGATACTGCTGAGAACAATTCCTTGTCCTGGGAACCTACTCCGCTTAGGACTAAAATCTCCCTGAGGATATACAGAATGATATTAATGGCAGCACTGTGTCTACTGGTCAAAACCCAAGCCACAACAGGCAATAACAAAATAAGGAACTAACTTGGTAAAAGAAATTAAGGGTGTTAGTCTGTATTTAATCTATCTCTAAGTGATACATCTTTAAGTGATAAAAACAGGATGCAGGGAAGTACATACAATATACCTCATTTAAAAAAAAATCATGAACGACCCCACTCCATACATATTTATGTAAGATTACATGACCATGAAAACATTATGAAATATAATTCCCCAGCCTGTTACTAAGGATTTGGGGTGACAGGTATGGGCAGAGTGGGAAAGAGAAGAGAAGAGCAACCCCTTGCCCAAAAAGGTTTCATTTGTCAGTAATTTCCCCAAAGGAAAACAACACTTACAACATGATCCTGTTGATTATGTCTGTTTTTGTGCATAAAGAGATGCTTAACACATGGCCAAATTGTTATCCAGGGATAGTGGGAATTCAAATGATATTTAAGTTCTGCCTTATACTTTTCATGGCTTGCCCAAACTTTTATAATTATAACATCAGAAATAATCACAGTGTTGGTTTTGTGGTATATATATTCTGATATACAGAATATATAAAGAACTTCTATAACTCAATAACAAAAAAAAAAATAACTCAATTTTAAAATGTGCAAAAGACTTGTATAGACATTCTTCCTTTAATGAAGACATACAAATAGCCAGCAGGCATATGAAGAGACTATCAACATCACTAATCATAAGGAAAATGCAAATCAAAACCAAATGAGGTATCACCTTATACCCATTAGAATGGCCACTTTAAAAAAAAAAAGCAGAAAATAACAAGTGTCAGTGAAGATGTGCAGAAATTGGAACCCGTGTGCACTGTTGATGGAAATATTAAATGGTGCAGTTGCTATGAAAAACCATACAAAGTTTCCTCAAAAAATTTAAAATAGAATTACCAAATGATCACTTCTGGTTATATATCCAAAAGAATTAAAACCAGGATCTCAGAGACATGTTTGCAGGCCCATGTTCGTTGCAATGTTATTCACAATAACCAAGAGTGGGGGCCAACCTAAATATCCATCACAGATAAATGGAGAAACAAAAGGTATCATGTATATACAATGGAATATTATATAGTCTTAAAAAGGAAGGGAATTCTAACACATGCTACAACATGATGAACCTTGAGGAGATGATGCTAAGTGAAATAATCCAGTCACAAAAAGACAAACAGCATATTATCCTACTTGTATGAGGTACCTAGGATACTCAAATTCATAGAAACGGAATGTGAAATGGTGATTGCCAGGGGCTGGAGGATGGGGAGCTGTTGCTGTTCAATATGCATAGACTTTCAGTTTTACAATATGAAAAGAGTTCTAGAGATTGGTTGTCAACAATGTGAATATACTTACCTCTACTGAACTGTAGACTTAAAAATGGTTAAGATGGTAAATTTCATGCTATGTGTATTTTACCACAATAAAATTTATTTTCTTTTAAGTTCAGAGATGGTACAAGTCCACAACCTCTTACTCACAATGCTGAAATCCAAAAAGCTCTGAAAACCAGAAGTCATGATAACAGCCTGCTGTCCCAGACTCCACTGGCATGCTACATAATAAATAGTATATGCAAAATATTTAATCTTCTAAAACTGGAAAAACTCTAAATGCTGACACACACCTGGCCTCCAAAGGTTTCAGATAAAAGACTGTTGACCTGTATTCTGGCAATATCCATTTTATTTCTTTTTAGATGAGGACAGTCAGAGACTGATTGATTGTGGACATCTGATCCATCCATTCACTAACTAATGATGCATTATATCACTATGGTTCCAGTGTTTTGCTGGCTGGTCCCTGCTTTGGAAAAAGTAATCGACAACTTGGGTGAAATAATCAGCAGGCAGCTCTTTGTTTTGTTTTCCCACTTCCCTTTACCCATTTCAGGTTTCACTTCAGGACAGTTGCCTGATGCTGAATGTTGCAAGTCTCGCCAGGAACACCTGACAAGCCAGGGTCTGCCTAGATGCACAGTGATGTTTTAGGACTGCTTACCAGATCACACCTGGGCACGCTGGACACAAACTGGGCCCCTTGGCAGCCTAGGATAAATCCAGCTAGATTTAAGAGGACACAAACCACAGAGAGCAGCACAAAGAGGTTTACCTGAAATGGCAAGAGAATGGACAGTTAGTAAAAGATAACAGCTAAATTCAGACAGAGTTTTACCTGATTTTAAAAACTCATATTCCCTTCCAAGAGAACATTTTTTTAAAAAAAGATCAGAACCGTGTTTTCAATGTACAAACTTTTTTTCACATTTTAGACTTCTTAAAATTGTGCTGAGGGATGCCACTGACTCTTAAGTCTTCTCAATAACCTCAAGTCCTTATTTTTCTCTCTTTGAAAATAATTCTTACTCCCTTATCTTCCACCCACACATTACACTAAGCCCTAGCTATTTCCTCCTTGAGCCACTCTTATTTTTTTTCCTTTAGTTTTGTGGGATCAGCAGCAAATAAACAAATACAGAACTCTGGAATATAAGTGAAACACAGGGACATGAAGGAGCTCAGAGCCTTTACTATCCAGAAATCACAGTATGTAAATGGACATAAAAATGGGTCTTTTTTTCAGTTCTGAACACTTTAGGTACTAAAGAATATGCACACAAAGATTTTCCATGTGCTTTTCTCTAAAGTTAATTATTACAAATATTACTCCAAATAATTAAAAAATTGATAGTAGTCAACTGAGAAGCCAGTATTTACTTAGTACAAGTTAGAGATTATGCAGGCTTTTCAACTTGAGAGCCATGATTATTAAGAAAATCAAAATCTTATTGCAAATATAAAAGCAAATATAAAAGATTAGAGGCAATAATTATCAGCGTTAGAACAAAGCATCAATTCAAGTAGCTGATATGTCAGAGTTGGCTGGTAAACAAGTTCACATATGAACTCTAAGGGAGAAACCCTGTTCTTTAACTATTGTTATTCCAAGTCAAGCTTGAAAGCATTTCCCGAGACCCATTTTATGAGTCAATGTTTAATATCACATGATGCCACTTTACCTAGGGGGAATTCCTTCTTCTCTCCAAGAGAAGTTTGGCTTCTTTCCTTTTATTGTTAATTTGGATGCAGCCTGTCATCAGATCTTGGGGAAAATACTAATGGAAGCTGCTGTTGTTACTGTTTCCCAGGCTGGATTCCCCAGTGTCTATTGGACTTGACTTGGGCAGCATATAGAATATGTCCCCTCTTGCACTGTATCATTTATGATTATGCCACAGCTTCTTGGAAAAGGAGAATACATAATTGGCAAAGGACAGGACTTGATCTTCCCACATGGGCTTCTATTACACACTAGCAGTTGCTACTCAAAGAGATCTAATATATCTGTAATCCTTAAACCCAATAACACAATCACTGTTACTATGGAAAAGTCTCGAGTTTTCCCTTGGAAATTTTCTTTTACGATAATATACAATGCCTTGAAAAAAAAGTGTGGTTATAATGCCCATCAGTACGCCAATAAAAATTAACATTATCAACTATAAAATGGGTGAGGGCCCATTACTCCTAACACTGAACCCAAAATCTCTTCACTAAAATCTTAAAGCCAGCCCACTGAAGGACACAGTTAGGAAAATCAATAGTAGGCAAGCTACAGACTGGTAGAAAATATTTTCACTCATATATTGAACAAACAACAACTTGTGTCCAGAATATACAAGTAACTCCTCAAATCAATAATAAAGAGACAAGCAGCCCAATTAAAAATTGGGGCAAAAGACTTAAATAGACATTTCATACAGACACATAAAAAATATAAGAATAGCCAATAAGCACATGTAAAGGTCTTCAAATAATTAGTTGTCACAAGTGCAAAGTAAAAACCACAATGAGATACCACTTCACACCAACTAGAATGGTTAAAATGTAAAAGACTGACAAAACCAAGTGCTGGTGAGGATGAGGAACACTTGGACTCTCAGACACTGCTTGTGCAAGTATAAGGTGGCACAACCACTTTAGAAAACTGTGTGTCATATGATAAAAAAAAAAAAAGCTCATCATCTCTGGTCATTAGAGAAATGCAAATCAAAAACACAATGAGATACCATCTCATGCCAGTTAGAATGGCAATCATTAAAAAGTCAGGAAACAACAAATGCTGGAGAGGATGTAGAGAAATAGGAACACTTTTACACTGTTGGTGGGAGTGTAAATTAGTTTAATCATTGTGGAAGACAGTGTGGTGATTCCTCAAGGATCTAGAACCAGAAATTCCATTTGACCCAGCAATCCCATTACTGGGTATATACCCAAAGGATTATAAATCATTCTACTATAAAGACACACACACACACGTATGTTTATTGCAGCACTATTCACAATACCAAAGACTTGGAACCAACCCAAATGCCTATCAATGACAGACTGGATAAAGAAAATGTGGCACATATACACGATGGAATACTATGCAGCCACAAAAAAGAATGAGTTCATGTCCTTTGCAGGGACATGGATAAAGCTGGAAACCATCATTCTCAGCAAACTAACACAGGAATAGAAAACCAAACACCGCATGTTCTCACTCATAAGTGGGAGGTGAACAATGAGAACACATGGACACAGGGAGGAAAACTTCACACACCAGGGCCTGCCGAGGGTGGGGTCCTGGGGAGGGATAGCATTAGGAGAAATACTAATGTAGTTGAGAGTTGATGGGTGCAGCAAACCATCATGGCATGTGTATACCTATGTAACGAACCTGCACGTTCTGCACATGTATCCCAGAACTTAAAGTATAATTTAAAAAAAAAGAAAATTGTTTGTCAGTTTCTTAAAAATTAAATATAAATCTCCCATGCAGAAGAATTGCAAATAATTTATGAAGCCACTGCCAAATTCTACCAAACTTATAAAGAAGAACTAATACCAGTTCTCCTCAAGCTATTCCAAAAAATTGAAGGAGAGGGAATTCTCCCTAACACATTTACAAAGCTAGCATTATCCTAATACCAACACCAAACAAGGACACAACAAAAAAAGAAAATATCCAATCTCCCTGATGAACATAGACACAAAAATCCTCAATAAAATGCTAGCAAACTGAATCTAACAGCACATCAAAAAGATATACATCACGATCAAGTGGAATTTGTCCCATTCATGCAAGGATAGATCAACATGCCCAAATCAATAAATGTGATACATCACATTATGAGAATGAAGGACAAAAAGCACATGATCATCAAATTTAACATCCCTTCAACAGACTAGGCATAGAAGAAACATACCTCAACATAATAAGGACCATAAATGAAAAACCCACAGCTAACTCCACACTGAATGAGGAAAAGCTGAAAGCCTTTCCTCTAAGAACTGGAACAAGACAAGGATGCCCACTTTTACTACTTCTATTCAACACAGTACTAGAAGTCCTATCCAGAGCAATCGGGAAAGAGAAAGAAATAAAAGGCATCCAAATTAGTGAAGAGGAAGTCAAATTGTTCCTCTTTGCAGATGACATAATCTTACTGCTAGAAAAATCTAAAGACTCCCCCAAAAGACTCTTAAATCTGATAAATAAATTCAGTAGTCTCAGGATACAAAATCAACGTTTAGAAAATCAGTAGCATTTATATACACCAACAACAAATGAATTGAGAAAGAAATCAAGAAGGCAATCCCATTTACAATAGCTACAAATATACATATATGTACGTGTATATATATGTGTGTGTGTATATGTATATATGTATATATATATGTGTATATATATATTTATATATATGTGTGTATATATTTATATATATATGTGTATATATATATTTATATATATGTGTGTATATATATTTATATATATGTGTGTATATATATTTATATATATGTGTATATATATATTTATATATGTGTATATATATATTTTTATATATATGTGTATATATATATTTATATATATGTGTATATATATATTTATATATGTGTGTATATATATATTTATATATATGTGTGTATATATATATTTATATATATGTGTGTATATATATATATATAAAACACCCAGGAATAAATTTAACCAAGGAGGTAAAAGACCTCTAGAAAGAAAACTAAAAACACTGATGAAAGATATGAAAGAAGACAAAAATAAATAATAATACATCCCATGTTCATGGATTGGAAAAATTAATATTATCAAAATGAGCATATTCCCCAGAGCAATCTAAAGATTCACTGCAATCCCTATCAAAATATCAATGACATTTTTCACAGAAATAGAAAAAAAATCCTAAAATTCATATGAAACCAAAAAAATGCCCAAAGAGCCAAAGCAATCCTGAGAAAAGCTGGAGGCATCACATTACCTGACTTCAAAGGTTATAGTAACCAAAACAGCATGGTACTGCTATAAAAACAAATATATAGACTAGGTGTGATGGCTCACACCTGTAATCCCAGCACCTTAGGATGCCCAGGTGGGAGGACCACTCAAGCCCAGGACTTCAAGATAGTCTTGGCAACATAGTGAGACCTTGTCTCTACAAAAAAAAAAAAAAAAAAAAAATTGTTTAATTAGCCAGGTGTAGTGGGGTGCACCTGTATTCCCAGCTACTTGGGAGGCTGAAGTGGGAGTATTGCTTGAGCCTGGGAAATCAAGGCTATAGTGAGCTATGTTCATGCCACTGCACTTCAGCGTGGGTGACAGGCCAACAACCTGTCTCAAAATAAATAAATTAAGTTGAATTAAAATTTTAAAAATGTAGACTAATGGAACAGAATAGAGAACCCAGAAATAAATCCAAATATTTATAGCCAACTGAGTTTTAACAGAGGCACCAAGAACATACATTGGAGAAAAGACACTCTCTTCAATAAATGATGCTGGGAAAACTAAATAACCATATTCAGAAGAAAAAACTAGACCCCCTATTTCTCAACATATACAAAAATCAACTCAAAATGGATTAAAGACTTAAACATAAAACCTGAAACTAGGAAACTGCTAGAAGAAAACATAGAGAAAATACTCTAGAACACTGGTCTAGGCAAAGATTTTATTGCTAAGATCTCAAAAGCACAGGCAACAAAAACAAAATAGACAAATGAGACTATATTAAACTAAAAAGCTCCTGTGAAGCCAAGGAAACAATCAACGGAGTGAAGAGACAACCTGTAGAATGAGAGAAAACACAAACTATTCATCTGACAAGGGACTAATAACCGGAATATACAAGAAACTCAAACAACTCAATGGCAAAAAAAAAAAAAAACCCCAGTTGGAATTACCAACTGTACCAATGGGCAAAGATTGTGGATAGACATTTCTCAAAAGAAGATATACAAATGGTTAACAGGGTTGTGAAAAAGCGCACAACATCACTAATCATCAGGGAAATACAAATCAAAACCACAATGAGATAACATCTTATAGTTAGAATGGCTATTATCAAAAAGACAAAAAGTAACACCTGTTGGTGAGGATGTGCAGAGAAAGGAACTGTTATACATTGCTGGTGGGCATGTCAATTAGTAGAGCCATTATGAAACACAGTATGGAGATTCCTCAAAAAATAAAAATGGAGTTACCATGTGATCCAGTAATCCCACTACTGGATATTTATGGAAAAGAAAAGAAATCAGTATATCAAAGGGATTCCTGCACCGTTATGTTTATTGCAGTACTATTCACAATAGCTAAGTTATGGAAGCAACCTAAATGCCCATCAACAGACGAATGAATAAATAATATATGGTATATATACACATTGAAATGTTTAATTGGCCATAAAAAAGAATGAAATCCTGTTATTTTGCAGCAACCTGAGTGGAACTGGAGGCCCTTATGTTAAGGGAAATAAGCCAGGCACAGAAAGATAAATATTACATGTTCTCATTCACATGTGGGAGCTTAAACAGTTAATCTCATCGAGAGAGAGTAGAATTATAGTAACCAGAGGCTGAGATGGGTGCATGTGGGGTGTGGGGGATAGGATCAAGGAAGAGAGGTTGGTTAATGGATACAAACACAATTAGATAGAAGGAATAAGTTCTAATGTTTGAAAGCAGAGTAGGGTGACTATAGTTAACAAAAATATATTGCATATTTTGAAATAGCTAGAAGTCTTGAAATGTCCCCAATACATAGAAATGATAAACACTCAAGGTGAGGGATATCCTAAATACCCTGATTTGATCATTATATGATCATTATTTTGTTGCTATCCATGTAACAAAATTGCACGTTTAACCCATATGTCCATATATTATGTATCAATTTTTTAAAACTGCATTGAGTGAAATTAGCCAGATACTGTATGATTTCACTTACTTAAAGTTTAGGAATAGACAAAGTAATCTATACTGATAGAAATTAGAAGAGTGATTGCCTATTTGTGAGGAGGGCAGGGAAGGAGGAGATTGACTGGAAACACACGGAAGAATGTTCTGGGGTGATAATGTTCTACCTTTTGTTTTGGGTGGTAGTTACATGCATTATTCAAATTGTCAAAATTTAGCTAACTGAACACTTGCAATCTGGAACAGGACTGTATATAAAACATACTTACCTTATTTTTAAAAAGAAAATCCTAAATCCAGCAGTCAAGGCAGGATTCTGAGATCATACAATGAATGTGGCTACTTCTAAAATGTCTGACTGACAGACAAGCTGAGAGAATGCTCCAGGGAGTCACTGCCTGGTAGGCTTCATTTCCCTCCTATACTGGAGGGGCTGCCAAGTACAAGTCAAAGTCAAATCATTAGAATGCCACTCCTGCAAAACCCAGAAGGAAGGCCTGGGGTTTCATTTGTACACATAGACTGTATACAAAATCGCCATTCACTGTTCTTCAACTTTATTCCGGCATATGACTTTACTATTATGTTATTAAAACTCTGGTCAAACTTAGCCAAATGGTCACCTGAATTACTCTAGCACAGACAACTGTGGCATATATGAGACACAGCTCTTTCAGAAGTTGGATCATCTTCCAGGATACAAAATATTGGAGTCATAAAGAACTCAGGGTTTACAGGGACCTTCAGAATGGATGCCTCTAGCTTTTACCTGGTTATAATGGGATCACTTCCAAGACCCAAATTTGTATCTCAAGCTTCATCAGATGGCATCCTCCTTAAACTGACGACAAGAAAATATCAGCTGCCAAAGCACATTATAGTCACAAAGACGACTCAGCAACATCTGGGAAGGGGAAGAATTTCTTATATTTCTTATAAGAAATTACTCTTGCCTTAAAAAAAAAAAAATCATTGCAGGGGATCGGAGTTTCTCTTGAAACTCAAATCTGAATTTGAAATCTAGAGACATGGCTCAAATTCAGGCTTTCCCACTTGTTTGCTGTGATATCTTAGGCCAATTCTGTGAGACTTTTCTCATCCATTAAGTGGGTCTATCTTCCCAGCTACCTCACAAAATTATTAAGAGAGTCACCTAAAATTATTTATATGGAAGTCCTTTATATACTGGAAAATACAATGTACACAGTGTTATTATTACTGGGTATTTCCTCTTTGCAGGAGCAGCTTGTTATTGTAAAGTGAATTTCACAAAACACATTTCATTAGGTTTGGTACCAGAATTTCATTCTTTTGCTTGTGACATCTGAATTTATGGCAGCTGGAAGGGACATTCAAATTTTAAGATAAATCTGCAGTTACATTATTTCCAAAACGTGTCCAAAAAGAATGATGTCTGCAGCCTCCTTTAGGGAACTCACTCTACACTGGACCACTGACATCTGTGTGTGGGGCATCTCCTGTTTGCCCTGCCACAGCCTCTCTCCACACTTACCCTTCCTTTACTCTACCCATGGGCAAGGCTGTTGTATGTAGACTGGCTCAGTGGGGCTACTCTGCCCTCTGGTCTCCAGTGAAGCTCAACCAACAGGGACCCCTGACGGAAAGAAGACCACAGGGAGGGAAGAGAGTGAGGCTGGAGGAGTTATTCTCCTGGTTCCTTCTCTGCAGCCTCAGGCTGGCTGTGTCCCTCAAAGGAAAGCCACACAGGCTCTCAGGGGTCCTCTGTACATGACTCTGACTCCCAGATTCTTGCCACCACCCCCACTCTTCCCTGCAGGCTTAGAAAAGGTTAACAGTTTCACTGTTCCCCATACCCTGCACATATCTTTGTGAGTCGTCCCTTTACTAACCACTTGTCAATTCTAATTGTATTGTGTCATCTGTTTCCTGCTGGGAGCTTGACTGATACAACTTCTCTATAAAATTTTTCCTTACATTAATATTTAACCTAATTTTTTTCCTGCTCATTAAGCCCCATTCCTATTGTTCTCATTTCAAATTAATCATCACTTGCCCAGTTAAGTGAACACTATGGGTTACTGCTCCTGAATTCTACTGAAGCCAATGCATCATTGGGGTTTACTCTCAAGAAACAGAAAAACACAAAGTTGACAGAGAACTGTCTTTCTAGAACTTGTATTTTAGACCGTGAGAGACAGTGGGCGCCAAAAAGTAGAGGGCTTGCCCCACATTGCCCTGTGGTCTTCATGAGTAAGAAGCAAAATCCAACTATTCAAGGATACATTGCAAAATCCAAGATCCAAAGAGCTAGTGCTCTCATAGGCACTGGCGACATGCGTGTATTTGTCAGGGTTCTCTAGAGGTGCAGAACTAATAGGATAGATTGATATATAAAGGGGGTTTATTAAGTAGTATTAACTCACACAATCACAAGGTCCCACAATAGGCTGTCTGCAAGCTGAGGTGCAAGGAAGCCGGTCTGAGCCCCAAAGCTGAAGAACTCGGAGTCCGATGTCCAAGGGCAGGAAGCATCCAGCACAGGAGAAAGATGTGGGCTGGGAGGCTAGGACAGTCTAGCTTTTTTGCATTTTTCTGCCTGCTTTCTATTCGTTGGCAGCGATTAGATGGTGCCCACCCAGATTAAAGGTGGGTCTGCCTTTCCTCGCCCACTGACTCAAATGTTAATCTCCTTTGGCAACACCCTCACAGACACACCCAGGATCAATACTTTGCATCCTTCAATCCAATCAAGTTGACACTCAGTATTAACCATCACAATGAGTTAAGTCTTCTATGCTTTTTTTATATTTTGTTATTCATTTGAATCATGACTACTTTATGATATTTATACCAGGTGCCTTTATGATACTTATACCAGCTGCCTTTATGCAAAACGAATTATGTTTTTCAATTCAGTATTTTGAATTCATCTCAGCTCTGATCTCTGGTAATTGTACCCCCAGTTCATTCCAGGTCTCAATTAACTGACCCAATGAAAGAATGTTTGGGGAACCTGAGGCTATCAAGAAGCAACATCACCTTCAATTTGCCTATCCCTCCCTGCTAAGATTTCTTCATAATCCCTGTCACATAATATCATTAAATAATTATGCCTATCACAGCTTGGTATTGTTTGATACAAGATTTCATTCTTTAAATAGGCTGACCTTTCCCTACTGCCTAAGGACTTTTATTTTGCTCCTTACTTCCCCACTGCTCCAATCTCAAGATGCGACTTAAACCCACTGTGCAGGTTTAAATAAATAAATAGTTCCAGTAACCGTGGGAAGGCAGAATAGTTTAACACTTTTATTTTAAAACCTATTCACTAATAGGTTTTAAATGGTGAATTGAGCATAAGTATTTAGCTCTACTAGTTCCTGAAAACCCACTAAAATGACAGGAAAAGAAAATATTTTTAACGCAGAAATCCTTAAGGATAGAGAGAACATGAGAACAGCAACAAAATTTTAGAAGGTAGAAAGTTGGTGGACAAGAATGAATTGACTCAGTGGTCCTGAGAAAACTGAATCCCACAAAAGCAATGAAGAAAGCCAAAACTCAACAGGATTTACTCTTCAGAATCCCCAGATGTTCAGAAATGGTGGCACCAGATACTCTTTGGAATGAAAGTGAGCCTCAAAATAATACTGACAAGAGTCTATTAAAAAAAGAATTAGAAATTGGTACAACCACAATGGAAAATGATCAGCAGTTTCTAACAAAGTTAAATTTATACCACTCTATGACCTTTGCATATGTTCACAAAAAAACATAGACAAGAATGCTCATAGCACATGCCATAATGGCCCAAAACTGGAAAGAACCAAAATGCCAATAACAGAAGAATGGATGAACAAATTATAGTACATTTCGTAAGTGGAATGAAACTCAACAATAAAAAGAAACAAACAACGGATGCATATAAAACATGGATGAATCTCAGAAACCTTATATTAACTGAAAGAAGCCAGACACAAAAGGGCATGTGCTGTATGATTCCATATTAAAAAGAGTTCTAGAACACATAAAAATAACCTAT
This sequence comes from Homo sapiens, assembly GCF_000001405.40. NCBI lineage: Eukaryota > Metazoa > Chordata > Mammalia > Primates > Hominidae > Homo > Homo sapiens. The sequence goes on along the minus strand of NC_000009.12, from coordinate 69,361,334 downwards.
GGTAGAAAAAAATCAGAACAGTGGTTACTCCTGCAGGGAGACAGAGGAATCAACTGAGAAGAGGCATAAGGAAACTTTACAGAACACTGGAAAATTTCTGTATCTTGATCTGGATAATGATTATACATGTGTATACATGTATAAAAATTCAGCAATTTATACATTTAAGATCTGTGCATGGTACCATATACAAATTATCCCTTTTTAAAAAAAAGTCACTTAGAACTCCTGATTCCTTTTTCTGACCACAGCTTTGGACCCAGAAGAAAATCTCAACCACAGCTAAAGGCTGAAAGATTTTTCACTGGAAAGCCAAAATTCTATGGAGCCATGCCTTCAAAATTTTGAGAGAGAATTCCAATTTTGGAATCCTATACTTAGCTAAAAATGTTGATCAAGTTTGAATAGGATAAAAATATTTTTACTTTTTTTTTTTGCAATTTACATGCAAGATTTTTTAAATGTGTTTTTAATATACCCTTTTCTCAGAAATCTACTACAGGATGCTCCACCAAAATTTGTGGGGAGTGAGGGAAAAAAAGAAGCTATGGAATCCAGGAAACAGGGATCCATCTCAAGAGAGGTTAAGGGAACGCCCAAGATAATGGTGAAAGGATGATAAAGATGATAGTAACATGCAGAGCCTACTGGGAAGCCAGTCCAGATAGAGCAAGTCAAAAGGCTCCAGGAAGGATGAAAGTGACAGAATATCCAACAGATGTACTTGAATATATGGAAGAGGGACTTAAACAGTAAGAGGATGGTTGACATTTGTATCAATAATAACAGAAAAATGAAGCAAATGAAGAAGGACCTTTGAACAAGTTAACCTTTGTTAACTTGAAGAAAAATAAAATATTTTACTGGAGAGGAAAGAGGATAGTCAAAATAAAATAAACACTGAAAATTGCTCTGACCAAAATCATGATATAACTTTATTGAGAAAGGGACTATAAAAGTACGTGTTGGGGCAGAGGGGCGAAATGTAACAGAGAAAGATTTCCTAATTGTCTACAATGCCTAAGTGACTGATTGCCTTTGGAAATTGGTTGAAGTGATTGTGTTTTGAAAATGGGACAAGGAACTGAAAATTTCTTCTTCAGACTTACAGCACTATTTGACCCTTTAAACCATGTGCACATATAACCTTGACAAATGGAAAAACTAAATTTAAAGCATAAAATGGAATAAAAAACATGAACTCGGAGTGAGATAAATGTGTGTTTAATTTCCAGCCCATTGGCTTACTAGCCGAATAATCTTGAGCAAATTACTGAAACTCACTGGGTCTCACTTATTTACTTATAAAAAATGAGTGATACCTCAAATGGCTGTTGAAAGGAACAACCAAAAAAAAAAAAAAAGCAAAATAAGAGCATGTCTATAAAGCTGCCCACAGCAGTGCCCAACATGTAGAATGCGTTCAATACATCTCTCCTCAACAAATGTACTTGTCAATTCACAAACTTTTAATAGATCAGGAACTATGGCCATCTCTCTGTCTTCCTGCCCATCCTCCAGCTTAGTACTTTTTTCCTTCTCCTTTCATGAAGTTGTCATCCCCATCTAGCCTGTAACTGTCCTCACTGTCCCACTCTCAGTCCTCACACCTGTCCCTGACCTTTGCCATCTGTGTTAGTCCATTTTCATGCTGCTAGCAAGAACTGCCCAAGACCAGGTAACTTATAAAAGAAAGAGGTTTAATTGACTCACAGTTCAGCATGGCTGGAGAGACATACAATCACGGCAGAAGGTGAAGGGGAAGCAAGGCAACTTCCTCACAAGGTAGCAGGAAGGAGATGTGCCAAGTGAAGGGGAAACAGCCCCTTATAAAACCATGAGATCTCATGAGAACTCACTCACCATCATGAGAACAGGATGAGGAAAAATGCCACCATGATTCAATTATCTCCACCTGGTCCCTCCCTTGACACGTGGGGATTATGGGAATTACAATTCAAGATGAAATTTGGGTGGGGACACAAAGCCTAACCATATCACCATCTCACCTCAAGTTCTTAGTATGCTCATTGGTGGATGTGGGTATAAATCAACTTCCCAACTGGGTTTGGCCTCTGTCACATCTGTCTGGCATCACATGCAGTATTCTAATAAGAAAGAAAGGCTTTGGCTGGGTGCAGTGGCTCACGTCTGTAATCCCAGCACTTTAGGAGGCTGAGGCGGGCGGGTCACTTGAGGTCAGGAGATCGAGACCAGCCTGGCCAACATGGTGAAACCCCGTCTCTACTAAAAATGCAAAAATTAGCCAGGCACGGTGATACACGCCTATAATCCCAGCTACTCAGGAGGCTGAGGCAGGAGAATCACTTGAATCCAGGAGGTGGAGGTTACACAGTCAGCCGAGATCGTGCTGCTGCACTCCAGCCTGGGTGACAGGGTAAGACTCCGTCTCAAAAAAAAAAAAAAAAAAAGAAAGAAAAAGAAAAAGAAAAAAAAAGGCTTTATTAATGCTTTAAAAAATTTTTCCTTAACAATTAAATATGTTCAACAAATGTGATGCTTCTTTTTAAATTATCAGAAATAACATATATTTTTCCTAAATGTTAACAATGAATTTGTGCACGTACATGTGTTGTTTTTATTTAAATATGAGCAGTTCACCAAATTATTTCCTCATGAGAAGAAACTTCTAAGAAAGCAGGAACTTTTACTTCAAAAGGTGCTAATCCCACCCTAGAATTCTTCTCTTTCACACTCTGTTTTGTCTTTTAATTCCCCAAGAAAATATTACTGGTCTTCATTTAATCATTGTGCCCTTTTTTTCCCCCTCATATGCAGCCTTTTGATACTGCTACAAATAAATGTTAAAAAATGCTTTTCTCCAGTGGGGTAGAAAATCTGAAACAAGAACACAAAAACCTAAGTGGTGGTAAATAATACTGAATGAATGAGTCAGTCAACCAGTCAATGAACAAATGAAAGAAAATCTATTCTTTCTGATAAGTGCTATATACAGGTATCATATATTCTTACTAATATTCTAGGACATATACAGACAGGCCTCAAAGGCAAACACCTGCTTGACTATCACTGCAAGCATGAAAATGGCTACCACCATTGCTTCTGCTGGGAACTCATCACTTCCTCAAGAAAGAAGACAGCAAGTGTTGGGACTTCAATTCCATTATGTCAAAGGAAGAAGTGAGAATGGTAGGTGGGTGGAAGAACAAAATACCTGTTCCTTAGAATTCAAGTTCCATTTTCCCACTGAAACAAGAACAATTGTGTGGTCTTGCTGAGACTCTAACTGCCATTTAACACGTATGTCCTCAGAGCCATGGAGTCCAAGTACCAGAAAACCTGATTAGTCACTGGTTAATAAGACAAATGGCACAGGACCCGTGACAGTTAACGTAACCACTTATTTAACTCTTAACATTTTATGTTTTAATTCAATTTGGGGAAGCATTTCAATATAAAGATCTAGAATCATGAGCAAAGTCATCTGAACACAACACGATGGCACTGGAAAAAAAATAATTAAAGACAAGGCACCGAACTAAAATTTTTCTGAACTGGTTTAGCAAAACGAATGCTTGGATTGACAGCCCAGCACCACAGCAACCAACAAAACATCATAAATCACAACCACTCACAAAGCCCACACTCTCACCACTCTCAACCTATTTCAGGAGCTCCCACATGCACTGACTTGGTTTGCCTGTGCACCTCTAATCCTTAGACCCCAACAGAACCTACTCCCAGTTTCAGTCCCTTGACATGCTTTAAACTTCTGCCAGAAGTTTGGCAGATACATTACCATCACCCAGACCAGCTCTCCTTGCCAACAAGCCAAACACAGGCCCGTTGCTGTGAACAGAACCGACTGTTGCTCTTTCCTCTCCAGCATGCTGAAGTGCCAGGTTTACTCATATTATGGAAGTCCCTGATTTTCTTTTTATAAAGTGTTTAAGATATAATAATAACCATTGCTTTCTCATTCCTCTTTCAACAGGGATGAAAGGCCTCTTGCTTCTCCTACCAGAGTGAGACACAAATATTTATCATTTGGGGACACAACTTTCAGGAGAGCTAAAAGCTCTTATAAGCCAGAGTTGCTTAGTCCTAGTGAAAACATACATGTCTCAAGGGCACTTTCAAGCCTCTTGTGAACAGCAAATTCTGCCCTATCCCGGGTCCCTCAGTCCCTCCTTTTAGCACATTGTCTCTCATTTCTCAGGAAAGTGACTTCAAAATTTTTTTTTTTTTTTTTTTTTTGTAGAGATGGTGTCTCACTTTGTTGCCTAGGCTGGTCTCACACTCCTGGCCTCAAGCTGATCCTTCCACCTCAGCCTCCCAAAGCACTGGGGTTGCTGGCGTGAGCCACCATACCCAGCTGAAAAGTGATTTCTTATAAGCCAAGCAATCAGCCTCTGCAGAGAAGACAGGACCCTCAGCACATATCTAGCTCTGTAATTCCTCAACTCAAGTTGGGCATTACTATCACCCCTACATTAACATGTTCTCATTAGGAATATGACCAAGACCAGGACAGAGTCACAAGAGAAACAGTCAGTGGATCATGTGACACATGAGATTTATTGGTCCAATAAGGTGAACTGGTCAGGAACCAGATCTGCTATGCCCCTTGGGAATAAGGTGGCCAAAATAAATTTTGATTTGAAGATTAGAAAGGCAGCAGAAAGTTCGTTGTAAACAAAGTTGCATATCCATGGTTCCTGAGACTCCACTTCTCTGACTTCATTCCTCTTTTATCCTTTCCTCTGTGCCTCTCTAATTTTCTTTCTTTCTCTACTTCTGGCCCCTTCTTTGCTGCTCTTAGCTTCTCAAGGTTCAGCAGGTTAAAGAATCAGATCATGACTCCCCAACCACAAAGATCACAGTTCCTAAGAAGAATCTGCAAACCAGGGTCAGCAATCTCCAAAGATGGCCAACAGCAAGTCCTTCCCTGTCTGTACTCACAGGGCGTTCCTCATATCACGAGGTGAGGTCCAGTACATACCATGGAATCTCATTCAGCCATGAAAAGGAATAAAGTTCTAACACATGCTCCAACAGCATGGATAGACCTTGAAAACATTTTGCTAAGTGAAATAAGCCAGACACAAAAGGACGAATATTGTATGATTCCACTTACTTATATGCGATACCTAGAATAGGCACAGTCATAGAGACAGAAAGTAGAATAGTGGTTGCCACGGACTTCAGGGGAGAAGGAAATGGGGCGTTGTTGTTTAATGGATATAGTTTCTACTTGGGATGATGAAAAAGTTCTGGAGATGGACAGTGGTGCAGCACAACACTGTGAACACGCTTAATGCCACTAAACGTACACTTTAAAATGCCACTGAATTGTACACTTTAAAATGTTTAAAATGGTAAGTTTTATGTTATGTTATATATGTTTTACCACAACAAAAAATTGCACACCACAAAAAAGTAGGCCTCCTGGAACACTACTCACTTGAAACACTCCATCTCAGAAACCAGCCACCATGTTACATGAGGAGGTCGCATGTTCACGCTCTCGTCACCAGCCCTAGCTGAGCTCCCAGGCAACAGCCAGTATCACTTGCCAGTCATGTGAAAGAGCCATCACGGAGGTCCGGGGCAGTCAAACCTCCGGATGATTCCCAACCTGGCTGCCATCTAACTGCAATCACATGAGAGACGCCAAACAGGAATCCTGTCGATTCACAAAACCATAAGAGACAATGATAAGTTGTGGTTTGAAACCATTAGGTTTTGGGGTGGTTTGTTATGCAGTCAGTCATGGATAATTGGAGTGCCTGACCCTTTCTCTCCCCTCTTCAACTCCTGACTGAGCAGTGGAATGAAAGCCAGACTATATGACTCTTTGTAGACAGGGATATTGCCTACTTTGAGATACTGTATGCCCCAGTGATCAGATCACTATAATCTGCTAAGTCAGGTATTTCTCTCCCTGTGACATTTGAAATATTCTAACACCAGACAAGTAAAGAACCAATAAAGCTTGAGAGTCCATTTCTATATATGTGTCTGATACAATGCCTGACACAAAGCAGGTGCTCAAAAAATGTTTACTGAGTGACCGAACAAATGATTTAAGATGTTTTCCAAATAACTTTCCATTGATTACTTTTCTGGGAGGGCTTAATAGGTAGTCTGTGGAGAAAGAGGTGTGAAGTGAGATAAATTTGAGAAACTTTAAGTTAAACAAAGTTAAACAATTAGCACTTCTAAGAGCCATTAAAATTTTACAGTAAACTAAATTATCATAATGAAATGCCATAAGTGAACCTTGATAACATCCTGGATTTTTTTTTAAAGCGAGGCTGCATGGGAGTATTTACATTGTAATAATTCATCACAGTATATGGCACTACTTGAATTTATATAAGGACCCCCTTTTCCAAGGATACCAATCTAATATCTCAAAGGAGGGAACGGTTTAATGGATATGGTGTGGGGATCAATGGTTTAAAGACTCCTGATTGTAATTGTTATTTATTGACATTTTTTAACATAAAAGATTCAAGTTATCCAAGTGATCTAAGGAAGTGTCATCATTGACTGCCAATATCACAAAAAGAGAGACAACTGAACAATGTGTGCTTCCTGTTGGAAATACCTACCACCACTGGTGAAGTGTTCTGACCCCAGAACCAAACCTGAATCAGATCAAGCCTCTAGATTTAACTACCAGTTACTGGAAATAAAGGGGACAGATAAATATATTGAACAGCACCATGGGGATGCAATGTAACTCAGTGGAACAAAGGACTCAGTTTCTTTAACAAATAAATTGCAATGGGCCAGGCGCAGTGGCTCATGCCTGTAATCCCAGCACTTTGGGAGGCCAAGGCAGGCGGATCACCTGAGTTTAGAAGTTCAAGACCAGCCTGGCCAACATGGTGAAACCCTGTCTCTACTAAAAATAGAAAAATTAGCTGGGCCTGGTGGTGGGCACCTGTAATCCCAGCTACTCAGGCAGACTGGGGCAGGAGAATCACTTGAACCCAGGAAACAGAGGTTGCCGTGAGCCAAGATGGCACCATTGCACTCCAGCCTGGGTGACAGAGCAAGACTCTGTCTCAAAAAAAAAAAAAAAAAAAATGTTGCAATAGGGCAAACAAGAGAAAGAGGGACTTACTGATTAAAAGAAACTTAAGAGACATATCAGCTAAGTGCAATGTGGGTCAAATTAAAACAAACCAATTATAAAAAAAATACGTAAGACAATGCCTAGATACTTGATGAGCCTGACAAATTATGTATCTTTTATAAATATATACTAAAATATTTAAGGATTAACTATTGTCAAGGCTGAAATTTATTTCAAAATAATCCAATGGCAAAAGAGAAGGGAAATAGGGGTCCAGATGAGACAAGTCTGGACGTGTGTTGATTGTTGTAGCTGGGCAATGGGTACATGGAGGGTTTTGTATTTCTCTCAACTTCGGGGTATATTTGAAATTTTTCATATCAAAGAAGAAAAAGAAGAACAACAATAACATATAAGCCAATTGGAGTCATCTCTTCGCTAAGTCAATTCCTACAAAAAGGAAGAAGAAGAGTATTCTAGAACACAAAAGACTAAAGAGACAGACTAATTAAATGCCATAAGCGAATCTTGATAGAATCCTGGACTTTTTTGCACATTATACATACAGAAATGTGCACAAATCATACTTCAGTTACAAAGGTTTTGATTAAGAAAAGTTATTTGAAGATTGTGAACCAAGTGGGGAAATTTAAACATAGGCTGAATATTAGATGACACTAGGAAATTCATTAGGAAGATTATTAGAAAATTTTCTTAAGCATGATCATGTTATTATGGTGATGCAGAAGAACGTTTTAACTTTAGAAGGTGCTTCCTACAGCATATAGGGGTGAATCACCATGAAATCTGCAACTTTGAATAGTTGAATATAGAATATCTATTTATGTAGAGACAGCAAATGTGGCAAAATGTTAATGGCTTTGGAATTCAAGTGAAGGGCACATCAGAGTTAATTGTGCTATTTGCTCAACTTTTCTATTGAGAATTCTCATAACAAAACATTGAAAAAAGATTGAAGAGACTTTCAAAGATGCAGAAGTAATAGACAGTACAAGCATTTGTCCACCAGCGAGTACTAGTGAACTTCATTCTGAGAGAGTGAAATAATCTGCCTTGGGGTGCAGGAGTCCCGGTGCAGTGTTATCTTCTTCTACTTTTATTTTTCTTAGAGGTAGGGTGTCACTCTGTCATCCAGACTGGACTGTAGTGGTGCGATCACGGCTCACTGCAGCCTCAGTTTCCTGGGCTCAAGTGATCCTCCTGCCTCAGCCTCCTAAATAGCTGAGACTACATGCATGTGTCACTATGACCAGCTAATTTTTTAAGTTTTTGTAGAGATGGGGGTCTAGCTCTTTTGTCCAGGCTGGTTTCAAAGTCCTGGCCCCAACTGATGCTCCCATCTTGGCCTTACAAAGTACTAGGATTACAAGCATGGGCCACCACATCCAGCCTTGTCTTCTTCTTTTTGGCATATTGGGGGTCATAGGCTTGTTTCTCTCAAGCACACACTAAAATGAAGCCTATCAATCACTATGGTCCATTAAGCTGCACAGAGCTCTCAGACAGCTAGCTGGCCCTGACAAACAAGCTTGCTGTGGAACCAGGTAGTGATTAAGAAGAAAGACTCTAGAGACAGACCTTCTGGAACTGCAGCCCAGCTCTGCCACTTCTAGCTATGTGACCTTGGGCAAATCACTTAACCTCTCTGTGTCTTGGTTTCCTCAGAATGAGGATACTAATAACACCTCATGTGATTAGTCGATTAGTACATGCATCTCAGTTATGTTATTATTGCAAATATTATTATAAATATTACCAATCTAGCCTTTAGTTATGACTAGAATGAATGATCAAGGATCAACAGACATTCAAAAATCTAACAACATGGCTGGGTGCAGTGGCTCACGCTTGTAATCCCAGCATTTTGAGAGGCTGAGGTGGGTGGATCACCTGAGGTTAGGAGTTCGAGACCAGCCTGGCCAACATGGAGAAACTCAGGTTCTACTAAAAATACAAAAATCAGCCGGGTGTGGTGGCCCAAGCCTATAATCCCAGCTACTTGGGAGGCTGAGGCAGGAGAATTGCTTGAACCTGGGAGGTGGAGAGGTTGCAGTGAGCTGAGATGGTGCCACTGCACTCCAGCCTGGGCAACAGAGAAAGACTCTGTCTCAAAAAAAGAAAAAAATCTAACAATACAAAAAAGAAGGACCTAGATGTCAATCAGAATCACTGACCCCAAAAAAGAAAACAGATTACTCAGAGAATAGAAAAGAAAAATGTTAAATATATGTAATATGTATCTTCAAATAGAAAATATGGCATAATAACACAAGAACAGCTGCTAAGCAAAAGAATAAATCAGAGATCAAAAAAGTGTTCTTGAACATTAAAAAATATAATTGTCAAACACTTCAATAGAATGGCAAGAGTAAAAATTAAGAAAATACATTAAAAAGACAAATAAACAGAAATGTGAAACTTTGAACAGTTAAGAAACAAAGAGGTTCAGTCCAAGAGGTTCAACATCTGATTTGTAGATGTTCTACAAGGAAAGAACAGAGCAAATGGAGGGAAGAAAATAATCAAGGAGGCTGGGTGCGGTGGCTCATGTTTGTAATCCCAGCAATTTGGCGGCCGAGGCGGATGGATGACTTGAGGTCAGGAGTTTGAGACCAGCCTGGCCAACATGGTGAACCACCATCTCTACTAAAAATACAAAAATTAGCTGAGTGTGTTGGTGCATGTCTGTAGTCCCAGCTACTCCAAAGGCTGAGGCAAGAGAATCACTTGAACCCGCGAGGTGGAGGTTGTAGAGAGCCGAGATCATGCCACTATACTCTAGCCTGGGGGACAGAGTGAAACTTGGTCTCAAAATAATAATCACAATCATCATCATCATCATCATCATCATCATCAAGGAAATAAGAAAATTTCTCAGTGTTGAAGAAAGGCACACATATTCAAATCACAAAAGCTCACTAAATACTCAAAAGGATGAAGGAGAAAAGACTCCACCTAGACATAACTTCATGTAACTTCAGAAGACTCAGAAAAATTATCTGAAACTTGAAAATAGGCAGAAGAGATTACTGGGTAATCTATTTTTTAAAATGGCTACTTTACATCTGTAGGAACAGAGTTTAAGTTGTAGATGTTATTTCAGTAGAGATGAAAATAAGGTTCTGTTCAATTGGAACTTCAGAAGTTACAGTTCATGGCTTTGGAGTACATTAATCAGTTTTGTATCTATCCCAGCAATCTTCTTCTAAGATTACCAATAAATGCTTAGCTTCTCAAATGCTCTTTGAACAAGTGCTCCCTCGTTAATCACTCATGTTCATTTTATATTTGCCTGAGACTCATTATTTTATCTTTTTGAAAATCAAATTTTATTGATTTTCAAGGAAAAGAAAAGATCTTAAAAGCTTCCAAATAGAAAAAGAAAAAGGTTTTCTAGAAAGGAACAAGAATCAGATCAGCATCAAGATTCTCATCTGTGACAAAAGGCATCAAGCAATGACTTCATTTTTTGGAAGAAAAATTATTTTGAACCCAGGATTCTATATCCAGCCTATTATTCAAGTGAGAGGGTGAGAACAAAGATACATCAAGGTATTCAAACCCTGAGAGAGCTGTCTTCCCTCAATTCTTTCTGAAAATTATTACTTGAGAATGTTCTCTGGCAAATGAAAAAAGAACTCAAAGAAAAAGAATGCATGAGACCTAAGAAAAAATGGATTTAATTTAAGAATACAATGAAAAGAAATATTCAGATGACATCTGTGCAACAGGCCAGAAAACAATTAAGTCCAGACTAGAACAGGAAGTGAGTGGTCTTAACAAGAAACATCCAAAAGGGAAAGTGGAACAACTAGCAAAAAGAATATGATCAAGAAGCCAGATACATAAACCTCACACTTAGGATCAACTTATTTTCAACAAACGTATCAAGATAATTCAAAGGGGAAAAAGAGTCTTTCTAACAAATGGTGCTGGGGCAACTGTATATCCACATGCAAAAGAATAAACCTGGACCCCTGCCTCACACCATATGCAAAAATTAACTCAAAAAAATGAAAGACCTAAGCAAAACAGCTAAAATAATAAAAATCTTAGAAAAAAATTATAGGAGTAAGCGTTCATGACCTTGGGTTAGACAAAGCCCTTCTTAAATACAACAGTGTAAGCTACAAAATTAAAAATAGATGAACTGAACTTCAAAATTGTAAACTTTTGTGCTTCAAAGGGCATCATCAAGAAAGTAAAAAGACAACACAGAGAATCAAAGAAAATGTTTGCAAATCATATACGACAGTCCCCAGCTTAACAATGGTTCACCCTATAATCTTTTGCCTTTAAAATAGTGTGAAAGCCATATGCATTCAATAGAAACTGTACTTCAAATACCCATTAAACTACTCCATTTTTCATATTCAGTACAGTATTCAATAAGTTACATGAGATATGTAATACTTTATTATAAAATAGGCTTTGTGTTAGATGACTTTGCCCAATTGTTGGCTAATGTACATGTTCTGAGTTTTTTTAAAGTAAGCTTGACTAAGCTATGATGCTCGAGGTGCGTTAAATACATTTTTCACTTACAATATTTTCAATTTATGATGAGTTTATCTGGACATAACCCACATTGTAAGTGGGGAGCCTCTGTATCTGATAAGGGACTCATAATAAAAAGACAAGTAACCAATTTTTAAATGGGCAATGGATCTGAATAGACATTTCTCCAAAGATGATGTACAAATGGCCAATACACACATAAAAAGATGTTGAACATCAAATCAAAATCACAATGAGATGCCACGTCACACCCCAAAGAATGGCTACAATCAAAAAAACAGACGATCAGTGTTGGCAAAACCGTGGAGAAACTAGAACCTTCAAACACTGCTGGTGGAAATATAAAATGATATAGCCACTTTGAAAACAGTTTAGCAATTTCTCAAAACGTTAAACATGTAGTTACCACATGAATCAGCAATTCCACTCCTAGACATGTACCCAAGAGAAATGAAAACATATCCACAAAAAAATTGTACACTAATGTTCATAGCAGCATTATTCCTTTTTTTCTCTTTTTTTTTTTTTTTTTTTTTTTTTTTGAGATGGAGTTTCGCTTTTGTCGCCCAGGCTGGAGTAGCATGGTGCAATCTTGGCTCACTGCAACCTCCACCTCCTGGGTTCAAGCGATTCCCCTGCCTCAGCCTTCTGAGTGGCTGGAATTACAGGTGCCCGCCACCATGCCTGGCTAATTTTTGTATTTTTAGTAGAGACAGGGTTTCACCATGTTGGCCAGGCTAGTCTCAAACTCCTGACCTCAGGTGATCCACCCGCCTCAGCCTCCCAAAGTGCTAGGATTACAGGCATGAGCCACCATGCCTGGCCCAGCATTATTCCTAATAGCCAAAGTGGAAATGTCCATCAACTGATGAATAAATAAATAAAATGTGATATATCCATATAATGGAATACAATTCAGCAATAAAAAAGGGACAAGTACTGACAGATACTATAACATGGGTGAATCTTAAAAATATTAAGCTAAAAAATATGCTAACTGGAAGAAGTCAATTACAAAGGATCACATACTGTATGATTCCATTTATTTGAAATATCCAGAATGGGCAAATCTATGAAGACAAAAAGTACATTAGTGGTTTCCTGAGGCTGAAGGTATTGAGAGGAAATCAGGAGTGACTTCTAATGGGTACAGGATTTTTTTGGAGGCTGATGAAAATATTCCATAATTGATAGTAGTGAAGTTTACATAGATCTGGGAATAGGCTAAAAATCCATTGAATTGTATACTTTAAATGTGTGAATTTTTTGGTGTGTCAACTACATCTCAATAAAGAAAAAAGCAGCAGGCTTGGGTATTGTGGCTCACACCTGTAATCCCAGCACTCTTGGAGGCCAAGTTGGGCAGATCACTTGAGCTCAGGAGTTCGAGACCAGCCTGGGCAACATGGTGAAACCCTGTCTCTACAAAAAATTAAATTAAAAAAAATTAGCTGGGCATGGTGGCACATGCCTATAGTCCCAACTCCTTGGCCCTGAGGTGGGAGGATCAGTTGACCCCAGGAGGTCGAGGCTGCAGTGAGCTGTGTCCGCGCCACTGCACTCCAGCCTGGGTGACAGTGAGATCTTCTTTTAAAAAAGAAAGACAGAAAGAAGCAGCAGCTAGATGATCTCTGAGATTAGGTGCCTTTTTGTCAACAAAAAGAAAGAAAGAAAAGAATCATTTAGAACATCTCAGAAAAATATAAACATATACATCAAAGTCATGGTCCAAACATGAAGCAAACTAGAATGTGGCATGATACCAAGCACGTACTAGAGAATAAGAAAAAATAATGCATTTGACTTGGCAAAGGAAACAGTCTTCCTTTGAATAACATGGAATTACATTTCCTTCTCTTTAATATCAATCATTCTTCCTGGTGTTGCAGTAAATAATGTAGCTGGTCCCTTGAACAAGCAGAGCTTAGGGAGGTCAACAGAAAACCACTTTCTTTCCTTGCTGCAATGTTGTTCAAGGCCACTCTGTAGGGCTCATTATTCCTGATTGTTTAAGATGAAATTGGAGTCCAGGACCATGACTTGTCTGATCAATATCAGGTACAAAAAGTCCTCCAGTCACTTCAAGTCACAAAACAACTCATTTCAGTAATTACAATGTCCAAGGCTGTGTCCCAGTCAAAACTTGGAACTTCATTTGAATGTAAGCTTCTCTCTCTGCCACCAGGCTTATTACTCTAGGCAGGGAGCAAGCCTGCCGTGGGAAGGCAAGGGAATGGCCTCAATCTGCTCTGTTTCCCTTTTTTCGTGTGGGTCTACTGCTCCCCCTACAACACAGTTGGGTTTGATAGAAGGGGGTGTGGGGAAGGCCACAGCCATGTTGGTAGGGAAGGTAACGGGCAGGGAGAGTTCATCTGCCTGTTATGTTGGGACTTGGCAAGTGTTTACAGGGGATTCTCTCCAGAATGGAGCTTCCATTGGCTCCTCAGAGATACCTACTGCTGAGCTTCCAGCTCCCTTAGCCTGAGCATCCAGGAGTCCAGGCCCAGCCTCCTTCTGCTGTGGTCTGCTCACTTCCTATGGCCTCTCTGGGCAGGATGTGAGCTCACCCCATGCCTGCTATTTCCTGGGAGGCCCATCTGGTCAGCTAGAAGTATATTCATGTTGTGCTTAGTCTATGAACATAGAATTATTTCCAACTGCAGGCTTTAACTCTGAGGCCACAGGGTGCTCCAATCCGTCCTTTAGAATCCCCAGGTGTAGCCGACAACGGTCCCGTCAGACACCAAAGAATCTATCATATTCTCCAATTGCTTATCTTTAAATACTTCCCCTTTTCCCCATGAGAAGGTGGAACTCAAAATGCCACAGCAATTCAGTAACTTTCTCCAAAACATTTGTCTCTTTAATCCCTAATCTTTTTCTAGGCTGGGAGATGGAGATCAGCTAAGGGTTGCAAAACTGGTTTTCACCCAGCAGCTTTGCAAGTCCTGCTTAGATAGTCTAACACAGACACTGGAATGTTGGCATCCCTTATACCAAGGCCTCAGGTGAATCTGGAAATAAAGAATCTAATAAATGCCATTAGCGGTTTTCATTGTCTGAGAAACAATTTATAGGCAAAGTCTGAATGATATAATATAGCTTAAGAGCAAAATGTAAATGTTAAGACACTGACAACATAAAAGTAAAATATCACTATCAAAAACTGGGAAAGCAGGGAAAGAAGTAAAAAAAGTCATAATTTCTTTATCTTATATAAAAGAGGGTCAAAAGATACTATCCAAAGTTCAGAAATTAAGAAACAGAAGCTTACAATATTATCTACAACAATAAAGTCATCAATAGAAGTAACAAAAATAACTTTTTAAAAAACAAGAAAGGAGGGAAACAGGTTAACATACGTGTGGCAAATTCCTCACTTTTAACAAGGTAGGACAACCACCAAGAATGCTAAAACCAGAAAATGTTTAAAATGTTATTTCTGGCCAAGCGCAGTGGCTCACGCCTGTAATCCCAGCACTTAGGGAGGCCTAGGTAGGCAAATCAACTGAAGTCAGGAGTTCGAGACCAGCCTGGCCAACATGGTGAAACCCCGTCTCTACTAAAAATATATAAATTAGCCGGGCATGGTGGCACGTGCCTGTAATCCCAGCTACCCGGGAAGCTGAGACAGGAGAATCGCTTGAACCCGGGAGGCAGAGGCTGCAGTAAGCCAAGATCGCCACCACTGCACTCCAGCCTGGGCAACAGAGCAAGACTCCATCTCAAAAAAAAAAAAGTGTTATTTGTGTGGAGTATAAGTCAGGTTTGGGT
This sequence comes from Homo sapiens, assembly GCF_000001405.40. NCBI lineage: Eukaryota > Metazoa > Chordata > Mammalia > Primates > Hominidae > Homo > Homo sapiens. Next base: position 69,345,952 of record NC_000009.12, on the reverse strand, counting down.
GTGGGATAAATGCAGAGGTCTAATTATTTTTAATAAGAATAAGAAGGTAGGCCAGGCACAGTAGCTCACATCTGTAATCCCAGCACTTTGGGAGACTGAGATGGGCAAGTCACTTGAGGTCAGGAGTTTGAGACCAGCCTGGCCAAGATGGTGAAACCCCATTTCTACTAAAAATACAAAAATTAAGCCACGTATGGTGGCGCATGCCTGTAATCCCAGCTACTCAGGAGGCTGAGGCACGAGAATCCCTTGGACCCAGGAGGCGGAGGTTGCAGAAGGCCAAGATTGTGCCGCTGCATTCCAGTCTGGGTGACAGAGTGAGACTCCGTCTCAAAAGATAAAAATTTTTAAAAAAGAGTAAGAAGGCTAATGAGCTCCCATTTTTTTAATAAAAAATATTTTCCCTCTTAAAAGGCACTTACTAAATTATAAAATATCACTGTGGTGTGTTTGAGATATAGGTAGATGGATAGATAATATATTTAGATATATAACTATAAATATGAAATAAAAGAGAAACAGTCTCAGAGAGGTAAAGTATTATGCCAAATTATACAACTAAGTACAGTACCCAGGTCAAATCTGGGTCTGACCCAAATCTATACTCTTTCTTCTCCATCAATGTGCAGGATGCCTGCTAACACATAATGTCCATTTAGAGATCATTATTTTCTCTTCACAAAAGAGCTTTACCAGGAAACTCTTTGGTATCACCGTTGAGACATTACAGCTCATTATACCCAATTCTACCATCACCCAAGCCCTGACACCCCGACCCAGCCTCCTTCACCTGACACTTCCCACCAATGCTGAGCTTACCACCAATCCATCTACTTTGCATGCCCACTGGATTTCTTGTTTTTCAACTGAGTTACCATAAGTGTCCAAATGTTTTAAAATGAATCTATTTAGTTTGAACTATTTTTAATTATTATAAAAGTAATATTCATAGAAGAAAAATCATGGTCTTAAGCATTCAGAGTTCTTGATTATGTTAGGAACAAGAGAAACCAACTCAGGCTATTTAAGAAGAAAAGGAATTTCTTGCAAGACTATCAGGTAGCTCACAGAATCCACAAGAACGAGGCTCAGGAACCCAGGAAGGAGCCAAAGAACCCGGGAGCTGGCACTTCTAGCAAGGTCATGCCACAGGAAAACCAGGTCCCTTGTTGTCAGCCTTGGACACAAGCTGCCTCCTTTGCCCAATAAGTTCCAAGTGGCCCCAGGGCTACAGTGCATCCACAGCTCCAGATTCAGAGTCCTGGGCTAGAGCTCCAGGGGGTAGAGGTCACGGGCTCACAGGCTGGCTGCTAGCATTCAGAAACATAAGCACGTGGCCTCAGAAGCTTCATTGCCAGAGGCAGGGCCCCACTGCTCACCAAGACACACACAAAGGCAGAGACACCAACTCCAAAAAGGGAATTCAGACATTGCAGGTACAGGGTGGCGAAAAATCAAACAAAAGATAACTAAACTAAAAGTCTCCTCTTCACACAATACAGCACTGTTCCCTCCAAATACAAATTGGAGAGCAAGAAAGTCTTCCTCCTTCCCATTCCCATTTCACTCCACAGAGGGGTCCACTGTAAACAGTTTCTTCTACATCTTTTCAGAAATTTTCCATGTAACTACAAACATACATGTATGATCACTTGGTGTTTTTTAACATACACACCACACACGCACACACACAGATAGGACCGTACACATTATTCTGCAACATTTCATGACAACACATGAATTTTAAGATGTTCCCCAATTCAAAATGGTCTCCCCTCTTGCCCCAAATCATTAATAATTTGAGAATTTTCTCATAGTCATATTCAGAAATTGATCACTGTAGTCTGTTGGGCTCAGACAACCTGGATGCAGGACTGGTCAGAGGGCTTCCTTTAGCAACCCAAATACATATGTACTACTATTAGATTTGGTGCAAAATTAATTGCGGTTTTTGCCATTACTTTTAAATCACAAAATAGTCTATAATGCACTTTAGCACTGGCAATGTGATATTATGTATGTATACATTGGTTGGTCCAAGCTACACCCAAGAATAGTAAAGAATTCATATTCCAGGATGGTCAGCTAGCATTTATGAGAAAGGCCAAACTCCAAAAGCTTGCTTCCCTTATCTTTATCTCCCAACAACACCCAACTGATTTTGCTAAATTAGCAGAGTGAATATGAAAATGAGATGCCATTGATGAAATTATTACCTTGTTTAATTAGCATAATGGATGTTAAAAACGGGTTCTCATGTTTAATTGTTTATATTAAAGGTATATTACATGATGTTTTGATATTGTGGTTTTGATTTTCATTTCCCTAGTGACTAGCGATATTGACCAAACTAATTACTACCTTTTCAACATCGGCTACTCAGGAGGCTGAGGCTGAGGTGGGAGGATCACCTGAGCCAGGGAGATCAAGGCTGCAGTGAGCTGCGACGGTGCCACTTCACTCAGGAGCCTGGATGACAGAGTGAGACCCTGTCTCAAAAAAAACAATCATCCAGCAGGGGCTCTAAAACCCTGTAAATATTCTCTCCTTGGCTCATCCCTTCTGAGAACTGGCAAAGAGCTGCTCTCCCTTACTGAAGTGGGTCTTATAAACTTAGCTTTGCTTGATCAACAGGTTTTCAAGGAATCCACAGTGGTATTCAAGACAAGTGAATGCGAAAATGAGAGACAAAAACATTGTTCACACACTCTGTTTTGTAAGCATGATACAAATCTCCACTCTCTATACTTTAAGCTTCAGAACAAAGGGCATGAACAATTCTTTTGTCTGAGGGCTAATAAGTGGATAGCAGAATTTGATCTGAGAATCAACTTCATTTTAACAATTAACTTGGCAGAAAGGTTACTTCTAAGCTTTGGCAATTACCTGTTGCTACCAAACTAAACCCACTAATTAAAGCATACCCAAATTGGCTTAGGTCAGTCTGCAAAACAAGGTACTGCCCAGGTCTTGATTCCAACCGTAGATGAATCACCCAAGACTGCTTTCAATTTCTGAGGATCCCAAGTTCTTACCCAATGCCCAGTTCCTGGGATAAGGTGATCAGAGGGAAGAAATCAAAGATCTGTTGCCAACAGACTAAATGCACTGTGATCACAGAGAAGCCTGAACCCAGCCTAAGCTGCCTTCACAATACCTAAGTGCACATTTTTCTACCATGGGTTGTTACATAATGACACATCAAATTGAGAGGCCAAATCTTCTCTTGGAGATTTTATCAACGAATGATTAAAAAATAATTCATAATGTGTTTACACAGCCTTAAATCCCATTTGTACAGATGAGCGTACAAATTAGATCATTTCCTTGGCCACTCATTGATTGAAATTGATAGGACTGAGACTCAAAACTACACCTTGTGTTACCTTGGTCATTTCTGCCTCTGGCTCTTTTGAGTGAAAGATAAAATTCCCAAAACATTTGCCACTTCAGATCTTGAAAAAGAATTGGACATTCACAAACAAGATAACAGCTTATTTAATTTATATTCTACACCACAAAAAAGCCACTGTTGGCCACAGTGAGATGGCTACCGATTGGCTAATGGAGGAGGTGGTAAAATGTTACAATGGAAGAAGCAATGAACTAGGAGCCCAAATCCCTGGGTTCTTTCTAACAATCATTCAACTCATTGTGAACTGGACAAGCCAATTAACTCCTGAACTAATATTCTCTTATCTACATAAAAGGAATAATATCTGCCAGGAGAAAAGGTATATGAAAGAACCTGGAAAATTCTTAAGCATTATATACATGCAAGAATGTATTACTAACAATTCTGAAGAGTAAGAAAAGTCTTCCATTTTGCGCCTTAATAAACAGAGTGAAATAATCATAGTATTTCAGTTTATATACAGGGAGCTTATAATGACCAGTTGAAATGTCCATCTGAAATTAAAACACCATCGAGGTAACTAAAGAGGACTCTGGAAATCTATAATATGAGAGCTGGAAGGAATCTTAAAATATTATTCTGATCTAAGCCACTTATTGGTTTAGACCTTGGGAAAATCTCTTGACTTTTGGGTCAAGAGATTTCCCCAAGGTCACCTGACAATTAGTGGTAACGTGTCAGCATTAAAATCCAGGTTTTGTGAACCATCAAACAAGGGTTCATTTCAATTTATTGAAATGTACTTGAAAGAACTCAACTGCCAAAGCCAGAGAGCTTCACAGCTCATTTTGTAAATGCATGGATTCCTAAACTGCACCTGGGTATTCTGACCACTCCAGCTCTCCATATCCTCAGGAAAAAAAAGACCACAATCTATCTCACAGCATAATCCACCTAAAACTATTTCTGACTTTTGACAAAGTGTCTAAGTATTCTATGACTCTCCATCCAAGACACAATAAGATGAAAAATTCCTAGCTCCCCAAATGGCTTTGTGAGCAGAATTATCTTACCAACCTAGCCTATATGGACTCTTAGAGGAAAAAAAAAAAATTAAGCATATCTTAAGCCATTTTGTAGTCTCTTCAGGTAATGAGGTTTTATCCTAAATACTATAATCTTGAGGTTAGAAAATAAACTGAAAGACCATTTTTTAAATAGCCAATACATTTACCCTTGTCTATTCTTGGTCTGGGGTGCAAATCAACAGGAGCCACAGTTGGGAATAAGCCACATGTGATCCAAGAACATCTCTGGGGAAGAACCTTCATTGTTGATGCTAAAGAATATGGAGCTGTCCCTTTATCATTTTTAGGTCATACTTATCCCATCTAATTGACAAGAAAAAAAAATAACAAAACTCACATCACCACTTCATAAGGAACCCAAAATACAGGCATAGAGCTAGCTGGGTTTTCACAGTAGCACTTCTTACTAAATGTACTACCAAGGAAAAATACCTGCCACCAAAAATGCCTGTACCACCAAAGAAAAATTTTTTTAAAATCTTATTAAGACTGTTCTGTTTTCTAACTGAGGTGCCTAGACCAGACAATCTTTGAGGCTGTTTCTAGCATTGTCCATCATTTGTAAACACTTACAGAACATTTTCTTAGAATGAAAGAGGAATGATGTCTAGAAGAAATAAAAACATTCTTTAAAAATGGAAAATGTTAGCTCTTTATGGAAAACACACAACCTAGAATACTACACACACACACACATACACACACACATGCACACACACATGCACACACACATACACACACACACATGCACGCACACACACAAACACACACACATACACACACACATGCATGCACACACACATACACACACACATACACACACACATGCATGCACACACACACGCACACACACACATGCACACACACATGCACGCACACACACATGCACACACACATGCACACACACACATGCATGCACACATACTTCCTAGCTTATTCTTAGTCATAGCCATAAATAGCTACAAATATTTACCAACTATTTTCCAATATTATCATTTTTGTTCTGAACACATGAGTATGTTAGTATAAGAAACATGACCCAGTAAATGAAGGCTTTCCAACCCTGAATTTCCGTGAAAACTTGAGTTTGAAGGAACTAGGTCACAGTGACCCTTTTTTGTTCAAACCAGTAAAAAACCTGATGTCATCAAGGTAACAACCACAAAAGAGGAAGCCCAAATGTAAATGGTTCTCAAAAGGGAATATCCATGTGTTCTAGACTCATGTGAACAACTAAAAACGAGGACAGCCTGCCTTTCAAAGGGCCCTGAAAAAGAGCATCCTTCCCCTCCCAACCTCCACCACCAAAATACTCCCTGACAACTTTGAAGTTCAAAGGGGATGAATACAAGGTTTTGGAGAACAAAAGCAAGTGAGAGAAATTTGAGACAAAAGTAAAAGAAATTTTGAGAGTTCACCCAGGACCTAAATTTCTTACTGGCTGTCAAATTAACTCCACAGTCAACAACTAATGTGTATTGAGCACATTGGCCCTACAGAAAGAGAGTGAAAAAGGCAAGACTCTTGTTCTCGGGGAACTGACTGTAGTCTGGGGAGAGGCAACAAATGTAAGGTACATAGGCTAATCACAGACCACAAAGCCAGTAATTCAGTGCTGGGATATGGCTAGGGGCAAGGCAGGAGCCACAGCAATCAGAGTGGTCAGGAAAGGCCTCTGGCAGGAAGTGACTGCTGAGCTGAGAGCCAGAAGAAGAGGCGGCCAGCCAAACAACCAGCTAGGGGGTGAAAGTCCCAAGTCAGAAGGTGCCCCTGAGCCTACAGCATGGATGAGAAGGGGAAGGGGACAGAACTCTAATCAGCCAAGCCCAGGCCTGCAAGAACACAGACCCATGGGGTCCTCTGGCTCCTAATGGAGCATGGCCTCCCACTAAAAAGCATGCAATGGCACATTCCTTAAACTCGGGAAACTGAGGCAGAGGGGCTTGAGGGGGAAAATGGAGAAAAAATATCCATTAAGGGAGGGGCAGGGTAGAGCTTCCCTTGGTATCACTAAATTATCCCCTCTGTGCCAAAAAGAAAACTAGGCTCAGAAGAGTTCAGTGGCTTGCACACAGGGATGCTACTCTTAAAAAGATGGGCTAGGAATATCTGACTGGCATTTTTCCCTTTTGTGACATAACACAAGCATCTGGCATGAGTTATAATGGTATACTACTAAGATTCATATGAGCCAGGCATAGTGGCTCATACCTGTAATCCCAGAACTTTGGGAAGCTGAGGTGGGAAGATCACTTGAGCCCAGGAGTTCGAGACAAGCCTGGGTAATGTTGCGAGACTCCCATCTCTGCAAAAAATTTAAATATTAGCTGGGTGTGGTGGCACACGCCTGTAGTCCCAGCTACTCAGGAGACTAAGCTGGGAGGATCCCTTGAGCCCAGGAGTTTGAGGCTGCAATGAGCAGTGATCACGCCACCACACTCCAGCCTGGGCAACAGAGAAAGACCCTCTCTCAAAAAAAAACAAAAGATACATATGAACTGCGGATTTCTCATTTATGATACTGACTAAGTCTCCAATTATTAATAGATACAAAGTTTTCCCTTGTAGAATCCCTACAAATTAATTTATCTTCTTTATAAATTGATGCTAATTAACATTTCAAGACAATCTCTATGCGACCTTCTAAGTACATAACTCATAGCAGCCAAAATACAGAAGCTCAAATGTCCAACAATAGGGTAAAAATTGATGATGATACAGAAATAAGGCAGCAGCCTACTTACAGTTTTAAATGATAAGCATGTAGACTCCTCATACATGGAAACCTGATAATAGCTTAATTTTATATTAAACAGAAAAAGCAGTACATGACATAGTATGTACACACTGGTTACAACTTTGTGACAAAGTGCATATACTTAACAAAGATGAGAAATAAATGGATAAGAATGTAATAAGACAGGGCCATTTTCATTTAAGGCTGCTCAAGCTTACATAATAAATATGTGAGGTAGCTTTTTAAAAGACAACAAGGTCAAATAAATAAATGTCATAATAGGTATACTTTCTTGAATCTATTCTTAACACACTTATACTCTTTTCATCATTTGGAATTTTCAAAGTACAAATACCATTGAAGATTTTCTTCTTTTAATTCAATTTAAATACTGGAGATTTGTATTACTGAGTAATTTAGTATTGACTCAATGGAAAAAGACAGTGCAAAGGAGATTCCTGTTACCAAATATTCGTATAAACACCAACCAAAATTTTTCATAGAGACCATAAACCTAGAGAGTCATTGTGAAACAAGTTTCAGCCACTTATAACACAGGCTATACAACTCATCCAAAGTTTCAATTTCTCTCATCCTGCTGTTTATTAAAATGGTATGCTAAAAATTTATTCTTTCCAAAATTATTAAAGGAATTTCATGAAATACAATCATTGATGGAGTTGTAAAATGTTGCCTATGTCATCTTGTGGGCCTAAAAACACTTCAGGTTAGTTTTTCAAGACCATCAATACAGTATTGGGATCCATTAGTTATTCTGACACACAAAGATTCCGCAATATGCTTCTTCTCTATGTATTTAAAAATTTAAGGAGTTTTGTATTGATTGCCCGTTGCCTAGCAAACAACAATCTGTTTCAGATGAACTATTAAGCATATATACAAAATGACTTTAGAAAATTATTTAACTCCATTTCAAGATGGATGAGACAAATAAAAATAAGAGATATTATAGAGAAAAAAAATTTAAGTATACCACAATTCAAATCTAATTTCCTAGACCCTCTATTTTATCATTAAAAGTTGGAAACTCCATTAGCATTGTCTATTTTGATCCACTTCAAATGGTAAGTTTAAAACTGTAACTGATAAGTTTAAACTTATCATTTAAAACTGTGAATGATAAGTTTACAGTCGCTGAATCAAAATGACATAGCAAATAAAAACAAAGGATGAACATTGGAAATGTTCTAAAAATACCACTGAATTGTATACTTTAAAATGATTCATTTTGCTATATAAATTTTACCTCAATAACAAAAAAAGATAAAATCACCAGTATATGTCTATATTATTTCCAAGAGAATATAATATTTATGTGACAAAGAGATAATATAGCAAATCTATGCAACAAAATTCTAAGGTTGTTCAACTCAAACATTATAACAATAAAAAGTCATATATTCATGATTAATACATGAGATCTGCTTCAAAAGAATATAGAGGAGTCCAGGCGCGGTGGCTCATGCCTATAATCTCAACACTCTGGGAGGCCAAGGCAGGCGGATCACTTGAGGTTTGGGACTAGCCTGGCCAACATGGTGAAACCCCATCTCTACTAAAAATACAAAAATTAGCCAGGCGTGTTGGTGCACACCTGTAATCTCAGCTACTCAGGAGGCTGAGGCATGACAATTGCTTAAACCTGGGAGGCAGAGGTTGCGGTAAGCTGAGAACGTGCCACTGCACTCCAGCCTGGGCGACAGGGTGAGACTGTATCAAAAAAAAAAAAAAAAAAAAAAAAAAAAAGGAATAACAGCCGGGCTTGGTGGCTGACGCCTGTAATCTCAGCACTTTGGGAGGCCAAGGCGGGAGGATCACGAGGTCAGGAGTTTGAGACCAGCCTGACCAACATAGTGAAACCCCGTCTCTACTAAAAATACAAGAAATTAGCTGGGCGCAGTGGCGGGCGCCTGTAATCCCAGCTACTTGGGAGGATTGCTTGAACCCGGGAGGCAAAGGTTACAGTGAGCTGAGATCACACCACTGCACTCCAGCCTGGGCAACAGTGCGAGACTCCATCTCAAAAATAATAACAATAATAAATAAAAAGAATATAGAGAAAAAAGAATATGAGAGGAAATGAGTGGGAGTATAGCTGTAAAGATTGGCTGGAAGTTCATCATTATGGAACCTGGGCGATGGGTACAGGGAGTTCATTATTATTCCCTCCACTATTGTATATATTTAAAACTGCCCATAGTAAGTAGTTTTTTTAAAATTCTATCTTTAGGATGGGTTTAATGCTAGAACTAAAGACACTTGTATAGCACTGGGTACTTAAGGAGCTTAAAGTGAACCAGAAAACCAGCAAAATTATTATCTTACTTACTGGTTATGATCATCTGACTTCTAATATTATCTATTGTTAACTTATTTTTTTAATGAACAAGGAAGCTTAAGCATTTCTTCAGTGGTTTATATGAACAGACTTCATACATAGCACATTTTATAAAGGGTAGCAATTTATAAGATCAGTACATACCAGGAGTATCATAGGCCTTTTCCAAGTTGTTAATCCTATGATTCCAGAGAGTATCACCTGTAAGGATAAACTATCATAAATATAGAAAATGGACCAATTCCAATAAACAAATCCTCAGTCACAAAAGTACATATTTTTAAAGATACTGAAATTTCAAAGCATTCTAAATCAAACATTTAATATTCCTCCTGGATTACAGGGTTCACTCTGGTAGACCACTTTGGACTTTTACTTCTAGGCCCTCAAAGCTTTTTTATTGACTTTGTTTAATTTTGTTTTGTTTTTAAAGACAGGGCTTTGCTCTGCCACCCAGGCTGCAGTGCAATAGCACGATCATGCCTCACTGCAGCCTTGACTTTCTGGGCTCTGGTGATCCTCCCGCCTCTGCCTCTCCAGTAGCTAGGACTACAGGCGCACGTCAGGACTACAGGCGCATGTCACCACACCTGGCCTGTTTTCTCTTAATGTCAATTAAGAACACACAATCAGAAATTAGCCTCTCCTTCTGGTGAGTGAGGAATCACTATTTCTCAGTCAAGCTCCCTGTTCCTAGCATCACCCAATCTGTTGCCAGGGTCAGCCTCATCAGATGCATGTCTGGTGGCATCCTTCCCTTCGTCAGGTACCCATCCATTATGGGACAGGTAAAGTCTTCGAAATGGGAAACAAGGCCCTTCAAGATCTTCTCTTACCTGCTCTCAAGCCTGGTTTTTACATACCCTGGCCCCTCCACCACATACCTTCCTACCAAGTACCTGCCCTCCCTCAGGCCAACCAGGCTCCTGACATCCCTGGGCTATTTGCTTCTTTCTCTTTGCTGAAGTGCTGTGTCCTCCCAGCTTCCCTCCTAGCTGCCTGAGAACTTTTATCCATCCTGCAAGGCCCCATTTAGCAGTCACCTGCCCTGAGAAGCCCTCACTGATTCCACCGCTCCACACTCATGGAAGCCCTCTGCACACATTTCTTTTTTTCCAAAAACTCTATTGTAATAATTGAGGGATGTGTCTCTGAATTACCTACTAACTGTGAACTCCTGTCTTGTCTCTCTAAAGTCCTAGTTCCCAGCATTGTGCCCCAATTGTTGGCAATTAATATATGTTCTAGAGCATTTATTCCACAAAGTGGGAGGAACTACTGTGAGAAGGAGCTCATGTTGCAAAATGACACTTCAATAAAAAACGAGCTAAAAAATCTCAATAAGAAAAAACAGGCTGGGCGCGGTGGCTCACTCCTGTTACTCCCAGCACTTTGGGAGGCCGAGGCAGGTGGACTGCCTGAGCCCAGGACTTTGAGACCAGCCTGGACAACATGGTGAAACCCCATCTCCACTAAAATACAAAAAATTAGCTGGGCATGGTGACGCTACTTGGGAGGCTGAGGCACAAGAGTCGCCTGAACCCAGGAGGCAGAGGTTGCAGTGAGCTGAGATCGCGCCACTGCACTCCAGCCTGGGCGATAGAATGAGACTCTGTCTCAAAAAAAAAAAAAAAAAAAGAAAAGGAAAGGAAAGGGCCACTATTTTGCCAAAACATAAACTGGAAACCAAGGTCAGCCCTTTGGATAACACAGTTTGATAAACAATTGGGAAATGATAATCAAAGTAATTTTTCAGCCTGGGATGTGCTGATGCCATTTGAGCACTCTGAGCTTTGTAAAATAAAGTGTGTCTGCCAAAGGCAGCCATGAAGGTTTTCCTCTACAAGCACATTATACTTGTTCAAATTGCTCAAATGCACCATTTCACAATCAGTGTTTATCAACTACAGATCAGTAAGGACTTGACAGTGTCCCTTCAAATTCAAAACCCACAGGCCTGCTTGCAATATTCTCCATTCTCACTAGCTGAGAGTAATCATTCTGCAGCATCAGACCAGCATAGGACAAGTCTACCCACTTATATCAAGGATCAAAAACCATATACAGGCAGATAGGTGACAATTTCTTTGTGTGCCATCTATGTTTAAAGGTACTACTAGCTGCCTGCCCACCAGGCACTTTAACCTTGCAATCCCTTTAAATCCAATAGGATATTTCCTTACCCTAAACAATTTCTGCCTGAAGACACAGGGCAGGGCGTGTGTGACTCACAGTGTGTGAGTTGTACCTACTTTACAAATTGGGACTGCAATCCATGAGGTCCTGGGTTCCAGGCTCCCACTCAGCTTCTAAAGACTTAACTATGAGACCTTGGCCAAGTCATTTCACTTGTCTGGTCCTCACTTATTTCTTTAGAAATGCTGTAAGGGAAGGAAACCATCTCTTGGTCTCTTCTAGCTCAAAAGACTTACCTTATAGTGATGACAGTGATTCCTCAGAAATCTGTGACTCAGGGTGTAGGCACGTATGCTTGTGCATGTATGTGTGTATGCATGTGCTTGCATGTGTGTGCACATGTGTGTGCATGTGTGTATCCCTCTGTGCATGTGCATCCCACCTGCCCACTCCGGTGCCTACTGGACTTAGCTGAGGAAATTCAAGCTGTTCTTGTGAAAACATAACTTCATATTCAACTGCCCTTAAGGAAAACACAAATCTCCCAATTCAGTAAAAAATATGATTTGAATTATTAGTTAGCGTTTGACATTAATGCTACTGGTCTCCATTAATAGAGAACCCTGCGGTTCAGCTTTTTGGAATGTATTTTTTCTATTAAAACAATATTATTGGCCAGGCGCAGTGGCTCACACCTGTAATCCCAGCACTTTGGGAGGCCAAGGCAGGCGGAATACTTGAGGTCAGGAGTTTGAGACCAGCCTGGCCAACACGGTGAGACCCTGTCTCTACTAAAAGTACAAAAATTAGCTGGGTTTGGTGGCACACACCTATAATCCCAGCTGCTTGGGAGGCTGAGGCAGGAGAATCACTTGAACCCAGGAGGTAGAGGGTGCAGTGAGCCAAGATCACACCACTGCACTCCAGCCTGGGTGACAGAGTCCATCTCAAAAAAAAAATAATAATATTATTAAAAGGAAGTGTCCAGCCCCAGCCATAAAAGCCCATAAAATAGCAATATGCCTAAACTGTTCTGCCCCCCTCACCTACACAGCCACATCACCCCACCCTCCTCCATGTTAACAATCTAGCACGTTTACATATTTTACATATATATGTATTTTTCTCTAAATTCTTACTACACACACATGTCTATGTGTATATATACACACTCACAGGGATGTAATTTTTGTAAAAAAATCATAAAAGATATACTTTCCCTGCCTCTTCCTTTTCTCTCTCAATAAATACTTCATAGAAATCTCTTCATGTGCATTGGAACAGCTCTAATTCATTTTACTTTAGTGACTACATAACATTCCATCGTGTGGCTGTACTTAACGTATTCAATCATTTCCATATTAATGGGCATTCATTCTATGTCTAGTTTTTTGCTGTCACAAACAATGCTGCAGTAAACATCTATGAACATATATCTTTAAAAACAAGTGCTTTTATTTCAGCGGAAAAAAGTCCCAGGAGTGAAGTTTCTAAGTTGAAAGGTATTTCTATTCTTTTTATTTTAATAGATCATGACAGAGTCAACTGTCATTTCAAATGAGGTGTCTCTGAAACCAAAGAACTAAGCTATCTTTATTTCTTCCTTTGGAGGGGAGGTATTTTGTTTGCATATGGTAGCAACAAACTATAGAAAATGTAAGTTAAAAAATATGTACAAAATGTATATATGTACAAATACATGACAAATGAGAAACATCAATAATCTCAAAATGTATATGACAAAGATCTTTAAGGCCTCACTGGGGAGAAATACAAAGTTTATTGCGCAATATTAAATGAATAGCCAAGTCAGTCAAGGCATATACCAAGTCTATGGATTGAAGACAAACTAAGAATGTCATTTCCATTTAAATTGTTTTACAGACTCAGCACATATTCAAGTTAAATCCCACCAGGATTCTTGTAAGCCACCGCTCTTTACAATGTTTTAAGAAACTATATTCCAGCTCCAGGCGGGAGCTATAGTTGCAGCTCTTCATTCCTGAACCCCGCAACAAAGGCACACACCTACTTTTATTCAACTTCTCCCTCTCTTCAAGCCCAGTGAAGCCCTGAGGCACTTGGGGAACCCTGTGAGTGGTGATGGGGAGAAAAGCAAATAGAGGAAGTAGGCCTGGATGGTTAGAAGCCTCTCGAATGGTAATGGGAACAGAGGTGCTACAGTTGGGGATAAATTTTTTAAGAGCTCAAGACTTAAGGAATGATGCTTCCATTTCATCTGAAAGGGAGGCAGAATTCACAGACGGGGAAAGGGGTTGGGAAAAGAAGAAGAGAAGGAGACAGAGTATTCAATGCCTCCACCTCCCTTGGTGGCAGCAGTAGCTGGAGCTCCATCAGAAATGAGCCAAGAAGGTCCCTTAACAATGTCCTTCCATGGCTCCCATTATGCCACAATGCTATCAAATGTTTAACTGTATCACGATGAGGGCTTGGACCTGTGCGTACTCACTCACACACCACTAAAGGTTCCCAGAAGGCACTCAGTTAGTTATGGCAAGAGTCAATGAGTGAATGAATGAATGGAGGCCAGAAACAGGAGATGACATTGCTCAAAGATGACTATGTAAGACTAAACACACTTTTCATCCCCTGTGCTTCCTAAAAGAGTACAGCAGCAACAAAAAGCAACTCCATCAGCATTCTTTCCATCCAGCGCAAGATGAAACTTGCCCTGAATGAACAGGTAAGAACCTATTTTCTAACACCAAACAATCTCTATATTATTATGAGAGGTATTACAATTTTTGTTTCACTCACTGATAACCTATTTCTTGTAGCTTACAGGAAAAAGCAGAGGGCTTTCCTTTTTTCTGAGACTGCAAAGAAGGGCTCTGAGATACCCCAGGGAAGAGTCATTGTTACCCACCATAAATGGTTAATGTGCTTTCATTTTCCAACGTAAAAACCAAATCGTTAAGATCAGAAGCTTATAATTCTACTGCCCTATTTCCCTTTGCTAATCCATTAACTTGTATTAGGGCAAAAATGTTCTGAATCATTTATCAAAAGCTGCTGTATGTAAACACAGAGATTTTTAAAAAGCCATGTTGTAAATGTCCTGTGTTACTTTGTAAATAAGCAGAAAATAATATGTCAAACTTCTCAACAACCTACCCTGCCCTATAGCTCTTACAATGGCAACTTTTTAAAAAATGTGTGTGTATGTGTGTGTATTTCTTCCCTATCTGTCTAGCACAGCTCATTAAAAAAAACAAATTGAGAAAGTGGGCAACTGAATATTTCTAATGAAAACATGATGGTAACTATAATGTCCTACAAAAATACTGGCCTGTTCATTTTACTTTGATTAACTATTACCTCGGTATTTAAAAACCATTGATACAGGTTCCCGTGTATTCCAGGTCTGGTGCTTGGGTCCAGCAGTGATGCACTCTCCTATGTATACTCTAGCTACACCCTGACAAAATCAGCACTGAAGAAGAAGAAGCATCCCACCCATTTGACAGATGAGTAACTGAGGCCAAGAGGCACAGAACTTATAAAGGTGACTCTGCTGATATGCAAAATAAAGGACCAAAGAAATCAATAAAACTCATCCCCAAAATTATAGTTTAAATATCCCTTAAATATTAAAGTAGTATTTGATTAGTATGATAAAAAATATTTACTATCATTTAACTGGTAGTAACCATAATCTTTATGTTAGTTTTTCGTTTAGTCCATTGATTTTTCTTTATGTTTATTCACTGCGATTTTTTTTACAAAGGTTCACCCTAAAGTTCACCAATGTCTGTCTCTTTACGTGAAAGTAGAACCTTGCCAAAGAATCATGGACTCAAAGGATGATCATGAATTTAGATCAGTGACTTAAAGCACAGACATAGATGTATACAACTGATAAAGAATAATAGGGCACTCAGAGAGGAGTAAAAAACAACAACCAATTCTCTACCACTCATCTGAAATATCTCCCAAGGATCATGCATGTCATCAAAGGTAGGAATTTTGTTTCTGAAGGAGGAGAGACAACCCAATGCAACTCTCTCTCCTCTTTCATTAAATCTAGTGCAGTGTGGCCGACTGAGTCTCCCATACCCCAGTGGAATCTACTTAACCCCAGTGGAACCTAGCTAACTCCCTTACCCAGTGGAATCTAGTTAACATTAACTCCCATACCCCAGTGGAATCTAATTAAACCCAGTGGAACCTAGTTAACTCCCATACCCCAGTGGAATCTAGTTAACATTAACTCCCATACCCCAGTGGAATCTAATTAAACCCAGTGGAACCTAGTTAACTCCCATACCCCAGTGGAATCTAGTTAACATTAACTCCCATACCCCAGTGGAATCTAATTAAACCCAGTGGAACCTAGTTAACTCCCATACCCCAGTGGAATCTAATTAAACCCAGTGGAACCTAGTTAACTCCCATACCCCAGTGGAATCTAGTTAACATTAACGCCCATACCCCAGTGGAATCTCGTTAACTCCCACACCCCAGTGGAATCTAGTTAACACTAAACGCACCCCCCAAACCGAGAGCTAGGACAGCACAGCTGAAGACAGACACTGAGATCCTCCCTTAGCCACTCACCTCCAGTCAAATGCCAGGTTGTTTTTCAAGATGGCTCATCTCTTAGCTTCACGAATTTTGGGAATAATAATATATTGAGTGATTTACCGGTGATACCAGGAAGAAATCAAATGCTCAGAGTGCTCAAAAACACAGACTACGTTAAAAACTCTCCCTTCAAGTTGCTGAAAGTATGAATGAAAACTATGAAAAAAGATGCTTTATAGAATTTGTTAATTCTTAAGTGTTTTTTAAAATAGATAAAATATACCTTCAAAGTTCAAACAAGTGAAAGAAGCCTCCAAAATCTCAGGCTCAGGGCTCTCTTAAGGAAATACATATGAAAAAATATCCTTGAACTATACTGTGTTCAACAAATAGTCATTTCAAATAAATATATTTGTCTCTTGAACCTAATTTTGTATCAAATACACAAGCAAAATTTTCAGTGAAGCCTAAAGAAGATGTGTGGGTTCAGTTGATATAGCAGGCTAAAGATCCTAATGGTCAAAGCTTGAAATATGAGGATATTCTTCTACTGTGTTCCTATGTGGGTTTGAAGTAACCTTAGACATAAGTTGGCACTTCCATTCAACTACCTAGCTTCATATGCCAATAAAACTTGTGAGTGAATAAATAAACATGGCATATCCATACAATAAAATAGGAATGAAGTACTGAGACTTGCCGCAGCATGGATGAAGCTTGAAAACATGCTAAGTGAAAGAAACCAATCATAAAAGACCACATATTATATGATCCCTTGTATATGAAATATCCAGAACAGACATATCTACAGAGACTGAAAGTGGGTTAATCAGTGGGTGGCTAGGGGTGGGGGTGGTGGAGAATGAGGAGTAACTACTCAAAACTTTAGGGTTGATAAACATTTTCTAAAATTGTGGTGATAGTTGCACAACTGTGAATTTACTAAAAACCATTGACCAGTACACTTTAAATGCTAAATGGGTAAGTTGTATGGCATGTGAATATATGTCAAAGCTGTGTTCTTTTTTAATTCTGCAGTTCTCAACTCATAATCTTCCAACTTTTTTTTTTATAGAAACCTTAGTTTAGCTGTCTTTGAATTAGTTACAATGTCCTATCAAGCCCATTTCTTTTATAAGTACATACTAAAATACTAATGGCTGAAGTTGTGATACCTGGAATTTGCCTTAAAATAATCCAGGGGTGTTAGGAAGGGGGAGCAGCGTTAGGTATAAAGTGGCCATGTGTTGATAGCTACTGGGTGAAGGGTAAAATGCGGGATCATTACACCCTTCTTTCTACATTTGTTGAGTTTTTAAATTTTTATAATAAAAGATTTAAAATTGAAGGGAATGGTTCTTCGGACTGCCCACTCAATCCTATGCTGGTTATATTTTCTTGTGATAAAAATACACACATTGGAATATATACAGATGAAATGTGACACCTGAGATTTGCTTCCAAACAATAAGAGAATTTAATCTCACAAATGGACTAGGGAGCACGAAGGATCTAATTCCCACCCTGCTTGGAATATTCATCCTTCTGAAGTTTATCAGAAGACACAAGGCCAGCAGCAGAGCCCAGGAAGGGGGTGCAGATGAAACCATTGTTGAAGCTGGGTGAAAGGTATATGTGGGTTCATCGTATACTGCATAAATGTAAACTTTTCCATAACACGAGGTTTTTAAAAAACAACCTCTGTCACATGCATAAATTCAAAACATGTGATACAAGGCTTTTTTCCCCTAAAGCACCAAGAGAGTCATGGTGCCTAAAGCCATCCTCTTAAATTTGTATTTAATTGTTCTATAAATACAGTATCTACTGCTTCTGTTGTCACTTTGCAAATTCTGAGGTCAATCTCAGGAACAAGTCACAAAAAGTAGGAATAGCCAACAGTTATAGAGTTGCATATAGACCTGTGTTTGGAGAGTATGGGGAAGAATGGGGAAAGACATATAGCAGAGAACTTGTCAGTTCCAAATCACTGATTTCTTTCTCTCCTCTGGTGTGCCCAGACCTGGAGACAAGGACATACCCAGCCAGCAGACCAGGAGTATTAACCTTCACCTTCTGGTGGAAGGCCTTTTTTTTTCTTTTCTTTTCTTTTGGTACTTCATCAAATTCAACTGTGGCTTGACCGATATCTAAGTGCATTTACCTCTGAAATGATTCACAATAGTAAACTGATTTCAGCTTTTAATTTTAGAAGACAAAAAATAGTTTTTAAGAATCCTAAACTAGCTATGTTTGAGAAGACAATAGATTATGATTTTATAAAGAGCAAATTCCTAAAAATATATGCAAGATCATTACTGGCCCGTGGTATTTAGAGAAATGAAATGCACCCACCATTTGGCTGGACTTAGTCAGACAAACAGAATAGGTGGCATAACGGGTCTAATTCCTACCTTGTCTGGAATATCCATCCTTCTGTAGTTTTCCTGAACACTCATAGAGGCCAGTGGCAGAGCCCACAGGCAGAGCCACCAGGGTGGCGTTTTTTCATGAGGCACAAATCATGGCTTTCACTCACCACAGTCCAGCACGTACCCCAATAAGTTCATTCAACATGAAAGTATTTCAAAAGGAAAGCAAACTGACACTGGATGAAGTATACAATTTCAGGCGAGTCTCAAGGAACCTAACGTTCTTAATGTTCTTATTCAAACAATTACTTTGGGTTCAATTAGTTCTTCGAGTCCTTTTTTTTTTTTTTCAATTTGGTCTTGAATTGCAGTATGTGTGAAACTGCAAAAGCCGTTCTTACCATTCAGGACATACACTGATTATACATCTTACTAAAACCTAGCAGCATTGCTAGACTTTCAGATTTACACAGTGAGTTCATAGAAAGGTTATTTACGGTCGGCTGTGGTGGCTCATGCCTCTAATCCCCACACTTTGGGAGGCCGAGGCAGGAGGATCGCTTGAGCTCAGGAGTTGGAAACCAGCCTGGGCAACATGGGGAAACTCTGTCCCTTAAAAATAAAAATTAAAAATTAAAAAAAAAAGATATAAAGAGAGGTTATTTACTGTGCTCATCTTCCATAGTCATTCCACAAAGATGTGTTTCCAAGTCTCTCAACACCCAGAAAACGTCAAGGGGTTGGATGCCTTGGAAATTGTGAGATTGTTAGGAGGCAGGGGGGAGTGGCCACCCGGTGTCCATAGATACTGGCTGGCAGCAGCTTTTCTCTGAAGTTGGGCACTCTTTGGCCCCAGGCTCAGCGTTCCCGGTTGGAGGAGGGAGGAGTGGGTCCTGTAGAGCAGACATCTCTAGCTAGCTGCTGGGCACTCCAGGACTTTTGGCCAGCTCATCCATAATGACAGGTCCCGGTTCTCACAAACTGAATTCTGCACAGCAGCCTGCATGGCTCCAGGAACCCAGTGGGGTTAAGGCCTTCCTTTAATGACCAGGTACAAGCGCCAGTTCACACACACCCCCTCATTACCTCCTGAACTCGTCTGGGGGTCGAGCCACCCTACACATTTCACATTTACGTGTGTCTTAATGCAGAATAAAACAAGCGATGTGCCCCAGTCAAACTGTCCCATCTCACAAATACACCTACTATGTGCCAGGCATTCTTGATACATCAGTGAACAAAAATGATCAAAATCCCTGCCCTCCCAGCACAGACGTTGTCAGTGCAGCAAATACTCAATAACCAAAAGAAGTTTAATCATTTTCCTCCCACTTTCCTGCCACCCACACCCTGTCCTTCCAATCTCCCAAAGAGCTGGGTGTCTTTAATTCTATTAGCTTGACAGGGAAAATAAAATTCTTCAGCCTGCGCGCAACAGACACTACCCAGGTGCAACCCAATTCACCCCTGAACTCGACCGTCGCGGAACATTTTTCTCCAGCCTCCAAAAACTTCAGGTGGCGTGAGGCTCCCCCAACTGCAGCCCTGGAGGCCAACAAAGGGGCAATGGAGAGGAACGACCAGAGCCCCCTATCACCGGGATGACCGGGCGAACGGGGCGCGCGCGCGGTACTCACCGAGGAGCCGGCCCAGAACGGGCACGAGTTCTTCACCTGCGGGGAGCTGCTCAGCGACAGCGCCCCGAAGCTGAGCGCCACCATGCAGCAGCCCAAGATCAGCTGAAGCAGCCCAAGTGACAGCAGCGGGCGGGCGGGCAGCAGCGCGGAGCCCGGGGCCGCGGCGGCAGCGGCGGCGACTGCCCGGCGGGAGGAGAGCGCCGGCGGCGCGGCCAGCACCCCGGCAGCAGCGGTGGCCGCGCAGCGAGGCCGCGACGGGGGCTGCAGCGCGCCCCGGGGCCAGCGCGGCCGCAGCGGGGGCAGCGGCGGCTCCTGAGCGGCGGCGGCAGCGGCGCCCGGGCCCCCGGCCTGCGGCCCACCCGAAAGCCCAGCCACGGGGCAGCAGGAGCCCGGGAGCACCACGGGCAGGGACATGGACGGACGGGGAAGGGTGCGGCCGGGTGCGGCCGGCTGCGGCGGGCAGAGGACGCGGAGCGGAGCCGAGCCGAAGGCGCAGCACACTGGGCACTGCAGACGGGCTCCGAGGCCGAGGGGGAGGGAAGGAAATGCGCACGGCCCAACCACTTGCTGCCGCCGCTGCCGCTGCCCTGGCTCCAGCCGGCCGCACCCACCTGCCGCCTGGCGGGTCCGCCTCCCGCTGGCCCTGGGCGCACCCTCACTCTCACCCACGCGCACTCCGTGCTCGCGCTGTGCCGGGGCAAGTGCGCCACAGCCTCAGGGTCCCCGCCGAACCTGCGCCGGCTTCCTGGGGTCCTGGGAGGGTGCCCTGCCCCAAATATTTAAGTAAGTCCCTCGAGGTGGGAGGCACCTCACGGCCAGGACACGTCAGCGCCGGCCACCGAGAGTCTCAGCGTCTGTCCCCACCCGCCGAGCTGGGGCTAGAGAAGAGCGAGGAGCCTTCTCTGTCCAGCCACGAGAGAGGCCCTGGCGCGCTTTAGTGAGAAGGGGGCCCGCCCTTAAACTTTTGCCCAAGGAGGGGGATGCCTGGAGGAGGGGCTTTGGGGCGACTCGATGGGAAGAGGTGTAAGCCAAGGACTTCGGGAAGGACGACGCCGAGCGCAGTTACCGCTCACAGGGCGCAGGACGTGCCTACCTCGCATCGGCGCGGGAGTGCTTTCCCGGCATCTCGGTAGGAGCGGGAATGAAAGGACTGGGTTACCTTGGAAGCATCCAGCATCCGTAAAGAAAGTACCCGGGGCAGCCCGGAGTGCATGGCAAGTGTAACGCTCTGTCCTCTCATTGACTTATGAGCTATATCAGGCATCTATTAGGCATCACCTGATAGAACACGGAACCCCCAAACTTCCGAGGAAATATCCTAATAAAATCCTAAACTACTCTGGTAATTTATGAAAAATCTTTAGAGCAAAAAAAAAAAAAAAAAAAAAAAAAAGATTCCTCTTTGCAAAATGAATTCCCTTAATAATATACTTTTCACCTCGGAAGAATTCTAATGCGTAGAAAGTTTCGTGCCTAAAATGATTATAATGGACTTTTTTTCCTGATAAGAACCAGAGCAGTGTTCTTTGCAGTTAGTCAGTTCCAGTATTAGAAAGCTTATCTTACCATAAGGTATTTAACATCCTCCTACCCAATAAACCAAGAAAAGTATGTGTCAGTTTTTATGCTCTGCTTGTGGAAGCTGGATTTATATTGGTCGTTACACTTTAACCCAATGTAATATACTGTCAATGTGCCCAAGTTTACATGCACACTTCTTAAATTATTAAAGCACTTGTCTTTAATGGTGCCTAGGACTTCCTTTACAGACTGCTCCCATGAATAAATTCAAATTCTGGAGGAAAAGGGAAATGTCTTTCAAAATAAGTGTTTAAAGTCTGTTGATTCATGCAGGGGTTTTTTGTTTTGTTTTGTTTTGTTTGAGATGGTGTCTCGCTCTGTTGCCCAGGCTGGAGTGCAATGGCGTGATCTCGGCTCACTGCAACCTCCGCCTCCCGGGTTCAAGCGATTCTCCTGCCTCAGCCTCCAGAGTAGCTGGGACTACAGGTGCCCGCCACCACACCCAGCTAATTTTTATATTTTTTAATAGAGACGGGGTTTCACCATGTTGGCCAGGATGGTCTGGATCTCTTGACCTCGTGATCCGCCCGCCTCGGCCTCCCAAAGTGCTGGGATTACAGGCGTGAGCCACCGCGCCCGGCTTCATGCAGTTTTTAAAAATGCCATACAGTATATGCTCTTAAATTGCTGCTGATGTTAAATGAAAAGCTTCTTGGGGCTGAGGTTATACTCTATTTTATATACAAGCTTAACAGTATTTAATTTTTAACAATGTATTACACCATGCAATATAGTAAGTCTGACTGAGTCTTAAGAAATTCTCTCAGCTAAACAAATCTATTTCATTGGCCAGTTCTTGACACCTGAAACTTACTACAAAAAATGTATTATTTGTGTCTAAGAATGTTGCTGTTAGAAGTCAGGATATCCACTGGTCCTTGAGGAGGGACATGATTATGACTGGAAAGAGGGTTTCAAGGGGTGCTGGTGACTATTTCTTTCTTGATGTGGGTACTAATTACATGAGTAAGGTTCATTTTGTGAAAATTCATGGAGTTACAGTTATGATTTGTGTGCATCTCTGTGTATATTATATACTTAAATACTGTAAAGTATTTCCAAATACTTTATTCTTAAAATTTTTAAAGCCTTTTTCCCCATGCAGAAACAGATGATAGCAAAAATAACTGAAATCCGTGGATGATTTTATCATCTTAAAGGCTTTACTCATTTTATAAGGTGACTAAAACTTTTCCAAAGCTACTAATTAAGGGTTGTTGTACAGTCATTTGTTGTTGTTGTTGGCCACATTTATAACTGAGTTTCTTTTTCTGGTTATAAACACAAATCCATGTAACACTACCCCAACCTTTAAAATTATGCCAATAAAAATATCAAGTATTTGGGCTTGGTATTTTTGTAAACCAAGCTTGATTCTTTGCATCTCCCAAACCCTGCTTACATTAAGTCTTTAGTTAGACCTGAACAACCTGTATGTAACTAAGCTCTTATAGGATAATTCAGAGCCATTGATTTCCGTTTGTCTTAATAAAAAAAAAAAAAAAAACTGAAGACTTCTGAAAACAGTCTGGCAATTTCTCAGGAAGTCAAGTATAGTGTTTGTTGTCATTTGACCCACTTATTCCACTCCTAGGTATATACCCAAAAGAAATGAACATATTCACACAAAAACCAGTGCACAAGTAGCAGCATTATTCACAACAGCCAAAAGGTGGAAGCAATCCAAGTGTCAATCAACTGGATGAACGGATTAACAAAACATGGAATATGCAGCCAGTGGAGTATATTTGTCAGTAAAAAGGAATGAGGTGCTCATCTATGCTACATGTAGAAACCTTAAAAACATTATACTAAGTTTCAAAATATCATATGTACCCCATAATATGTACAACTATTATGTATCCACAATAATTAAAAATTTTGTAGACATTATGCTAAGTGAAAAAAGCCAGTCACAAATGACCACATATGATATGATTCCATTTATCTAAATTGTCTAGAATAGAGAAATTTGTAGAGACAGAAAGTAGCTTACCGGCTGCTTAGGGCTGGGGAAATGGGGAGATTGCGAGGGGATGATGGCTAAAGGATATGTGGGTTCTTTTTAAGGTGGTGAAAATGTTCTAAAATTGATTGTACTGATGATTGTACAACTCTGTGAATGTACTAAAAACCAGTGAATTGTACACTTTAATGGGTGAATTGTATGTACGGTATGTGAATTATATCTCAATAAAGTTATCAAAAAATTTAAAAATAAAGTGTGGAAGAACCTGTGAAAAATTTGCCCCAGATTCTTCATTAATGTAGGCCAAAGTTCAAGGAAACAATAGCTGGAGTGTGTTGTTTGGTGGAACCCAGCTGCCAGTTTTCCTCAAGATCAAAGCTCAACTCCAAGAAGGTTCCGTACACCTTCTACCAATGCTTCCCCTCCCTGTCCCTCATTTTCCACTCCTTGCACTAGGAGCCTCCTCCACTGAGGAGTTCAGGCTCTTTGCCCAGGTTTCTTGGACACCTTTTTTTTTTCTTTTTTGAGACAGAGTCTCTCTCTTTTGCCCAGGCTGGAGTGCAGTGACTTGATCTCAGCTCACCGCAACCTCCAGGCTCCCAGGAGCCTGGCTCCCAGCCTCCCAGGCTCAAGCAATTCTTCTGCCTCAGCCTCCTTTATAGCTGGGATTACAGGTGCACACCACCACACTCGGCTAATTTTTGTATTTGTATTTGTAGTAGCAACAGGGTTTCACCATGTTGGGCAGGCTGGTCTCGAACTCCTGACCTCGTGATCTGCCCACCTCAGCCTCCCAAGGACCCTTTAAATAAACTCCTCAGTTCCTTCCACACTTCTCAGAAGACCCCCATCTGTCAGCTAATTAAAGGAGGCTGTTCCACATCGGAGTGAGAGCTGCTGAAGAAACTCTTTAAAACCTGTTCCCTGGCAAGATCCTCCAGGTCTTATATTTTACAAAAAAGGAAGTGCTTCTCTGAATT
The DNA here is from genome assembly GCF_000001405.40 of Homo sapiens. Classification (NCBI taxonomy): domain Eukaryota; kingdom Metazoa; phylum Chordata; class Mammalia; order Primates; family Hominidae; genus Homo; species Homo sapiens. Next base: position 69,321,193 of record NC_000009.12, on the reverse strand, counting down.
AAGGCATAGTGGATTCTAGAAGTCTCAGTTAATATGCTGGCTGGAGCAGCTTCTCAAAGTGTGCTCCAAAGACCACAGGATCACGCCAGGGCGGGGAAGGGGAATGTCAAGTTAATTCACTTCTCCCCACACCTGCGGGATCAGATACTCTGGACTGAAGGCCTGGAACCTGCATTGTAACAAATGCAAAGAAACATTAGTAGAGGGTACTATTTAGACTCCAGAATTTTTATATGGGAATGCTTATATGGAAGAGGAAGGTAGGGGATTTGACTTGAAAGCAAACATACATGCAAATATGTTGGTGGGAGGGCTTTGCTGGCCCCCAGCGGAGCTTCACTGCACAGGTGATCTTTATGCACAGAAGGAGTTAGACTACTGGATTCTAATGGGAAAGGTACCGTAGGAGAAACGAGTTGCTGGGTTCTAGCCCCCACTCCACTCTGTGCCCTTGACCCAGTCAGGAGCTTCCTGGCCTCAACTGCTTCATCTGTAAGATACGGGTTTGTGAGTATCATCTGCCTGAGGTTGGGCTATGCAATCATTTGGATACCCCCAGGCCTGCGATTTTGAAATTCAGCTATTCTCAGCGCCATGATTTCTCAGATGACCAGCAAGAGAACAAGGACTAAGAAAAGCAGGTAAATTTGGGGGTGGAATAAATTTATAGACTCAAAATTCCCCGACAAAACCCGAAACTCACTATTTTAAACTTTAAGGCCTCAGGTTCCATGGTCCTAGGTTTTTCCCTGAGGAAATCGATGAGTGGTAAGAGCAATTATAACATTTCACTTTGCAGAGAAAGGGCTGTGTGAGGCTTTTTTTAATTAAGAGAGAGAGGAAGAATAAAAGAAAGAAAGAAAGAAACCCTGAGCAGAGCTGGGCAAATCAGGCACTAGGTTTTTCTGAAATAATGGTGCAGACTGGTTGTTAAGAATTCCTAATGCCTCTGGCCCCAAGACAGACTTATTTGTCAAACAGATGAGCTGTAGCCATATTTTTCTCATTGTTCAAATTAAATACTGAAAACTTCTTATCATGCAAATCCCACAAAAGATAATTCAAGCCAGCTGCTTTAAAAATTATTAATGGCTGATCAATTTCTAGAGTAGATAAGCTATACATATATATATATACACACACACATACATACACATACACACACACACACACACACACACATATATATATATAAAATAAAGTGTGTCCTACAAATATGTGAGTGTGTGTGTATCTATGGGTAACCTTATATCAGAGCTTCCTGCGGTTTCAAGTTTCTGTAGAAGTCAAAGCTGTAATTCACCAACGGAGGCTGTTTCTTTGTTCTGGAGAAATCTGTTGAACAGGCCTTTTAGTTAATCAAATGTGAAGCACAGACCCCCGAAACAGATGCTTAGGAGACAGCTGTATGTTAACGACAGAGGTTGTCTTGTAATAATGTGAACAGAGCCACCCATTTCCCGACGAAGGAGCTCTTTGTCTAAGGTGCTTGTCAGACTCACCAGGGAAGCTTCAAAAACTGTATACAAAGTCTAAGCCTCCAGTTGCAGTTACCCTGATGTATAAGGTCTGCAATGGGATGAGGTCTATACAGATGTATTGGCAACATCTCCCCTAAGGTTTGAGATGCACAGTCCTCTAAAGCCATGTCTCAGAGACCAATACTCCTCTTCCAGATAGGGGTTTCTAGTACCTCCATGTGTGCAGTGTGTGTGTGTGTGTGTGTGTGTGTATTCTTCTTCCTGGCAACTACTCATGAAAGAGAGGACCTCAGGCCCCCCAAAGATATCCTGCCAGTCAAGCTGGAGGAAAGACAATAAGAGGGGCTTGGCTTGGGTTCCACACAGCCCATATAGACTGAGCTGTGGATGTCCCTATATGCTAGGCTTTTTTAAGATTGACAAACTTTAACTGTGGGAAATGTACAGATTTGCTGAATTTAAAATATCTTGGTCATTATCCTGCTGAAGGCCACAAAGTCACCCAGGGAGAGAGAGGTGGGATGATCCCTAAGAGGAGAGGGCATAACTGCTCTTAACTGGCCTGGCAGTGGTTATTCCTAGGAAAGGAAATGAGAACTGAGGGAAGTGAAGCTGAGGATGTAGGAACAGCCTAGGTCTCCTGCTAATCCTCGCTACTGATTTTGATTGCCTACTGTATTCAGACTTTGTGTACATTATTCTAATGCAACAGCTCTATCAAATAGGTCTTTGTTTTAATTAGGGCAGAAAAGAAGAGAAAGGAACAGAGGGAAACTTATTCACCTTCGTGTTTCTTGCACCCACAGTTTCTATCTGCCTTTCTCAACAGTCCCTGGAATAGCAGAAAAACAAGATTTCTCTCTGGTATGGTTTGGACTTGTGTCCTCACCCAAATCTCATGTCAAATTGTGATCCCCAATGTCAGAGGAAGGACCTGGTGGGAGATGATTTGATCATGGGGCAGTCTTCCCCCTTGCCCTTCTCATGATAATGAGTGTGTTCTCATGAGATCTGGTTGTTTAAAATTGTGTAGCACCTCCCCCTTCTCTTTCTCCTGCTCTGGCCATGTAAGACCAGCTGCTTCTCCTTCATCTTCTGCCATGATTGAAAGTTTCCTGAGGCCTCCACATCCATGCTTCCTGTAGAGTCTGCAGAACCATGGGCCAATTAAACCTCTTTTCTTTATAAATTACCCAGTCTCAAGTAGTTCTTTATAGCAATGCAAGAATAGACTAATACACTTTCCAAGCAATTTTCTGATACAAAATCACCCTCCCAGCCATTCTGACCCAAGAAATGGGCTGCTCTTGGTAGCAGATGTGAGTTCTGTGCATTAGAAAGCCTTTCACCTTGTTCTCACTTAATAAATTGGCATCCTGACATAGATCAGTCTTTTGTGTCAGGTGCCTTTTTTCTTTGGGGCATTTAAACTTACTGTTTCATCTGTTAAGAACATTGTTCTGTGCCTAACCCCTCAGTCCCCAATACCTATACACACATTTCCCCAGGGCACTCTTACTCACCCCTAGGTTACAGATTGAGCTCATTTTTCTCAAGAAGTCTTCCTTGATATACCCACAAGGCCCCCCAGAGACCAGGGCCTCAGGTCTCTGGATCTCTGAGTCAGAGCTGTTTCTATTTCACTATGCTAAGGTTCTGAGTCAATGTCACATATGTAGGGGACACAGCTTTGTTCCAATCTGGGCAGCATGGTGCCTTCTGGGCTCTCACAGTCACTGTCAAACCTAGACACTGCATGTGGTATGAAGCCCCTTGGGCCACAGTGATGACTTAGAGGGCATGTGGTTTGATGAAGGAGCTCTACATGGAAAATCGAGACCTCTTGGTCAGATTGGTTCTGTTGCTGCACCAGGGCCTTTGTATCAGCTGTTTTCTCTATCTGGAGTGCTCTTTTCCCAGATATGTCCCCTCACTCCATTTACTTCATAGAAAAACATTTTCTGACCTTGTCAAATTTGTCACTTCTCCTCCTTCTTTCCTCCCTATCCCTTTATTCTGGCTTTCTTCCTAGTACGTATCACCATCTGACATTACATTGTTTATCACAGTCTCGTGACAGTATGACAAATGTAAGCTCCATGAGGGCAGGCACTTTGTGCTGAATAACCTGATATTCTCATCTCATAGGGTTGTGTCTGATAAATACGAATCAATAAACTTTTACTGAATGAATAAATAAATGGATGGTCTTTGCCTTTTTTCTTATCGAGAGATCTTAGGCTAGTCACATCACCTGTCCAGGCTTCAGTTTTTTCCATCAATGGAAGTGTGGTGGGGGGAGGGTAAGGAGGAGTTTATCCTGGATTATATCCAAGGTCTCTCCAGCTGCAACACATACTTCTAAATGCCAGGAATATATAGATCTTTGCTCTCTTCTTGACGTCATTCAATGATTCCTTGGTCTTCTTTGAATAGGAATATCCTGATTATGAATCATCGCCATAAATACAAAGAAAAATGTTTGTGTGTGTGTGTGTGTGTGTAAGTGAAGCTGAAAGGGAACTCAGGGCCCCAAAGCCCTGGTGTCAGGCTACCTGCCACTGGAATATCAGGTGTCCCATTCACAGAGGCTATGTTACCTGCCAGCCTCAGAACTCTAACCCCAGAGAGCAGGGACCATGTCCTCTCCTCAACTCAGGGCTTTGCAGCTTAGGATATAACTAAGGATAAGCCTGACTATGAAAGACCTCTGAGGAGACCAATGTAACTACCAATCAAACCATGTTTGCTGGGATGGGGAGGGTGAGTGGAGGCTTAAGGTAGGGGTGGGGGCGGGGCGGGGAGTGGTGCATGGTTTTCAGCTACTTGGAAGTGGTGGGTGGATGCAGTCTGGGGAAAACCTCTGAAGATCCTGAGGAATTGAATTTTAAAATAAGGCCATTAACCATAGACCTTGTAAACAGAGACCCCAATGGCAGCACAAAGTGGAAGGGTAGAAATGCTGAGTGGACTTAACCAAGAGTTAAATCTGAAACCGCTCCAGAGAGCAGTGGCCTGTGGAGAAACCATGGAGGGCATTAAAGAATCAGAGGGAGAGAGAAGATAGTTACTGGACACTTAATGTCTTCTAATGTTAATGTCTTATGCGACTTCAGGCACATTATCTCATCTAACACCAGCAACAACCATGGCAGGCAGTTAATTTTTACCCATGTAAAGGTGAAGAACTTGAGGTTCAGAGATACAAAGCAACTTTTTTCTTTTTTAAGACAGGGTCTTGCTCTGTTGTCCAGCTGGAGTGCAGTGGCGTGATCATGGCTCACTGCAGCCTCAACTTCCTAGGGCTCAAGCGATCCTCCCACCTCAGCCTCCCAAGTAGGTGGGGCTAAAGGCACATGCATGCCACCATGCCAGGCTAATTTTTGCATTTTTCTTGTAGAGATGAGGTTTTGCCATGTCACCCAGGCTGGTCCCCAACTCCTGGGATCAAGTGATCCACCCACCCTGGCCTCCCAAGTTGCTGGGATTAAAAGTGTGACAAAGTGACTTTCTTAAAGTCAAACTGCAAAACCAAAGCAAAAACCTAGGCTTTCTGACTTTTAATTCAGTCCCTTTCCCCATATATCACAGCAATATTTTGCTTGTAATTTCATCATGATTCAGGAAAGCACGGCAGAGGGCCCTTGAATGGCTTAATTAAAGAAGACAACTTCAATTCTGTCTGTTTGTCCCTTTCCTGGGATTACTCTTTGCTCTGCCCCAACCATGCCCTGGTCAGGGCTACCATGTTCCTGACTGACTTTGCCTCTCTGTCTAGAGATTGGATCTGGGGCAGGCACCTGACCCAAGAAGGCCTGTTAGCATCTCTCTTGTGGGCCATAAGAGGTCGGTTTGTGCCAACACAATGACCTCATCATTGTGAACTCAAATCGGGTAAATCTGTGAGAGAAGTTCAAATCAAAACGTGGGACATCTCTCTTCATATTTCCTAGAAAGTTTTTTAATCAAATTTAACATCCATTCCTCTAAATGAAAACAGCCAGTCATGAAAAGACCACATATTATATGATTCCATTTATATGAAACGTCCAGAAAAAGTGAATTTTATAGAGACAGAAAGTATACTACTGGTTACTTAGGACTGGGGGGAACAGGATATAGGTAAAGGGTATAGGGTTTCTTCTCACATGATTAAAATGTTCTAAAATTGACTACGGTGATGGTTGCGAGTATCTGTGAATATACTAAAAACCATTGACTGGTAGACTTTAAATGGGTCAGTTGTATACTATGTGAATTATATCTCAATAAAGCTGTTCAAAATGTATTCTTGATTTTTTAAAAAATATCTTAATAAAACAAATGACATAATTTCTTAATGTTATTGTTGATCTCAACATCTTCAAGAGCATGTAAAACAGTTTTCATTAAATTTAGAAGTTTAGAATGTCTGTTATCACCACTTTAAATATTTTTCTAAGCTTTTTAGCTAAGCAATGACAAATATTTGAAAGAAGAATAATTATCATAGCTTCAAATATATGACTTATGCCTGGGGAAAAAAGTAGGATAACACCAAATATCCAAAACGTGCACGAATAGAAGAATCCATCAAATTCAAATAATTTTAAAGTTAAATAAAAAGCACGTTTAGGTATCATAGGTTTCTAACAATTTCAAAGTTGGATATGACTTTCATTTTACATAAACGTCACGGAGGCAGGAGGATCCTTTGGGACCAGAAGTTAGAGACTAGCCTGGGCAACACAGGCTAAAAAAATTTTTAAGGAAAAATTTTTAAGAAAAAAAATTTTCTTAAATTAGATGGGCATGGTAGCTTGTGCCTGTAGTACTAGCTATTTAGGAGGCTGAGGCAGGAGGATCCATTAAGCCCAGGAGTTTGAGGCTGCAGTGAACTATGAATACACAACTGCACTCCAGCCTGGGCAACAGGATGTCTCAAAACAAAACAAAACAAAACAAAGCAAAACAAAAAAAGCCACGCAAGGGCAAAACCAATCAAGTGACCTCTTGAGAGGGATTTGTAGATTTCATGAGTAAGCAGTGACTCAAGTATTTGGATAAACTGAATCTAGCTAGTTGTCTACCCAACTCACATTTCTTTTTTTAAGTTTTGAACCCTATCACAGACACCAAAGAAGCCAACATCAACAGTTCCATGGTGTCAATGCCTGGATGTCTATAGCTCCGGGTCTCACACCCTTTATTTCCAGATTCAGCCTTTATTTCCAGATTTAAGTAATCCCACTTGATACGGTTTGGCTTTTTGTCCCCACGAAAATCTCATGTTGAATTGTGATCTTCAGTATTGGAGGAGGAGCCTGGTGGGAGGTGACTGGATCATGGGAGTGGATTTCCTCCTTGCTGTTCTTGTGATAGTGAGTGAGTTCTCAGGAGATGTGGTTGTTTAAAAGTGTGTAGCACTTCTTCCCCCTACTCTCTTTCTCTCTCTCTCTCCTGCCACCATGTGAAGATGGGCTTGCTTCCCCTTCCCCTTTCCAACATGATTGTAGGTTTCCTGAGGCCTCCCCAGCTATGCCTCCTGTATAGTCTGTAGAACTGTGAGTCAATTAAACCTCTTTTCTTTATAAATTACCCAGTTTCAGGTAGTTCCTTATAGCAATGTCAGAACAGACTAATACAGAAAATTGGTACCAGAGAAGTGGGACATTGCAGTAAAGATACCTGAAAATGTGGAAGTGACTTTGGAACTGGGTAAATGGGCAGAGGTTAGAACAGTTTGGAGGGATTAGAAGAAGACAGGAAGATAAGGGAAAGTTTGGAACTTCCTAGAGACTTGTTGAATGGTTATGATCAAAATGCTGATAGTGACATAGACAGTAAAGTCCAGGCTGAGGTGGTCTCAGATGGAGATGAGGAACTTATTGTGAGTTGGAGTAAAGGTCACTCTTGCTATGCTTTAGCGAAGAGACTGGTGGCATTGTGCCTTTGCTGTAGAAATCTGTGGAACTTTGAAGTTGAGAGAGATGATTTAGCGTATCTGGTAGGATAAATTTCTAAGCAACGAAGTAGTTATGATGTTGCCTGGCTGCTTCTAAAAGCCTATGCTCATTTGCATAAACAAATAAATGACCTGAAACTAGAACTTATATTTAAAAGGGAAGCAGAGCATAAAAGTTTGGAAAATTTGCAGCCTAACCATGGAGGAGAAAAGAAAAATCCATTTCCTGGGGAGGAATTCAAGGCTGCAGAAATTTGCATCAGTAAAGAAGAGCCAAATGTTAATGGCCAAGACAATGGGGAAAAGGCCTCCAGGGCATTTAAGAGACCTTTGCAACAGCCCCTCCCATCACAGGCCTGGGGGCCTAGGAGGGAAAAATGGTTTCATGGGTCAGGCCCAGGGCCCAGCTGCTTTGTACAATCTTGGGACATGGTGCCCTGCATCCCAGCCACTCCAGCTCCAGCTGTGACTAAAAGGGCCAAGGTACAGCTCAGGCCATTGCTTCAGAGGGTGCAAGCCCCAAGACTTGGTGGCTTCCACATGGTGTTGGAGCTACAGATGCACAGAAGGCAAGAGTTGAGGTTTGAAAACCTCCACCTAGATTTCAGAGGATGTATAAAAATGCCTGGATGTCGAGGCAGAAGTCTGCTGCAGGGGTGGAGCCCTCATGACGAACCTCTACTAGGTCAGTGCAGAGGGCAAATGTTGGGTTGGAGCCCCCACACAGAGTCCCCACTGGGGCACTGCCTATTGGAGCCGTGAGAAGAGGCACACCATCCTCCAGACCTCAGAATGGTCGATCCACCAACAGCTTGCAACATGCCCCTGGAAAAGCCAAAGACACTCAATGCCAGCTCATGAAAGCAGCCATGGGGGCTGTACCTTGTAAAGCCACAGGGGCAGAGCTGCTCAAGGCCTTGGGAGCCCAACCTTTGCATCAGCATGCCCTGGATGTGAGACATGGACTTGCATGGAGCCTGCAGACCCTTTGTTTTGGCTGGTTTCTCCCTTTTGGAGCAGGAGCATTTACTCAATGCCTGTACCCACATTGCATCTTGGAAGTAACTAACTTGCTCTTGATTTTACAGGCTCATCGGTGGAAGGGACTTGCCTTGTCTCAAATGAGACTTTGAACTTGGAATTTTGAGTTAAAACTGGTATGAGTTAAGATTTGGGGGATTCTTGGAAAGGCATGATTGTGTTTTGAAATGTGAGAAGGACACAAAATTTGGGAGGGTATGGGAGGGAATGATATGGTTTGGCTCTGTATCACCACCCAAATCTCATGATGAATTATGAGATTCATCTTCAGTATTGGAGGAAGGGTCTGGTGGGAGGTGATTGGATCCTGGGGGTGGATTTCCCCCTTACTGTTCTTGTGATAGTGAATAAGTTCTCATCTGACTGTGTAGCACTTCCCCCTTCTCTCTCTCTCTCTCTCTCTCTCTCTCTCTCTCTTACTGCCATGCAAAGATGGGCTTGCTTCCCCTTCACCCTTTCAATACAATTGTAAATTTCCACAGGCCTTCCCAGCCATGCCTGCTGTACAGCCTGTGGAATTGTGAGTCAATTAAACCTCTTTTCTTTATAAATTACCCAGTCTTGGGTAGTTCTTTATAGCACTCTGAGAACAGACTAATACACTCCTTAACTGAATTGGTACCATATCTCATCTAATTTAAGACACCATTATTTGGGGTATCACTAAGAAAGACTAACTGGTGTCAATTAACTGTGAGGTGCCATTGAGTATAAGATACATCCCTATTTCAGAGGTATAAAAATGTGAGAGAAAAATAAGGTACATCTTAGGATAAATAAAATTACATTGGTGAGTGAACATCTTTTAACCCTAGGAAAATTTAGAATCAAGTCTTCTGAGATCCCTGGAGTTCTACTAGTATTCCTTACTGGATACAGGTTTTAATTTTGGGAATATTAAAAATTAGGTATTAAAAAGTTCAAGGGAATCAAAACCATGATATTAACATTTTGGTGTTTGGAAAGACCCTATATATTTGGAATCATTTGTGTTTGTAATATTGATGAGAGTTTAACCTAGTAGTATGACAGTCTTTTAATTCTGATTTAAAAATACAATTGAATTATGAAGTTAGACTTATGGTACTATGTTGAAATCCTACCAAGTTCATTCATAGTATTAGAACATCTAAGAGAACTTCAGATTCCCCTTATTTACAAGGTTGATTTATTGTATTTATACTAGCTATTTAAGTGCTCAGGAAGATTTTTTTGTTTTATTGAGCAATTAAAATATTTAAGAATAATATAAAATATATCAAATTGATTATGTTTGAAGTATTGAAGCAGTTTGATTAACTGAGTCTTTAAACAGACCAAACAATATTTAAATGTTCCTTAAAAAGGGACTGTTAACAATTGCTACATTAATAAATAGAATGTAAAGTTCTGTAAGAACTAGAGCAATAATAAATTGCAAACAATGTGCTTCAACCAAAAGTAAACTTCTGAAGAGTCTTTTCTCCAAGTAAAACCCTCCCTCAAAGTTACCATAAAGCTCAACAATTCAGAAGGGCTCATGGCCCTAGCTGGCCAATCAGAGTCCTTGCTTCGAATTCTTCAAATTGACTCTGGGAAAAAGGGTTCGTTTTCTCTGGTAGTGAGACCTTGCAGTCTAAGGTCTTGTAAGCTGTCTCTGGCTTTTTCTTGGGCTGTGTGGAGGAATCCACTCTGTATGGAGAATGAAGCTGACGGGCAGAGAGAAATAGAGGTAAGACTCAGAGAAAGAGAAAAAAAGATTGAGAGAGAGAAGGTGTGTGTGTCCTGGTGGCCTTCAAGTCCTGGTTCCAGCTGTTCCAGCTGCACATCACACTTCCTGCAGTCAAGTTGTTCAATTCTTCCTTTAATTACATTGAATATCTCAGTATCTTTCCAACAAATTCTTCCTTTCTATCTACTTTGATTTGGATTTATGCCTCTGGCCACAAAAACATTTCAGTATTCTCAGACATCATAATAAATTCATGTATTGTTGTATAGCAGGAAGACCTCAGCTCACAGAGGAGGAGGTGCATTGTAGTCAATGTCACCAAGTTGTTAATAATGATTAGTCTTGAGAAATTCTGCAGAAAGAAAAACTGTTAATAGTCACAGATAAGAAGGGCAAATATTATGGAGTCTCTTCAGAGCCTTAAAAGACCTATTGAGACCAGGCACGGTGGCTCACACCTGTAATCCCAGCACTCTGGGAAGCCAAGGTGGGTGGATCACTTGAGCTCAGGAGTTTGAGACCAGCCTCGGCAACATGGCCAAACCCTGTCTCTACAAAAAATACAAAAAATTAGCTGGCCATTGTGGATCTGCCTGTAGTCCCAGCTACTCGGGAAGGCTGAGATGAGAGAATCACTTGAGCCTGGGAGGTGAAGATTGCAGTGGGCCAAGATTGTGCCACTGCACTCCAGCCTGGGTGAGAGAGTGAGACCCCCAAAAAAGAAAAAAAGGCCTATTGATTGCAGAAAGAGAATTCTGACATATGCTACAACATAGATGAAGTCCTTATACTAAGTGAAATAAGCCAGTCACAAAAGGACAAATATTGTATGATTCTACTTATATGTGATACCTAGAGTAGTCAAATTCATAGAAACAGAAAGTAAAATAGTGGTTACCAAGATCTAAGGTGGGGGAAGCGGGAGCTGTTATTAAACAGATTTAGAATTTGAGTTTTGCAAGATGAAAGAGTTCTGGATATTGATTACACAATAATATGAATGTACTGAATACTACTGAACTGTACACTTAAAATGGTTAAGATGGTAAATTTTATGTTATATTTTACAACAATACAAATGTTTAGAAGCCAAGCGTGGTGGTACATGCCTGTAATCCCAGTAACTTGGGAGGCTGAGGCAGGAGGATCACTTGAGCCTAAGAGCTTTAGGCTGCACTTTGATGATCTCACCCATGAATAGCAACCACACTCCAGCCTGGGCAACCCTAAAAAACAATACAATTTTGTTTTTAATTTCAAATAAAAATTCAAAGGGTTTGTACCCATAACCCTCCTTTGTAAGAGAAGTCAACAAAAAGTATCCATCCTACCCCTCTCTCCCTTTCTCCCACTTCCTCTACCCAAAGGCAAGCGATACTCAGTCTTTTCTTTTACCAAACATACTCCTTGTGGGGACATTGTAAAACCACACATCTCCACCCTCTTGATGTTGGAAATTGTTATGTGACTTGATCTGGCCAGTTAAACATCACTTTGGAGCTGATGCTTTAAAAACCAGGGAATGAATCACCATCACCTCTCATCTTGTCTTGACTCCTTTATTGTTTGACCTATGTTGATGGATGCCTGTCACTTAAAACTGAAAGAATACGGTGTAACGGAGGCAGTTAGCTCCTGCAGAAATGATGTGGTGTGAAAAAGTGAACAAAGTTCTGTGGAGTGGCTCACTGTGTGCAAAAGGAGTCTGGTGGAGGGAGAATCAGAAGAGCTGACCTCTATTCTTGTCCCTGCCACTAGCTGCCTATGTGGCCTGAAGTAGAGCAGTTTTCCTCTCCGGATCTCAGAGTCCACATCGGTAAAATGTGAGGCCTGGGTCAGGTGTCAAAGGATCCTCTTGGCCATAAAAAGCTAAGACTTTGTCTATACTGTTAGTGTCCTGACATAAATATTCCTTCCTGAAGAAGGCACAGGGACCTATATCTAATGCTGGCTTCATTGTAAACACTATCCTCATCTCTCCTAAATTTTCTTGACAACAGCATAGAAGTTAATATGTACATCTATTTCCTAGGGCCTTTATAATAAATTACTACAAACTTCGTGACTTCCAAGAACAGAAATATATTTTCTCACAGTTCTGTAGGCCAGAAATATGAAATCAAGGTGTTGGCGAGGCCATGCTCCCCCCCAAGGCTGTAGGGGTGAACCCATTCTTGCCTCTTCCAGCTTCTGGTGGTGCTAGGTGTTCCTCGGCTTGTAGCTGCATCACTCCAATCTCTGCCTTTATCTCCACATGACCTTCTCCTCTGTGTGCCTGTGTCTTCTCTTCTGTCTCTTGTAAGGATACCTGTTGGATTTATGGTCCACACAGGTAATCCAGGATGATCTTATCTCAAGAACCTTAACTTAATTACCTCTGCAAAGATCCTTTTCCAAATAAGGTTACATTCACAGGTTTTAGGGATTCAGATGTGAACACATATTTTGGTGAGGGTGGGGCACCATTCAGTCAGGAAAGTATGTGTGAAGATCATGTTAAAAAGCTGTAAAAGAAGCGCATGGCTTAATATATGTTACAGGCCCCACCGAAATGATCTATAAAGAAGACAGAAAATAAACCATCACCAGCTAGATATTCCCTTCCTCCACTCTGTCATGTTAATAGCCCACCTGGGGAAAATTCCAGAGCTAAAAAAGTAGCCAGGTGGCTCTTTTTTTGTTGTTGTTTTAAACAAAAGATCTCAAAGTGGGCCATATCGCCCATCTCATTGTTTGCTCCTTCCACATAAGTGCTAATGTGTTTGATTATATTCTGCTCCAAATTCCACTACAACCACTAATATAAGGCACATACAGAGAATTAACTGTGTCCAAACAGTTCTTTCCTCATGCCCTCATTCTTCTTGAATTTTAAATGCCTGTTGAACAGAAGCATTAGAGTGTTTATTTTCTGAAAACCTTCTGGAGAGCAATCACCTTGTCTTTTCAAAGAAGCCATACTGTGTCTGGTTTTTCCATTCCAAAAATAACATAGAAATTCTTAGAGACAGTCATGTGGCAGAGAACCAAGAGCTGGAATGCAAAGCTTTTGTGTTTCTTGTGGAAGGCCTCTTGAGTACTTAAGTAGTTACATTCCAGCTTCACAGGGAAGCTGAAGAGGGGCAAATGCAGTAAGGAGAGTACTTGAGGCAGGCCTGGTATTTCTCTTCCATGAAATGCCAAGTTTGGTCATGTCCTGGAGAAGTTAGGGTGCCCCACAAGAGGTGTTGGTACCGCTGTAGTCTGTGAGGCTACCTGAAGGGAGACCACGTCTTCCGAGAAATCTAATCACCAGCTGCCTACAACTTCCCCAAACACCCACCTGAACACTGTTTTACTCCTGACCACCCTCACTCTGCAGAATCACATGACAGCCCAACATTGTTACTTCACCTAGTGGCAAGTATGCACATCAATTTTTTCCATTCCCTTTCCTACCGTAGTCTTTCTGTCAGAGATGTTTGAACCAGAGCAACTCCATCTCGAATAAGAACTGGGTAAAATAAGGCTGAGACCTACTGGGCTGCATTTCCAGGAGGTTAGGCATTCTAAGTCACAGGATGAGATAGAAGGTCGGCACAAGATATAGGTCACAAAGGCCTTGCTGATAAAATAGCACCAGGTAAAGAAGCCAGCCTAAACCCACCAACACCAAGATGGTGATGAAAGTGACCTCTGGCCGTCCTCACTGCTCATTATACGCTAATTATAATGTATTAGCATGCTAAAAGACACTCCCACCAGTGCCATGACAGTTTACAAGTGCCATGGCAATGTCAGGAAGTTACCCTATATGGTCTAAAAGGGGGAGGAACCCTCAGTTCCAGGAATTGCCCACCCCTTTCCTGGAAAACTCGTGAATAATCCACCCTTTGTTTAACACATAATCAAGAAATAACCATAAGTATCAACAGTGGAACAGCCCATGCTGCTGCTCTGCCTATGGAGTAGCCATTCTTTATTCCCTTACTTTCTTAATAAACTCGCTTTCACTTTATGGATTCAACTGTAATTCTTTCTTGTGTGAGATCCAAGAACCTTCTTGTAGGGTCTGGATTGGGACCCTTTTCTGGTAACATCTTCCTGGTGACCATGAAGGGACAATACTGAAGAGACCCCTGACCCTAAGGAAATAGACTGCAGCACCAATGGGCCAACTTTGGGTAAGTGTTGGGGTACATTTTACCCGGGTAAAGATGGGATTGGGTTAGAGGCCCAACTTAGAGGAGTTAGAGTCTCAGTCCTAAGACAGTGTGGGTTAAAGGACCCTCTTAATAAAAGGTAAGGATGGTTGACCGGACTTGGGTTTGAGACGCAACTTAGGAAGGTTAGAGTTCTTCCTAAGATTTAGGGGGTTAGAGGCCCCTGTCAGTAAAGTCCCACTTGGCTAAAAATGGATTTGGCATTACAGGATGTTAACCATTATTCTCTTTGGATTAATTTGCCTTGCACTCTTTGCTGATGGCTGTGCGTAACAGGATTAGACATGTACAGGATCATGACACATAAGAGTCTTTTCCTCCCCAAAAGGGGAAACTTGAGAGCTGATGGAGCTGCTGGAAAAGATCCCTTCACAACTGACAAGCGGCCACCTAAACTTTTGATTCAGTGTCGCTGCAATGGGTCTTTTTCTGGCCTCCCTGACCTCTTTGCCTCCCCACCCTGCTACCGGCAATGCTTTTCTTCCTTTCTCTCCTTTCTCTTTCTTATCTTTTCTGTTATTCAGGGCGATCATCTTGCCCAGAAACATCATGTTGAAACTCTTGGTCAGAGGTTGGATGAAAGCTGACAGGGTCCATCCAGGAGCAAGTTTGAGCCTTGCCAGTTCCATTTTGGGTGCTGAGTGGAGTGGCGACTATAGCAAACCTGGTATACTTTGTGCTATAAATTTGTGTTTCTGTATCGGTCTGTCATAAAGAGGAGTACCTTAGGATAGAACATGGGCTTAGGACCTCAGTAACAAACTTTGCTGCAGGTCCCTGAAACAGAAAAAGCTGGATGAAGTTTCCCTCTCGTCTTGTTTCATGTCCTTGGGAGCTTGACCTTTTAACCACATGGTGGTATTTTCTCTTGGTCTCCATCATCCAGCAGACAAGAAACATGGAGTTCATGTCATAGTTAGCCCTAAAAATTATCTTGAGCAGTTAAAAGCCTTTGCAAGCTCTAGACTTCTTCTAGGAAGAGCAATGGAAACTGCCCAATGCTGTAGCTTAGTGACTAAGGCTTTGTCTTTTCACAATGACAGCCTGAGTCCAGGGTTCAATTCCTGGCTTAGGGGATGAGTTCTTTCTGGTTTGATATCTGTGTGACCTTTACCATTTGTTGATTCTCTTCCCATCCACAAACTGTCTGGAATTTTCCTTTTCTGAGCACCTAGGAGGTTACCTTTGGTAAAGTTCAAAACCCAGAAATATTGGCCATTTGGCTTGGATAAAGTCAGGTAATAAGAGATTTAAAAGAATTTTTTTTTAGAGTGCTATGCTTAAAAGTCAGTTTAATTAAAAGTGGATATTCAAGCTGTAACAGCTGGATCTCCTTGGGAAAAACAGAGGAAGCTCCATAGACCTCATTTTGGGGGAAATCTCTGTTTTTCTCATGGAACCCTAGGAATGGAAAGCAGATAGACCCCTCTCAAAGTCTAAGGCTCTGCTCTATTTTGCATTGCATTATCTGATGGTTTTGACTTTTGGGGATTTCAGAAATTGCTTCATATTATGAGAGAAATTTGGTGTGTAATAACTAGGTAGGAAATATACTTTTGGGGATAGCTTATTTTTGCAAACAAATCAGTCCTGTTATGATTTGTCTTTAGTAAAAATGGGAAAGTAGAGAGAGAAAAAAATTGTTTCAAGAACCTATTAGATTCTAGTCTCATCAGTTGTTTTTAGGTTTATTTCTGCAATTGAGACTAACTCTGCCTATTCCTGTGAACCAACCAGTGATCTCTGGCTGCTGCTCAGAAGAAACAAGAGGGAGGGATGAATAATGTAAAACTCTGGATCAATATTCTAATTCTGAGCCTCTATTGGAATCAGCTAGCAACCACATATCAGCTTGGTTTCAACAGTTTCCCAGTTCATGGTAAGTCTTCTTATTTAGTTTACTTAGGATAATTTTGCTCATTTTTCTTTATTGTTGTAGGATATATTGCCATTGAACTCTTTGCGTAGGAATGCAGGATGTTCTTACTCAATCATGTCATTTACAACAACATGGATTCAGCTGGGGGCCATTATCCTAGGTGAATTAGTGCAGAAACAGAAAACCAAATACCACATATTCTCACTTATAAGTGGGAGCCAAACATGGGGTACTCATGGGCATAAAGATGACAATAATAGAAACTGGGGATTACTAGACAGGGAAGGGAGGAAGCGGGGCAAGGGATGAAAAACTAACTACTGGGTACTATACTCAGTACCAGGGTGATAGGATCATTCATACCCTAAACCTCAGCTTAACACAATCTGACCAGGTTACAAAACTGCACATGTACCCCTGAATCTAAAATTTAAAAAAAAAGAAAAAATGCAGGCTGGGCATGGTGGCTTATGCCTGTAATCCCAGCACTTTGGGAGGCTAAGGCAGGAGGATCACCTGAGGTCAGGAGTTCAAGACCAGCCTGGCCAACATGGCAAAACCCCATTTCCACTAAAAATACAAAAATTATCTAGGCATAGTGGCAGGTTCCTGTAATTCCAGATACCCAGGAGGCTGAGGTGGGAGAATCACTTGAACCCAGAAGGCTGAGTTTGCAGTGAGCCAAGATTGCACCACTGCACTCCAGCCTGGGCAACAGAGCAAGACTCCATCTCAAAAAATAAAAATAAAAATAGAAAAAATGCTGGAAAAAAATAAGATAAAAAGACAAGCTATAGACTGTGAGAAGATTTGCAAATCACGTATCTGATGGAGGACTAATATCCAGAAAATATAAAGAACTTTCAAAAGTCAACAAGAAAATGTCAATCTAATTAGAAAAATGAGCAAAAGATATGAAGAGATATTTCACTGAAGAAGATATACAGATGGTCAATAAACACATGAAAAGATGTTCAACATTATTAGCCACTGGGGAAGTGCAAATGAAAATCACATTGCAATATTGCTACACAACTACAGAACAGCTAACATAAAAAACAGGGTCAACACCAAATGCTGATGAGGATGCAGTTAACTAGATCACACATACATTGCTGGTGGAAATGTAAAATGGTACAGCCACTATGGAAAATAGTTTAGTAGTTTCTGGAAAAACTAAACACACAACTACTGCACAACCCAGCAACTGCACTCTTGAGCACTTATTGCACTGAAATAAATACATATATTCACACAAAATCCTACACAGGAATGCTTGTAGCAGCATAATTTGTACCTCCAAACTGGAAACAATCCAGATTTCCTTCAGTGGATGAATGGTCAAACTGTGGTACGTCGATACCATGTGGTATACTACTCAGCAATAAAAAGAAAGGAATTATTGTTGATACACACAACTTCTCCAGGGAATTATGCTGAGTGGAAAAAAGCCAATCACAAAAGATTATATACTGTGTGATTCTATTCATGTAACATTCTTAAAATGACAAAATTATAGAAATGGGGAAAAGATGAGTGGTTGCCAGGGGTAAGAGTGGAGGGAGGATGTAGATACAGTTACAAAAAAGCAACAAGAGGCCAGGCGCAGTGGCTCAGGACTATAATCCCAGCACTTTGAGAGGCTAAGGCTGGTGGATCACTTGAGGTCAGGAGTTAGAGACCAGCCTGGGCAACAGAGTGAGACTCTGTCTCAAAAAAAAAAAAAAAAAACAACCCAAGAGGGACACTTGTGATGGAACTGTTTGGTATCTTGACTGTGATCGTGGTCACCTGAACCTACACATGTGACAACACTGCATACAATAAAACACACACACTCACACACATACACACACACACACACACACACACAGATGAGTGCATGAAAAACTGGTAAAATCTAAGATGGATCAATTGTACCAATATCCATTTTCTGGTTGTGATATTATTCTATAATTATGCAAGATGTTACCATTGGATGAAACTGGGTGAAAGCCATGTGGAATCCCATAATTGCATGTGAATCTCAATGAGCTCAAAACATAAAGGTTTTTTTAAAAGGCAAGTCTAATCACAGCCAATAAGCAGAGGATTCAGGTTAAGGAAACATTTGTGTTAACAAAAAGCAAAGGGTATGGATTTCTGAAGTCAGACTGGCCTCATTGGATGGAAGTAGCATGCGAAGAAGTGTCCAGAATGACCTTTGCCACCCAATCTGGAAGTCCCTAGGTTTAGCATGACATATTACTGACTTGAGATCAAGTCTACTAGGTAACTCTTTTTCCTACCCACAGGAAGGGGTGAATGAAGAAAATGCTCTGAAATGACAGGAGCTGCTGCCTCCCTCAAAGCCCAGGGGCTGAGGCTGCCCTCTCCTTCCCTGGGTGGGTAGTTCTGTTCTGTCTTATGTAGGTTTTGCAGCCTCCATCCCCTCATTCAGCTCCTCCAGTTCTGGGGACCTGCACAGCCCATTCACACACATTACCCTGCACTGGAAGGTGGGCCCATCTACAAGCTGGGCAGGCGGCCTCGTATAGTTCTCTCTACCTCGCCATCTTCCATCCTAGAGGGATCTAGGTATTTACTACGTTCTGAGAAGGAAAAGGTGACCCATCCCTCAGCTAGGCAAGCACACATACACAAAACCTCCAAGAATGTTCTATCACTTATTTAATTCAACTCAGGCAATATAATCCAACCCATATGGGTTGCAAGGTGTGAGGCTTCTCTCTATAAGCCTTGAGAAGTGCCATGCTCAAGGAATGGGATGCAGAGCAGTAGGAAGAAGGATGGACAAGACAACCACAATAGAAATCACTAGAAGGTTTTTGTAACAGGGGAGCCTGTGGGTTGAACAGCAAGTGTCAGAATTTCTTAGGAAATTAAATTCACATATCATATTTTAAAAAGTAAACTTTTTAAAATCAACATATAATAATTGTACATATTTATGGGGTACATAGTGATATTTTGATATATACAATGCATTGTGATCAGATTAGGCTAATTATCTTACCCTATTATTTCTTTGTATTGGGATTATTCAATCATTCAACATTCTCCTTCTAGCTATTTGCAACTATACATTATTGTTTACTACAGTGGTATAGAATGCTTAAAAAGTACACTTTTTTATCAAGCAAATTCACCAGAGTTGTAACAGTTTACATACAGGCATGCCTTTTTTATTGCACTTTGGAGATAATGTGTTTTTTACAAATTGCAGGTTTGTGGCAAGCTGGATTGAGCAAGTCTGTTGGCGCCATTTTTTCAACAGCATGTAGTCACTTTGTGTCTTCGTGTCACATTTTGCTAATTCTTACAATCTGTCTCGTGATTTTTTGGGGGGCACCATGGGGGGGCACCATGAACCACACCTATACAAGATGGCAAACTTAATCAATAAATGTTTATTTTCTAACTGCTTTACCAACTTGCCATTTCCCATCCTTCTCCCCCTCACCAGGCCTCCTTATTATCTGAGACAAAACAACACTGAAATTAGGCCAATTAGTGGCTCTCACCTATAATCCCAGCACTTTGAGAGGCTGAGGTGGGGGAATCACTTGAGCCCAGGAGTTCAAGACCAGCCTGGGCAACATAGTGAGACCCCCGTCTCTACAAAAAACAAAAAAAAAAAAAATTTTTTTTATGGAGTCTCGCTCTATCACCTAGGCTGGAGTATAGTGGTGTGATCTTGGCTCACTGCAACCTCCGCTTCCCAGGTTCAGGCAATTCCCCTGCCTCAGTCTCCCAGTCTCCTGGGATTACAGGCACGCACCACCACATCCAGCTATTTTTTTTTTTAATTTTATTTTTAGTAGAGACGGGATATCACCATGTTGGCCAGGCTGGTCTTGAACTCCTGACCTCAAGTGATCCGCCCACCTCAGCCTCTCAAAATGCTGGGGTTACAGGTGTGAGTCACGGCACCCAGCCAAAGTTTTTTTTTTAATTAGCCAGGCATGGTAGTGCACACCTGTAGTCCCAGCTTCACAGGAGGCTGGGGCAGGAGGATCACTTGAGCCCAGGAGTTCAAGGCTGCAGTGAGCTATGATAACACCACTGCACTCCAGCCTGAGGGACAGAGCCAGACCCTGTATAAAAAGTAAAATAAAATAAAAATAAAAATGAAAGAAAAGAAAAAGAAGAAGAGAAAAAGAAAATCGTCCAAGTAATATCCTATAATGGCCTAAAAAGTGTTTGAGTGAAAGATTCAGGAGAGTTGCATGTCTCTCACTCCAAATCAAAAGCTAAAAATGAAGCTTAGTGAGGAAGGCGTGATGAGCCAAAATCTAGGCCTCTTGGCCAAACAGCTAAGTTGTAAATACAAAGGAAAAGTTCTGAAGGAAATTAAAAGTGCTGCTCCAGTGAACATATGAATGATAAGAAAACAAAACGGTCTTATTGTTGATAAGGAGAAAGCTGGAGTGGTCTGGAGAGATGATCAAACCAGCCACAATATTCCCTTAAACCAAAGCCTAATCCAGAGCAACCCCTAACTCTCTTTAATTTTATGAAGCCTGAGAGAGGTAAGGAAATTGCAGAAGAAAAGTTTGAAGTTAGCAGAGTTTGGTTCCTGAGGTTTAAGGAAAGGAATTTCCTCCAGAACATAAAAGTGCAAGGTGAAGCAGCAAGTGCTGTAGAAGCTGCAGCAAAGTACCCAGAAGACCTAGTTAAGGTAATTGACGAAGGTGGCTACACTAAACTACAGAACTGTGTTATAGATGAAACAGTCTTCTCTTGGAAGAAGATGCCATTCACGATTTTCATAGCTAGAGAGAAATCAATGCCTGCCTTCAAAACTTCCAAGGACTGGCTGACTCTCTTGTTAGGGGCTAATGCAGCTGGAGACAAGCCAATGTTCTTTTACTATTTCAAAAATCCTGGGGCTCTGAAGAATTATGTGAAATCAACTCTGCCTGTGCTGTGTAAATAGAACAACAAAGCCTGGATGGCAGCACATCTGCTTACAGCATGGTTTACTAAATGTTTTCAGCCCACTGTTGAGACATACTGCTCAGAATAATAAAAAAGATTCTTTCAAAATATTTTTTACTGCTCATTGACAATGCATCTGGTCACTCAGGAGCTCTGATGGAGATATACAAGGAGGTTCATATTGTTTTAATGACTGTCAACACAACATCCATTCTGCACCCATGGATCAAGGAGTAATTTCAACTTTCAAGTCTTGTTATTTAAGAAAGACATTTTGTAAGAGTATAGCTGTCATAGACAGTGATTCCTCTGATGGATCTGGGCAAAGTAAATTGAAAACCTCTAGAAAGGATTCACCTTTCTAGATGTCATTGAGGACATTTGTGGAAGGAGGTCAAAATAGCAACATGAACAAGAGTTTGGAAGAAGTTGATTCCAACCCTCATGGATGGCTTTGAGGGATTTAAGACTTCAAAAGAGGAAGTCACTGCAGACATGGAGGAAACAGCAAGAGAACCAGAATTAAAAGCCTGAAAATGTGACTAAACTGCTAAAATCTCATGATAAAATTTGAACAGATCAGAAGTTGCTTCTTATGGTTGAGCAAAAAAAGTGGTTTCTTGGAATAGAATCTAATTCTGGTGAAGACGGTGTGAACATTGTTGAAATAACAACACAGGATTTGAAATATGACATAAACTTAGTTGATAAAACAATGACAGAGTTTGAGAGGATTGACTCCAATTTTGAAAGAAGTTCTACTGTGGGTAAAATGCTATCAAACAGCATCGCATGCCACAGGGAAATCCGTCATGAAAGGAAGAGTCAATTGATCTGGCAAACTTCATTGTTGTTTTATTTTTAAAAATTGCCACAGCCTCCCCAGCTTGTAGCAGCCACCACCCTGATCAGTCAGCAGCTATCAACACAAGGCAAGACCCTCCACCTGCAAAGATTACAACTCACTGAAGGCTCAGATGATCATTAGCATCTTAACAATAAAATATTTTTAAGATATGTACTTTTTTTTTTTTTAGAGATGGGGTCTTGCTCTGTTGCCCAGGCTGGAAGGCAGTGGCATGATCATAGCTCACTGCAGCCTTGAACTCCTGGGCTCAAGCGATCCTCCTGTCTCAGCCTCCTGAGTAGCTAGGACTACAGGTGCGCACCACCACACGCAGCTAACTTTTTGTATCTTTTGTAGACAGGGCAACTCACTCTCATCCAGGCTGGAGTACAGAACCACAATCATAGCTCACAGCAGCCTCAAACTCCTGGGCTCAAGTGATTCTCCCACTTTGGCCTCCCACAGTATTAGGATTACAGGTGTAAGCAACTGGGCCCAGCCTGGTTTTTCAGACATAATGTTACTGCACACTTAATAGACTACAGTATAGTGTAAACATAATTTTCATGTGTGCTGGGAAACCAAAAAATTCATGTGACTGGCTTTAGTGTGATATTTGCCTTGTTGTGGTGGTCTGGAACTGAACCCTCAATATCTTCAAGGGATGCCTGTATATTGAAGCTTGCGCCTACAGATGAATTTTTTAATGTGCCAGAATTTTCATTTGTTCAAACTATAAGTGTTTTTTCTTCAAACTTGGTGATTTTGTGAAGTCACCACAATAAAAATGTCTACATGATGGGCCCATGCAGACAGCTGAGGAAAGTCATGGTACAGACCCCTTTGCACAACCTGCTCCTGACCACCCAAAGCACAAAAGGTGGGTCCCATGTGAAAGTGCTGCTTTAAGGGGGCCAAGTGGAACCAACAATGCGATTCCCATGCCCCTTGTGAGGGGTGGGATGGGAGCCATCGCATTTGCTGGTAGCCAGTTATATGCTCTTTGATTCAACCCAGTATCTGTTGTAGAAGAGGCAATGGCCCCTTTAAGACCCTCATTTCAACCCTCGGAAGGCCCAAAGACAAATTAATACCTGTTGATCAGTCTTCTCCAGCCAAGCTTTTTAAGATCAGGGTCCTTTTAAGAAGATGTTCCGCTTTGATTGTGCCCGGCCCCTAGAGAATCTTTTGCTTCAGATCCTCCCGGTAATGGGTGGTGTCTGGTCATTCTCCCCCCACCGCTCAGAGCCCCATAGGCGATGTAGGATCAGGCCCTTCAAAACAGCAAGTGTGCAGGGCAGAACAAAATGCCCAAGTCTGGCCTCACATTGAACTTTTCTTAATGACTACTGATCTACAAAACGCTGATTAAACAAAATTAGAAAACAAAAAAAATGGTTTCTGTTCTGAATTTTGCATGAAAACGTTTTTGTTCACGTTAATGAAGGTGGCAGAAGAAAAAATTGCTATGGTTTTCCACTCCTGTAAACATATCTGCTCTGGTTCCAAATCTTATCACTTCCACGGCTGGGAAGATAACAAAGCAATTCAGGGCCTACTAGAGAAAGTAGACTTGACATTGGCACAAATCTCTTTGTCAAGAGACAGAGAGGCTGAGCCTTCTCTGAGCAGTGTCTTTGAATATCTTAGTTGACAGTATGATCAAAGCATTGCAAGACTGCCAGTTCCAAGACAACTATGCAGTTCAGGGGGTTTGCCTCACAGACTATGCAGGAGCCTGAGCCAATACAATGTGCAAGAAAGGAACTAGCTCACAAAAGCTGAATTTAAGGCTTGCAAGACCCAGGGACGCGATCTAGGTAAGGAGTTGGCACAGCGTTTCATAGACAAGTCCCTGAGGCAAAGTGAGGTACTTCTTGTCAAAGGTGTTGCTGTGGAAAATAATAGCCAGGGAGTATTGCACTGTTTGCAATCCATTTGATGACCTAAAACATTGTCTTTGAGCAATGTCTGGTTGTCTGGGAGCTATGTACCCTGACGGCACTTTCCTGGCCATTCCTGGAGATTCCTTAATTACCTTTACATCTTGGTTACTCCTTTGAGAGACACACTCAGAATGAACCTCTTGAAACCACCTATTGTTTTTATTGCAGGAGTGATTTTGAAGGTATTGTCCCTTTTATATCACACAAGGGCCTCCTGGGAGTGATAAGAACAGAAGTTCCTGGAAAGTTTCTGTTTCTCCTGATAGCTGGGATTTTTTTATTCTAATGATTGTGTGGCTCTTGTTATTGATGCCATTGTCTACTTTGGTTTCAGCTGCTGAGAAGTTCAGAGTCAAACCTGAATCTCACCTCTGCAAAGAGCACAGGACTCCATGGCAAACGTTGTATATACGCAAGTCATCCCTGGCACCACATTGATTTACTGCACCAGGCTTTCTTCATTGTGATGATGTTCTCTCTCTTTTCTAAAAAAAAAATAAAAATAAAATTTAAAAAATCCTGTTTTACTGTGCACATTTCTGCAAGCCACAAAAATACTCCTTGGGGGATAGATAACATATAAACAAGTGAACCAACAAATCAGACAGGTAATTGGCAGAAATAACTTGTTTAAAATACTTTTACCTGCTTTTTGGAGTTGGGGGAGGAGTAATCTGGCCTTGTCTGTCTTTAAAAGGCTGTGTTTGCAAACTAACATCTGCTATGTTGAGTGAAGAACGTGTTTATAAATGACCGTTGGTATTTTTAACTTCTGATGAAGGCGACTATTGGCCTTCGTCCAAGTGATGTTCCACGAAGAGCTTCTGCTGAGTTCTACAAGAGCACTCTGGGAGTGTTTCCCAAGACAAAGCTGACTTCTAGGTAGCTATGGGGAGTGCCTGGGCTGCGGTGAAAATCAGCAGGACGGACTGGAAGAACCAGAGGTCTGTGTGGGAAGTGTCAGCCCCTTCCTCCTGCCTCCTTCCCTTGGTCGGTGTACATGCTCCACTTTCTCCTGTGGGACTTAGTTTTCTCATCAGAAAAATGAGAAGAGCTGCTTACTGGTTAGGTCTGGTTAGGAAGAGAGAAAGACAGGACAAGTATGGAACTTTCCCTGGGGGAGCAACCCAAGCCTAGCTGACTCGCATGGAAGGGTAGCTCTCCCTACTTCTCAATCTTCCCTCCCTCACTCCCTCTCCCTTCCTTCCTTCCTTCCTTCCTCCCTCCCTCCCTTCCTTTTTCTTTCTTTCTCTTTTTTCTTTCTTTCTTTCTTCCTTCTTTCTTCTTTCTTTCTTTCTTCCTTCTTTCTTCTTTCTTTCTTTCTCTCTCTTTCTTTCTTTTTCTTTCTTTCTTTCTTCTTTTGAGATGGAGTCCCACTCTGTTGGCCAGCCTGGAGTGCAGTGGCATCATCTCAGCTCACTGCAACCTCTGCCTCCCAAGTGATTCTCCTGCCTCAACCTCCCAAGTAGCTGGTACTGCAGGCACATGCCACCACACTCAGCTATTTTTTTTATTTTTAGTAGAGACAGGATTTCACCATGTTGGCCAGGCTGGTCTCGATCTCCTGACCTCAGGTGGTCCACCCACCTCGCCTCCCAAAGTGCTGGGAGTACAGGTGTGAGCCAGTTGGCCTGGCCCTACTTTTCAATCTTGTCTGTGACTGGCTCTATGAGGCCATCAGCTCCTGTCCCTGAAACACAGAGACTTTGGGGAAAAAAGGTGGAGACAGGAGAGTAAACCAGACACCCTGTTTAAGAAAATGATGGCTATGTGGGAGGATAGTGTGAGGATTACCGTATTTTTCAGACATCAAGCAATGTCTGTTCCCTTCACTTACAGTCTCAGTTTTTTCTGTTATTTCTCTCTCCCTCATATCATTTCTAAAAACTAGACATCTTTTTAAAAATGTTTTGTTATTGTGGTAAAATATATGTAGTATGACATTTACCATTTTTAAGTATACAGTTCAGTGGCATTAAGTACATTCCCACTGTGTGCTACCATCACTAACATCCACCCCCAGAACTTTTTTCATCTTGCAAAACTGACACTGTTCCCATTGAACAATAACTCCCAGTTCCCCACTCTTCCCCTACCCTCTAGCAACCACCATTCTAGTTTCTATCTCTATGAATTTGACTACTTTTAGTAAGTACCTCGTGTAAGTGGAATCATACAGTATTTGTCCTTTTGGGACTAGCTTATTTCACTTAGCATAGTGTTTTCAAGGTTCATCTATGTTGTAGCATATAGCAGAATTTCCTTCATTTTTAGGGCAGAATACTATTTCATTGTATGTATATACCACACTTTGTTTATCCATTCATCTGTGGATGAACATCTGGGTTGTTTTCACCTTTTGGCTATTGTGAATAATGCTGCTATGAACCCAGTGGGTGTACAACTATCTGTTTGAATTCCTGTTTTCAATTATTTGGGATAGATACCTAGAAATGAAATTGCAGGACCATGAATTTTTTTTTTTTTTTTTTTTGAGATGGAGTCTCACTCTGTCACCCAGGCTGGAGTGCAATGGCACGATCTCAGCTCACTGCAATCTCCACCTCCCGGGTTCAAGCAATTCTCCTGCCTCAGCCTCCCAAGCAGCTGGGATTACAGGCACGTGCCACCACACCTGGCTAATTTTTTATATTTTTGGTAGAGATGGGTTTTCACAATGTTGGCCAGGCTGGTCTCGAACTCCTTACCTCAAGTGATCCCCAACCTCAGCCTCCCAAAGTGCTGGGATTACAGGCGTGAGCCACCACGCCTGGCCCCATGAACATTTTTAAAAGTGTTTTTATGAACACTTTTATGAACTGAACATTTTTTACAGCCACTAGAGTAGAGAGGACAGTATAAGAAGTCTCATGTACCCATAACCCAGCTTCAACCATTACCAACTGATGGCCAAACTTATTGCCTCCATACTCTACTCCCTCCACCACTGGAGCTCTTTAAAGCAAACTGAAAACATCATATCATTTCACTCATAAATATTTTAGAGTCTACCTCTAGCAGAAATGATTTAGATGCTTCTTAAAGAATAACATATGAGTGCCTAATTATTAAACACCAATATGGGTAAATACTCATTGAACAATCAATCATCATTCTTTGAAACTATGTTTAAAGTGGCAGCCTTTTGTTTTTTGTGTTGTTGTTGTTGTTGTTGTTGTTGTTACAGAGTTTCACTCTTGCTGCCCAGACTGGAGTGCAATGGCGTGATCTCGGCTCACCGCAACCTCTGCCTCCCAGGTTCCAGGGATTCTCCCACCTCAACCTCCTGAGTAGCTGGGATAACAGGCATGCGCCACCACGCCCTGCTAATTTGGCATTTTTTTAGTAGAGATGGGGTTTCTCCATGTTGGTCGGGTTGGTATCAAACTCCCGACCTCAGGTGATTCAACTGCCTTGGCCTCCCAAAGTGCTGGGATTACAGGCGTGAGCCATGGTACCTGGCCTGGCAGCCTTTTAAATAAATGTTTTATTATGAAAATTTTCAGACATTCCACAGACTAGAGAGAATTGAACAATGAATCCCAATGTGCCATCACCCAGCTTCAAATTCTATCCATAGCAAAATGATATTCTGTTTAAAAATGTAAGTGCTAGGTTATTCAAATGACATTTTATTCCTCTGTAAGAGAGGACAGGGACTGGAATGGAAGTGACAACAGGGAGAACCTTTTAATTCTGGAAAGGTGTATTACTCATCACTAAAAGCACATATTTTTAAATGACTGAATCCATAAATATCAGCCTGAGTTCTCAGCCACAAATGTGAGTGGTGGTTTGTCTGAGCTCACCTGTCTTTCCTGTCTGGCCTAAGTCTGGGTGACTTTCAGCTTTCCCAAGCTAGGTAGTTATTTTCAGAAAGAACAAGTTGACATTAAACTAAAGAGAATGACTCAGAAGTTATCTCTACTTTTACCATAAGCACAAAAAATGTACAGTCACCAATTGATGTTGTACAGATAGACGTCCAACTTTTTATTTAATGAGGAATTTGTATAATTAATTTTACAGACAGGCATTTTCCAGTTACTTTGTCAACGATTTCATCCCTTGGCTTTTGTTGCATAGCAAATCACTCCCAAAATTTAGTGGCTTAAAAAAACAATCATCATGATGAAAGAGTTTTCCCTGTTAGATATCAAAACCTATTTATATGTCATTGATTTTAAGCCATTTTATTATCTTTGAAATGAGGCTGCCTCTAGCAATCTACGACATTGTATAATTTTCTGTTCACCAGCAATCGTCATGACATTTGTTGCTGCCTGTACAAAACTGAACTTCATCATGGCTGTTCACATTATCATAACTTCAATTCAGTTGTGTGCGTTATTATATGTGTGTGTTGAGTTAAGCAATCTTCAAAAAGATTACACTACAATTCATCATGGAAACGAGAAGTTATTGTTTATCCAGAAAGGTGCTGAAACAGATCAATTGGGTAGAAAGTTGATATTTGTGAAACAGATGTTCATTGTTGGAGAAATGACTTTGATTAAATAGATACTTCCCTTGCAGACTTGTGCTTTATGAGACCCAAGAAAGAATAAGATGACATTGCGTTACATTTTGTAACTGAGATGTGTACAGAAGAATTGCCCAACACATACTAAAAAACTTCTCAAGATGGGTGTCAGAAGCTTGACAAAAAATTCTGTAATCAATAGTTCAGCACTGAGAAATGCTACATCACAAATGCTCCTGATGGCTGCAAGTAGCAGAAAACCTAAAATAACATGGGCTCAACAAGCTATAAGTTCATTTTTCAGCGACATAAAAGAATTCCAGAGGTAGCCTGTACAGGATTGGCAGATAGTGTCACAAAGTTATTGGGGACCTAGGTTCATTTTATGTTGCTGCTCTGCTATCCTACACACAACTCCACCTCGTGGTGGAACGTAGCTGCTTCAGATCCAGACATCATGTCCACATTCCAGCTAGCTGATTGATTAAATAATGAAGAGAGAAAAAGTGGTAGATACCAGCTGACTTTTTAGAGAACTTCCCAGAAGTTGTCATACAATATGTACTCTAATTCATTGATCAGAACTCCTAGTTACAAGGATTGCTAATAAATGTCTTCTTTATTCATGTAGCCATGTGTATTAGTCTGTTCTCATGCTGCTAATAAGGACTTACCTGAGACTGGATAATTTATAAAGAAACAAGGTTTAATGAATTCACAGTTCCACATGGCTGGGGAGGCCTTACAATCATGGCTGAAGGCAAATGAGGCGCAAAGTCACATCTTTTTTTTTTTTTTATACTTTGAGTTCTAGGGTACATGTGCATAACATGCAGGTTTGTTACGTATGTATACATGAGCCATGTTGGTGTGCTGCACCCATTAACTCGTCATTTACATTAGGTATATCTCCTAATGCTATCCCTCCCCCCTCCCCCCACCCCCCGACAGGCCCCAGTGTGTGATGTTCCCCTTCCTATGTCCATGTGTTCTCGTTGTTCAATTCCCACCTATGAGTGAGAACATGCGGTGTTTGGTTTTCTGTCCTTGCGATAGTTTGCTGAGAATGATGGTTTCCAGCTTCATCCATGTTCCTACAAAGGACATGAACTCAACCTTTTTTATGGCTGCATAGTATTCCATGGTGTATATGTGCCACATTTTCTTAATCCAGTCTATCATTGATGGGCATTTGGGTTGGTTCCAAGTCTTTGCTATTGTGAATAGTGCTGCAATAAACATACGTGTGCATATGTCTTTATAGCAGCATGATTTATAATCCTTTAGGTATATACCCAGTAATGGGATGGCTGGGTCAAATGGTATTTCTAGTTCTGGATCCTTGAGGAATTGCCACACTGTCTTCCACAATGGTTGAACTAGTTTACACTCCCACCAAAGGTGTAAAAGCATTCCTATTTCTCCACATCCTCTCCAGCACCTGTTGTTTCCTGACTTTTTAATGATCGCCATTCTAACTGGTGTGAGATGGTATCTCATTGTGGTTTTGATTTGCATTTCTCTGATGGCCAGTGATGATGAGCATTTTTTCATGTGTCTTTTGGCTGCATAAATGTTTTCTTTTGAGAAGTGTCTATTCATATCCTTTGCCCACTTTTTGATGCTGTTGTTTGATTTTTTTCTTGTAAATTTGTTTAAGTTCTTTGTAGGTTCTGGATATTAGCCCTTTGTCAGATGGGTAGATTGCAAAAATTTTCTCCCATTCTATAGGTTGCCTGTTCACTCTGATGGTAGTTTCTTTTGAAGTGCAGAAGCTCTTTAGTTTAATTAGATCCCATTTGTCAATTTTGGCTTTTGTTGCCATTGCTTTTGGTGTTTTAGACATGAAGTCCTTGCCCATGCCTATGTCCTGAATGGTATTGCCTAGGTTTTCTCCTAGGGTTTTTATGGTTTTAGGTCTAACATTTAAGTCTTTAATCCATCTTGAATTAATTTTTGTATAAGGTGTAAGGAAGGGATCCAGTTTCAGCTTTCTACATATGGCTAGCCAGTTTTCCCAGCACCATTTATTAAATAGGGAATGCTTTCCCCATTGCTTGTTTTTGTCAGGTTTGTCAAAGATCAGATGGTTGTAGATGTGTGGTATTATTTCTGAGGTCTCTCTTCTGTTCCATTGGTCTATATCTCTGTTTTGGTACCAGTACCATGCTGTTTTGGTTACTGTAGCCTTGTAGTATAGTTTGAAGTCAGGTAGCGTGATGCCTCCGGCTTTGTTCTTTTGGCTTAGGATTGTCTTGGTAATGCAGGCTCTTTTTTGGTTCCATATGAACTTTAAAGTAGTTTTTTCCAATTCTGTGAAGAAAGTCATTGGTAGCTTGATAGGGATGGCATTGAATCTATAAATTACCTTGGGCAGTATGGCCATTTTCACGATGTTGATTCTTCCTATCCATGAGCATGGAATGTTCTTCCATTATTTGTGTCCTCTTTTATTTCGTTGAGCAGTGGTTTGTAGTTCTCCTTGAAGAGGTCCTTCACATGCCTTGTAAGTTGGATTCCTAGGTATTTTATTCTCTTTGAAGCAATTGTGAATGGGAGTTCACTCACGTTTTGGCTCTCTGTTTGTCTGTTATTGGTCTATAGGAATGCTTGTGATTTTTGCACATTGATCTTGTATCCTGAGACTTTGCTGAAGTTGCTCATCAGCTTAAGGAGACTTTGGACTGAGACAGTGGGGTTTTCTAAACATAGAATCATGTCATCTGCAAACAGGGACAATTTGACTTCCTCTTTTCCTATTTGAATACCCTTTATTTCTTTCTCTTGCCTGATTGCCCTGGCCAGAACTTCCAACACTATGTTGAATAGGACTGGTGAGAGAAGGCACCCCTGTCTTGTGCTGGTTTTCAAAGGGAATGCTTCCAGTTTTTGCCCATTCAGTATGATATCGGCTGTGGGTTTGTCATAAATAGCTCTTATTATTTTGAGATATGTCCCATCAATACCTAATTTATTGAGAAGTTTTAGCATGAAGGGCTGTTGAATTTTGTCGAAGGCCTTTCCTGCATCTATTGAGATAATCATGTGGTTTTTGTCTTTGGTTCTGTTTATATGATGGATTACGTTTATTGATTTGCGTATGTTGAACCAGCCTTGCATCTCAGGGATGAAGCCCACTTGATCGTGGTGGATAAGCTTTTTGATGCCAAAGTCACATCTTACACGGCGGCAGGCCAGAGAGCATGTGTAGGGGAACTTCCCTTTATAAAACCATCAGATCTCCTGAGACTTTTTTACTTAAAAGAGAACAACATGGGAAAGACCTGCCCCCATGATTCAATTACCTCCCAACGGGTGCCTCCATGACAAGTGGGAATTATTACAATACAAGGTGAGATTTGGGTGGGGACACAGAGCCAAACCACATCACCATGCATCTAACTAAAAATCAGAAGTTCCATTATTGAGGAAGAACAGAAGAATGGGTTTGGAAAACCAGCAGTCTCAACCACATGAAAGTTTTCAGGTTTATTGGTATAAAACTATTGCACTCTTTTTGTTTTTAAAATCTCAATTGTATCAGTAATTATTTTCACTACTTTGGTCCTAATATTTTATAT
Organism: Homo sapiens; assembly: GCF_000001405.40. Classification (NCBI taxonomy): domain Eukaryota; kingdom Metazoa; phylum Chordata; class Mammalia; order Primates; family Hominidae; genus Homo; species Homo sapiens. The sequence goes on along the minus strand of NC_000009.12, from coordinate 69,289,137 downwards.
TTGTGTCCTTTCTGTCTTTTCTTGGTCAGTCAGGCTAGCACTTTGTCTGTTTCATATTTTGTGTCAAAGTAACACCTTTAGGATTGTTGATCTTCTCTATTAATTCTTATTTTCTAGTTTTTGCATTTTTCCTTTATTATTTCATTTTATTTGCTTACTTTAGGTTATTCTATTGTTCTTTTTCTAGGTTCTTGAATTGGATACATAATTCATTTATTTTCAAACTTGTTTTTCAAAAATAATAAGGAATTAGACTATCATGTGGTTCCTGGCACATAGCTCCTAATCCCGTGGAATTTCCTGGGTGATAGGCATATCTTTTGTTCTAGTGAAGTGGCTCTTGGTGAGCTCTTGGATGGCGGCTGGTCACCAGAAAGACCAAGCCATAATTAGAAGCGTGGAACTTTCAGCCTCAACCCCCATCTTCCAGAAAGGGAAGAGGGGATGGAGACTGAGTTAATAATCATGCCTACCTGATGAAACCTCCATAAAAATCCCTGAACGGAATTCAGAGAGCTTCTAGGTTTTGGAACATGCGGAGGTGCCTGGAGGATGGAGCAGCCAGAGAAGGTATAGAAGCTCCACGCCCCTTCCCATCTGCCTTGCCCTGTGCATCTTCAGAAGACACCTGGCTGGTCATCTGCATCCTTTGTAATATCCTTTATATAAATGGGTAAACATAAGTACAATGTTTCCCTCGGTTCTGTGAGCTGCTCTTGTAAACTAATTAAACACAAAGACAAGGTCATGGTCGCCCCCAATTTATAGCTGGTTGGTCAGAAGTCTGCGTCAAATATGACCTGGGATTTGTAACTGGCATCTGAAGTGGGAACAGTGTTGTGAGACTGAGCCTTTAATCTGTGAGATCTGATGCTATCTCCAGGTAAGTAGTGTCAGAATTGAATTAAATTAACTCATTGTCCGCTGGAGAACTGGTTGTTGGTGGGGGAAGTCCCCACACATTTTGTTGATTAGAGGTGAAGTATTTTGTATTGAATGTATTGGGAGTTAGAGTAGGAAAAACAGTTTGGTTTTTCCTATCTCAAACAACTATACATACTGTTTTAGAGGCAATAAGTTTATGTATACTACCTTCCTAGTCACTTAGTTCTAAATATTATGTAATTCCTAGTGATTTCCTCCTAAACCCAAAAGACATTCAAGAGATCACTTTTAAAGCTCCTAATACATGTGTGATTTTAAAATGTCTTTCTACTTTAATTTCATCATGATTAGTAAAATGTTGTCTGAGCTGAAATATCAGTCCTTGGAAGTGTGTTGAGATTTCCTTTGAAAATAGTGAGTGGGCAATCTTTTGTAAATATCTCATGTTATTGCAAAAGAATGTCTAAATCAAGTTTGCTTGTTAATTTGATTGTTAAATCTTTTAAATCATTATCTTTTTAAAATATATATATATTTCTATTAGAATTATGCTAAAATCTTTAATATGTTTGTGGATTTGTTCACGTCTTCTTATAATTCTGGCAGTTTCATATTTTGTAGTTGTTAGGTACAGTGGTCCCTCTTTACTCCGTTAATGCTTTTGTTTATTAAATTTTTCTGCTTTAAGAAGCTTTCTTTTGTTTAGTATTTGCTTGCTATATCTTTCGCCATTCATCTGTTTTCAACTTTTCTGTGTGTCTTTGTTTTAGTTGTCTCTGTTGTAAGTACAGGTTTTGTTTTGTTGGTGTTGTTGTTGTTTCCTTAAAATAGGGTCTCATTCTGTCACCCAGACTGGAATGCAGTGGTGTGATCTCAGCTCACTGCAAACCCTGACTCCCTGGCTCAAGTGATCCTCCCACCTCAGCCTCCCGAGTAGCTGGGACTACAGGCACGCACCACCATACCCAGCTAATTGTTTTATTTTTGCAAAGATGGCATTTCACTGTTGTCCAAGCTGGTCTTGAATTTCTGGGCTCAAGCAATCCACCTGCTTTGGACTCCCAAATGGTGGGACTACAGGTCTGAGCCACTGCACCTGGCTGGCATAAGTATAGTTATACCTCAAAGACCCAATTTGATTATGTCTGTCTTTAATAAACAAATGTAGTATATTTAACTTTGTTGTATTTACTGATTCGTTTTGACCTTTTTCTACCATATATTGTCTATTTTATCTCAAGATATTTTTATTTTTTTCTCTTTTCTAGACTGATGGATTGATAACATTTTCTGCATTTTCCCTTCTTTTCTCCCTAGGGTGATTTGTATTCTATACTTGCATGGCTTGTGCTTTTAGTGTTACCCTAAGGCCAGCCTTTTTTTTCTGTAAATGTTGAAAGCTATTCAATATTTCAATGCTACTGCAAGACTTGAAAAAGGCCTATGATTTACACACAGAAATCCTTTTGCCCACCTCCATCCTTTCATGTTACTGTTGACCTGAATTTTAGCTTATCCTTTCTTCTAACAAAACATAGTTATATCTTGGGGTTTATAACACATATGGATTGAACACATATGTCAATAATAGCACAGGGTGGGGTATGAACCTATCATGGAACAATGTTGCTATATTTTAGCAGAATTAGTGTTAATCTGGAGTAGATTATCAGAAGTTAAATATCATATTATAATCCTTGGAGCAACTGCTTTAAAATTAAAAAGCTAGAGCAGAACTGAAGGAGATAGAGACACAAAAAACCCTTCAAAAAAATCAATGAATCCAGGAGCTGGTTTTTTGAAAAAGTTAACAAAATAGACCGCTAGCTAGACTAGTAAAGAAGAAACAATAGAAGAATTAAATAGGGCACAAAAAAAATGATAAAGGGGATGCCACCACTGACCCCACAGAAATACAAACTACCATCAGAGAATACTGTAAACAGCTCTACACAAATAAACTAGAAAATCTAGAAGAAATTGATAAATTCCTGGACACATACCACCTCCCAAGAGTAAACCAGGAAAAAGTCAAATCCCTGAATAGACCAATAACAAGTTCTGAAATTGAGGCAGTAATTAATAGCTTACCAACCAAAACAAGCCCAGGACCAGATGGATTCACAATTGAAATCCACCAGAGGTACAAAGAGGAGCTGGTACCATTCCTTCTGAAACTATTCCAAACAACTGAAAAGGAGGGACTCCTCCCTAACTAATTTATGAGGCCAGCATCATTCTGATACCAAAACCTGGCAGAGACACAATAAAAAAAGAAAATTTCAGGCCAATACCCCTGATGAACATGAATGTGAAAATCCTCAATAAAATACTGGCAAACCAAATCCAGCAGCACATCAAAAAGCTTATCCACCATGATCAAGTTGGCTTTATCCCTGGGATGCAAGGCTGGTTCAACATATGCAAATCAATAAACGTAATCTATCACATAAACAGAACCAAAGACAAAAACCACATGATTATCTCAATAGATGCAGAAAAGACCTTCAATAAAATTTAAAATTCCTTTTTGTTAAAAATTCTCAATAAACTAGGTATTGATGGAACATATCTCAAAATAATATGAACTGTTTATGACAAACCCACAGCCAACATCATACTGAATGGGCAAAAGCTGGAAGCATTCCCTTTGAAAACTGATACAAGACAAGCATGCCCTTTCTCACCACTCCTTTTCAGCATAGTATTGGAAGTTCTGGTCAGGACAATCAGGCAAAAGAAAGAAATAAAGCATATTCAAATAGGAAGAGAGGAAGTCTAACTGTCTCTGTTTGCAGACGACATGATTCTATATGTAGAAAACCCCATCGCCTCAGCCCCAAAACTCCTTAAGACGATAAGCAACTTCAGCAAAGTCTCAGGATACAAAATCAATGTGCAAAATTCACAAGCATTCCTATACTGCAACAATAGATGAGCAGAGAGCCAAATCATGAATGAACTCCCACTCACAATCGCTGCAAAGAGAATAAAATACCTAGGAATACAGCTAACAAGGGACATAGAGGACCTCTTCAAAGAGAACTACAAACCACTGCTCAAGGAAATAAGGGAGGACACAAACCAATAGAAAAACATTCCAACTTCATGGATAGGAAGAATCAGTATTGTGAAAATGGCCATACCGCCCAAAGTAATTTATAGATTCAATGCTATTCCCATCAATCACTGACATTCTTCACAGAATTAGCAAAAACTACTTTAAATTTCACATGGAACCAAAAAAAGAGCCCATACAGCCAAGACAATCCTAACCAAAAATAACAAAGCTGGAGCCATCACATTACCTGACTTCAAACTATACTACAAGCCTACAGTAACCAAAACAGCATGGTACTGATATCAAAACAGACATACAGAAAAATGGAACAGAACAGAGACCTCAGAAATAACACCACACGTCTATAATCATCTGATCTTTGACAAACCTGACAAAAACGAGCAATGGGGAAAGAATTCCCTACTTAATAAATGGTGCTGGGAAAACTGGCTAGCCATATGCAGAAAACTGAAACTTGGACCCCTTCCTTACACCTTATACAAAAATTAACTCAAGATGGATTAAAGATTTAAATGTAAAACCCAAAACCATAAAAACCCTAGAAGAAAACCTAGGCAATACCATTTAGGACATAGGCATGGGCAAAGATTTCATGAAGAAAATGCCAAAAGCAATTGCAACAAAAGCCAAAATTGACAAACGGGATCTAATTAAACTAAAGAGCTTCTGCATAGCAAAAGAAACTATCATCAGAGTGAACAGGCACCCTACAGAATGGGAGAAAAATTTTGCAATCTACTCATCTCACAAAGGTCTTATATCCAGAATCTACAAAGAACTTAAACAAATTTACAAGAAAACAAATAAACAACCCCATCAGAAAGTGGGCAAAGGATATGAACAGATACTTCTCAAAAGAAGACGTTTATGCGGCCAACAAACATATGAAAACAAGCTCAACATCACTGATCATTAGAGAAATGCAAATCAAAACCACATGAGATACCATCTCATCCCAGTCAGAAACAATAGATGCTGGTGAGGCTGTGGAGAAATAGGAATGCTTTTACACTGTTTGTGGGAATGTAAATTAGTTCAACCATTGTGGAAGACAGTGTGGCAATTCCTCAAGGATCTAGAACCAGAAATACCATTTGACCCAGCAATCCCATTAGTGGATATACAACCAAAGGAATTTAAATCATTCAACTATAAAGTTATATGCACAGGTATTTTTATTGCAGTACTATTTACAATAGCAAAGACATGGAACCAACCAAAATGCCCATCAGTGATGGACTGCATAAAGAAAATGTGGTATATATACACCATGGAATACACTGCAGACATAAAAAGGAATGAAATCACGTCCTTTGTACGGAAATGGATGATGCTGGAAGCCATCATTTTCAGCAAACTAACCCAGGAACAGAAAACCAAACACCGTATGTTCTCACTCATAAGTGGGAGTTGAACAATAAAAACAGAGAGAAACAACACACACTGGGGCCTGTCGGGGGGTGAGGGGCAAAGAAGAAATAAAATGCTTTCCAATTTTTACAGTTGATAATTAATTATATTCACTGACATATTGTTTCAATTTCTGTGTTCACCATTTTATCTTGTTTATCTTTTTAGATTAACTTCACTTCCAATTGAACACATCATTTAATAATTCTTTTGGTGAAAGTCTGGGAGTATTAAACCATCTTAGTTTTTGTATGTCTGAATAATCTACATTTTGCTTTCACTCTTTTTGATGGTTGAGATGAATATAAAAACTATGGATTTCATGAAAAACATTTTTTCTTACCCCTACTTATTGGAGTCAAACTCCTGGCTGACTATGCCTGCTCCCAAAACTAAAGCCCAGCAGGTTTGTGGTGCCAATCCGGCTATTATTCTGCATTTCTGTTCTGTTTGTTCTGCTCTCAGCATGTCTTTGCATTTGGATATGTCTTCCATACTTTCCTTCACTAGGACTCATTCTCAAACATGAATGGTCAGCCAAGGATCACCAAACACTTGAGGAAAGCCTCTCTCACAAGAAGGAGATTAAGGAAACAAAAGGAATAAGGAGCTCAGAGGAAACAGACAATGAAGAAAGCAGGAAAAGATTAAAGCAAAACAAAACACTGTTATTTTCAGTGCGATGATAGACAATAGTAAATTGGAAGAGGATTTCTTTAAAGGAACAAAGAACAAGAAAGTGAAATAGCAGCAATACATTTTTACTAGAATATTTAGAAGATAACATTGAGAATATCTCAACAGCAAAAAATAAAATAAATCTCAATAGCAAGAAATAAAATAAAATAATTTTTTGAGAAATTGATGCTCTTTTGGTAAAAAAAAAAAAAATTTGAGAAAATCTCACAGAAAAAACACAAAGACAAAACAGATGGATAATAAGAGAAAAAACATGAGAAAAACTAGAAAATGAATTTAGGAGATCCAATATCTTATGAATAGGAGGTCCAGAAAGGGAAAAAAGAAGGAAGAAAATTAACAAACGATTTTTTAAAGTCAGAACTGACAAACCTAAGTCTTCAGACTGAAAGACCCACAACATGCCCAAGTGCAATGAATAAAAAAGTGCTCACTCACATATATATCTCTGGGAAATATTAAAACATCAGACATAAATAAAGTGCCTAAGAGCATCACAAGATCCAAAATAAATAAACTGTTCATACATGAAGAATCAGGAATCAGAATGGCCCTGGTCTTCTAGCATCACTGGGTACTATGTTTTCAACCTTAATTCTACTCCCACATTGAAAATGAAGTGCAATGGGGGAGGGCGCGGTGGCTCACTCCTGTAATCCCAGCATTTTGGGAGGCCAAGGCGGGCGGATCACTTGAGGTCAGGAGTTCGAGACCAGCCTGGCCAACATGGTGAAACCACGTCTCTACTAAAAATACAAAAAAAATTAGCTAGGTGTGGTGGTGCATGCCTGTAATCCCAGCTACTCGGGAGGCTGAGGCAGGAGAATCGCTTCAACTCAGAAGGCAGAGGTTGCAGTGAGCAGAGAACATGCCATTGCACTCCGGCCTGAGTGACAGAGTGAGACTCCATCTCAAAAACAAAAAAACAAAACAAACAAACAAAATGACGTGTAATGGCTGGGTGCAGTGGTTCACACCTGTAATCCCAGCACTTTGGGAGGCCGAGGTGGGTGAATCACTTGAGGTCAGGAGTTCGAGACCAGACTGGCCAACATGACAAAACCCTGTCTCTCCTAAAAATACAAAAAAAATTTAGCCAGGCATGGTGGGGCGCACCTATAATCCCAGCTACTTAGGTGGCTGAGGCAGGAGAATTGCTTGAACCTGGGAGGTGGAGGTTGCAGTGAGCCGAGATGACACCACTGCACTCTAGCCTGGGTGACAGAGTGAGACGCTGTCTCAAAAAATAATAATAATAATAAAAATAAAAATGAAGTGTAAAGACAGAGCAAAATTATTTTGAGACATGCAAAGTCTTTAAACATGTATCTGCCTTGCACTGTCTCAAGAAGCTACTGGAAGGCAATATTCTCACAAAAATAAGCAAAAAACGAGTAAGTAAACCAAGAATGAAAGACATGGGAGAATTAACATGGGTGCCCAGAAAGGGAAAATCCAGATGACAGCTGTGAATCAGGCCTCGGGAGCAAGCAGTCCATCGGGGCACCATCACAAAGAGCTACAGGAGGGAGGACTCTGGGGGTAAATGAGCTGGCAGAGTGTTTGAGCATTTGGGAAATGACTGATAGGCCCATTAAGAGACTTATCAGAGAATTAGGAAACACATAGAAAACTAAACAAGTGGAAAAAATGAAGTAATTACTAACTCCAGGAATAAGTGAATAATTAAGGATAAAGGATAAACAATATGAATGCTCTCTGAGTCAAAGTGCCATAAAAATGGCATGAGCATCATCATGTAAACACGATTTAACTCAAAACTGTGATAGAGATTTAGCAGAGATTATTAGCTGCCTACCCAATGTACATTTCCCCCACCTTCTGTAGTATGTGAACCCCAACTTTATTTATTTCGGTAAAATGTCCCAAGCTAAAAATACGACATGTTCCAGCTTCCCTGGCAGTTAAGTAGGCCAAGTTTTGCCACTAAGATGTAAGTGAGGATACTGTGTAGGACTGCTGAGAAGGCTCCTTATAGGCGCCGATTTTGCTGAGAGAGGAGCTGCCTTTCCCCTTACCTCCTGTCCGAGATGGTGCTCACAAATATTCACTGGCCCTCCCTAGGAGAAAACTATCATTCCCTACCCCATCAACTCAGGCTTGGCCATGTGTCTCATTTTGTATAGTGATATATGAGCAGAGATGACACAAGTCACTTCCAATTAGAAAGTACTAAGAGGTAGTGCACAGTATATGTTGGTTTTTGATCTGCCATGATGATCCGTAAGGTCCCAGAGAGAAACTGCTCCATCATCCTGGGTCCTAGAGGGAAGGCCAGAGAAGCAGAGCAGCTGCCAACCAGTGACAGGTGTGTCATGTGAGAGACTTACTGCTTCTTGTAAGCCAGAGATTTGGGCCTGTTCATTACTGCAGTGTAACCTACCTTATCCTCGTTAATGCAGCCCCTTCCCCCTTCCTTCTCCTGGAAGATGGAAGCCAGAAGGGGGAAGGTTGGGGACCTCCTTCCAGTGCCTTGCACTGTCTCAAGAAGCTACTGGAAGGCAATATTCTCACAAAAATAAGCAAAAAACGAGTAAGTAAACCAAGAATGAAAGACATGGGAGAATTAACATGGGTGCCCAGAAAGGGAAAATCCAGATGACAGCTGTGAATCAGGCCTCGGGAGCAAGCAGTCCATCGGGGCAATCGTGTAATTATTTAACTCGTGTAAACACGAGTTAAATCGTGTTTACATGATGATGCTCATGCCATTTTTATGGCACTTTGACTCAGAGAGCATTCATATTGTTTATCCTTTATCCTTAATTATTCACTTATTCCTGGAGTTAGTAATTACTTCATTTTTTCCACTTGTTTAGTTTTCTATGTGTTTCCTAATTCTTCCAGGTACCTGTGGATGCACCATCCCAGCCCTGAAAGACCTACTTCCCAACTGCTTTTACTCAAAAGAGAAGAAAATTCTGCTAAAACCACTGTCGTTTTGCATTTCCTGTTATATGCAATGGAATCTTATCATCTCTGACAAAAATAACCCTACTGAGAAGATGGGATAAGGGAATTTATGTAGGAATGAGATTAAGTGAGGCACATCCTGCATAAAAATAAGAAGTCATCGGATAGATAGTGTCAAAATACATAAATAAAAAATAGCAGCATCAGCATAATCTTTAGAAATAGGGGGGTAAATAACAACAACAACAAAAACCCCAGCTGACTGAGTTTGAAAGTCATTGTCTCAGAGAGCAGAACTGGGGATGGGGACAGGATGGATAGGGGCTGCTTTATTTTGTTATAGATGTTTTTACGAAACATTTGATTAAAAAAAACTATAGATATGCATTACTTTAACAACAATCAAAATTAAGTTCTTATTTTAAAAAGGTCAAACCAAAACCAAAACATTTTCTCTAGGAATCATATCTAGAAAACTCAGCACTCAACATCTAGGCAAGAAAGTCTCCCCAAATAAGAAACAGTCCTCTCAGTTTCTCTCCTTGCTGTGCACCTGACTATTCCCCGATGGAGGAACACATAGCATGACTGCTTACCTGTCTAGAATGACCCACTCCCTGTTCTCAGACCCTGATGTCTCAAATCTTGAGGACTGCCAACGTTTAACTACTGATATGGTTTGGCTGTGTCCCCACCCAAATCTCATCTTGAATTGTAGCTCCCATAATTCCCACATGTTGTGGGAGGGACCCACTGGGAGATAATTGAATCATAGGGGTGGTTCCCCCCATGCTGTTCTTACGGTAATGAATAAGTTTCATGAGATCTGATGGTTTTATAAGGGGTTTCCCCTTTCACCTTTCACTTGGCTGTCATTCTTTCTTGCCTGCCGCCACGTAAGATGTGCCTTTCACTTTCCACCATGATTGTGAGGCTTCCCTAGCCACATGAAACTGTGTGTTTGTTAAACCTCTTTTTCTTTATAAATTACCCAGTCTTGGGTATGTCTTTATCAGCAGTGTGAAAACAGACTAATACAACTATATTTCACTACAACATAATAGCCCCAATCCTGGTGTAAATGTTGTTTAATAGAAACAAAATATTGTAGGATGTGTATTTTCCTTATGAAAGTTCTCCAGCATTTCTCCCCATTCTCTTTTGCTCCAGGGAAGTCTAAAGGGAAGAAAATGAATAAGTATCTCTTTTCCTGTTTTGAACCCAACACGTACTTATTGAACACCCTCCACATGCCCTGTGCTGAAGTTAAAATGGAAGAAAACGGATTTTCTTCTCTCACAGAGCTTACAGTCCAAAATAGGGGCAGTAATCGGCATTTTCAGCAATTTGATCAATTATTTATTAGGGAGAAGCACAAGCTACTGTGGGATCCCATGGTGGGGCCTTTTAACTCAGCCTTGGAAGGCCTCCTGGAGGAGGTGACATTTAAGGTAATACTTAAAGCAAGAGAGAACAGCACTAATGAATCCAGTTGGAAGCACTTCCGAAAAACAAAACTGGTCATATTGAAAGAGGAAGTGGGGCTGGGCGCAGTGACTCACACCTGTAATCCCAAGACTTTGGAAGGCCGAGGCGGGCAGATCACCTGAGGTCAGGAGTTCGAGACTAGCCTGGCCAACATGGCAAAACCCTGTCTCTACTAAAAGATACAAAAATTAGCTGAGCATGGTGGCAGGTGCCTGTAATCCCAGCTACTCAGGAGGCTGAGGCAGGAGAATCGCTTGAACCTGGGAGGCAGAGGTTGCAGTGAGCCGAGATTGCACCATTGCACTCCAGCCTGGGCAACAGAGCAAGCCTCTGTCTCAAGAAAAGAAAGAGAGAAAAAAGAAAGAAAGAAAGAAAGAAAGAAAGAAAGAAAGAAAGAAAGAAAGAAAGGAAGGAAGGAAGGAAGGAAGGAAGGAAGGAAGGAAGGAAGGAAGGAAGGAAGGAAGGGAGAGAGAGAGAGAGAGAGAGAGAGAAAGAAAGAAAGAAAGAAAGAAAGAAAGAAGGAAGGAAGGAAGGAAGGAAGGAAGGAAGGAAGGAAGGAAAGAAAGAAAGAAAGAAAGAAAGAAAGAAAGAAAGAAAGAAAGAAAGAAAGAAACAAAGAAAGAAAGAAAGAAAGAAAGAGGGAAAGAACAAGAAAGAGTCTGTAAAGCCTGGGTTTCCTTCTGGAAGAGAAGCACCCCCTCCCCAGCCTACCACTCTTCTACTGGATGCTAACTTCTATTTGACTTCATTGTTAAAGGGTAGCCCAGCAGTTGCAGTGAGAGGAAGGACGCTGAGGCTTCACCCCCACTCTTCTCTTCCTTTTCTTTAGGTTGTCTCTCCCAACCTTGCTCGTCTCTGGTTCTTCCTTCGTTGTGTTAGCATTTCCCCATCAACTCTGAACAACTGTTGGGGCTATGGAGTCAGCAAGACACATTCCTACCCTATTCAATGTCTGGTGCCAAATAACCACTCAATACATGCATGCAAATCCACATGATTAATAATGTTCCCTAGAAAAGACTTGGAACCAACCCAAATGCCCATCAATGGTAGACTGGATAAAGAAAATGTGGCACATATACACCACGGAATACTATGCAGCCATAAAAAAGGATGAGTTCATGTCCTTTGCAGGAACATGGATGAAGCTGGAAACCATCATTCTCAGCAAACTAACAGGGGAACAGAAAACCAAACACCGCACGTTCTCACTCATAAGTGGGAGTTGAACAATGAGAACATATGGGCACAGGGAGGGGAACATCACACGCTGGGGCCTGTCGGGGGGTTGGGGAGCAAGGGGAGGGATAGCATTAGCATAAATACCTAATGTATATGATGGGTTCGTCGGTGCAGCAAAATACCATGGCACATGTATACCTGTGTAACAAACCTGCACGTTCTGCACATGTATCCCAGAACTTAAAGTATAATAATAATAATAATAATAATAATAATAATAATAATAATGTTCCCTCTCAGCAGAGACAGAATTTCTAATGGAATCATCTGCAACTTTCAGGCCCCTTCCTGAAGAAACAGGATGACGGAAGAACTGGGCCAAAAGGCACATACAAGTCTCAAGGGTCCTCTTCACAGGGCTCCCCAGAGGTTTGCAATCCTTGCGCTGCCTGTGGAATGTCAACATGTTGAGTGCGTAAGCCCTCCCTTAGGACACTTGGAATGTAACCCTACTGGGCAAGTTAGGGACACAATCTTTATTCTCGGATCTTTGCCAGTACCCAGCCCTCTCTATGGCCCTCTTGTTCACACGTTGCTGGAGCTGTAGGTGGGAGGCTCTTTGAACACATCTTAGAAAGAGGCAGACTTGGTCCCTGCCTTTATGGAGCTCTGTTCTTCAAGTTTGTCAGAAGATTCACTATTTAAGCTTAACAACTCTGTTGTGAGGGAGTGTTTTAACCTACTGGGTGTCCACTTTTTACTTAGGATCCTTCTTTGACCTTCCTTTTTCTTGGAGTTTCTCTCAGGGATGGTGGAAGGAAGCTAGACCAAACATCTACCCTTGTTTGTCACAGTAGAGCCAGCCATTGTTCCTTTCCAACACCGTCGCCCTTGCTCTATTTCAAATAATCATTATCCAGAGTCTTGGAAGCACCGTGGGGCATTCCCTTAGGAATGTGGAAATGTGGAAGATAGTATTTTCCAAAATTGGTTACAGCCATATTTCCAGTCCCACATCCTTCCAGAACCTTACCTCTCTCCATCAAGACACAGATTATGTTTCCTCTCCTCTTCAACCTGGGTGGGACTTTGTGACTGCTTCAGTGAATGTAAGGTAGTGGAAATAACGATGCATGATTTGTGAGGCTGGGTCATAGAAGGAGACACAGTTTCCTGCTGCTTCCCTATTGTGGAAGGCTGACCTTCAGAACCCAGCCACCGCGCTGTGAGGAAGCCCTTACAGAAAAACCACATGAGAAAGTTCATGGGGCTGGGTGTGGTGGCTTACACTTGTAATCCCAGCACTTTGGAAGGCCAAGGTGGGAGGATCACTTGAGTCGAGTTCGAGACCAGCCTGGGCCACATGGTGAAACCTTGTCTCTACCAAAAATATGAAAATTAGCCGGGCATGGTGGTGCACACCTGTAATCCCAGCTACTTGGAGGCTGAGGCACGAGAATCACTTGAACTCCAGAGACGGAGGCTGCAGTGAGCCGAAATGGCGCCACTGCACTCCAGCCTGGGTGACAGAATGAGACTCCATCTCAAAAAAAAAAAAAAAAAGAAAAGAAAAAAAAAAAAGAAAGCTCATGGGGAGAAGAACTGGGATTTCAGCCAACAGTAGCATCAACTGCTAGGCAGATAAGCAAAGTGGTCTTCAGATGATTCCAGCTCCAAGCCTTTGAGTCTTCTAGTCGAGGCCCCAGACATCAAGGTGGAGCAGAGACAAGCTATTCTGCACCGTGTCCAGATTCTTGACCCAGGGAATGCATGAGCATAATAAATGTTCATTTCTATCATGCAACTTTGAGGTAATTTGTTAGACAGCCATAGTAACTAGAACAGCAAAACAAGCATACAATGTTATTGAGCCTTCCCAGGTGCCTTCATTATCTCAACATCTGTAGACTCCTTGTCATACTCACTGTGGCACTGTAGCAATGCAGGGATACTGTCTGGATAACCAAGGGTATACTTCTGCTGCCACAGCCAGCTCAGCCATGTGGGAAGCAAAGACATGGAAAATGGACAGAGACTTGCAGAATCATAAGAGTAATTGGGAACTGACTCTGCAGTGAATAAAATGTAATTTGCCCAACACTGACTGCTATGGTTTGAATGTTCCCTCTAAAACTCATGTTGAAATTGCCATTGTGCAGAATTAGGAGGTGGCATCTTTAAGAAGTAATTAGGGGCCAGGCATGGTGGCTCCTGCCTGTAATCCCAGCACTTTGGGAGGCTGAAACGGGTGAATCATCTGAGGTCAGGAGTTTGAGACCAGGCTGGCCAACATGGTGAAACCCCGTCACTACTAAAAATACAAAATTAGCTGGCTATGGTGGCACATGCCTGTAATCCCAGCTACTTGGGAGGCTGAGGCAGGAGAATCACTTGAACCCAGGAGGCGGAGGTTGCAGTGAGCCAAGATTGTGCCATCCCACTCCAGCCTGGGCAATAGAGTGAGACTCTGTCTCAAAATAAATAAATAAGTAAAGTAAATAAAAAGTGATTAGGTTGTGAAGGCTATTTGAATGGACTAATGCTGTTATCTAGGTTCTGGGTTAGTTGGCTTGGGAATGGACTCCTGATAAAAAGGCTGAATTCTCCCCAACTTCCTCTCTCTGTCTCTCACTTGTGCTTCCTCAGCACATGATGCCTTTTGCCATGGGATGACCCTTGCATGAAGTTGGCATCATGCTCTTGGACTTCCCAGCCTCCAGAACCATGAGCCAAATAAAATTCTTTTTTACATAAATTACCCAGTCAGTGGTATTGTTATAGCAGCAGAAAACAGACTGAGACACAGACCATCTCTTATCCTGATGTTATGTTTACTAGGACTCTGTTTTGGGCATTGGTATTTTATAATCCCCCTAACATACACAAACACACAAACGCACACACTTTTTTTTTTTAAAGAAAGAACAGAAGGTATTTGGGGTATGGGGAGTTTGAATCAGTCCATACCTCTGTGCTTTATCACCTCCAGCTTTTGGCTTCCCTTAAGGCCTCCTGCAACTCATGCACATCCAGTCCTTCTTCCTTGGTTTGCTAAAAGCAAGATTTGTAGAATCTAATGAGCGGAATACCAAATCATCCTAATTCTTGTCAACATTGTTGTTATCATCATCTTTCATGTGACCAAATGATGCTAACTCCTGCGAAGTGTAGCTACAAACAACTTCAGAATACTCTGCTGTTTTTGTTCATTTATGGCCATCTCGCCTTGGGTTCATTGAAGCAGAGGCCAAGACAAGGATCTTCATACAGGTTAGCCTATGTGAGAGGTGATCCGAGGAAGTCAGAGGGAGGAAGGAGCATGAGATCCTGAAGAAGGGGAAACCAGTACTGTCTAAGGGTGCATTTTTGAGGTTGCTATTCTGGGCCTTGGAGCTTGAGCCCAAGGGACTTCTTGAGAAACACGTGGATATTCTCCTCTGTAGGAGATTATTGGCTGACATTCTTTGGGCGCTTATTGTGTTAGATATGCTCCAAACATTCATTTAATCATCACAACAACACCAAGAGTGGGGTTTAAATAACCCCCATTTCACAGATGAGAAAGCTGAGGTTCGAAAAGCTTACACTGTCCAAAGCTGCAGAGTGAGGCAGTGAGGGAGCCCCATCCTCTAACTTCAAGATAATTTGCTGCTTTACAATAGCGCCTACTGCGCAAAGGGGGCAGAGAACTTCACTGATTTTTCTTAGAAGCTTTTAGAAAATGCAAAAATATCCTTTGGGCCTCAAACCAAAATGCATCTGAGGAAAGACTTGCAAAGGTGAAATAGAGAATTGTCTGGCAAACTTAGACCCAGGGTCCCAAGCTGGAAGCCTACTGAGAAGAAACATTCCCTGGAACTCTCCATAAGCATCTCCAGCCCATATTATTTGTGTGATTACACAGCTGACAAGATTTCACAGAGATACATGGAACAGCAAAACCACAGGCTGATGGCAAACCGAAGAGCAAAGAATTAAACTGAGTTTTAGGCCTTTTAATGAAGCCCTGGCTAAGAGCAAAGTTCCTCCCAGCCCACGGCTGTCACCTTCCTTCATCAGTCAGAGTCCTATTCTTAGCCTGAGGTATCTCAGTTGTCACAGAAGAGAACTCTCCACTGGCTGAATAATTACCATGGCCCAGAATAGCACCGTGAAGTGGGGAAGAACAAGTGCAGGCACTGCTAAATTGTTAAGTGAGACAGAGCGGATAGGAGGGAGATTCTGTGAACAGTGAAGATCCTTAAGCCCAGCAGTGACCAGGTCCTTTTCTTTTTTTTTTTTTAACTTAGGGAAAAGGCCAGAATAGCCGGTTTTGCTCCAAGGACAATACTTTAGGGAAGAAGAGGCAAGTTCAAAGCCAAAAAACATATCTTCATCCACTTATTGGATGTCATTCATTTTGCTAGATTTAAAAAGTGGAAGAAGCTATGTTGTCTTGTAGTTATAAAATTAATATACTTTCATTGTTAAGAATTCAGACGGCCAGGTGCAGTGGCTCACGCTTGTAATCCCAGCACTTTGGGAGGCCGAGAGGGGTGGGTCACCTGAGGTCAGGAGTTAGAGACCAGCCTGGCCAACATGGTGAAACCTCATCTCTACTAAAAATACAAAAAATTAGCTGGGCATGGTGGCAGGTACCTGTAATCCCAGCTACTCAGGAGGCTGAGGCAGGAGAATCGCTTGAACCTGGGAGGCAGAGGTTGCAGTGAGCCAAGATCATGCCATTGCACTCCAGCCTGGGGAACAATAGTGAAACTCCATCTCAAAAAAAAAAAAAAAAAAAAAAAAAGAGAGAGAGAGAGAATTCAGACATATTGTAAAGTATAGAAAAGGAAATGAAAATCTCTAGTTATCCTATGATTCAAAGCTCAGATACAACCATTATTTGTTTTTGGTGATTTTTTTTGTACTCAACTACTAGTATTTGCTATGCAGCTCCTTCCCCCTTTCATCTAGGAAAGGTTTCCCCACCCTTCCTTTGGGAAATGTCCTCTCCCTGCCAGTGCTCAGGCTGGTGGTGCAGAGATTGACTCACTCTCAGCTCTGTGGTTGGGTCCTCAATGGTTTAAGTCAATCATCATAGCCCACTGCCCTGGCCAAGGAATTTGGTTCGGGATCAGTCATGCCACCCAAGCCAGTCCAATTAAAGTGACATTCATGTCTGTTTCTAGGATGTTGAAGCAAAGATATTCTCTACTCCCCCTGAATGAGGAAATATGTAGCCCTAGGAACTGTTGACCACCACCTTGGGATCATGAGAGGTGAAGCAACCCCCAAGCATGCAGAAGAGACAGAAAGAAACCAGCCCCTCTGAGACATTATTGAGCCCCTGGAAGCCTCAACTTTTCAGTTTCATGATCAATAACTTCCTGTATTATTAAATGAGCTTTGAGACGGGTTTTCAGGTACTAGCAGCTGGGAAAGTAGTCTAACCATAGTCAGTTCCTTTGGACATCTTTCCAGCATATTCCCCACCTCCCACCCCACCTTACCCTCATATATACGGTTTCACGAAAAAAAATAGGTTTTCTATTTTTTTTTGAAACAGACTGTTGCTCTGTCACCCAGGCTGGAGTGCAATGGTGCAATCTCAGCTCACTGCAGCCTCTGCCTCCCAGGTTCAAGCGATTCTCATGCCCCATCCTCCTGAGTAGCTGAGATTAAAGCGCCCAATACCACTCCTAGCTAATTTTGGTATTTTTAGTAGAGATGGGGTTTTGCCATGTTGGCCAGGCTGGTCTCCAACTCCTGACCTAAAGTGATCTGCCTGCGTTGGCCTCCAAAGTGCTGAAAAATAGGTTTTCTAATATATTTTCATGTCAAGAAATACAGGATTGGCCAGGCATGATGGCTCACACCTGTAATCCCAGCACTTTGGGAGGCCGAGGTGGGCTGATCACCATAGGTCAGGAGTTCAAGACCAGCCTGGCCAACATGGTGAAACTCTACCTTTACTAAAAATACAAAAATTAGTCAGGTGTGATGGTGCACACCTGTAGTCCCAGCTACTCAGGAGACTGAGGCAGGAGAATCTCTTGAACCCATGAGACAGAGGTTGTAGTGAGCCGAGATAGCACCACTGCACTCCACACTCCAGCCTGGGCAACAGAGTGAGACTCCGTCTCAAAAAAAAAAACAAGCTTATATACATAATGATTTCTAATATCCCTCTTGCCATCTTCATCTCTTCTTAAGTGATACTTCTTCAGACTTTTCCCTACCTACCTAAAGTAACCCTACCCCCAGTCACTCTTTATCACATCACCCTTTTAATTCTCATCACAGCACTCATATGACCTAAACTTTAAACATTTATCTATTCTGTGTCTCCAACCTCTCCATAAAAACAGATAATTTTACAACAGTATTTGGTACAAGGTAGGTGCTCATTAAATGCTTGTTGAATGAATGAATGAATATCTGAATATTCCATGGATTTACCATAATTTATTTAAAACAAATCCCTATTGTTGAACACTTAGGTTGTTTCCAAGTTTTTTCTCATAAAAACATCTCTGTGGCAACTTTATACATGTATACATTTATTTTTATTTTTACTTTTATTTTTTGAGACAGAGTCTCACTCTGTCACCCAGGCTGGAGCACAGTGGCATGATCTCGGCTCACTGCAACCTCCGTCTTGCGGGTTCAAGTGATTCTCGTGCCTCAGCCTCCCCAGTAGCTGGGATTAGAGGTATGCACCACCATGCCCAGCTAATTTTTGTATTTTTAGTAGAGATGGGGTTTTGCCATGTTGGCCAGGCTGGTCTCGAACTCCTAACCTCAGGTGATCTGCCTGCCTCAGCCTCCCAAACTGCTGGAATTACAGGAGTGAGCTTCCGTCCCCGGCCATCTTAATATACTTTTATATTTAATCTATTATATCACAAAAAGGAAGTGTGGATCAAAGGTGAATCTATTTTAGGGGTTTTGATGTATATTGCTATGTTGTCCTGCAGAAAATTTGTGCCAATTTATACTTCCAACTACAAAACATGAACTCTAGGGTTCTTTCTCTGTATCCTTCCCCACAGATGAAAAATATTATTTCATTGTTTTCTTATTTTCATATTGTTATTAGTGGAGCTGAATATTTTTTCATATATTCATTTGCTATTTGTATTGCTTTTTCAAAAATTTTATTCCTTACCCATATTACTATTGGGCTTTCAGCTTTCCTTATCGATTTGAAGGAAGTTTTTTTTTTTTAAAGAATAGATCAAGGTATTAACCACACATTTATATTGTATCAATATCCAGAAATTTAGACCTGAGCCTTCAAACATTCATTTGGAGTTAAAAAGTCCAGCTGCAATTTCTGATCCTTTCCCTGTTGGTGGGTTTCTCTGATAGGGAAGTGATGGGAACTCTGGATGGTAGAGGCCACGTGGCTATACCTGATTGCCAAAGACATGGTGAGCACGGTTACAGGGATGGGTATGGTTATAAGGATAGGCCGTAGAGTGGAACAGTAATCTTTAACCAGACTGGCGGTGATTTAGTAATGGGTTAGTTGATTAGGCTGTCTCTAGAATTGATATACATGGCTTGCTTTCTAAAGTCTTACTTGTTTGTGTAAGCTAAAAAGCTCTAAGTTTGGTCAAGAGAAGTCGGATTAGAATCATCAAAATGGAGACATATGGTCCCTTAGTCAATTTCCACACTTGCACCAGTTCTTAGACCCAGGGCCCCTTGAGGAAAAAACTTGCTAAACTACCAGAAATTTACACCTCCCAGCCTTCCCCCAAGGCACCTGAGGTCACCTACTAAGTGACTTTGGATTGGAAAAGGGGGAGTAACCAGACTTTGGGAGGGATTACTAGTCACTGGCTTTGAATGGACACTACTTTCTGGAGAACCAAATGCCACTGTTGCCCACCAGTTAGAGAGGACCTATGAAGGTCCATGATCTATGGAGCTCAGGTTTGCATCACAGTAGTGGTGGTGGGTCCCTGAAGTCATCTGTGGTTATTTTCCCATTTTGGAAACGTGTAATTGGAATAGATCTGATATAGTTTAGATATGTGTCCCCTCCAAATCTCATGTCGAGATGTTATCCCCAGTGTTGGTGGTGGGGCCTGGTGGGAGGTGTTTGGGTCATAGAGACGGATCTCTCGTGAATGACTTGGTACCTTCCTCGCGATAGTGACTTCTTGCAAAATCTGGCTATTTATTTATTTTTGAGATGGAGTCTTGCTCTGTCGCCCAAACTGGAGTGCAGTGGCGCAATCTCAGCTCACTGCAACCCCGGCCTCCCAGGTTCAAGTGATTCTCATGCCTCGGCCTCCTAAGTAGCTGGGACTACAGGTTTATACCACCTAATTTTAGCGTCCGGCTAATTTTTGTATTTTTAGTAGAGACGGGGTTTCACCATGTTGGCCAGGTTGGTTTCAAATTTCTGACCTCAGGTGATCCACCCACCTCGACCTCCAAAGTGCTGGGATTACATGCATGAGCCACCGCGCCCAATGATCTGGCTCTTTAAAGGTGTGTGTCACTTTTCCCTACTCTCTATTCCTTCCTCCTGCTCTAGCCATGCGATGCTCTTGCTCTCAATTCATCTTTTGCCATGAGTAAAAGCTCCCTGAGGCCTCACCAGAAGCTAAGCAGATGCTGGTGCCATGCTTGTACAGCCTGCAGAACTGGGAGCTAATTAAACCTCTTTTCTTTATAAATTACCCAGTCTCAGATATTTCTTTGTAGCAATGCAAGAATGGCCTAACACAAGATCTACACAGCAACTGACAGAATCCCCCATCCCCAAAGGACTGAATTGATATTTATTTATCTGTCTATCTGTGCATGTATCTATCTACCCATCTATTTCCCTATCTTACTGCTACTGCTACTACTACAATTAATAATCAGAAAATAATCCATCAATCAAGCCACCATGATAACAGTAATAATAACAGCTAATGCTCATTGAGTACTATATGCCAGACCCTGGTCTAAGCCCTTTATGCGGATTCACTTATTTGTTCCTCATGACACTGACATTCCTAGGACCTCATTTTGTTAATTTTCATGACCCTGGTAGCCAGGCACTCAATAAGTGCATATTACAGGAAAGGACCTATGACTGGTTTGTCAGGTTGATGACTTTCTTTTAAAAGGAGCTTCTCCCTGGGCAAGGGCTTTGGGCTGCCATCCCTGGAGTTTCTCTCTCCTGCTCCTAGTGTGAGGCATTGTTTGTCGACCCCTTTGCCTGTTACCTCAATGCTCAACACCTGCCTAAGGCCCAGTGACATGGAGAAATGTGGACACAGTTCTTCATGCTGGTCTTCAGCATTCTGCTCCCTAAATGTTGGTATTTGCTCTCCAGCCTCATAAACTGTAGCTGTGGGTAAGGGACAATTCAGCCCTAATCTGTTCCTTTGGGTCTTCCCACTAGCAAGGCAGGCACATCCCGCCCTGTCACTTGTGCCACTGTGGGGCTTCAGTGACCCAGGGATAGCTTTCTTTCCCACTTACCCTAAGGTGTCTGACACTTAAACATGCACAGAAAGAGGCTCCATTTGTCCAGAAAGAGCATTTTAACCATTAACTTGTTTTTTTAAAAGTACCTTCACTCCCCAAAAGTAAGCTAATAATGCTGGGATATTAGCCAGAGGAGTTCAGAGGATAGCAATAATCGAAATAATGGCTTTTGAACCTCAAAAATATTATGATGAACCATAGAAGCCTGTCTTAAAAGGTTACATATTGTATGCATCCTTTTATATAAAATATACAGAATAGGCAAATCTATAGAGACGGGAAGTAGATCAGTAGTTGCCAAGGCTAGGGGAGGGGTGCATAGGAAGTGACTGCTTAACGGGTACAGGGTTTCCTCTTGGATGATTAAAATATCTTCAAACTAAATAGAGGTGATGTTTGCCCAATATTGTCAACCCACGAAATTTCACTGAACTGCACACTTTAAAATGGATAATAATAGGCCAGGGACAGTGGCTCACGCCTATAATCCCAGCATTTTAGGAGGCTGAGGCAGGTGGGTCACTTGAGGTCAGGAGTTTGAGACCAGCCTGGCCAACGTGATGAAACCCCGTCTCTATTAAAAATACAAAAATCAGCCAGGCGTGGTGGCGCATGCCTTTAGTCCCAGCTACTCAGGAGGCTGAGTCAGGAGAATTGCTTGAACTTGGGAGGCGGAGGTTGCGGTGAGCCGAGATCGTGCCACTGAACTCCAGCCTAGATGACAGAGTGAGACTCTGTCTCAAAAATAAATAAATAAATAAATAAATAAATAAATAAATAAATGG
The DNA here is from genome assembly GCF_000001405.40 of Homo sapiens. Lineage (NCBI taxonomy): Eukaryota > Metazoa > Chordata > Mammalia > Primates > Hominidae > Homo > Homo sapiens. The sequence goes on along the minus strand of NC_000009.12, from coordinate 69,267,192 downwards.
ATAATAGTTACTCTTATTTATGTAATTTTTACTTCAGTTTTCAAAAAAAGAGATGAACTTTTGCATCTAGTTGTTGTTGTTGTGTGTGTTTTTTTTTTGTTGTTGTTGTTCGGAGTTCTGCTCTTGTTTCCCAGGCTGGAGTGCAATCTCGGCTCACCACAACCTCCACCTCCCAGGTTCAAGCGATTCTCCTGCCTCAGCCTCCCGAGTAGCTGGGATTACAGGCATGCGCCACCACGCCCGGCTAATTTTGTATTTTTAGTAGAGATAGGGTTTCTCCATGTTGGTCAGGCCGGTCTCAAACTCCTGACCTCAGGTGATCCGCCTGCCTTGGCCTCCCAAAGTGCTGGGATTACAGGTGTGAGCCACAGCACCCGGCTGCATCTAGTTATTATTATTATTTTTTTAAAAGACTGATGTTCGTTGAGCCTCTACTATATGCCTGGCCCTGTGCTCAGTGCTTACCTGCACTATAGTATATAATCCTCACAATCAACCCTTTGAGATAGGTGCAATTTTTATACCTAGTATTAAGTATAAACTGAGGCACAAAGAGGTTGTACAGTTAGCTCAAGGTCGCATCATCACCAATTTTCAGGGAGGGGCTCAAGCACAGGCAGTCTGCTCCAGGGCCAACATTCTCCATCGCTGTACTTTGTCCATTCACTGCCCTCGGAGGGATTCCACGCTTTTAGCATTGAGAAGAAAGGAAGCTAATGTATATTGGCGGAAGGGGCGGGGCTACTATTTTTGTAGTGTCTGCTCTAGCCAGTCACTCACCCAGGTTCCTCACTGAATTATCACAACCACACTTTGTGGAAAGAAATTCTGCTTTCCTCATTTTGCAGATGAAGAGCCTGACGCCCCGAAAGGGTAGGCAACTGACAGGGCACAGGACCCGTGAGGAGCTGAAGCCAGATCCGCTGAGATGTCAGCCCTTGCTCTGAACCCGAGATGAGGTGACTAGCTGTCTACCAGCCTCGCAGCCTCCCAGGCTCCCTCTCACAAGGCCCTTTTCCTCGCACAGAGCAACTATTTGTGCAGCAAGTAACAAAGTGGTGAATAGCGACGAGGCACCCGCCTCCCCTTCCCGTCCCACTGAGCATTGCTATCCCTTGGGATGTGAAAGTAAATCAAAACTCGGGAACCCCAAACTCACTAGGCCAAAGGGAAAGATAAGCTTGGGAAATGAGTCACAAAATACTGCCTTTCCTTTTGTTCTCAGATGGGTGTCATTTCACAGCCCTGTGTCATAGCCTCATCCATAAGCCAGGCTCCCACAAGGATAGGAGGCCAAGTATCTCCTCAGATGGCCTCTCTCAGAATTTGCTCACAAGGAAATTTCTTGTGAGCCCCTAAATCTCTCCAGATAAATATCACCCCCTATAAACTAGCCCTAAAACCAAGTTCTGTTCAATCGCACCCGACAATGTCAATTGCCCAGCTTATCGACAAGGACGAGACCAGAAATCACCCCTCCACCCACCCTGAGAAAAACGCATAATTGACTTTCCAGCTACTCCCTCTCTTCACGTTTACTTTATCATATGTAAAATATAGATTTACTGAGCACTAATCAGAGCCTCAGGAGAACATAACCATTTGCCTCACTGCCCACCCTTCCTCCTTTATTTCCCTCCTGCTTGTCCTTTTCCCTTTAAATACTGAGTTCCCAAAACTCTCTTAGGAAAGCACAGGTTGCAGGTTTTTTTCCTGGGTGCATCCTCAAACTTTGGCTAAATAAACCTCTATCGACTCCTCTTAGGCAAGTTAGTCCAAATGGGAAAGACTAGGCAATTAATTTCCTTTTGCCTCTGTCACATGCGTATCTATTAATGAATAACTAGTGTTCAATTTAGGAGATGTTAATTAACTTAGTCCTAAAGGGTTAGGGTTAGAGTTAGGGTTAGGGTTAGGGTTAGGGGTTAGGGGTTAGGGTTAGGGTTAGGGTTAGGCACAGGGAGCCCGGCAGCTGCACTTAAAATTATTATCTAATCTCCTGCTTATGTGCTAGAGAACATTCTATTTCTTTAGAGAATTATCAGAATGCTTTTTCCAGGACCATGTCCACAAACCTAACCTAACCTAACCTTTGCTAAACCTAACCTAATCTAGCCTAATTTAACCTAACCTAACCTTTGCTAACACAGCAATCTTTCAGAACAGCAATCTTTCAGAAAGCACAGCTTTGGGAAATAAAATTCTAAACCACAAAAATATATTCCCCATGTTCCCCTGAATCTCTATGTCTTATTTCAACCCATTTAAACTGTAATAGCCACAGAGAACAGGACCTGAAAACATATGCTCATTAGTTCCCACCAGAGCCTGGTGACAGAGCCCGTCTTCCAGAGGAAGCCGGAGACCCACGCAGGGAGCTACAGAGTTCCTTCTGCATGCACTTTCAAAATGCTGGCTCTCCTTAAGGCCGTGTGGGTGCTGCACGTTGCATGGGACTCGAAGGGGAAAGAGGAAGCAGCAAAGAGGTGAGCAAGGGTTGCAAACTCAATGCCCAGAGACATTAGGAGGGCCATATGAGTGAGTCAGTCTGGGTGAGTGCTGTCTGTACGGAGCAGCAGCCACCCAGCTCCAGCCTACAGTTGTCATGCAAGGATGGATGCCCAGCACCACCAAACTTACCTTTTTTTTGTTTTTCTTTTTTTAATATGGAATCTATCTCTGTTGCCCAGGCTGGAGTGCAGTGGTGTGATTTCAGCTCACTGCAACCTCTGCCTCCTGGGTTCAAGTGATTCTCATGCCTCAGCCTCCCGGGTTCAAGCGATTCTTATGCCTCAGCCTGCCGAGTAGCTGGGATTATAGGCATGCACCACCACGCCTGGCTTTTTTAATTTTTAGTAGAGACGGGGTTTCACCATGTTGGCCAGGCTGGTCTCAAACTCCTGACCTCAGGTGATCAGCCTGCCTCGGCCTCCCAAAGTGCTGGGATTACAGGCATGAGCCACTGTGACCCGCCAAAACTTACCATTTTTAAAAAGAAAAGTCCCAGCTGGGCACAGTGGCTCACGTTTGTAATCCTAGCACTTTGGGATGCCAAGGTGGGCGGATCATGAGGTCAGGAGTTTGAGACCAGCCTGACCAACACAGTGAAACCCCATCTCTACTAAAAATACAAAAAATTAGCTGGTCCTGGTGGCGTCTGCCTGTAATCCCAGCTACTTGGGAGGCTGAGGCAGGAGAATCGCTTGAACCCGGGAGGCAGAGGTTGCAGTGAGCTGAGATCACGCCATGGCACTCCAGCCTGGGCAACAGAGCTAGACTCCATCTCAAAAGAAAAAAGAAAAGAAAAGAAAAAGAAAAGTCCGAAATCTGGACTTCATTTTTAAATTTAAAAATGTCATCACCTCACTCAGGCCAAATAAATCGTATTTTGAGCTAGGTTAGTTCCATGGGTTCTGTCAGTTTGCAGACTCAGCTCTAAAGTGCTTTTTAAAAATGTAAATAGAGAACCATAAGACATGATCAACAAACTGTTTCAAGAGATCCTCCAGAAGGGAGCTCTAGATGGAAAGAGAGGGAAACTGGACTCAAAAGCACGAAACTGTTTTGAATCTAGACTGTATGTGTGACTTATAATCTGAAGGACTCCAACCAAGTTACAGAACTAAGGTATGGATTACTAATAAAATGGACATAGTCACACCTGCCATTCTTACTATGCAGGGCTGTTACAAAGAACAAATCAAACTATTCAGGAAATTTTATCGTAAACTCTAAAGAATAGAGCAAACTAAAAAATTTACAATGTTGAACGTGAAGGCAGAGAATAAGTCATATTTAGTCCATAATGCCTGTGTTTATCTGCACACAGAGGCAGTCAATAAATATTTAATTGACTTAACATGCCTTCCTGCTATAATCCAAATCTAGAGAATTAAATGACCAACAAAATAGTTTAGGTGATTACTAAGCATAATAATTCCATAATGACTGATTAGTGCTAAAACTACTGATCAAAATTCCCAGACTTACTGAAATTACATGTCAGTGTGTAAATTTTTGTCTGGTAGAGATGCAAATAATTTCTGTCTAGTGGAAAAGATATTTACAAAGGTTATCATTTACTGTTCTGTAGGTAATTAATCAATTTTGTATCAACTCAAAGTTCTTATCCGAATATTTCTTAAATTGCTTATATTAATATTACCTAGTTCCTCAAATGCGCTTTAAACGAGTCTTAACATTGTATTGGTTCCCTCTTTTAGTACTGAGTTCATTTTATACTTGCATGAGAATAATTTCACCCCTTTGAAAATTACACTTTAACATTAGTCTGGTCAAATTAAGATCTTAGCAGATTTTCTCCACTTCTACTAATGTTTTCCAGTTTGTGTCAGTGGTGTCAAGTGTTGAAGTTTAAACCAGGCATGATGTGAGAAAATCATTATGTCATCAACCCTCTTTTGTCATAAAAGCAAATAGTGAATTTCAATTTATTTCTCTCCTTATTAATTCACTCCATTTTTCATATAGGGCACTGATAAGAATACATAGGTGAATACAGATACACCTCCCTTAATGGAACTTAGAAGCAAGTGGGGGCCAGGCGCGGTGGCTCACGCCTGTAATCCCAACACTTTGAGAGGTCGAGGCGGGTAGATCACCTGAGGTCAGGAGTTTGAGACCAGCCTGGCCCACATGGTGAAATGCCATCTCTACTAAAAATACAAAAATTAGCTGAGTATGGTGGCATGTGCCTGTAATCCCAGCTACTCGGGAGGCTGAGGCCAGAGAATTGCTTGAACCCGGGAGGCAGAGGTTGCAGTGAGCCGAGATCGTGCCATTGCACTCCAGCCTGGGCCACAAGACCAAAACTCCATGAGGAGGAGGAGGAGAAGGAGGAAGAGGAGGAGGAGGAAAAGGAGGAGGAGAAGCAGCTAGTGGGAAGCAGATTTGTGCATCAATAACTAGAATGCCAGAGGATATAGATAAAGGGATATGGGAGCTTTTTGAAGAAGTCAATGACAAATTTGATTGGGGGCATCAGAGAAGGCTTGACAGAAAATGTGACATAGTAACTGGACCTAGAAGGATAATAGGGTTTTAAAAGATGGTAAAGAAAGAGGAAGGATATCCTCCAGTGGAGGGAGCCACAGAGAATTCAGGGAGTGCTTCCATATAATCAGAGCATACGTGAGTTTTGCAGGACGAAGTTACATGGAAAGGATTTGGAGGTTTATTGTTACATAACAACTCACCCCCCAACTCGGTGGCTTAAAACAACCCTTGTTTATTATTTCTCATACATCTGTGGGTTGGCTGATCTAGGCTGGACTCAGCTAGAGTGCTTCTGTTTACATCTCTCTCGTGCTGCCCTGGGCACACAGCACCTCTCATGGGTAGCAGAGGTGCAAGACAACAAGTCATATGGCCAATCCAAAGCCAAGGGTCAAAGAAATAACTTCTGACCTTTAGTGGGAGGAGCTGTAAAGTCACAGGACAGAGGACACAGATACATAGAGGACATAGAGGGATGAAGAACTGAAGCCAGTGATGAAGTCTACTATAGGGACAGATGGTGTGGAAAATCATTTTGAATGCTGTAAAAAAATTAAATTGAGACCGGGTGCGGTGGCTCACGCCTATAATCCCAGCACTTTGGGAGGCCCAGGCGGGTGGATCATGAGGTCAGGAGATCAAGACCATCCTGGCTAACATGGTGAAACCCTGTCTCTACTAAAAATAAAAAAAATTAGCTGGGTGTGGTGGCACGCGCCTGTAGCCCCAGCTACTCGGGAGGCTGAGGCAGGAGAATCGCTTGAACCCAGGAGGCGGAGGTTGCAGTGAGCTGAGATAGCGCCATTGCACTCCAGCCTGGGTGACAGGGTGAGACTCCATCTTAGAAAAAAAAAAAAAAAAAAAGAAAAGAGAAAAAGAAATTGGTTCTAGGCAAGGGGAAGTCATCACTGTTTTTCAAGCAGGAGGGAGACATTCTCAGATCTAAGTTAGAAAGATGATTCTGCCTGCTAGCTGAGTGGAGGATTAGAAAGTTTACAACCATCTGAACTAGGGTAGTGGCTGTGGGAAAAGGGACAGAGGGACAAGTTAAAAATAGTTATTAAGTATAATAAAGTAGGTCATCACTTGGAGGAAGAGTAAGAAAATCAAAGACACCACTCAGGTTTCTAAATTGATGTGGCAAAACCATTGACAGTGATAATAATACTAGCTGCTTTTATTGAGCACTTACTTTGTGCCAGCCACTATTGCAAACATTTTATATATGCGATCTGATTAACATGCCACAAAAAACTTAGGGCATCATGTTAGTTATAGTTTTCCATTCCTATTCTATAAATGAGAAAACTGAGGCTTAAAACATTTAAGTAAGTTGCCCAAGGTTTTACAGCTTGTACCTGACAGAGCTGGAGTTTGAATGAAAGTCACTTTGATTTCAGAATCTGAGTTCATAATTTTTGTGGCTGCCTCAGAAGGATGGGGATAATAAGAGAACCAGCTTTGGGGAGGAACTAACATCTGATTTGGGATAGGGACTTCATTCGTGGTTTTTATATTCTGACTCACCATATTATTTTGAGTAATAAAATGCCAGTGTATTTATAGATGTATAACATCATTTTAATATTTTAAAATATCTGGTGTGAATAATTTACATATTAGATTTGCCCAGAAAATCATATGTTTCACTGGGACTCAAAGGTGCATTTATTTGGACAGCATTCAGGATCTAGCGGTTCCCTTTTTAATACCCTTCCAAACTGTCTTGCTGTCATGCCCGTTTCCCAGGCTTCTCATGAGGTGGAGCCGTGTTTCCTGTGTGGAGTCACCATTTCCATTTCCCACAGACCCTATGGTGGGCCCCTCTGTGCTTCCTAATGGAAATGTGTGAGAATGGAACGGGGGCAGAGGGAAGGGAATTAAAGCGGAAAAGAAAGAGCATGTGGTGGGAGATTAGGGAAGGAGGGGGAGGAGAGAGGGGAAGCTCCTGCCCTGCTCCAGCCCTCCCCTCCTTTCTTCCAGGTCCAGGTTCTCTCCATTCCTCTCTCCCCTGAACCTCAGAGGTGGGTCTCCTGGACACTGGGCCCTCTATACCTGCAGGTTCTGCATCCTCGGATTCAACCAACCTCAGACCAAAAATATTCCCCGGGGGTAAAGAAAAACAATAAAAAATACAAATAGAAAAACAATACAAGATAACAACGATTTACCCAGTATTTATACTGTATTGGCTACTATAAGTAATCTGGAGATGATTTAAAGTATACAGGAGGATGTATGTAGGTTATATGCAAATACCACACCATTTTATTTTATTTATTTTTTTGAGACAGCATCTCGTTCTGCCACCCAGGCTGGAGTGCAGAGGTGTGATCATAGCTCACTGCAGCCTCACACTCTTGAACTCAAGCCATCTTTCCACCTTAGTCTCCAGAGAAGCTGGGACCACAGGCACGCGACACCATGCTGAGCTAATTTATTTTTTATTTTAGAGGTGGTGTCTCACTATGTTGCCCAGGTGAACTGGCCTCAAGCGATCCTTCCCCCTCAGCCTTCCAAAATGCTGGGATTACATGCATGAGCCATTGTACTCGGCCTACCACACCATTATATCAAAGACCTGGGCATCGCTGGATTTTGGTATCCATGGGAGGTCATAGGAAACATCCTCCACAGACACCAAGGGACAGCTGCATTTTCAAAGCTCAACCCATGTCTCTCGGGATACTTTCTTTCTGTTTTTATTTTTGTTTTTCGAGATGGAGTTTCGCTTTTCTCACCCAGACTGGAGTGCAATGGTGCGATCTCGGCTCACTGCAACCTCCACCTCCCAGGTTCAAGCGATTCTCCAGCCTCAGTCTCCTGAGTAGCTGGGATTACAAGCAAGCACCATTACACCTGGCTAATTTTTGTATTTTTAGTAGAGATGGGGTTTCGCCATGTTGGCCAGGCTGGTCTTGAACTCCTGACCTCAGGTGATTCACTCCCCTTGGCCTCCAAAGTGCTGGGACTACAGGCGTGAGTCACCGTGCCCGGCCTCTTTTTGGTGTTTTTTTTTTTTGAGACGGAGTCTCGCTCTGTTGCCCAGGGTGGAGTGCAGTGGTGTGATCTCAGCTTACTGCAGCCTCTGCCTCCTGCGTTCAAGCGATTCTCCTGCCTCAGCCTCCTGAGTAGCTGGGATTACAGGTACTTGCCACCACGCCCTGCTAATTTTTGTATTTTACTTAGAGACAGGGTTTCACCGTGTTGGCCAGGCTGGTCTCGAACTCTTGGCCTCAAGTGATCCACCTGCCTCAGCCTCTCAAAGTGGTGGGATTACAGGCATGAGCCACCGCACCTGGCCCCAGGATACTTTCAGTCAGGATCTTCTTCCCCAGTTATCCTTCCTAGACAGACTCAAACTCAGAAAGACAGAGCAACCTGGACTCTCGAAGGTGGAACGGCATCCGAGGACAGTGCAGAAGCAATCAAACCACATTCCACTTCTTATTGCGCAAAATAAATGCCAAAGTGCTATAAGTGCCTTTGCAGTCACTAGTGTGGGGAATATAAAATGTGCCAATTTTCTATCTATGTATATATAAATGAGATTTAAAATAAAAAGCAGGATGGAAATATGTTTTATCTGTCTCTGTATATATACACAAACATATATACATATTATTTGCCATTCAGCCTTTTGTCTCATTTATTTCACTAAATATTATTTTTAAATATGAAGTATTTTTATTTTTATTGGAGTTTCAGCTCTATTATTCAAATTTCATTCATTTTTGTTTCTTCATTTTTAAGGCTTTTCTTTTTTTTTTTTTTTGAGACAGAGTTTTGCTCTTGTTGTCCAGGCTGGAGTACAATGGAGCCATCTCGGCTCACTGCAACCTCTGCCTCTCGAGTTCAAGCGATTCTCCTGCTTCAGCCTCTCAAGTAGCTGGGATTACAGGCACCCGCCACCACGCCCAGCTAATTTTCTGTATTTTTAGTAGAGACGGTGGCTCACCATGTTGGCCAGGCTGGTCTCGAACCCCTAACCTTAGATGATCCACCTGCCTTGGCATCCCAAAATGCTGGGATTACAGGCATAAGCCACCACGCCAGCCCATTTTTAATGCTTTTCTATTCATCAAATTTGCTCATCTTTATTTAAAACAAAATATAGGCCGGGTGCGGTGGCTCTGTAGTTCTGTAGTCTGTAGTTCCAGCACTTTGGGAGGCCAAAGTGGATGGATCGCTTGAGCCCAGGAGTTCAAGACCAGTCTGGGCAACATGGTGAAACCTCTTCTCTACAAAAAAAATACAAAAATTAGCTGGGCATGCTGGCACACACCTGTAGTCCCAGCTACTTGGGAGGCTGAGGTGAGAGGACTGCTTGAATCCAGGAGATCGAAGCTGCAGTGAGTTGTGACTGTACCACTGCACTTAAGCCTGGGTCAGTGAAACTGTGTCTCAAAAAATAATAAAACAAAAACAAAATTTATAATACATGTATATCCAGAGTATATATATTGTACAAAACCTATACATACGTGTATATGTATGTAAATAATTCTCCCTTTTTCTGGTTCATTCATTCACTCATGCTTTAACACTAAACAAAAAGGATGGCTGTAGGGTGGCCTACATGGTAAACAGGATGAGGGACTGCGATGGTTAATTTTTATGCATCAACTTGGCCGGGCCATGATGCCCAAATATTTGGTCAAACATTATTATGGTTGTTTCAGTAAAAGTTTCGTTGTTGTTGTTGTTTTATTTAGGAGATTAACACTCAAATTGGTGGACTTTGAGTAAAGCAGATTGCCCTCTGAAATGTAGGTCGGCCTCATCCAATCAGTTGAAGGCCTTAAAACAGAACAAAGACTGACCTCACACCAGCTAGGAGGATTGGATTGCATCTCTCCCCTGGGTCTCCAGCCTGCTGGTCTACCCTTCAGATTTTAGACTTACCAATCCCCTACAACCCTGTATGCCAATTCATTAAAATAAATCTCTTTCTCTTCACATATGTATATGAAAGCTAGAACTGGCAAAATGACCCCAACTGAAAAGAGGTTCGAAAAGGAGGGAGAAGATTGACTGGGAACCTTTCTCTTAAAAGACAGCTGCGATTGCTTAAATGGACTGTTCCTAACCAACTTTACTTCATATAAAGAAATTTGTTAGTGTCAAATTACTACTGATGTTAGTGACATCAGTAGCATCTGATGTCATTCTGGAAGACCCATCGCTCATCTATCTCACTGGGCTAGAAGCACAGGCATAATTCTATCATAGATGCAGGTGCCGCTGGGGCCACACTGGCTTCTGGAGAGCTGCAGAGTCCTGACGGCGCAGAAAATGAACACGGCTCTCACTCATGGCTCTATCTTCCCTCTACTGATACTCTTCTCCCTGTTTCTTCATTTGCTTAGCATCATTTTTTTTTTTTCATTATGTTCCATGTATACTGTAGGCAGCTTTAAATCTTTCCCAGAACAAAGGAGGATATGAATAAAAAGGGGTGGTGAAGGCACTGGGGGTCCATCAGGCACACTGCTGGACATTCTGAGGAACAGTGGCACTGCCCGCATCACAAAATTGCTGGAACCAGACGACAACCCAGCTCCTGCTGAAAGCCTCCTCGCCTCCCCACCTATGTTTGCAAAGGGCTCATTCCTGGATTTAAAGAACACAAACAAACAGTCTTATCATATAGTTAACTAGTACATTTTTCTCCTGTTCACAAAAGGTGGCTTTTATTTATGGAATATGCAAATTTTAGTCAATGCCCTGAGGAGTGTTCAGAAATTCGAGATACATTAAATGATTTATAAGTGACAGCACCCATATTGGAAGAGACATAAGCAAGGGCACCTTTATAGTATAACTCAGTTACCAGTAAGCCAAATTTCTGCCACCACTAAAACACAAGCCTAACTCCTTTGTGTCAATTCATATCATAAAAGACCCTTAATGGAACCAAGACTCTTTTCTCCTTTTCCAAATTCATTGTTCTTTTTATTAATACAAGCCGAAATTCCTAATCTGTCTTGCTTAAATTCTAAATTTATTTTAGTACTTCAAGAATGTAAGTGGTGTTTGGGCATAGTGGCTCACGCCTGTAATCCCAGCACTTTGGGAAGCTGAGGTGGGAGGATTGCTAAAGGAGTTCAAGAACAGGACCAGCCTGGGGGCAGCAAAGCAAGACCCTGTCAAAAAAAAAAAAAAAGGGAAAGAGAGAAAGAAAGAGAGAGAGAGAAGGGAGGGAGGGAGGAAGGAAGGAAAGAAGGAAGGAAGGGGGGGAGGGAGGGGGGAAGGGAGGAGGAAAGAAAGGAAAAGAAAGGAAAGGAAAAGAAAGAAGAGGAGGAGGAGGAGGAAGAAGAGGAAGAGGAAGAGTGGATGTGGGGGTGTAAATTGATGCAACTTTTCTAGGAAGCTATTTGGCAGTAAACATCAAGGGCCTTAAAAATGTTCCTATTCTTTTACTCAGTAATTCTACTTCTGAGAACTTGCCTGCAGAAAAATACTGAAATGCTGATCAATGATATACAAAACTGGATTACATACAAAGAGGTGCATTTCATGTTTAAAAAAAAAAAAAAAAAAAAAAAAGGCAAACAACTGGAAATAATCCGAACAGCCAACAACAGAATTGTTCACTTATGAAGCAGCCATGGGATATATTGCTCTGTGGTTGTTAATGATGATGTGTACACCACGCTTTAAATACCTTGCTGCACAGTTGTAACCACTTGAGAAATGTTAGTGATAGAATGATAAACAGAAAAAATAGGAAATAGAACTACAAACACAGTACACCCTCAAGTATCATACACACAGACATCCACAAATACGTAATTGGAGAAAATACACCAAAATTATCTGAGGGATGGGATTATGGGTATAATTTTCTTTTTCACGTTTCCATTTTCCAATGTTCGACAAGGAGGTTAGTAATCACTTCTATGATTAGTAACTGAAATAAAAGTTGCATTTAAAAATAGGAAGTAGCATACAAATCCACCACAAAGAAAATTACGGATTGCAATGTATTCCTTTTTATTAAATTATAAAACTGTTGTCAATACATGTGCTTTTGGAAATAGTGTTTTCCTCAAGTATCTGCTTTTGTGCAGCACTTGGGTTTAAACAAACAACAAATTTCGATACCAACTTCTTGGGCTTCAAGCTATTGAGCACTTATAGCCAAACTATCAAGTATAGTTATGATATAGACAGTCCAAATTTATGGAAAATATTACAAAGACAAATGCCTTGAAAAGATGACACAGTGCAGGGAAAACTACAGCTATTAAGCTGGTATAAAAACTTAGTCAAAATGTTTTAGTCCATTATGGCTCTGCCTAAAGCTTCAAAGGAAGAAAATTTAAGACACTTCTCATCCAAGGCACTTAAAAGAGTTGCAATAAAGTACTTCTTTGAATTTAGTTTGAGCCCAACAGTATTTTTTATTCCTTTTTCACATTCTGACTCACACTGAAACAGTCCTTGAAGGCAGCTATTAATGAGGAAAAATAGTTATTGCTTCTTAATATACATATTACAAGTACGCAAACAGAATACAGATTTCGGTCCACTGAAGCAAGTAACAGGATCTGACTGCAGTGTTCTGCTTAATTCTGAACAAAAAGCCACAGACTCCTCTAACCCAGTCCCACAAACAGAGCCCTCAGTTCTGAATTTGCACCAGCTGTCCCCTGGGTTCTCCATGAGGACACACGAGCTGGAGTCCCACCACGTCTCCATGGTGCATTCTAACTGGAGAAGAACCATCCCGGCGGCCTGGCAGGAGTGGCTAGTCTGATGCCATGCAGGCAGGCCTGGGAGAGTCCGTGCTCAGACATCTATAATTCTGTGTCCCGGTATCGGGCAGACTGGCCATAGTAACCGCGCTTGGAGTGTTCTGACAGCTGCTGGCGGTACTCCTCCTCCTCGGCATCACTGCCATAACTTCCTCTGGTATCCTGATAAGGTCTGGAAGGAGCTTTCTGTGGCTCAGGGGGTCTGGAACTAACAAAAAAAGGGTGTTAAAGACATTCCAGAGCACATCCATGTCCTCCGGCTGCCCGGGGAGGCATGGCTCTGAGCACAGTGACTGGGTATCCCGAGCAGATCACTTACCTCTGAGCCACATTCTGCAGAGCAACCAGGGCATCCCTGGTCCTGCTCCAGGTTCGTAATAGGTCAAATCCAATGCCCACTTCGGCGGTGAGTGAGGAAGCCAGCCAGGTGCTCCCTGACCTAAGAATCTCCCTGTTGGACAGGGGGTGCCCTCCTTACCCCTAAGCTCCCTGGCTAGTCTCACCCAGCAGCGAGGTCTCTGCCAGTTTCAGTCCATCATAACCAAGAACTCTTTGTTGCCAGAGGCAACCTGGTTGACTGTGTTACCACTCAGCTGGTAAAGAAGAAATTTGTTTCCAGTTTTCTATCACTGGAAAACTAGACTTCAGCTTCCAGTCAGAATGGCCACAAGAGGCTGGGTACAGTGGTTCACACCTGTAATCCTAGCACTTTGGGAGGCCGAGGCGGGCGGAGGTCAGGAGTTTGAGACCAGCCTGGCCAACATGGTGAAACCCTGTCTCTATTAAAAATACAAAAACTAGCTGGATATGGTGGCACACACCTGTAATCCCAGCTACCCGGGAGGCTGAGGCACGAGAATCGCTTGAACCTGAGAGACGGAGGTTGCAGTGAGCTGAGATTGCACCAGTGCACTTCAGCCTGGGCGACAGTCACTCTGTCTCCAAAAAAAACAAAAGAATGGCCACAAGAAAATGTGACTTTTTTTTTTCTATTCTCGGAAGCAGGAAGCAATCCAGTATAAAACTTCAACAGGAAGACACTGTGAACATTCCTACTGTTTGTGTGGCATTTACCAAGACTGCTCATTTGCTTGTCACGGTCCCTTTAGACCCCAGGGCAGCACAAGCGGTCTGACTTTGCTGGATGATGCAAAGGAATTAAGAAGTTTGGCTGAGAGTCAGCAAACAAGACAAAACAGGTCTAAGCCGTAGGAATTCTGCTCATGTGCTAACCATGTGCAATGTAACATAACCAGGCTCCAATGTGTCAAATGTACTGGCTGGAAACATCAATGATTACACTTTGTCAGAGTTTTAGCACACAAGCAAACTATGCTTAAGTTTTGACTCTGTAATCTTTACAATTAAATTTGATGGAATGAGTAAGGCAAACAGTCAATCTGTGGGGAAAAAATCCTCCTGTTACTCTGAAATTTGGGTAAAGGAAATTCTTTCTTCAAGTCCCAGTCCTTGAGAAGTCCCCGCCTTAGACCTGTACCCACTAGGCAGCCCTTACCTCGTGTGCTGGGGCGTGCCAGGGTCTGGCTTGTGCGTTTTGATTGGAACTGCATAGATATCAGGATGCTTCTGGGCAATTTCGATCTGTGGTAATTAAAAAAGAAAAGAATAAGAGTGAAAGAATGAACCACTGGGCACTCTGCTTGCTGGTTTCCTGCTGGTCCCACCCTTTCCCCATATCCTACTTATTTTCCCATCCCATTTCAAGAAGAGGAAACACAGAAGCGGCCTCCTCATTTCCATGGTTATGTGCGGTACACGTCAGACAGGAAAACTATTTAAAAGGAATGAAACTCTGACACATGCTACAACCTGGATGAACCTTGAGGACATCATGCTAAGGGAAATAAGCCAATCACAAAAAGACAAATAGTGTATGATTCTACTTATAGGAGGTTCCTACACTGTCCAATTCACAAAAAACAGAAAGTAAAGGAGTGGGTGCCAGGGACTGCGGGGAGAGGAGAGTGGTGAGTTAGTATTTTATGGGTACGGAGTTTCACGTGGGAAGGATAAAAAAGTTTTGGGGATGGATGGTGGTGATGGCTGAACAGCAATGTGAAGGTACTTAATGCCGCTGAACCGAACGTTTTAAAATGGTTGAGGCTGGGTGCAGTGACTCATGATTGTAATCCTAGCACTTTGGGAGGCTGAGGAGGGTGCATTGCTTGAGCCCAGGAGTTCGAGACCAGCCTAGCAACATGACAAAACCTTGTCTCTTCAAAAAATACGAAAAATTAGCTGGGTGCAGTGGCATGTGCCTGTGGTTACAGCTATTCAGGAGGCTGAGGTGGGAGTATCTCCTGAGCCTGAGAGGTGGAGGCTGCTGCGAGCTGTGATCACACTGCTACACTCCAGCCGGGGTGACAGAGGGAGACCCTGTCTCAAAACAAAACAAAACAAAACAAAATAAATAAAAGAAAAAAGTGGTTGAAATGGTAAATTTTATGTTATGTATATTTTACGACAAGAAAAGAAAAATGCTCAGATGTACTGCTGCTGTTGTGCTAGACCTGAAAGAAAACTCCCACATCTACTGGGCAAATATACTCCACAGACCTTTAGTTAAATTCTTCTTTGTTTGAAAAGTTCTATGTGCATATGGTATACAAATTCAAACAGCTCAAAAAGTACAATCTATGGGCCTTTCTGTTTTAGCACCCAGTTTGCTTGGTTTCTACGGCAAATCTGGGAGCCAATGAAGACACGTTTAAGAAAAAAAAATCACATTCTAATTAAAACGACTTCCGAGAGGCACTGATTCCCTCCTCACACTTCCTCATTCCAGAACTCTATACAAAGTTCTGTGTATAAAGAGCAGAATCTTCTTCCCCTATATTGTCAAGTTTTCTTCTTTGGAAGAACAAGGGACGTGCTGGGAGCTGGCAATCTGAAGTGACATACACAGCACCTGCCTTTGGTGCAGTGCATCCCTGCCACATCTGCAGCAGCAGCAAAGGGGCTGTTCGCTGTTATGTTGAAATCAAACTTATTTAAAACTCTTATTGATGATGTGTAGTTTAAAAACAATTACCCTTGCATTCTGTGCTTCCTGGAGCTCCTGCATTCTCTGTAACCTGGCCTTGTGATCCATCTTCTCAAATATTTTGACTTTGCCCAGGACTGATTTGGGAGCATTATCTTGCTCCTCACTGCTCTCTCCCACCTCCTCACCCTCTTGAGGAGGGATGGGAGTGGAGGGCTTCAGTATAGACCGCCCAAAGGTAGGTTTTGCTGCAACAGGAGGAGGATAACCTTTGGTAGATGCCCCAGGAGTTTCATTACCAGCAACGGCAGAGGGGTTTGACTTATATTCATAGGATTTGGAGAAGTCATAGGATTCTTCTTTGTTCTGGGTTTTGGCCTGCGGAGAGCAATGACACGTTTTCACCCTGGGCTTTTAAGTTTATTTTCAAATCTATATTAGTGATTTAATACACTCCATTTCCTGATCAGTTTCCAAAGGTGGTCCACAAATACCATTCTGACAAGGAATGTAATACAGCAGGGCAAACAGCCACTGGCCAGGCTTCCTGAGCCCTACCTCCCTTCCTATACTAGTCTATTAGGAATGTCAGGAAGCCAAAAAGGAATAGGGAAAGTGCTGGGAGGGCTGTGATTGCTGGAGGTAAGATCAGACCTGGAATAATTTTGTTCTAGAGGAGATCAGCATCTTGGAGAAGATCTCAGAACAATTCAGGCTTTGGGACTCGAAGAGTGGGCTTCTGAGGTCACTGCTGCACTGAGGGTACATGAGCCGGCCCAGGTGAGACCCATGTCCAGCTGAGGAATGAGACTGGGGTGGGGAGCGAGGAGAGCACTGCTTCACGCTAACAGCCACTTTTCCTTCACACTTCCAGTCTTGCCCGGCTTGCAAATTTTCGCTGATGTATTTTATGAGGTCACTTATTATTACTTAGTACCTATCACATTTACTACTTCTGATGGCTCACACAATCAATTATGGCTTTCTTCTCATCTAAATTATTGAGTTAGGCTGGGCGCAGTGGCTCACGCCTGTAATCCCAGCACTGTGGGAGGCCGAAGTGGGTGGATCACCTGAGGCCAGGAGTTCGAGACCAGCCTGGCCAACATGTCGAAACCCCATCTCTACTAAAAATACAAAAATTAGCTGAATATAGTGGTGCACACCTCTAAGTCCCAGCTACTCGGGAGGCTGAGGCAGGAGAATCACTTGAACCCAGGAGGTGGAGGTTGCAGTGAGCCGAGATTGCACCACTGCACTCCAGCCTGGGCAACAGAGTGAGACTCTGTCTCAAAAAATAGTAATAATAAATAATAAATTATTGAGTTAAATAGGTTTTATTCTGGTATAAGGAAAAACATAGAGTCACAGCTCTGATTCTGACTAAAGGTAAATAATCTTTTGATATAAGCCCTTGTGTCTTTATATTGATTCTGCTCTGGATAATGATTTATTAAACAAATAAGCAGCTCTCTTAATGAGAGGCATTGTAAGCAGTGGTGATGATTATTCTCTTTAGCACATCACCAGTAAGAATTATCTGGTGCATCTAAATCAGACTGGGCAGAAAACTTTAGCTGGACAGCAAAAGAAAAACACGTTCTGCGATTGGTGATTCTGGGTATACAGTACAGTATTTTTCAATCTTTTTCTTTACAATCTTTTTTTAACAAGAAGAGTAAATTAAATAAACACTAACAGTCCTAAAATCATATGCTCTCCTAATATTGCCTTTCCTTCCTTTTTGCCCTTCCCTAATTTGGGAGTTCACCCAACAGGCCAAAAGATAGGCTCTAATAGAGAACACAGTGAGTCAGAACCGTAATTAAACACCATCTCAGTGTGCATGCTCCTCCCTGGCCGTCCAGGAGGCTTCAGAGGCATCTGCTTCCTCTTCCTTCCCATCCTGGGCTTCCCAGCCACGTACCTTGGGCGGCTCTGGCTTGAATGCTGGGGGCGGGCTATTGTCCCTAAGTTGATCGCTGCTAGCAGCCCTCCTCATCTGAGCTCGTGGCTCTGGGCTGGGTTTCCTTATGCTCTACAAGACATAAAGGTTCATTCACAACAAGAACATCCAAGCAGAGAGAACAGAGCACTCGACTGCTTTGGAGGAGTTCTGCAAACTTGAGTAAGTCCAGAAGTTGAGGTTCTGAGCCGGTGCTTCTTTACTGAACAGGCAGAAACCATCACCAAATGCTTCAGACACATTTTTAAAAACTGGCTGCATCCAATGTAGAGTCTCTTCCTTTAAAGCACAATTTTTTAAGAACCCTCCAAAAGTCTAAAATCTCTTGTGTCACTAATATCCATGTCTATAGGCATTTGGAAGTTAATTTATTCTTTACAAGTTGTCTAGCATAAACTAATTTGTTGCTGTGGTAATGGTGTATTTTTCTCCCCCTTCAGTTTGTTGTTGTTGAACTTTTTTTTTTTTTTTTTTTTGGTAGTTCTATTTCATAAAGAAAAAAATCATTTACTGGAATGAGCTAAAATGCTAGAGAGAAATCCACAGCAATAATTATCCAAATATATGAACAATCCCATCTTCAAAGATCATTATTCCAACATTCTCTGAGGTGCAACTAATAATTGCTAACTTGGCTGTGACTTTACAGTGCCTGTCAATGTGATTTCAAGGATCCCATAAGCTATCTAATCACAGTGGATGCACAGTACATGTGATGTGATCAGATGAAGGTTTGATCATGAACTCAATTAAAAAACTGAAATATAAGAGAGAAGGAAACTGATGGGGAAACACTCAAGAGCTTTGGCAAGATTAGAAAGGTTAAAGGCAGGATGGGGAAGAAAAGCAAGGACATCTAAGAGTACAGAGAGAAACCTAATCAAAGGTTACAAGTACATACAACAATACTGCATGGGAAGGAAGGTTCCGCTGGTAATTTGGACAGACGGCACCTAAAGCCATTCTGTTTATCCATCGCACCTGAGGGCATGGGTGTGCGGAGTGCTGACCCCTCAAGCTCTTCTGAAGTCCACCTGCCTGCCCCACTTTCCCACAGACTGCAACCATGCCAGCGTGGACTCAAAGCGAGAGACTCCCTGGAAGTCATCTGCTCCAACCCTTAGGAATGCCTTCCACAGCACCCTGAACACACAGCTGTCCACGAGAGTGCAAGGAAAACACCAGGCTCTCCTGTTCCTGCCCGTGGCCTGCCTCGCCTCACCTCCTCGTGCTGCACCGGCTCCGAGGAGCGGGTGATGGACGACACCAGCGGCTCCTCGGCTGGCTCATCCAGCTCATTGTCAGTGTAGGCGCCTCCTTCACCGTCCGTGTCTTCAAAGTCACTGATGAGGCGGCTGTCGCAACTCAGATAGTCCGCGCCCATGGCGGTTAAGTAGGACATGCGGTCTTCGGGGTCATCATCCATCCCTTCCATCTAGAGGAATTTGTGTTGGACGGTCAGTGGGGTCTGATGTGGCTCCTGGGAGTGGGGACTCAAGAAAATTCCCAAGGACACAGCCAAGCGACTGAAACCTTGATGTGCTCGCCAGGGAAGGCATCTTTTATTTTTCTCCCTGAGATCACTTGGCTTTGGTACAATGTTGATATTATGGTCGTTTTTGTGCAGGAACTCAAATTAGGGGCCCTGCAGCCTATCTGTGCTACCATCCATCCTCCATACCGCGGCTAAGCCACACTTTCTCAGTCTGTCTTGCTTTTCTTCTGAATCCAGCTCCTCTGCAGCCTGTTCTCCTGGTACCACTCTCCTAGTAATATCAACACATTGCACGCTGCCTTGTGCTACACTCACATCCATGCCTCTACAAGATTCTCAGACCCTCAAAGGCAGAAGCTATGTCCTGTTCAACCTGTCCTCCCCAGGGAAGCTTGCATCCCCCTTCCAAACTGGAAGCACTCCATAGATGCCAGATACTTTGACTACACATCTAGTTCTCAAAGAGCAAAACTTAGTCAATTCTGCAACAAAATAGTCACTGTCAAGTCTCACAAAACTACCTCAGTTCAGCTGGTGAACAGGATACTAACACCAAAAGCTTCTAAAATAAAAGCGGCCACAGGTAATAGAATCTCCCTCTCTCCTCCCTGCAGCACAGCTGTGTGTGAGCTATCTCCCCGAGGGAGAAGCGATCCAATTCTAGAGGCCTAGACAAATTCCCTAACGTTCTCATATCACCCATTCAAACTCCCAGAACGATGGCACATTCTCAACCAACCTTATTTTCTAAGTAATTCTAACTCCATTAGCTTTTCTTTTTATTAATGTTTAGCCGTATTCTCCAAGTTGCTCAACCTCACCTCTCATCTGCACTCTAAGTTTCCCACGTCCTTAGTAAGCTGTGGAGCTCAGCATGAGATCTTGTAAGCTCTGATTAGTGTACTTGGAATATAACACTAGTTACTACATTAAAAGTGAAAGGGAAGTGAATGTAGGGCTGCACATGTCACATTCTGCTCTTCTTTTAAAAGTCCCTTCATTTTTATTACTTGGTCAGAGAATTTACGAAATTTCAAACTTGATTAGCACACATGTGAGCATCACTTCAAATGGGCATGGCTTGACTACATTCACTGCCCTCTTGAGAAAAGTTTCAGAACAGGGACTCTCACCTCATAGCAGCATATCTATGCCACATACCTTTCCTTCAGAGACCCAAACCGCTTCTCCTTGCTGATGCTGAATAGTGTCCTTTAAGCTGCCAAACCAGCTATCATTGGCTGAATTTAGGTTGATTGTAGCTATAGAAATATAAACAAAAAGGTCTGCATTAATTTCCAGAGGCATGTTTATTAAGGATGCTATTTGACATAATTTACACTCATTTCTGTGATATTTAAGACTATGGCAGACGCAAGAAGATGTTTGCACATCTTTGAATATTAAAACCCTTTTAATGAATGCAATTAAAACTACTAATCATGTAGCTGTTTGAGTTCACATTATAGGTGGATGTGATAAAGCTAAAAATAGATTTTTAGAATGTTTATTTTCAGAAAGGCTAACTTTTAAAAATGTTTTTAAGAACATGTGTTTTCGGCCAGGTGTGGTGGCTCATGCCTGTAATCTCAGCACTCTGGGAGGCTGAGGTGTATACACTAATTAGTATACACTAATATACTGTATTGGCTACCTCCAATAAAATACTAAAAGTAACACTTAAACATAAAGTTGTCCCTTGGTATCTGTAGAGGATTGGTTCCGGGACACCCCCCACTTGGATACCAAAATCCACAGATGCCGAGTATCTGATACAAAATGACACAGTATTTGCATATGACTTATGTACATCCTCTTATATACTTTAAATCATCTCTGGATTACTTATAATTCCTAATACAATGTAAATGCTACGCAAATCGTTGTTATACTATATTGTTTAGGGAATAATGACAAGAAAAAAACCCTGCACGTTTAGATGTAACCATCCATTTTACCCCTCAAATATTTCCTATACACGGCTAGTTGAATTCATGAATGTGGAAACCACAGACATGGAGAGCTGACTGTATATCACTTTGATAGACTTACACATTTTAGAATATACATATAGATTAAACAAACCCAACCAGTGTGTATTCAAAGAATATACATTTTCTACTCAGAACAAAGTATATCTTACATAATAGCACTTACTATGCATCAACCAGTTACTTTCCAAGTACCTTACCTGGATTAGCTCATTTCACGACTACACAAACTTTGCAAGGTAGGTGTTGCTATGATGCCCATCTTATAGATGAGAAACCAAGGTAAAGTAGTGAAATTAACTAGCCCAAGGCCACACACCAAGCAAGTGTGAAGCTTGGATGCAAGCTCAGAAAACTGCTTTCAGAGCCTATGGTCTCAGCCACCACACTACATGGCCCATCTAAAAACAGAAATTTAGAGCACAGATATAAAATACCAACAAAGTACAACATATGTCATTTCTTCAGCAATATGTATTATGGACCTAATGGAGATAAATTAGACAAGCAAGTTAGTCCAAAATAACAAATTGTACCCCTAAAATTATCAGACTGCAGGTAAATTAGGATTTCTTTTAAACTACATTGCCATGGCCTCTTATTGTACTATCACTTCTAAAGCCAAAAAGAACCATTAAGCAAATTTTGTAAGCAATGATGCTTCAGGTTTTCCTCCAAGTAACATAGCTTTCTTCTGTTTAAGAAGTTCTAACA
Source organism: Homo sapiens (assembly GCF_000001405.40). Lineage (NCBI taxonomy): Eukaryota > Metazoa > Chordata > Mammalia > Primates > Hominidae > Homo > Homo sapiens. Next base: position 69,245,246 of record NC_000009.12, on the reverse strand, counting down.
GTGACCTTAGAAAATCCTGAATGAGCTTACAATTTCCTTGGTTATTAATTATTTACAGCACTGAAATAAACTGATCCATTAGACAACCCGAAGAAAATTAACTTTGATTCCACGGACTTCTCTATTCCTATTATGGTACTCTGCAAAGATTACTGTGCTCATCTCATAGCTAAAATATGATACTTAAAAATAGAAGTGAGATTTTGTACCCCAGAGACAAAATGAGTGATTTACACTAAATATATACAAAATGTTAAGCAGTCTTTTAAAGCTTTATGTTGCAGCTGTCTGAGATAAGTATGGTCTGCATTCATCATAAAGAAAACCTAAAGTTAAAACGGCATTTTGTGAGATGCAGGAAATATGTTCTTGCCCCTTGATAAAATAAAGAAAATCACAAAAGCTCTTACTGAATTCACATTAACAGTCAAGTTTATGAATAAAAATTGAGAGCTTCACAGTAGCTAACTTCCTAAGCTGCATATAAAAGTAACATCCAACTCATGCACTTGACCTCTTTTTAACAGGCAGGTGCACAGACATGAAGCTGCCTTCCCTTGACTCTGCTGAATTAAGTACCTTTAGCTTATTATTGGATTCTCTCATTCCGCTTCTCAGATTCTTTGCCTTAGAGCAATAGTAGTTAATTATCTGTTGCTCCTAACCTCTGGGTTATGCCTATATCCCCTTGGATAGACTTACTCTATCTTTTGAGCTCAAGAAAGTGAAATACTGAAAGGATGCTGACTCAGCCACTGCCTTAGTTGGGAATACTGAGGTTCTGAGGGCACGTGTGCCCAGCCCTGACATGTATGGTCAGTGCTACCTCCCCCTCCCCAGCCAAGGAGGTTTGGAAGCACCAAGAGCGACAGCAAAAGGTAACATCTAAGACTAGAGGGTTTAGGGAAAGGGAGAAATGGGGAATGACTGCTAATGGGTATGGGGTATCTTTTGGGGATGATAAAAATGTTCTAAGATTGATTGGTTGTGATGACAGCTGTACAACTCTGAATATACTAAAGCCCACTGAATTGCATACTTTTTTTTTTTTTTTTTTTTTTTCCTGAGACAGGGTCTCATTGTCGCCCAGGCTGGAGTGCTGTAGTGCAATCTCGGCTCACTGCAACCTCCAGCTCCCGGGCTTAAGTGATCCTCCCACCTCAGCCTCCCAAGTAGCTGGGACTACCGGCACCCACCACCACACCCAGCTAATTTTTTTATTTTTAATAGAGACAGGGTTTCATCATGTTGCCCAGGCTGGTCTCAAACTCCTGAGCTCAAGTGACCTGCCCACCTTGGCCTCCCAATGTGCTGGGATTTACAGGCGTGAGCCACCATGCCCAGCTGAACTATATACTTTCAATGGGTGGATTATATGGTATCTAAGTCAAAACTCAATAAAGCTTTTCACGTGGCTCGGTTAACAGTGGCACGCTAGACCCCCTCTAAATGGGCATGCAACAGCAAAGGTATCCAGCTAGGGGGCCCAGCATCTTCCTTCTCTTTTCTGTGGTCAACTAGCTAGTCTATATAATCCTTTGAGAAATCAGGAATTAAAATTCTATAATTAGCATAAAAGGGTAGCCCCACTTGGGTCTCTAAATCCATAAGTCAACTTAAATGATCTTCGAACCATGCACTGAGTACTTTGAAGATTCCAAGAAAACATGTAATTCAAAGTTTGTTTTTTAAAAATAAAAATTTGTGATATGCAAATGTATTTTATAGAAAATTTTTAAAAATTGGTAGTAGGGGAGGCAAACCTAACACTTAAACTTATTATGACAAGTCAACTTGCCTTTGGGCAAATCTCAGAATAAAGCTTCTCTTGTTTAACTGAGAAGTACTGTAAGACTTGTAAGGAGAACTATTTTCATATTGTCATAATTAAATACTCGTGAGGAAGAGGAGCTTTCTTATTACTTTGCAAAAAGGAAAACAAAAGGATATTGAGCCTAAAGAGACTAATGCAACATAAAGCTTGACTTCAAATTACTGTGTTCATCAAAGCACTCTATTATTCTCAACTACTAACTCACAAAAATGCCATACACTTAAAATCATTTTAAAAGCCTACAAAATAGGCCAGGCACGGTGGCTCATGCCTGTAATCCCAGCATTTTAGGAGGCCAACACGGGCAGATTGCTTGAGCCCAGGGGTTTGAGACCAGCTTGGGCAACATGGGTAAACCCTGTTGCCAGAAAAAATACAAAAATTACCCAGGCATGGTGGTGTGTGCCTGTAGTCCCAGCTACTGGGGAGGCTGAGGAGGGAAGGTGCCTTGAGCCCAGGAAGCAGAGGTTGCAGTGAACCGAGATCGTGCCACTGCACTCTAGCTTGGGCGACAGAGGGAGACTATGTCTCAAAAACAAACAAAAACTATAAAATACTAATTCTGCCTGAAGATTCTACTGCTCAAATGTAAAGACTAGTGTTTCTGGACATGGCACACAGCCTCAAGTCAAAACCTGGTCAAGCTAAGAGGGACGAGGGTGAGATGGGGAATAAAAGCAATTATTAGTGCAGTCATCCACACAGCTGTAGGGAGTCAAACTTTGAAGTCTGGAAGAGTACTGTAAAAGACCACTTGCTAGAAAATTGGAGCTTGCTGGTCAAAGTTGCTGCACACCCTGCACCATCTATCCTGAAGACTGTACAATTCTACATAAGAGATTGGCAATTTCTGGTGAGATAAGATCACTTCAATGTTTTAGATGAAACTCAATGCTTACAGTGTGTGCTTCCATTCCAATCTCTGACTTGAGTTATTCTAAAACTTTCAACTTCCTGATGAGTTTAGGCAAGAAATGGCTTGGTGTGCCAGGGGCAGTTCTAATGTAAGTTACAAACATTTATGCCTTGCCCATGTGCTAGTCCTGATGCTGGCCTCAGGCACACAACGCTGGGAAATGTTCAGGCTCTGCCTTCAAGGATCTTGAAATCCATCTATGGAGCTAACAGAGGTGTTGCTAACCCCTTCTACACACATGGACCCCTCTAGATTCTTACTCACACTCAGCCAGCTACCGTGGCCTGTGCTCCCAAGAGCAAATGATGCGGACTCAGGTTAGATCAAGGGAGAGCCCCACAGTCACTGGCTGCCTTCTTCTGCCCTGCTCTCCTCGTCCAGCCGCCTTCAGCCTAGTTCTTCCTCTACAATGCACTGTAATTCCCTTCCCGATTTCCTACATCCTCACGTGAATCCCAAATTTAACTCTCTGAGGGAAGACGCTCGCTATTTAGTGTACTCAGACAAAAGCAGGGGGGAAAATAAAGTGGGGATAGTTTTAACTTCATTTATAATCACTTTGGCTTCAGTTTTTTAATCTGTCAAAAGGAAGGGCTGCATTACGTGACCCCTTTTGGGATTAGAATATGTCTGTGCTGTAACATATGTACAATATTGGACAGTTAGGGACGCTATAGTTTAGTCTGGGCTCAGTCATACATCAGAATTGTGATTATGCAAAAGTGCTGGCCTTTCTTATGGCCTAATAAGACAGCACACATGGAAGGCTGTACCACTCTTTACTGTTGCTATAATAGTAATAATCATAATAATTATAATACTAGTAGTAAAAAGGACAGAAAGGATATTCATAAATATACCAAGAGTATGAGTACGTAAGACTACATTCACAGAAATCTAGTTTATGATGGACCACTTCCTCCTCTGCATTTGGTTAAACTCTCTCCATTTGGCCACAGTGGCAAGTAGTGCACCTCTCTTTAACAAGAAAAACCAAGTTACACTAAAACAAGCATCTAATGTGAACACAATCATTCACCCCTTCCTCTCCAGTATCAGAGATACACTAAAATGACATGGGTGGATGATGATGGGCAATGAACTCAATGAGCTATCCTCATCCTAAGGATATCATATCCTTGCAGTCTCCTCGTGTTGCCCCAACAAAATAATGCCCTGCATGACCACAAAATTTATGTAACCCTTTAAAACTCTTAATAATCTCATATGCACAGAATTAATCATTTATATAGACAGTGCATATATTGTTACTAAAATATGTCATGTTCTTAGACCATTTTACTTTCATGAGTAATAGCAATGGCTCTTCATTTCATGGACTTAAAAATATATTCTATTAGGTAAATCTTTAAATATGTACAAAAGTACAGATAGCAGTTTAATGAACTCCGATGTACATATCAACCAGTTCAACAACTAACAACTACCAAGTCTTGGCCAGTCTTGTCCTGTCTATAATCCCATCTACTCCCCTCACTGCAGACTATTTAGGCAAATTCTCAACATTATATTAGGTCAACCATAAATATTTTATTTAGTATGCATTCCTCAAAGAACTTTGTTTTTAAAAAAATCACAATATTATTATCACACCTAACAAAGAGAAATAATAAATCTTTAAATCATCCAATATTCAGAGTGTCCAAGTTTCTAGATTTTTTTTTTTTTCTTTGAAGAGACAGGGTCTCACTCAGTCACCAGGCAGGAGTGCAGCAGTGCCATCACAGCTCACTGCAGCTTTGAATTCCTGGCTCAAGCGATCCTCCAACCTCAGCCATAGGCATGCACCACCATGCTAGGCCTTTTAGTAGAGACAGGATCTCACCATGTTGCTCAGGCTGGTCTCCAACCCCTGGGCTCAAGTGATCCTCCTGCCTTGGCCTCCCAAAGTGGGAGGATTACAAGTGTTATCCACCATGCTGGACAGGAATATTTTTAAATAATGAAACCAAGTTCCTTTCGCTTTGTAAGTTAATGCATGTATTGATGGTGAGTAGAGAACAATGACACAATCTCTAGAGAGACATAGGTGTTTGGCCTGGCTCAATCACTAGCCTTATAGTCTCACAGGAAAATATGAACTTCATCAAAATAGCTAATTATTACCACATCATGGATCTTTATGGTCATTTTCAAATAGACAAAATTACAAAGTTCAATATATAAATGCCATTGGCCTAATATCCCATTTTATAGGATTAACTATTTTTCAAGGAGTCATGAACACAATTTCAAATTCTCCATTCAGATTAATTAATTATTTCTTCTACTCTTCAATTCTTTATTTCTCATTTTTTAGCAAAGGGACTACATTTACATTTCACTTACCTGTAAAAAGGTGTGCACACGTTTTTTTAAGCTTGTTGGCTTGATCAAATAACTTTCGAGAACTTTTGTTGGACGTTGGATTTAACCTTTGTCTCATGGTTTTGACACCTTGTCTGGAGTCTGGGTTGAAAAAAATCACAATTGGGAACCACTGGGTGTAATTCAACAGGTCCACAGCTTTCGGAGTCACATCCAGTAGTGCATGCTTATCCTGTTTACAAAAGGGGAAAAGTTAGAGAAATGGATATATAAAGTAATATAGCATCAAATACTTTGTTTTAATAAGTAAAGGCTGTATGAGATATATCTTGTTTGTTTGTTTGTTTACTTATTTGGGATAGATTCTTGCTCTGTTGCCCAGGCTGGAGTGCAGTGGCACAAACTTGGCTCACTGCGACCTCCGCCTCCCGGGTTCAAGCAATTATCCTGTCTCAGCCTCCTGAGTAGCTGGGATTACAGGTGCCCGCCACCACCATGGCCAGCTAATTTTTGTATTTTTAGTAGAGACAGGGTTTCACCATGTTGGCCAGGCTGGTCCCAAACTCCTGACTTCAGGTGATCCGCCCGCCTCTGCCTCCCAAAGTGCTGGGATTACAGGCATGAGCCACCTATCTTGTAAATTTAAATCAAGAAGCAGAACACATTTCCTTCTACCTAATGCCCACTTCAATATTACCAATGTGTTAGAACTTCTGATAAAATGAATTAACACATTATTTGGTATAATGCTGGGAACTCTGGAAAAAAAAACAGTATGTTACTGCCAGAGAACAGTAACAGTGACTGGTTTCCACACAGTGAAATGGTTTGCATTTACATTATATATATATTTTTTTGAGATGGAGTTTCACTCTTGTCGCCCAGGCTGGAGTGCAATGGTGCAATCTCCGCTCACTGCCAACAGTGACTGGTTTCCACACAGTGAAACGGTTTGCATTTACATTATATATATATTTTTTTGAGATGGAGTTTCACTCGTCGCCCAGGCTGGAGTGCAATGGTGCAATCTCCGCTCACTGCAAACTCCGCCTCCTGAGTTCAAGCGATTCTCCTGCCTCAGCCTCCTGAGTGGCTGGGACTACAGGTACCTGCCACTGTGCCCGGCTAATTTTTTATATTTTTAGTAGAGACAGGGTTTCACCATGTTGGCCAGGCTGGTCTCGAACTCCTGACCTCAGGTGATCCACCCGCCTCAGCCTCTCAAAGTGTTGGGATTACAGGTGTAAGCCACTGTGCCCGGCCAATTTTTTATTATTAACATTTAATGATTAAAAGTACAGATACTATCCTAAAAGTGACTGCAGCAAACCATAATCTAATTCTTTCTGAAAACACGGTCTGTGGATGAATTTTCTCACCTGTTCAATAATTTGCCTCACGGTATTTAACCGGACCACTCCAGTGGATTTCTCAGATCCTGCATCTTTTGGTTCCGTTTCTGCAAAAGCAAAAACAGGAAGCTAAATAATTGTTTAGAAAACAGTGACAACCAAATACTCCCACCTAGCATCAAGCAATGATGGCACACCTGACATTAAGTGTCTCCTAACAAGATTCAGTGGGAAGGACCCACATAACCTGCTTAGTGGAAATCTAATCATGAAGAAACGGTTAGGCCAGTCCAACAGGAAGCATTCTAGGAGACAACTAGCTTGGATTCTTCAAAATATCAGTGTAACAAAGTTATTTAGAAAAAAGAGGGGACTGGAAAGACATAAAAATCACAAAAAGACATAAAAATCAAATGTCATGAATGGTCCTTGGTTGTATTCTGAATTTAAAAAAAAGCTATGAAGCACATAACTAGGACAATTAAGAAAACGTGGAAAATGGACTATATACAAAATCACACCACATCAATGTTACCTTTCTTGGCTGTGATAATGGTATTGCAGTTATGTGGGAGAAAGTCCTTGTTCTTAGGAGATTCACACAAGTATTCAGGGATAAAGTGTTATAAATGATTCTGCAGAAATTTTTCAAAGAGTATGTGTATGTGTGTGTGTATGTGTGTCTATGGTGCAGGCAGTGGGTGAGAGAAAATGCGTGACAAAATGTCAGCAACTGGTGATTCCAGGTGAAGGGTACGTGGGTGTTCATGATTCTTCCAACTCCTCTGTTAGAAATTTTTCAAAATAAAAATTTGGGGGAAAAAAAAACACTGACAGACTTACTAGCAGTTTGAAACCAGTCAGGTAACTCATTAGCCAATTTTTCCATTGCTATATCAGCTATGGGGCCGAATAAGACCACAGGTCTCTTGAAACCAGCTGAAATGACAAGAAAGGCCATTAAAGCATACACACTTGCCTAGCTGTTATGATAAGCAGTAAAAGTATTGTATGGGCTTTTGATAACATAACTAAACGAAAGAAACTGTGGTTTCTCCCCAATTCAGCTTGGCTCTGTTCTGAAGAATATGCCTTCACTATCCTCACCATTTAAAACAATTTTTTTCTTTTCATTCAACCACATGCTAACCTAGATTTTTTTTTAAGAGACAAGATCTCACTATGTTGCCCAGACTAAACTCAAACTCCTAGGCTCAAGCCTCCTGAGTAGCTGGGACTACACTGCCTAGCTCCTCACCATTTTTAAACACAAACTTTCCCATTGATAATATATGGAAACTTTTTTTATTTTTTGCAGAGATGAGGTCTTACTATATTGCCCAGGCTAGTCTTGAACTTCTGAGCTCAAGTGATCCTCCCACCTTGGCCTCCCAAAGTGCTACGATTATAGGCATAAGGTACAGTGCCCAGCCAATATACCGAAACTCTTGAACAGTGGTATTAAAACATTTTTTAAGTTGCAGAAATAAGCCTCAATTTAGGAACTGAAACAGCTTTTTATAAATCATGCTCCTTGTTAGAATTTGATTTCAACTCTATAAACTGCCTTTGGCATAACTGACATACATAAGTTAGAACTTGACCATACAGTCTGAAAATAAAGGTGAACAGGCTCAGAGCCCAGTCAGTTCATTTCCAGGCCCCATGTGACTTCCTCACCTTCTCGCAGCAAAACCCTCTCATAAGCTGGGAACTTGGTGCTGACAGACACAACAGCTGTGAGGTCTTCCCGACTTTTCCTCAGGTTCTTCTTCACCCCAGACCTCTGGCCACGCATTCTCCAGAAATCTGCCCGGTCCCCAGCGTTGTCTCTCTGGGCATTTTGAACACTGGCCATTTGTTCAGCTCTGAGAAGAAACCACGGGAAGTAAATCTCTAAAGCCAGAAAACGCAGCTAACATGCATTTCATTAATCAAATCCAGTCAATTTTACTTCTGAGCTCAGAGAAGATTCCGCTTGACAATGAAGAAGTTTCAGAGGGTGGGAAATGTGGGGACCTTCACTTCCAAATGGGAGCAGAAAAAGGCTGGGTCTCTGTGAAATCTCCCAGAAGTGGCTCAGCAATAAACATGTGAAATTTGGCCCATTCTGATATGCAGGTACACAGTACACACACCTGGAACTCCTGCTCAAATACAGGCCTCTTTTCTAGGTTCCTGCACTGTCAGCCAAACACCAAGTGTTCACTGGGGTGCATAAACCTCTCCAAGGATGGAGACTGGGCACCGGACAAGGGTACCTTGTCTCTAAGAGGTGTGCTGGTGTGCTACGGCCATTCAGTATATCTCTTGTATACGGTACAAGGCAGTGGATGCTCCTTAGGAAGTTGTTCAAACAGCCACATTCAGCAACCAACCACATGATGCTAAATTTACTCACAATAAACTGGCTGGTGGCTATTTACAGTTCAGGCCACTCTCCATAAACAAGAAATAGATGGTGACAAGTAATGAACTCATCATGTGGGGTTTCCTTTTACGGGGGAAGGGGGGCGGTCTCTAGTTTTCTGCAGGGGGAAGGATTAAAAGGGGTATGTGAGAATGCGATCTCTGTTACCTGCTCTTGTTGGGGATTAAGCCTTTCTCCAACTCGTTCCCAATCCTCACAGCCAGCCAGTTGCCCAGCTTGCCGTCATACAGTGTGTCTACCACTCGGAAGACCTCCCCTCTGGTGAAGGCCAGGCTCTGTGGAGTTTCCTTCTCACATTCAAAGTGGCTTCTTATAAAAAACGAATCCCCTCTGCCACAAGCCAGGATGTCTCTATACACTGAAAGACAAAAGCATCGTTTGTTGCATTCAGCTTAGTACAAGTTACAGTACTAGACACTCAACACAGCTTCTCCTATCTCTGATCTCCCCTTTACCTTCCTTCCATTCAGTGCACAAGTCCTATGGGAGTCACAGCTCCAACAGGAACAAGGACAAATAACCAGCTTCACGGCTTGCTGCAATGGTTAATTTTATTTCAACTTGACTGGGCCATGAAATAACCAGGTATTTGGTCAGACTTTATTCTATGCCTTTCTCTGAGGGTGTTTTTGAATGACAGTCACGTATAAATGGGTAGACTGAGCAAAGAAGATCGCCCTCCCCAATGCGAGTGGGCCTCATCCAATCAGTTGAGGGCCTGAAGAGAATGACAATCAGACCCCTTCTCAATTAAGAGGAAACTAGGCTGGGCGTGGTGGCTCATGCCTATAATCCCAGCACTTTGGGAGGCCAAGGTGGGTGGATCACAAGGTCAGGAGATCGAGACCATCCTGGCTAACACAGTGAAACCCCGTCTCTACTAAAAATACAAAAAATTAGCCGGGCGTGGTGGTGGGCGCCTGTAGTCCCAGCTACTCGGGAGGCTGAGGCAGGAGAATGGGGTGAACCTGGGAGGCAGAGCTTGCAGTGAGCCAAGATTGCTCCACTGCACTCCAGCCTCAGCGACAAAGCCAGACTCCGTCTCAAAAAAATAATAATAAATAAATAAATAAATAAATAAATAAATAAAAAATTAGGAGGAAACTACTCTTCCTGCCTGATGGCCTTCAAAAGGCGACATCAGCTCTTTTCCCTGACTTGGTACTGGAACTACACCATTGGCTCTCCTGGTTCTCAGGCCTTCAGACTGAGACTAGAACTAAATCACTGGCTCTCCTGAGTCTCTATCTTGCCCATTTTCACTGCAGATCTTGGCACTTGCCAGTCTCCATAATTATGTGAGCCAATTCTTTATAATAAATCTCTTTCTTTCCTATTGATTCCAATATCTCCTATCATTCTGTTTCTCTGGAGAACATTAACACAGTTGCCAATCAAGCTCTGAAGCAGACAAGGAGGACACTCTCAACACCCACTTAACAGATGGGAACAAGGCCTGGAAAGGTGAAACAACTTGTCAGACTGGACAGGGGTAACAGGCGCACCAGCCAGCAGCCATGGCCTTTGCACATGTCGTATGTAAACTCACTAATAACTCCAGGCAGAACATAAGGCTGCATCACTGTTCAGGAAGGCAGTTTTATTCCAAATTGACACAACTAGTAAAATTATTTCAGTGCATGCATAGAAAACATTTTTATGGAAAGTTAAACGGCACTCACATTTTCTTCACACACCTAGGGCCCAAGGACTAGGTGTTGAGATCCATCTCAATTTTTTAATACCCAGATTTGCCTATTCTGGTACCAAGACACCTCTCTCATCCTTCCCACTCCCCACCCCCACCCCAACTAAACTAAATGACCAAATTTGCTCACCATCGGCTCGGCTCTGAGCTAAAATGGTCACCATTTCACCTTTAGGGATTTCTAACAGGTAGAGAACGGCATCCTCCCGCACTAATCCTCTGAAATCCTGTGTGTTCACCTATTAGGAAGGAAAAACAGAAAAAGAAAAAAAAAAAAAAGAAAGAAAGAAAGAAAGAAAGAAAGAAAAAACAGAGAAGTTTATAGTAAGATGCCACTGACCCTTTTGTTTGTTTTCATCAGGGCCTGTCCAGAGCAAAGCCAAGATGCAAATGAGTCCTTAATGTCACTATTCAAGTCCTCGCGCCCAGCACCTTGCTATGGGCCTGCACACTATACCTTCCTGCCTCCCCATACTGCCAACCGCACCTTAGAGGTTAAGCCATTGAAGCAAGGATCTGTCACCAGATCACAATAGAATTTCTTGTGGTTGTTTCTATCCATCTCCCTTCTGTGAGTCTCTCACAGAGGTGGCCAAGAAGGTAATACACAAGTATGAAGCATGGGGAGTGTTGGGGTCTGTGACAACTGAGCATGCTGGCCCAGCATTTACACTAATTTTAAACTGGTTCAAATAAAAGTGTGCAAATAAAGACTCTGACCAATTCTACCCTTCTCCTATAGCTTCTATCACCTAAAAGTGTTTAACATGTGTTTATAAAATTGAAAGGTATGTATCAAATTAAAGAGCATCAGCCTTACAGTTACAAAGCAAGTAAAATTGAAATGTAGCACAAAGAACAAGACATTTTGAAATCATAGTGCTATGTGGTTTTTTTTTTTGAGATGTAGTCTCCCTCTGTCGCCCAGGCTGGAGTGCAATGGCGCGATCTTGGCTCACTGCAACCTCCGCCTCCTGGGTTCAAGCAATTCTTTTGCCTCAGCCTCCCTGAGTAGCTGCGACTACAGGCATGTGCCACCACACCCAGCTAATTTTTTTTGTATTTTCAGTAGAGACAAGGTTTCACCATGTTGGCCAGGCTGGTCTCGAACTCTTGACCTCAGGTGATCCGCCCACCTAGGCCTCCCAAAGTGCTGGGATTACATGCGTGAGCCACCACGCCTGGCCCATAGTTCTGTATCTTTCAGCCTATTTTAAAACAGAATTATAAATAAGTAAAATGCAAAAACCATATTAAAGTACCTGATATGTTAATAATATTTTGTAGAAATAAAGATATAAAATTCCTATGAAATATTTTCTTCAGTCATTGACAATTACAGAATCCTTTTAATCACAAGAGTAATGCTTTATTAAAGAAGAAACTTATCCTTAGTTGGGTGGGCCTTAATTAAGGCCAAAATTTATGATTAAGTGAAAGTCGGCATTAGACTAAAACTAATTTGGTGCTTTTAAAATAAAGTGATGTGCTAAAGCAATTGAGTTAATTTTTCCTTTGAAACAGTATTTAGTATTTAAGGTACTGTCATTTGTACCTCTCTGTCCCCCAATTAGGAATCATCCCATTTTGGTATCCTTTCTTGTGCCATTTGTTTATCTACATCTGTATCTACATATAGCCATATGTATATTTTCACATGTACTATACATGCTTGTATTTGTTTACTTAAATAAGACAGGGCCACAAGGCTGTGGGAGGACCTTGGGAGTCCTTCAGTCCATCTCTCTGGCCACAAGAGATTAACCTTAGATCAGTCTCGATCACAGTCTTCGATAGCCAAAAACTATAATGGTCAAAATTAAAGCACACATGGTAGTTATATTTTAAAAATCTACATGGTTAATAACCAAACTTAGAAGTCTTTTTTCTCTTTTCCATCCCATAAAAGTTTCTGAAAGAGAAATGACAACTCTATCAGATAAATAACAAGCAAAGAGGTAGTTCAGCCAAGCAGGAATGAGCAAAAGCACATATATCTCCATTATTGATAAGGAATATACATATCTGGCTCACGTCTTCATTCCACACATTAGGCTGTCACCTTTGCAAAACAAAGAGCCACACTTAAAAACCCCACAACAGAATAAAGTGATTAGCATGTGTATAAGGCTCACTTTATATATTCAATTTGGCCATGAAAAGGAGCATTGAAACAAATTAAAGTGAAAAAAGGCTAGGGCAGCACTTTTCTACTTGAAGGTTACATTGAACAGTCCTTTCCAATAAATATCCTCTTTGATTAGCTATTTAGTAGTCTACAGGGTCTAGCCGTGTCTGCTGTGAGCCTGAAGAGGATCCTGTATCAGCCACAGCTTAGTATTGTGCAGCAGCTTCTCCGCCCTCGTAGGCAAACTCAATCTTTTTCACCCCTTTCTAGAACGGAAAGCTTCTTTTGTAGTCAACAGAAAATTTATTCGCACCCAAGAAATGAGGACCACCTATTGCCTGACCTCCATATGGGATGACAGCAAAAGAAGCCAGTTCCCAGAGTTCCTTCCGTGTTGCCAGGGTGATAACAAGAAACAAAACACCTTAAGTATAAATGCTGATACCATGACTTTTTATCCACCAAAGCGACTCTCCCCATCTAACAACAACTTACAGAGAGGTCTGACTGCCAAGCCTCTAGGTGAATTCACTACTTTTCTTCACGGAAATTTAGAAAATCTCCCAGCCCCTGAACATACGAAAATATTTTATCATTGAACCTTAATGAGCAAAAGCTCCACATTTCTAGCTATCATCCTATGGCCTCACAATAGTTAGAAAAAATGCCTTTTTCCTTCATCAGCATATATGCAAAGAGTAAACTGGTATGAGCTGGCACTCAGATGGGTTTTCATCAGTAACATTTGGTGAGTGGTATTTCCTAGGATCATAAGGCAACATGAGGTTCGTGCAGGTACATAGTCTTCTAGATCCTGACCAGGGCCAAGGAGGGTCTAGAATTTCACTGAAAAGCTTTTGCAAAGCTCATGATCAAGGTTTGCCCTTCATCTGCTCCAGAAATGAAATCTGAAATACTGCAACGGGGCCAAGAAGGAAGGGGGCCACCTGCTTTTGTACTTTGCTGCTGCTTGCTTCCTTGAGAATTCTAGAACTTTTTTCTCCCCTCTCCTTGGAGCCTAGAAGCCCCTACCAGACCCCTTAGTTTACTACATATGGATTTTTTACTAACATTAACAAGAAAAAAAAAACCTCATATATATGAACTGCAAGTTTGCAGAAGCAGGAAGAAATTCCAATGAAGACAGTTCCCAGCCGGGCGCAGTGGCTCACGCCTGTAATCCCAGCACTTTGGGAGGCCAAGGCATGTGGACTGCTTGAGCTCAGGAGCTCGAGACCAGCCTGGGCAACATGATGAAACCCTGTCTCTACTAAAAAGACAAAAATTAAGAGTTCACCTGTAATCCCAGCTACTGGGGAGGCTGAGGACTAAGAATTGCTTGAACCCAGGAGGCGGAGGTTGCGGTGATCTGAGATAGCACCACTGCACTCCAGCCTGGGTGACAGAGCGAGACTGTCAAAAACAAAAAAAAACAAAAAAAACAGTTCCCTAGTACTCTATATTTTTATTGTAAGGAGATACTTGATGTTCTTGAAATTTATTCCGAAGTCAACAAAGAATGCTACACACACACACACACATACACAAATGTCAAGTTGAGTTATTTTTTAATTCCTTAACAGATTATACAAACACATAGTAATTTTAAAAGTATCAATATTTGATTAACCAGGAATTCCCTTTCTTGGACAATTTTAGATGTAAATAACATTGAGTAGCAGCTATTTGTTATCTTCCAATAAGAAAAAAGAATGGACACTCACCTTCCTATTCTGTGCCAGGGAACTCTGCTAGGTGCCTTGTAAGTGTTACCTGGTCTAATCTTCCCACAGTCCCTGCGAGGCAGGTATTCTCATCCCCATTAAACAGATACAGAAACCTGAGTCTCAGGGTGAACCAGGGTCACAGAACTAATCAGAGGCTGGGACGAAATTCCAATCACCCAGTCTGATGCCAACCACTCACCTTTGTTCAATTTCAGGACACTGCCTTAAGAAAGATGGCAGGCAGGGGGAACACAGTGAAAAAAGCAAAAATCAGAAAAATCTTTTTGAAAAATCTTTCCTGTAAGTGCTTACTTAGAGTCTCAATATTTTCACATTAATCAGACTAATAAAATCTTGGCAAGGGCAGAAACACTATCAGTTCTCACAGATACATGGATGAGTTCTGGGTTCCAAGACTGAGAAGACAGGACGCATTTGAGGAATACAGAGACTTCAATGCTGGGCATCAACAAACTTGCAGCTGCTCTATTTCACCAGCTGAACCATTTTGTCTTCCCTTACAGAAAGAACACCCAGAAAAGTGCACTCCTTACAAGTAACTTCTAGAAACAGAGCTGGGCTGTTCTTACCTTCAGAATCTGGTCTCCTTCTTGAAGGCCCTCCTGCTCCGCCGAGGTCCCTTCTTGAATGCCAGCAACAAATATCCCGACATCATTGCCACCAGCCAACCGGAGGCCCACGCTGTCTCCCTTCTTGAACCTTACCATTTTGGTATTAGGGCTGCAATAGGTTCCGTTTCAGAAAGGAAAGATGGGAGATATTTTTTAAAAGGGAGAACAACATTAGCAAATGAGAGATTTAATTTCTTCTAGCTACAGAGTGATTTATAGTTTACAAAGCCCTCTCATTTTTCTCATCTATCTCATATATCCTACAATTTTATCTTTCTTGGGACCATGAGATGAGTATCAGTAGGTCCCTGGTTACTGGTGAAGACATAGAATTATAGAATCTTTACAGCAACTCTTTCAAGATGAGAAAGCAAATAAAGGGCAGAGTTAGGGCTAAAATTCTTCCAAAGGAAGGCCCGCTTGCACTGCATTCTTGTCAAATAAAGACACAGTCTGGGTACAAAGAAGCAGAATCCTAATCCAGGAGGCTGCTGCCCTTGAACCCTGCTGAACTAGGGGTTCTGATTATCAAGTGCAGAGCGCAGCAGCACTCCTCCTCCCTCCCCCACACGGACTGACACTGGGACCATCACATCAGTGCAGTCACCACAGGGCACCGTAGTTTAGCAATAAATACTTCACCTATTTGGGAGTGAATTTATCTGACAAACGCAAATATTCAGAGTAACACTCTGGAAAGGTAGCTAGATAGGTAGGTAAACAGACAACATTAACATCACAAAGTTCACCCACTTCCGCATTTTGCTGTTCCCACAAATCATTCCTCTTTCTCATAAGCACTACCAATGGGGATTGGTTACAGGTGGCTGACAGTGTACAAAATCACCATCTAGGCAAAAACCACCACTCTTCTGGATTTCAGTTACAGAGACAGAGCTGTAAGGAAGAAGGGAAAACAAAGAGAGACGGAAATACATACCCATATATTGCTTCATCTTCAGGACTAGGACGAAGAAAAGTTCTCGGGGCTGCTTTTGGTTGAGGAGCTGTAGGTTAAGAAACATCTACTGTTATCAATCTGGACTAACAAGAGTGCGTTTCTAAATAGAAAAATCACAAAATCCACAAAAAATGTAAGTCTATGCCACATATGTCACCACAAACAAAAAGAAGTCTCTAAAGTGCCGTTTAACTCTGAAGTATTAGCAGGTGCCAATGGTTTCTCAAAATACAAGAGATAAAAAATGAACCTCTAAAATGCAAGGTGTACAATCACATGCACAAGAACATAGAATTTTTAACAACTTAAAAAACATACAATAATGATACTGTTTCCCCTTAAATATTTATGAATATAAAATTATGATGATAATTGTAGGGTGGTGGGGAAGGGTTGGGGGAAGAGGTCAGGATCAAGGATGGGAGAAAACAATGACCTCAACTCATCAAATATGACAAAGTGTGACCAATTCTAATGGCATTTAGACAAGGCTATTATTTTATATTTTGTCAACGTCAAAAGAGAGAAAGGAAGGCCTCTTCCATATATAATTTTTTATTTCCTTCTTCCCTTTCAGCCACCCTCTGGAATTAAGTACACACTTATCTATACATACACATATACATGTACATACATATCTGTATACATATATACACACATGCATACATATATGTATACATATCTATGTATTTACATATATGTGTATAATTTCAACTTTTATTTTAGGTTCAGTGGGTGCACGTCCAAGTCTGTTACATGCATATACTGCATGATGCTGAGGTTTGGGGTACAACTGATCCTGTCACCAAGGTGTGAGCATGATACCTAATAGTTTTTCAACCCTTTCCATCTCCTCCTTTAGTAGTTTCCCCTCTAGTTGTCCCCAGTTTCTGTTACTGCCACCTCTATGTCCATTTGTACCCAATGTTTAGCTCCCACTTAAAAGTCAGAACATGTGCTGTGTGGTTTTCTGTTACCATGTTAATTAGCTTAGGATAATGGCCTCCAGCTGCATCCACGTGGCTGCAAAGGACATGATTTCACTCTTTGTTATGGCTGTGTGAGCACACACTTCTGAACACAACTGTTGAAACTGAGTGGTCTTAATGGCTCACCTGGGGGGTCCTCTTGGTATCTGGGTTCCTTGTTGGTCTCTGGGACAACTGTGCCTGCAATATCCCCTGTGGACTTAAAGGGAGTGGGTGTCGCACCCATCCTGGACAATCTGCTCGGCGTGTCCTCTCTGGAACTGAATCACATGTCATACGTAAATGTCTCAAGAGATAACAGTTTCATAAATACATATGTGTGTACATTCACAATGACATGTACAAGAGAATATTCATGTCATCTTACCTTGGCCTTTCCTTCAGCTTCTCACTTGAGGAATGATAATCATAATCAGAATACTGATGACGTCTCTCCTCTGGAGAAAATGATCGGTTTGACTCTATTTCTGAAATATCTAGTTTCAAAAATAAGAAAAGACTTTTAAATAAAATATTTAAAATATTCTCCTACCCAGAGAAATTGCACTATTCTCTGGGTAGGAAACACGGGAAATGGAAACGAGGTAGGCAGGAAATGTGCTATTAGTCTAATAGTCCTCCCCTGGAGAAAAACTTGCTCGTTTTAAGGGAAAGGCATTAATTAATAAAGGGGAAGGCAAATTTAGAATTGTGTATTTCTCTTTTGTCTCATTTTCCATCAAAGCTGCTACAGAAGAGTCAAAATTCTATTATTGGATCATAGATGTATACACTAATTCTTCCCAAGCAGCCCAATGCTTCTCAAACTTTAAGGTGCATACAAATCTTGTTAGGATGCAGTTGTTGTGGGGCAGTTGAGGGGAGACTGAGATTCTGCAATTCTATCCAGTTACCTGATTATGCAGATGCTATTGGGGTCAGGGGTTGGGGGATGAGGACCACATACTGAGTAGCAAGGAAATAAACTGCAAACCCCCTAACATGCTGGCATTATTTCTCATGCTCCTTTTGTTTTCCTGCACTGCACCCGTAACAGTCATCAACAACTTCTGATACACTGGAAAGTGAATTAAGTTTTAAGGTTTTACAAAGAAATTCCTTTAAAAAAAAAAATCAACAAAAGTCTGCTTTACAACTTCGTAACTTAATATTTTCTAAACTTCTCTGCATAAAAGCAACAGTAGATGGTTCAGTAGAATATACTGTGATTAACTATTTTTATTGGCAATTTTTACAAGGTTAAAATGTTATCCTATGTATAATTCATATTCAAATAATGAATATAGCTCTTTAAAAGGGAAGAGGTGATGCAGACTGCTAATTAATGAATGCCACAATATTAGCCATTTTGATTCTTTTTGAGCATCTACTTGTTTTAGCTATCCTCCAAATTGTCTTCTCTATTAGAGATATTAATAGCCACTTTTAAAGAATGAGCAATTAAGGCTGGGCCTGGTGGCTCACGCCTGTAATCCCAGCACTTTGGGAGGACAAGACGGGCAGATCACGAGGTCAGGAGTTCAAGACCAGCCTGGCCAACATGGTGAAACCCCGTCTCTACTAAAAATACAAAAATTAGCCAGGTGTGGTGGCAGGCGCCCATAATCCCAGCTACTCAGGAGGCTGAGGCAGAAGGATCACTTGAACCTGGGAGGCAGAGGTTGCAGTGAGCCAAGATTGTACCACTGCACTCCAGCTTGGGCAACAGAGGGAAACTCTGTCTCAAAAAAAAACAATAAGCAATTAGCAAATATATAAATGATATGGTTAGTTCTTTGAACCACTCAAACACACATTTTTTTACTGACAAGTTTTGCTTTCAATTGCCTAATTAATAGTTCTCTGAGAGTTCGCAAATGCACCAGAATTTTGTATTGGAAACCTAATTTCAATAGGCACTTTAATAAGCAAATAACAACCAACCAGTGACCTTTGGAGATTAAGGTTTCAAGGGGTCTTTCCTTAGAAATTTAACTTCCAGCTGGATAGCTACACTAAATAGAAGAATGGGGAAGCAACAGCCTTCCTTACTTCCAGCTAAGCTCACAGCCTCCTCTTCCTTTACCTTCTATTTCTGAGTCACTGTCATTTAATGACGGGATGTTGATGAGGGTCTGCTGGCTGTCTCTCAACACCACTAGCTGTAGTTTTCCTCTTGACTTTTCTATCAATTTTCGAGCATCCGTTAAAGACATGTTCTCAGTTACAGTCCCATTGATCTGTGTTTATAAAAAATGGTAATGTTAAATGCAATAAAATTATTCACAGTAGAAAATTCATATTTTCCCCTTCTAAAAATGTAAAGGCTTTGCTCAGATATTCAAACAGATATTGGCTTTAGGATGACTCAATAAAAATGAATTGTCGTTTAAATTAAATATAATCCTGCATGCCTGGATCCCAAATACAGGTGTAAGTTACTCTGCTAATTTATTTAACTTCCAAGCTCAAGACAACGGTTTGGTTTACTACTGGAACGTGTTTCCTGACTGGAGAGGTTTACAAGACCTATTAAATATTCAGCATTCATATATCACCAACTTTCCTTCTCATCTTTCCTTAGTTTAGGGAATAGGGATCTAAACTTTAAACAGGAAAGAAGAAAATATTCATGGAGTTTTTTTGTTTTTGTTTTCTAAACTGACATTAAACTGTTACGACCCTCAATGTCTGGTTTTTCTGATAAAAATCGTCTCATTATGCTGCTCTTGCCACCTCTGTCTTACCACTGACTCTCACTGGATCTAAGTCTCACTGTGTGGGTGCTGAATGTGGACATGCAGGCGATGAACGGCAGTATGCACACTACCGTTCTCTGCCCCCATCTACCCACCTTGAGAATTATGTCTCCTTCGTGAAGGTTGCCATCTTTAGTTGCCAGACCCGTTCGGGTCATTTCCTTTACGAAGATCTGACTCCCAAGCCGGAGACCATACTCTAGGAGACAAACACATAAACATACACGTATGTTATCAATTTGTTCAAAAAACTTAGTCTGGTTTATAGGACTATTTTAAAATATGTATTAAAAAGTTAATTTTGTATATGGGAAATTCTGTAAGATGACTGGCCTGAACTCTTCAAAAAAGTCAATGCCATAAAAAACAAAAAAGGTAGAGAAACTGTTCCAGATTAAAAGTTACATAAAAACCAAATGCAATGCATGAACTACCATAGGTCCCTGATCCAGTGGAGGGTGGGGGAAGAATGAGTTACATCATTTGGAGCAATCTGAAAATGAACTATAATATATGAAAGGGATATTAATGTTAATCTTCTTAAGTGTTATAATGGTATTACGGTGACTGATGTAGGAGAATGTTCTTATCTTTGGAAGATACCTCTGAAATATTTATGGGTAATGGTGAGTTGCCTGCAACTTACTTAAATAGTACCAAAAAACCCACTGAGAGAGGTAACAGGAAGGGTGATGGAGTAGAAGGAAAGAAAAAAAAAGGAGGAGGAAAAAGAAAGTGTGGCAAAATGTTAACAACTGGTAAAACTAGATGAAGGTTATATGTTTATTTGCTATAAAATTAACATTTTCTTTTTCTTTCTTTTTTTGAGACAGAATCTTGCTTTGTCACCCAGGCTGGAGTGCAGGGGCATGATCTCAGCTCACTGCAACCTCTGCCTCCCAGGTTCAAGTGATTCTCCTGCCTCAGCCTCTCAAGTAGCTGGGATTACAGGTGCCCACCACCATGCCCAGCTAATTGTTGTATTTTAGTAGAGACAGGGTTTCACCATGTAGGCCAGGCTAGTCTCGAACTCCTGACCTCAGGTGATCCACCCGCCTCGGCCTCCCAAAGTGCTAGGATTACAGGTGTGAGCCACTGCGCCTGGCCAAATTAACACTTTTCAAATAAAATGTTGGGGAGAAAAAAAAACAATTCAGCACACCTTAATAGGCATGTTCTGCTGACAATGAGGCTGTCTACAGGAAGGCACTGCAAAAAATCTAGCATTTTAGATTATATGAAGCTTGGCATTGAAAGGAATTCAGTGGGTGAAGAAAAGGGGTAAAGAAGTCAGGCAAAGTAATTAATAAAGCATTCAACTAAAACCAGCATAGCTTTGGGAGTTTATGGACTCTGAATTGCTATCAAAAACAAAAACATTGTAATTACTAAGTTATGCATATTTTTAAATACTTTCAATGCTACTTAAGACTCTTCTGGTTTTACTTAATAAACTTGTAAAAATACATTATTTTAAGAATAACTGTTCACATTTTAGGAAACTACCACAACAGAGCAGGTTTTAAAACAGGCACAAAATTTTTTATTATTGTTCAAACTAAAAATCTTATAATTACAAAACAAAGTAACTTTCCACAATTCAGGAAAGGTATGAAGTCAATTTTAAAATAAGTTTTAAATGATTTACGGTAAACTTGTCAGCCAGATCTTACCACAAAGATTAGAAGTGTTGTGGCCCATGCCCTAGTCCTTTAGGAAGCTGATAGTCAAGAATGGAATAAGGGAAGGGCAAAGCTACTTTCATGGATGGCGAGCCCCTAGTGGTCAAACAGCCTCACAGCCCAGAACAGAAGGCTGAGTGAGACAAGCTTGAGTGATAACATCTCTCTGGCATTTTTCAACAATTCCTCAATCCTCTTAAAAAATGCACTCATTGGCCAAGCATGGGGGCTCACGCCTGTAATCCCAGCACTTCGGGAGGCTGAGGTGGGCGGATCATGAGGTCAGGAGATCGAGACCATCCTGGCTAACACGGTGAAACCCCGTCTCTACTTAAAACACAAAAAATTAGCCGGGTGTGGTGGCGGGCGCCTACAGTCCCAGCTACTTGGGAGGCTGAGGCAGGAGAATGGTGTGAACCCGGGAGATGGAGCCTGCAGTGAGCCGAGATCGCGCCACTGCACTCCACCCTGGGCGAAAGAGCGAGACTCCGTCTCAAAACAAAACAAAACAAAACAAAACAAAACAAAACAGAAACGAAGCCTCCTAACACACAAGGTTCTTGTGAGGACTACGTAAAAGAATATTCAACATAGCCCTTGCATAGAGCAGAAACTCAACAATGATTAGGCGGAGTACTGTCCTCCACTGTGGTTTTCCACTTGAGATGCAGCAAGGCCACTAGGAGAGCTTATTAACATAGAGACTCTGAGGGCCCACCCCATGGTTTCTTTTTTTTTTTTTTTTTTTTTTCAAGACAGAGTCTCGCTCTGTCACCCAGGCTGGAGTGCAGTGACATGATCTCTGCTACTGCAACCTCTGCCCCTTGGGGTTCAAGCTATTCTCCTGCCTCAGCCTCCAGAGAAGTGGGGATTACAGGCACCCACCACCACGCCCACCTAATTTTTGCATTTTTAGTAGAGATGGGGTTTCATCATGTTGGCCAGGCTGGTCTCCAACTCCTGACCTCAAGTCATCCGCCCACCTCGGCCTCCCATAGTGCTGGGATTACAGGTGTGAGCCACTGCACCCGGCTCCACCCCATGGTTTCTGAGCTGGTGGGACTGGGTTGGGCCTGAGAGTCTGCATTTCTAAGGGGTGCCCAGGTGATGCACTGCTTTGAGAACCACTGGTCTCCTAGTTTAAAGCCAAAATTCTGAAGCCTGGCTCTTCCAATGATGACACAACTTTGTGTATATCAATGAACCTTTTGTGCCTCAGTTTCCTTGTCTATAAAATGGAGAAACAAGAGTCCTCCCTCATGAGGTAGTTCTGAGGATTAAACGAACGAATTGGTGTTAGGCATTTAGGTCAATGCTGGGTACAATGCTGGTTAAGTGCAATTAAGAGATAGCTCGGCCAGATGCGGTGGCTCACACCTGTAATCCCAGCACTTTGGGAGGCCAAGGTGGGCAGATCACCTGAGGTCAGGAGTTTGAGACCAGCCTGGCCAACCTGTCTCTACTGAAAATACAAAAATTAGCCGGGCGTGGTGGCAGGCACCTATAATCCCACCTACTTCGGAGACTGAGGCAGGAGAATCACTTGAACCCAGGAGGCAGAGGTTGCAGTGAGCCGAGATCATGCCACTGCACTCTCCAGCCAGGGTGACACAGTGAGACTCTGTCTCAAAAAAAAAAAAAAGTTAGCTGGCCAGGTGCAGTGGCTCATGCCTATAATCCCAGCACTTTGGGAGGCTGCAGTGGGCAGATCACCTGAGGTCAGAAGTTCAAGACCAGCCTGGCCAACACGGTGAAACCCCGTCTCTACTAAAAATAAAAAAATCAGCCAGGCATGGTGGTGCACGCCTGTGATCCCAGCTACTAGGGAGGCTGAGGCAGGAAAACTGCTTGAACCTGGGAGGCGGAGGTTGCAGTGAGCCCAGATTACGCCACTGCACTCCAGCCTGGGCAACAGAACAAGACTCAAGACTCCGTCTCAAAAAAAAAAAAAAAAAAAGTAGCTATTCCTGGCCAGGCGTGGTGGCTCATGCCTGTAATCCCAGCACTGTGAGAGATTCAGGTGGACGGATCACCTCAAGTCAGGAGTTCAAGTCCAGCCTGGCCAACATGTTGAAACCTGTCTCCACTAAAAACATAAAATTAGCTGGGCGTGGTGGCGGGTGCCTGTAGACCCAGCTACTCAGGAGGCTGAGGCAGGAGAATCACTTGAACCCGGGAGGTGGAGGTTGCAGTGAGCCGAGATCACGCCACTTCCCTCCAGCCTGGATGACAGAGCAACACTTTCGGGGGAAAAAAAAAAATTAAGAAAACAAAGGTTATTCATATCACAACAGTGCTTTTCTTCCCACATCAAGCATGCCTACCTTCGTTCGCTCTGCTTTTCATCAGGAGGACCCCGATGGGCCCCGGCCGCCCCCTAGGCTCGGGGCTGGGGCTCCGTGAGTGCGGGTGCTCGCGGCTGCGGCTTCGGGGTCCCCGAGAGCGGGCATCGTGGCGGGCCCCGCGCCTGTACTCCGGGCTGTAGGCCCGCTCGTAGTCTGGGTCGTAGGCCCGGTGATAGGCTCGCTCGTAGTCCTGGTCAATGCTCCGGCCGCGGCTGCGGTCACGGTCCCGGTCCCGGGATGGCCCAAAGTCGTGGTCCAGGCCCCGCTCCAGGCTCCGGCCACGGCTGCGGTCTCGGGTGCGCGCATGGTCTTGGTCCAGGCCCCGCTCCAGGCTCCGGCCACGGCTCCGGTCCCGGCTGAGGTCCCGCTCCCGGCTCCGGGCCCGCTCATGGGGACGCCCCCTTTCCGGGCTGTCCTCCCAGCTGCGGCTGCGCCCCCCATGGCTGTTCAGCCGGCTCCTCTCGCTGTAGCCACTCCGGAAACTTCTGCCATCAAACTCGTCCATCACCTCAAAAGCCCGGTCATCCTGATCCAGGGGAGGGCTGGCCTGAAGTGCGGCCACCTGGACCTTCCGGGGCCTCTTGACCACCTGTTGTCAAAACAAACTCAGTGTGGACGCAGGACAATCACAACTGAATGTGGAGAAGGCAGTGGTTAAGAGCCCTGGTTCTGGTTTCAGGAAAACCGTATCCCTGCCGACTCACTAAGGTTCAGGTTCCTCATCCGGAAACGGACAATAAAAATCTCACAGGGTTAGAATAGGACAATGACCGTGAAGCTCTGAGTACAGGGCCTTGAATTAAGGTAATAATAAAATAGTATCTCCAAAATCTGCTTCTACTCAAGTTTGAAAAGTCTCAGAGGCCCAAATCACTAAGTTATAAAACTCAAAAAACAAAAATCCAGAAAGTGTGACATTCTATACATAGCTGCCAAGGGGGCAAAGGCGGATAAAGAGAAGTTGATTGATGGGTACAAATATATGGTCTGATAGAAGAAATAAGACCTAATGTTAGATCGGTAGGGTGACTACAGCTTACAGGAATCTACTGTACATTCCAAAATAGCTGGAAGAAAATAATCTGAACGTTTCTACCATAAAGAAAAGACAATTATTTAAGGTGATGGATATTCCAAATACACTGATTTGAATTTTACAAATCATGTCTACAGCCATACCATCCTGAACGTGCCCAATCTCATCTGAATTTTACAAATCATATTAATGTATTAAATTAATCACACATACCCTATAACTATGCATTATGCATAAATTTTTAAAATTTTAAGGAAGAAAAGTCAATGCCTTATTTATTTATTTATTTAATTTATTATTAAGACAAAGTCTCGCTCTGTTGCCCAGGCTGGACTGTACTCAGCTCACTGCAACCTCCGCCTCCCAGGTTCAAGCGATTCTCGTGCCTCACCCTCCCGATAGCTGGGATTACAGGCGCACACCACCATGCCTGGCTAATTTTTGTATTTTTAGTAGAGACGGGGTTTCACCATGTTGGCCAGGCTGGTCTCGAACTCCTGACCTCAGGTGATCTGCCTGCCTCCATCTCCCAAAGTGCTGGCGTGAACCACTGAACCTGGCCCAATGCCATTTTTAAAGTGGGGGGTGGGGTAGAGGGGCAAGGGGAAAGAGGAACCCTTCTAGATTAAAAGGAACTAAAGAGATAATGATTAAATGCAATGAGTGAACTTTGGATCCTGGATAGGGAAGAAAACATATATCAAAGACATTTTGAGAGCTGCGTATGGTGGCTCACACCTGTAATCCCAGCACCTTGGGAGGCTGAGGTGGAAGGATCGCTTGAACCCAGGAGATCAAGATCAGCCTGGGAAACACAACAAGATCCCATCTCTAAAAATGAAAAAGACATCTTGAGATATGGACTGGATTTTAGATAATACTGTAAAATTATTACTTTTCTTAGATCGGATAATAGTATTATATAGATGAATGTCCTCATTCATAGGAAATGCATGTGAAGTAAGTAGAAATGAACTGTCATGTCTGTAACTTTCCTTCGCATGGTTGCCCAGAAAGACATGAGTGTTTATATACATACAGAGACCAAGTAAAGATGGCAGAATAGTAATATTTTAGAAGATAAATGTTTATTACACTGATCTTTCAACTTTCCTTTTTCTTTGAAAATCTTCATAATATAAAGTTGAAAAACATTAAATACCATATATGTGGCCGGGTGAGGTGGCTCACGCCTGTAATCCCAGCACTTTGGGAGGCCAAGGCTGGCGGATCACCTGAAGTTGGGAGTTCGGGACCAGCCTGACCAACATGGTGAAACCCCGTCTCTACTAAAAATACAAAATTAGACAGGTGTGGTGGTGCATGCCTGTAATCCCAGCTACTCGGGAGGCTGAGGCAGGAGAATCGCTTGAACCCAGGAGGCGGAGATTGTGGTCAGCCAAGATCGTGCCATTGCACTCCAGCCTGGGCAACAAGAGCAAAACTCTGTCTCAAAAAAAAAAAAAAAATACACACACACACACACAACCATATATGTGGGTATATGCCTACTAGCATTGCCCCTAAGCACACTTTATTACCATTCTCACTGTGTGTGTCTACCTGCCCCACTGGAGTGAACACATCTTGCAACACAGATTGGCCCCAGGGCCTAATGGCATCCAGCTCACAGTTGATTCTCAGCCAGTGAATGAATGAAGGAATAGATGAATGAAGATTATAGACAGTCTTCTAATGAAACTCTTAGTCTATGAAGATATAATATACCTTGCTTGGGCCTTTACAAGTGAGTTTTTGAGCTGAAAGTTTTTTTCTAAATTAATACTATTTTACCAGTATTCTGAATCTAGCTAATTCTCTTAGGGAATAATTGCCTAACTTGGTTCCTAAGGCAAACTAACTCAGATCAGAGAATCACTGGCCTCAGGAGAAGACACAAGGAAAAGTAGGAAGATAACTTACACATATCTTCACACCCCTCCAAAAGTACTGAGGATCCAAGAACAGCGGTCCCTAGGTTATGTAATTCTGTCAAATGCTTAAAAGCAAGGGGTAATTTTCTTCTGGGCAAAAAACCAAAATGCTATTAAGGCAAGCTGAAAGCAAACCCAGTACTTACAATAGCAGCGACCTTCCCACTTTTTCTGAGCTGCTGAACTGCAAACGAATGAAGCACATCCTCCATGGGGGTGCCATTGACCATGACCACTCTGTCATTTTCTCTGTAAACAAGAAATAAAAATGGGTCATGAAAAACTCCCATCTATTCATTGTAAATTATTTATTTAGGAACAAATAGAAGCAGCAAATAGACCTGAAAGGCTTTCTAAAGGGCTCAGTGTCTAGTGGCGCCCAAGGCCCAGTCAACTTGGCCTGAGATCTTCCAAAGAAAGGAACTGGGGGCCATACAGCTCAATTCTGAGTGTCTAAATGGAAATCATCTGGGAAGAGAGAGGCCTGATCTCCCCAAACCACAGCATCACACCAGGAGGTACTTGATGACGGTGAGGTCTGGACACAAAAGGAATTTCTCTATCAGTCCCCTATTGCCTGAGGTGCACGGTGGGCTTCAGAAAAGTCTAAAAACACTCCTTCCAAGTAGGTGTATATCCATTTGTGCTTTTGTGCAGGAAAAGGGCTTGCCTTGGATTCTTAAGAAATTTTGAGATCACAGAATCCTATTGTTCCAGTTCATCCCAAATATTACTTTAAAATTTTGCATTTCTCCATATGAAAGACTACTAACTTTGATAAAACTATAGAGACTTTCTTAACTATAATTTTATTTTTTAAGAGGCATGGTTTCCCTCTCTCACCCAGGAAGGACTGCAGTAGTGTGACTGATGATAGCTCACCGCAACCTCAACTTCCCGAGCTCAAAGGATTCTCTCACCTTAGCCTCCCAAGTAGCTGGGACCCGAGTAGGTACATGCCATCCCAACAGGGTCTCACTAGGTTGCCCAGGCTGATCTTGAACACCTGGCCTCAAGCGTTCCTGCCACCTCAGCCTCCCAAAGTGCAGGATTATAGGCGTGAGCCACTGTGCTTAGTTCACAGAGGCTTTAAACACCAACAAAACCTAAACTTTTGAGCTATTTATCCAATGCAGCCATACAGTTAACTTTAGACTTCGTCCTGAGAAGTTATCCTGTGGGAATCAGGCATGTATCATGTAAAATGGTGTTACCAGCTGGGTATGGTGGCTCATGCCTGTAATCCCAGCACTTTGGGAGGCCGAGGTGGGCAGATCACTTCAGGTCAGGAGTTTGACACCAGCCTAGCCAACATGGCGAAAACCCGTCTCTACTAAAAATACAAAAATTAGCTGGGAGTGGTGGCAGGCACCTGTAATCCCAGCTACTCAGGTGGCTGAGGCAGAAGAGAATTGCTTGAACTCGGAAGGTGATGGTTGCAGTGAGCTGAGATCGCACCACTGCAATCCAGACTGGGTGACAGAGCAAGACTCTGTCTGAAAAAAAAAAAAAAAAAGAAAAGAAAAAATTTATTAAAAATTAAAATAAAATGGTGTTACTTCTTCAGGTCAGAAAGCTGGCAGTTGGAAAACTTGTGGTTTTCCTATAGTAAATTGTCCCAACTTCCACATCACTCTTACAAATAAGATAATCAATAAACCAAAGTCTCCTCATTAAATTCTTAAAGAATATAAATTAAAACAAACATAAACAGTGTTGGTTAAGCATCGGGGTTGAGAAGCATGCCAATTTAAAACTCCATGTTCAGAAATGATTCCTAAACCTAGGAGGGATGTTTGGAACTATCTTCTTACGGAAACAACTGCCCTCCTCGCTCCAAAGCTGGGGTGTTCCCAAGGTTTGGGCATTATTCAAACATGGTGTGTTATGGCTTCCATTCCAGCTTGAAGACTTTTCAAATATTATATAAAAGTTTGTTATTTTTTTCTTTTTTTTAAATAAAGTGGACACCAACCAAAATACCCCGTCTAGGGCCAACCAGTAGGGCTGGTAGGGGCTGCGGAGCGAGGGAGGACACTCACTGGAGCAGCCCATCAGCAGGCCCACCCGGGAGCACATCAGAAATGACAATTGACGTTTCTCCATTTTCAAAGTGGGGGTTGTCTCTGCCTCCGGACACTGCAATTCCAAATCCTCTTTTGGAATCCTGTACATCAGAGAGGAGAAATATTAAAAATCCTTCAATAAGTGGCTTTCAGGATTTATTACAAGCACTCAATAAAATAAAGGTCAAATCAATAACCAGAGACTGTTCAGGAACAGATGGGCTTACAGAAACAAATGAGAAACAAAACAAAGCATAGTCATTGTCAGCTGACAGGTTTATAAAGGGAAATTCCTTATCTGAAAGAAACAGCCTGTAGAGGCTGGAAAAGATTGATAGTGCAGACTGGAGTTATCACTAGAAGCTGGCCGGGATAGGAAACAATGTCTTCAGTCCAAATAGGGACGTACTGTTTGAAGCACCAGTTGTACCTCTTTGCATCATGCTGGCCCGAGCTGGAACAACTTCAGTAAAAACTGAACCTGTACTAAAACTGTATTTTTTAATTTTCAGATTTCCTTATTGTATTTGTTTTTTAAGAGACAGAGTTTTGATCTGTTGCTAGGCTGGAGTGCAGCGGTGTGATCACTACTCACTACAGCCTCAAATTTCTGGGCTCAAATGAGCCTCCTGTCTCAACCTCCCAAAGCACTGGGATTACAACAGACAGCCATTGTGCCTGGCCTGTACTGTAAATATTTTTAATTCTTCTGTATATTGTGATGTTTTGACATATTAAAAAAAAAAAAACCTTCTGCCTAGGCTCATGGCTCATGTCTATAATCCCAGCACTTTGGGAGGCCAATGCAGGCAGATTGCTTGAGTCCAGCAGCTCAAGACCAGCCTGGACAACATGGCAAAACCCTGTCTTTACTAGAAATAGAAAAAAATAGCTGGTCATGGTGGTGCACATCCATAGTCCCAGATACTTGGGAGGCTGAGGTGGGAGAATCACCTGAGCCTGTGAGGTCAAGGCTTCAACAAGCCAAGGCAGCTTTTGCACTTTAAATTGGGCAAATGGAGAAGTCTCTAAAAAACAAAAAAAAAAAACCACAACTTTCTAGCTGGGCGGGAAAAGACTGCTCTTCCCAGTGCTAGCCAATCCTTTTTAATTTTATTTTTATTTTAGATTCAGGAGTACATGTGCAGGTTTGTTATATATGTGTATTGTCTGATGCTGAGGTTTGGGCTTCTAATGATCCTGTCACTCAAGTACCGAACACAGTACCCAAGAAGTAGTTTTTCAAACTTTGCTCCTCTCCCTCCCTCCGTACTTTTGGAATTCCCAGTGTTTACTGTTCCTGTCCTTGTGTCTGTGTGTACCCAATGTTTAGCTCCCACTTCTAAGTGAGAACATGCAGTATTTGGTTTTCTGTTTCAGCATTAATTTGCTTAGGATAATGGCCTCCAGGTACATTCGTGTTGCTGCAAAGGACATATTTCGTTCTTTCTTATGTCTGCCTAAAATTATATTTTTAAAGTATACCTTTAACTTCAAAGTAGATGTGTTGGTAGTTTCATTTCAACATACAGTGAAAAAGAAGTAAATGGATTTGTTTGTTTTTTTTTTTTTTGAGATGGAGTCTTGCTCTGTTGCCAGGCTGGAGTGCAGTGGTGCTGGCTCACTGCAACCCCTGCCTCCTAGGTTCAAGTGATTCTCCTGCCTCAGCCTCCTGAGTAGCTGGGACTACAGGCATGTGCCACCACACCCAGCTAATTTTTGTATTTTTAGTAGAGAGACAGGGAGGGTTTCACCATGTTGGCCAGGATGGTCTCGATCTCCTGACCTTGTGATCCACCTGTCTCTGCCTCCCAAAGTGTGGGGATTACAGGCGTGAGCTACTGCGCCCGGCCCGTAACTGGATTTTAAAGATAAAATTTGAACGTAAAATATGTGTTGAGATCTCATGAAAAGCAAAGCACTAAACCCTTTTCTTCATGCATGGAAGATCGGAAATAAGATTTATTACATCCATGATCAGTCTAGCAATGCACAATGGTGAGCATAGATAATACATAATCCTAATTCATTTGTGTTTTAAAAAGCTAAGTCTGGGCCAGGTGCGGTGGCTCACACCTGTAATCCCAGCACTTCGGGAGGCCAAGGCGGGTGAATTGCTTGAGTCCAGGAGTTCGAGATCAGCCTGGCCAACATGGCAAAACCCCATCTCTACTAAAAATACAAAAATTAGCCAGGTGTGGTGGCACACCCCTGTAATCCCAGCTACTTAGGAGGCTGGAGCAGGAAAATCACTTGAACCTAGGAGGTGAAGGTTGCAGTGAGCTGAGATCATGCAATTACACTCCAGCCTGGGCAACTGAATGAGACTCCATTTCAAAAATATATATATGTATCTAAGCCCAGTTTCATCCAGATAATATGAGTATATTTGACTGTATATTCTTAAATCTGGGTTCGATTATATAAAAATTTACTCCGAGACTAAAAGAAAATCTTCCTTTCCAAGGAAAGTTTCCCACGTGAGGCCCACTATGCTGACTGATTATACACAATTACAAACTCAAAACAGGTTGGGGGTGTTGTCTATTAATCACATGGCTTTGAATTTGGCAGCACCACCAGCCGGCACCTGGTTTTAGACAGAGGCAGCTCCATCCTCTATGCCAAGCCTAAAAAAATCTCTGACCTCTGCCAATTTTGGGTCCACAACTCAAGGAATGCATGAAATGCTCAGGGAAAGGGCAGAGGAGAGTCAGAAAGACGAGGAAAGTTGAAAAATAAGACCTAAGCAGACAAAACCCCTCAAATGAGGAAATTGTGATTACTGATCTGGAAGTCTGGGTACCTGGGCACTGGCCCAGAGACATTTTTTTCTACCTGGATTAATTCAACAAACATTAAATTCGGGAATGTCTTTAATTTTCATAGAAGACAAAGCTTGAAGCTCACAGTTCTGAGGGTCAAAGGAAAACTCTTCCTATGAGGAACTTATGGTCCCTCTAGGAGATGTCAGACCTTGGAGGAATTCAGAGCCAGAAGAAGAAACCCTGCAGAAAAACCAGGAAAATCACAGTGATGATGACCGGAAGGCAGCTTGACGGAATAAAAATGCGGAACCGTCTGGGCACGGTGGCTCACGCCTGCAACCCAGCACTTTGCGGGCCAAGGTGGGTGGATCACCTGAGGTCAGGAGTTCGAGACCAGCCTGACCAACATGGAGAAACCCCGTCTCTATTAAAAATACAAAATTAGCCGGGCGTGGTGATAGGCGCCTGTAATCCCAGCTACTTGGGAGGCTGAGGCAGGAAAATTGCTTGAACCCGGGAGGCGGAGGTTGCGCTGAGCCGAAATTGCACCACCGTACTCCAGCCTGGGCGACAAGAGTGCAATTCCGTCTCAAAAAAAAAAAAAAAAAAAAAAAAATGCAGAACCACGAGTGCAGTTCTCCAGCTCAGCCTCACACAAATGACTTACAGTCTCTTGGATGCTACACTTTTTAAGAGTTATAAGGTATGTATAATATGTCATAATTAAAATTACAGAAGTTGTAAAAAGCTCCCTCCACATCCTTAAACAGTACAGGTCATTTTCATTCTTCCCTTTCTTTTCTCTCTTTCATAACCTGTTCTAGCTGGAGATAAGAGTATACACTAAATAACCTCTAAAATGTTCCATACTAAACAGTCCTTAATCAAAAAATACAATAGCATGCAAATCTTTGTTAACATAGCAATTATTGCCAGTTAGTATCTATAATACATTATGTACCTCAAGGGAAAAAAAAAGCCAAAACTGTGTGTAGGTGAAAATAAATAAGATCCATGATCCGTAAAATCAAGAACATGACTGTAGAATATATGAAATGTGCAGAACTCACCTTTTGTAGGGTCACAGTGTACTGTTCCCATATCAGCTCTTCCATGCCTGGGGCCTGTTTTAAAAGAACAAAACCAATCTGATGAAAACCACAACCTTTTCAATGCTAGAAATAAAATTATCATTCAAAATGCCTCGACATAAAGTCCAGCTCACACTTTCTATACCAAAAAAGAGTTAATATCTGTTCATTATGCTACCTATTTTCAAACACACTCTCCTTCAATGAAATGAAACTAGAAACAATACTTGAAAGGTAAGTGAAATACATAGTGAGAGACAGACCCTAAAAAGAATGGAATGTTAAGTGCTGAGTCCTTTTATTATCACTATTCCAAAACATTATCATCATAAAACCCCTTTAAAAATATCTAGTTTCAAATAGATTCTTTTTTTAAAATCATTCTCCCCCTCTTCCTGTCAAAGGTGACCTCGTAGGCAAGTTTTCTGCATGTTTATGTCTAAAAATATCCTTAGCCTTATCATAGGGTATGCCCAATTGGGTGATCTGCGGGATCTTTCGGCTTTTTCTCCATCTGTATCACTGAGTATGAAAGATGAATGTCTTCATAAATAGACCACTGGGACTTCCATCTCTGACAATATTCCAAAGTAGGTATCCAGAAAAAACTACAACTGGTGGTATCATTTTAAAAATAATAATCCATTAAATGCAGGCTGCCTGTGAGAAAGCTAGAAATGCCAAGAACACTCAGAACCACAGAGATAAGCCAGCACTGAAGCAGGCATTTAGAGGAGGCTGGGGATCCAAACAGGGTGGGAGATCAGGTCTGGGTGGATCTATTAGGGGAAAAAAATACCAGCACACAGATGGAGATGCAGTGACTGTCTCATCCTTGGCTATGGGTAGAGTGGAAATAACTAAAAATAAAACCCTGGAGAATTTCTATCAACAGACCTGTATTCACACAGGTTTGGGCGTTCATATTACAGACGTGACCACACCCTGCCAAACACTCATGCCTACTGGGGCTCTGCACTGGCCATACCACCAAGTACACAGAGGCAGATGCGAATCCTCTCCAGAGATCACACTCAAACACAGCCCTCAAAGATTCCCCAGATAGTATGTATCCAAGGAAATGAGCCCACAATTTAAACATGCACATCACCATGAGTGAGAGGTAAAAGAAACATAAACTGAAGAATCAAAGACTTTAAATATTTGAAATACCAGCCACAGACAAAAATGGAGTATCTATAATATGTGTATATGTTGGTTTTTTGTTTTGTTTTGTTTTGTTTGAGACGGAGTCTCGTTCTGTCGCCCAGGCTGGAGTACAGTGGCGTGATCTTCACTCACTGCAACCTCCGCCTCCCAGGTTCAAGCGATTCTCCTGACTCAGTCTCCTGGGTAGCTAGGATTACAGGTGCGCACTACCACGCCCGGCTAATTTTTGTATTTTAGTAGAGATGGGGCTTCACCATGTTGATCAGGCTGGTCTCAAACTCCTGACCTTGTGATCCACCTGCCTCGGCCTCCCAAAGTGCTGGGATTACAGGCATGAGCCACCAAGCCACCCGGACTATGTGTTTATGTTTTAAGAAATTAGAAGAGGGCTGGGTGCAGTGGCTCACGTCTGTATTTCCAGCACTCAGGCTGAAGCGAGAGGATCGCTTGAGCCTAGGAGTTCAAGGGCAGCCTGTGCAACATAGTGAGACCCCATCTCTACAAAAAATTTTTAAAGTTAGCCAGGCATGGTGGCACATGCCATAGTCCCAGCTACTCAGGAGGCTGAGGCGGGGTGATCAGTTGAGTGCAGGAGTTTACGACCAACCTGAGCAACATAGTGAGACCCCATCTGTATATTTAATAAGAAAAAAAAAAAAAAAAAAAAAGAACTCAAAATACCTGAAAAAGGCCAGAAGAAGAGATCTGTGCTACCAGCAATCCTGGGACTGGGTGGTGAATGGGGCCTGGGGTGCCAGGGACGCAAGCAGCCCAAAAGTGCAAGATTTAGATTAAATGAAGGCCCATCAACACAAGGAAATATGTAAACATTCCAAAAGATTATTATCTAAATTATGTAAAACTCCCCAATTACTTAAAGTCTGTTCACTGTGACGACTGTTCTTCAATTTTAAAAAATAAAAGTGAATTTTCAGGTGAAATTTTTGTATCCTACTCATCTTTGTCCCATTATCTGCTACAACAGTGTCTGGCACACAGAGTAGGCACTCAAAGTTTTTTCTTTTTAATACATCTAGAGATGGATACACTATTCATTCATCATTCAATTAATATAACTGAAGCACTGACTGCTGCTACTTTTTTTTTTTTTGGGGGGGGGGGGGGACGGGGTCTCACTCTGTCACCCAGGCTGGAATGCAGGGGTGTGATCTAGGTTCACTGCAACCTCTGCCTCCTGGGTTCAAGTGATTCGCATACCTCAGCCTCCCGAGTAGCTGGGATTACAGTTGTGCGCCACCACACCCAGCTCATTTTTTTGTATTTTTGGTAGAGACACGGTTTCACCATGTTGGCCAGGCTCATCTCAAACTCCTGACCTCAAATGGTCCGCCTGCCTTAGCCTCCCAAAATGCCGGGATTACAGGTGTGAGACACCGTGCCCAGCCTACAAATTTTCTTAAAGAAAGTTTGTATCAAATTCGTGGCTCTCTGCTTCTTTGATAGCATACGTGAGGTGGGTGAACTAAAAACTCAGGTGCTCATGGTCTGACTTTCTAGATGTGCTCTATAGCCATACCTCTCTGGAATTCTGCATGTGTCTAAAACAGCATTTTCCAATATGTGGAAGCACAATAAATTTTCCAATATTTTAATGAAGTTGTACATATTTGTTAAAAAGTTTTTTTGTTTTTTTTTTTTGAGATGGAGTTTTGCTCCAGCCCAGGCTGGAGTGCAATGGCACGATCTGGGCTCACTGCAACCTCCGCCTCCTGGGTTCTAGCGATTCTCCTGCCTCAGCCTCCCGAGTAGTTGGGATTACAGGCATGCGCCACCACACCCAGCTAATTTTTGTATTTTTAGTAGAGACAGGGTTTCACCATGCTGGTCAGGCTGGTCTCAAACTCCCAACCTTAGATGATCCGCCCACCTCGGCCTCCCAAAGCGCTGGGATTACAGGTGTGAGCCACTACGCCCGGCCAAAAAGTTTTCTTAAATGGAAACAGAAAGCAGAAACCGGGTCGGGCGTGATGGTTCACGCCTATAATCCCAACACTTTGGGAGGCCAAGGCAGGTGGATCACT
This sequence comes from Homo sapiens, assembly GCF_000001405.40. Lineage (NCBI taxonomy): Eukaryota > Metazoa > Chordata > Mammalia > Primates > Hominidae > Homo > Homo sapiens. The sequence continues at coordinate 69,209,368 of NC_000009.12, read as the reverse complement.
TGGGGCCAGGAGTTCAAGACCAGCCTGGCCAACATGGTGAAACCCTATCTCTACCAAAAACACAAAAAATTAGCCGGGCGTGGTGGCGCATATCTGTAGTCCCAGCTACTTGGGAGGCTGAAGCAAGAGAATCACTTGAACCTGGGAGGTGGAGGTTGCAATGAGCTGAGATTGCGCCACTGCACTCCAGAGTGAGACTCTGTCTCAAAAAAAATAAAGAAAGAAAAGAAAAAGAAAGCAGACACTCAACTGAACTCCTGCAGTAAGTCAGAATTGGTTGCCCTTTTCCATTTCCATAGAACACCTTACTAACTCCTTGCCAACTTCAGTTTTAGATGTGGCCTTAGTAAAACTAAGCCACTACCACCCAGAAATGACCTTATGAGCATGCCCACTTCTCCAAGCTCATCTTCTCAATGCCTTCTTGTACCTTAAAGCTGTCAAATTTCAACAAAGTGAATTAATCTAGAAGTTGTGGTAAAATAAATATATTTGCCAACTCTTCTTTGGATATAGTTATAGCCCCATGAATTAAGGGGGAAAAAAAATTACATGACATCCTCCCCACAAAACTTACTTTAAAATTATCAGGAAAAAAAACTAACTGGGACTATGACAATCATCCCCAGGATTGGGCAATGCTACATACCAAAAAAATGTTGAATATCCCAAGGAGCTGTGCTATTATAGAGAATATTTTTATGAGTACATTACTTTTAAAATACATTTCTATTTTGGAATTTAAAACTATAAACTCTTCAAAGTTTTGGATTTAAATTTGTTTATCATTTAGCCAAATAAATGAGTTCCTGCAAAATTTTATTTTTTAAATGTGGCTCAAGTAGAATGAATCTGGCTTTTGAAATTCACAGCCCTTCAATAATGGGATGCTACCATCTTTAAGTGTCCTGTGATGCCTGCAAGCGTAATTTAAATTAAATTTGTCAGAGAGACGATTAATCTCCTACCACTACCACCACCAATCAGACCTTGCTATTAACTTGCCTGGTGCCTGAAACCAATCAGATTGCGAGGCTTCTTCTTACCTATGGTTAACGGGTAATAAAATTAACTATTAGCTACTTAACATAATATTCAAAGAATATATGCTCTGCTAAGCCAAGTGATAAAGAGAAAATCTTAATTGTAAAGGAAGGGAACTAGAGCAAAAATAAATTTTAGTAGCTCTGTTGAACATTAAAAATACACCATAACTATGTATATTTAGCCTACAGAACTGTGACTTTTTGGGAAGGTCTCACAGAAAACTCTTCACTGTGCACTCATTTGTTCATTTATGCAAAAACATTTATTAAGCATCCACCTTCTGCCAAGCAAGTGGTTTGTGGCACTTCAGAGACATCAGTGAATAAAATCGCCAAAGCCCTTGGGCAGCTTACCAACTAACTACAAGTGTACCCAAAGAGCAAACTACTGAGTGTCTTTCCTGCCTCATTTATATAATTTTTCAGAAACACAGAGCACCCCACATAATCATCCTTATTCCTCAGAACATCAGCTCTAGGAACATCCCTGGGCACAGGCTGCCAGGGTGCAGCAGCTTAGCTGAGAGCTGTGGTCCTGACATTCAAACTAGGCCACCGGGCTCTGGTCCCACCCACCACCTTGTGCTTGGCTATGCGCAGATCAGACTTGCTAGCAATATCTGACCTCTCTCTGAATGACAGCAGGTAGCTGCTTAGCACCAGGGGGAGCTTTACAGGCAGGCCCATAGAAAGAGCACGCATATATCAGAATTAAAGGTATGCACATTCCACGACCCAGTGATTCCTCTACCTGGGCAGAGGCACCGGGAGAACCGTGTGACTAAATGCACAAGGACACATGTATAGAGTATTCACAGCAGCAATGTTCCCAACAGCCAAAACTTGGAAAATATCCCAGTATCTCTCAAGGGCAGGATGGACAAATTGATACATTATTAAAATACAATGTTTTACTGCAATGAAGACGAACAAACCAGTCACATAGACCACCACAAAAGGGATGCATCTCAAACATAAAGTTGAGCAAAAAAACACCCCAGAAGGATTTGTAGAGTGTGATACCATTTTTATATAGCTCAAAAAACAATGTTTTACAACAACTTGAATATACTTAACACTACTGAACTGTACATTTACAAATGGTACAGACAGTAAATTTTGGTATGCGTTTTTCACTATAGTAAAAAATTGCCAACAAAATTAATCTATTGTTTAGGGGCGTGTGTGTGTGTACGCACGCATGCAGTGGAAATATAAAGAAAAAGCAAGGAAATGAAAAACATAACATTCAGGATGAGGTGACCTGGGCAGGAGGCAGAGTATGGTGGGAGGTACACAAATTTCCTTCGTGTTTTGTCTTGGTGATGGTCTGCAGATATGTGTAATGGGCTCATGGCATTTGTTTAATTATTATGCTCCATGATTTAGATATTTAATTCTTTTATGGTACCAAACATTTCATAAGTTTAAAAAATAGGGAGATGAGGCCGGGCGCGATGGCTCGCGCCTGTAATCCCAGCACTTTGGGAGGCCGAGGCGGGTGGATCACGAGGTCAGGAGATCAAGACCATACTGACTAACATGGTTAAACCCCATCTCTACTAAAAATACAAAAAATTAGCCAGGTGTGGTGGCAGGCACCTGTAGTCCCAGCTACTCGGGAGGCTGAGGCAGGAGAATGGCTCGAACCCGGGAGGTGGAGCTTGCAGTGAGCCGAAATCGCGCCACTGCACTCCAGCCTGGGCAACAGAGCAAGACTCCGTCTCAAAAAGAAATAAAAAAATTAAATAAATAAATAAATAAATAAAAAATAGGGAGATGAGTGGGTGAACACCAAAATGAATACTGACTCCTGGTGAAGGATCTAATACCCAAGAGGTACGAGTATATTTAACAGCAAATTTTTCAATGCAGTTAGAATTTTGCAAAGTGAAGAGGGGATAATAATTTCAACTGGAAGGAGGGCGAGTTGAAGGATGGTACCAGTAATTTGAAAGGGGCAAAGAGGGTAAAGCAAGGCAGGTGCGGTGGGCAGAGTGGGGACGCAGGTTAGGTCTGGGGAGTTGTGGGGGGAGGTGTATGCAGAAAACGCCAAGTCACCTTTTTAATCCAAGTGTCAACATTCTATCCATTAGGAGGATCTTCAATGTGCTTTCATCATCTTTCCTTATCACTTTTACTTTTCACGTAAGTAGTGTTCATGACAACCCCCTTTATATCTAACAGGTCATTCTTAAGACCTCATGGAAAGTTAAAAGTGAGCTAACTTTTCTACCATAAACAAAAAACTTAATGCATTAACAGTAAGGTTTTTGTGTGACAAAAGAAGAGAAAGGAACTAAGGCAAATAGTTACTTATTGTGTTTTTTTTTAATCTTTTTATAAAGCTTTTTTCCTTTGAAAAATCTTGGCCAGATAGGTAAAAATCCTATATATTTTACATAAAGAATGTAGAAACATGTTAAAAGCCAACCCCAAAACAGATACCGAAGTGTTCACTGCCCAAAGTCCCCCTGAACAGGCGGCTTTTAGATTCTGTATCCACAGACTGCTGCTGCCCAGTGATGGAGGTCAAAGCTAAAACCAAAGATTAATCGCAAGCTGTCCACGTAAGGGACATGCTTCATAAAAGTCTCAAGCCATCAAAGTAAACACTCACACATGTTCAAACTGTAAGAGGAAAAAAGAACATGTGAAAAACACTTTTTCTTCTAAGTTAGAAGCCTAGACATAATAAGAATATAGATTTCTGCAGTGTAAGAAAGCAAAAAGTTTTATCCCAAAACAAGAAATTCTCAAACATGAACAAACACAAAAGCCAGTATGTTAAGCTCTACCCAGGAAGCAAAACCATTACAGATTCCTAGCACATGGAAAACAGCAGCCTTTGATCCACAGATCCAGTAAGAGGCTATCAGTTTCACATAGATCTGCTAAAATTAATACAAGTATTTTTAAAAACCCACCAGTGACTACAACCTACAATCTCACAATTTGTTGCTGAAAGATGCCAGAAGCACAAATCAATCTGAGGATAAAGGACTCACTGTGAGAATGGTTTTGCTTCCCTCCCCTTCCCATGAAGAAAGGTTGGGGAAAACAAGGGGAGAGCTTGCAGAGGGACTCACACGGCCTTTCCATCTCCTCAACTTTTTAACAGCCTGGATCCACATCCTATGTAGGGCTTGAGCAGTCTTCATGGTCTCTGGAGATGCATGGGCCAGGCCACCGCCTACATTCCGGGCTGCTCACCCATTTCCATCACTCCATGTGGTTACGTAAGGCGGATACAATAGTGGCCCACATTTCCAGCAAATCCTGTTGTCATCTCACACAGTGACACATCCATATGGCAGGGATGCCAAACGCTTTGAAAAGCACTACTTATGAGCAAAAAAGAAAGCAGTTTGGATTTGCACCACTTCAACAGCTTTCTTTCTCTCCCTCTCTCTCCCTTGCCAGGGAACTAGAGCATCCGAGTAGATATTTCTTTTAAGCACATAAAATGATTCAGCATCTAAGTTGACAGAATTGAGTAAATGAGACACTTTAGAGCAACATTATGGAAAAGAATATTTAGAGAAGTATTTATACAGTATAGACCCTCTGATACACACACACACACGCCAGCTAGAAATAAACTAGCAATGTTTCAGGTCAACTGAATGGCTAATGTTACACAGAAATTAAAAAGCATGAAAAGAAAATGTTTTACGTCCTTGGAGATAACAAGGGGAAGATAAGACTCATTTGGTGCTGCTCAGAGACAACTCAGGGACAGAATGCTTGCTCAGCAAAGTTCCACTGTCTAACCTTTTTGTAAACTTAGCAGATAAAAGAATAACAAAGAGCCCTGCCGTCTGTTCTTTGTCTTTACCACTTGGGGAGAAGGGAGGGGTGGAGAAGCAAATTTTAGGTTTCTGAACATCTAGCAAAGATTTTATGGGATGCCTGGGGCTTGGGAGCTGGGGTTAGGAATTCAGAAGTCTGGTCTTGGGGAGCCTCTGGCCAATTCTTGCTACCATAGTGTATGTTATATGCCAATGGGCTTGGCCAAACAGCGTGCAAATGTAAAGTGTGCCATTTGATTTGAGGCTGAGATGTATATAAATCTGGACCATGAGATGGCCACCATCTAGGAAACAAGGAGAAGCAGAGCCAAGAAAGTGATTTTTAAAGTCACAAGATCTGGAGTGAGATCCTTGTCCTGTCACTTAGCTGTGGGGCGTTGGATACACTATACCCTTCTTTATACAGTGGCGATAAAACCATCTACACTTCAGAAGGGCAATGTCGGCAAGAAATGAGGCAATCTCTACAAAGCACTCGTGCTGGTGCTGGACAGGCACTGGGAAATGTGTGTCCTTCCCTAAGAGTTGAGTTCTTCATGTTATGACAGTTAAATGAGATCAAAAATGAATACAAGTTTATGTTTCAAATCCTACACTTTGCCAGGCGCAGTCACTCACGCCTGTAATCCTAGCACTTTGGGAGGCTGAGATGGGCAGATCGCTTGAGCCAGAAGTTCAAGACCAGCCTGGCCAACATGGTGAAACCCCATCTCTACTAAAAATAGAAAAATTAGCTGGGCATGGTTGTGCACACCTGTAGTCCCAGATACTTGGGAGGCTGAGGTAGGAGGATCACCTGAGCCCAGGAGGCGGAGGTTGCAGTGACCTGAGATCGGGCCACTGCATTCCAGCCTGGGCCATAGAGCGAGACCCTGTCTCAAAAAAAAAAAAAAAAAAAAAAAATCCAGGCTGGGCACCGTGGCTCATGCCTATAATCCCAGCACTTTGGGAGGCTGAGGTGGGAGGATCACCTGAGGCCAGGAGTTCAAGACCAGCCTGGCCAACATGTTGAAACCTCGTCTCTACTAAAAACACACACAAAAAATCCGGGCATGTTGGCGGGTGCCTGTAACCCCAGCTACCCAGGAGACTGAGGCAGGAGAATCACTTCTCCTGCAGTGAGCCAAGATCCCACCATTGCACTCCAGCCTAGGCAACAAGAGTGAACTCCGTCTCAAAAAAATAATAATAAATTATTTATTATATAAATAAATGGGTACAAAGGAGGACCTTGGAATCTAAGCAAGTGTCCAAACCTCAACCTAGGCTATGCAGACATGTGCAGGCTCTGTACACACCAGCCAGGTTCAGCCCATGGGCTGGCTCACTAGCTCCAGGTGCAGAGGAGCCTGAGAACCCAGGCAACTCGGGGAGGGTTCAGGCCAGCCCACTCCTTCACTCTGACAGTCCTAAGGAAAACACCTGAGCTTATCCTCATGAGGAAATAAATACTTCTTTCCCTTAAGTTCATGCATACTACCCAGAAGTCAGAGGTGTCCTAGAATTTAAGAATTCCAGATTCTTCTACAGTGATTTCCAGAGGTCATAGTTTCTAGCAGCAGTAATTCTTTTTTTTAATTGTGCTGAAGAATATATAACCTAAAATTTATTATCTTAACCATTTCTAAGTACAGTTGGCCCTTGAACAGCAAGGTTTGAACTGCCCTGGTCCACTTATCCATGGGTTTTTTTCAATAAAAGTTATACAGAGTGTGCCTGCCTCCCCTGCCTCCCCTTCACCTCCTCCACCTCTTCCGCCTCTGCCGCCTGGGCACAGCAGGACCAAACCGTCATCTTCCTCAGCCTACTCAACATGAAGACAATCAGGATGAAGTCCTTTAGGACTATCCACTTCCACTTAGTGAGTAATAAATGTATTTTCTCTTCCCTAGCTTACTTTACTGTGACAAAACAGTATATAATACATATAGCATATAAAATGCGTTCATTGACTGTTTATGTTATGGTAAGTTTTCTGGTAAACAGCAAGCTATTAGTTAAGTTTTGGGGGAGTCAAAAGTTATACATGGATTTTTGACTGTGTGAGGGTCGGCACTCCTAACCTCTCATTTTTCTAGGGTATACAGTGTAGCACCTGCTAAGGTTTGAATGTATGTGTCCCACCAAAACTCATGTGCTGGAACCTAAGACCCAATACAGTAAGTGTTAAGGGGAGGAGCTTTTAGGAGGTGATTAAGAGGGCTCCAACCTCATGAATGGGATTTGTGCTCTTACAAAAGGGCTGGAGGGACTGAGCTAAACCCCCTTGCTTTCCACCTCTTCTGTCATGTAAGGATACAGCAACAAGACACCATCTTGGAAGGAGAGAGCTGCCCTCACCAGATGCCAAATCTGCTGTTGCCTTGATCTTCAACTTCCCAGCCAAAACTGTGGGCAAATAAATTTCTGTTTTTTATAAACTTCCCAGTTACAGGAGTAGGAATTGACTAAGACAGTAGTATATTCACACTTCAGAATATACTGAACTCAAGAACTCTTCATCTTGCAAAACTGAAACTCATGCCTATCAAACAACTCCCCATTTCCCTCTCCCCTCAGCTCCTGGCAACCACCATTCTGTTTTGTGATTCTATGAATTTGACTACATTAGACACATCATATAAGTGGACTCACACAAGATTTGTCTTCCTGTGATTGGCTTACTTCACATAGCATAATGTCCTCAAGGTTCGTCTACGTGGTGGCGGCGTATGTCAGAAGTTCCTCCCTTTCTAAGGCTGAATAATATTCCATTGTATGTATATGACATATTTTGTTTATCCACTCATCTGTCAACAGACACTTGGGTTACTTTCACCTCTTGGCTATAGTGAAAAACGCTGCCATGAACATGGGTATGTAAATATGCCATCACTAATTCTTTACTCATTCATTCAACAAATGTCGACCAAGTGCAATGTGCTCTGAGGAACAAATGAAGAGCAAAACAAATAAAGCACTGCCCTCAGGAAGCTTTGCAGGAGCCAGCATCTGATCAAGGCAGGTTGGCCAGGGAGGGTTTCCATGAGCCAGGGACACCGAGATGAGGTCTGAAGGAAAGGACAGGATTAGCGGGGTGGGGAGAAGGGTTTGTTCAGGGTCCAAAGAACAGCACAGGGCAAAGACCTGACAAAGAAAAGGGGGAGGGGACAGTAGAGGATGGCCATCAGAACGTAAGAACAACTGCAGCCTGCTCCAACCAGTACTTGTTCTACCAATGGCATCAGAAGGACATTTTGTGGTGGACAGCTACCTCCATGAGAAGAGCTTATGGGTTTAAGGATGTGCCTTCTCAAAGATTCCTAGCTTCCATACTTACAGACCCAAAAGCAACCATGCACCTGGCCCTGTGGACAGAAAGACAAATCACCCCAAGTTATGATGCAAAGGAAGTCACACAGCCCAGTGGGGAGGTGGGATGTGTAAACAAGCAATTACAATTCAGTGCAAGTACAAGAGCCCACCAAGAGGCTCATTCATTCGACATATACTCCCTGAGTACTTATGCCATGTCAGATGCTGCCAGGGGATATGTGCCAAACTCGTTTCCTCACAGGGAGGATTTTAGCAGAGAAAGCAGACAAGAGTCAATATATATCATCATCTCAGGTAGTAATAAGTGCCATGGGATGGCAGACTGGGAAGAATTAATCCTAGGAAAATCTGAACAGCTCTCCAGATTGCTGCGGGAACAGCAAATGCAAAGGCCCTGGGGTGGGAAACAAGCTTAGTACATTTAGGAAAGAGAAAAGGTGACATGGGCTGGAGCAGGGTGAGTGGTGGGGTTATAGCAACTACATAAAATGTGAAGCGAGGCCAGCCCCCATGGTGGCTCAAGCCTATAATCCCAGCACTTTAAGAGGCTGAAGTGGGAGCATCAGTTGAGCCCAGGAGTTCAAGACTGGGCTAGGCAACAAAGCAAGATCCTATCTCTACAAAAAGAAAAATGTTAAAATCTAGCCAGGTGCAGTGGCATGTGCCTATAGTCCTAGCTGCTCAGGACACTGAGGCAGGAGGATCACTTGAGCACAGGAGTTGGAGGCTACAGTGAGCTATGATCATGCCACCACACTCCAGCCTTGGCAATACAGTGAGATCCTGTGTCTAGAAAAAAAGGTGTAAAAAACCACAAAACAGTGTAATTGATGGCACAGGCGGGTTGTTAACTGAGGATGAGAGGCCTGGGGTGGAGGGAGGTATGTCCCAACCACAGGGAGGCTCCCTCTCCCACAGCTCCATGCTGAAGGATGACTAACTGGTCAGGTGGGTGGGCATTCTGCATAGAGGGAACAGCCCGTTCAGAGCCAGGAGGGGTAACCTGCAAGGGTGTTCAAGACATTGCGAGTACTCAGTGCGGCCGGGCAGTAAACTGTTTAATAACACACACAGGATTTCACGTTCTCAGCAGGGACAGACATGTCAAAACAGCTTAATCTATGGCTTGGGAGCCTTAAAATGCATATTCACCTCAGAAATGGGAGACAAGGTAAGTGTGAAAACTGGAGAGGAAGGAAGTCATTAACATTTGGCAGGGCACCACACCCAGTACTAAATATACAATTTTTCCCTGAATGCCCACAACCCTGTGAGTTAGCACCACCATCCCCATTTTACAAATAGGGAAGCTGAGGCCAGAGAGTGTACACAGCCCACCACTGTCAGAGATGGGATCCGAGCTGCTGCCTGACTCCAGACCCTCGTCTCCATGAACAATGTCATGCGTGCTTTCCACATGCTGAGTCCTTAATACATGTTACTGGATAGCTGGAAAGAAGGAAAGGAGGGAGAAAGGAAAGAAAGGAAGGAAAGACAAAGTAAGACAGAGGGAGCACTAAATGAAATCAGCCAGGTTCTCAGTAGCTCCAAACAGCAGATGTGAAACTTCGGGAGGACACCATCCAATAAATGGGCCAATGGTTTTCTGCATGATGTTTCCCTCTGGTGCGTGCGTACGTGCATGCGTGTGTGTGTGTGTATGTCTGAGACAGGATCTTGTTCTGTCGCCCAGGCTGGAGTGCAGTGGCACAATCAGGGCTCACTGCAGCCTCAACCTCCTGGGCTCAAGCGGTCCTCCTGCCTCAGCCCCGGAGTAGCTGGGACTTAAAGGCACATGCCACCACACCTGGCTAATTTTTTTTAATTTTAGTAGAGACAAGGTCTCGCTATGTTGCCCAGGCTGGTCTCGAACTCCTGAGACTCTTCCTGCCTTGGCTTCCCAAAGTGCTGGGATTACAGATGTGAGCCACCACGTTCAGCCCCCTCTGGTATTATGTTGTGTCTGCTATGTCATTTTACAAACGAACTCAAATCCTTAGAAAGGGATAGTGTAAAGAAACAGCTAGCTGGCCTAGGCTGGTAGGTAAACCTACCTCCAGATGAAAAGAGGACTTTTATAGTTCCCCACCTGCCCCCAGGAAATTGGTTTTAACTATTGTGAAGAATTTAGTCAAAATTCTGCTTACTGGACAAAACTTTGAAACAGCTGTCTAATAACAAAACAGGAAATGCTTTTTCCCAGAGAAGGCAGAAAATGAGTTCAACTCTTGTTCTTCCAAAAACGAATAATTTTTAACATTATAAACCAAGTCCTTTTGGCTTCAGGGCACTTACCTGTGGTCTATTCAAACTTAAACCCCTCTTGGTAGCAATAAACTAGTTGCCACCGCATCCAACAATACTTTCTGTAGCGTTTGTTTTACAAACAAAACCCTTTCATCGTTTATTCCACAAGTATTTCAGTTTCACATGTGATTTCACCAGCTCCTTACCCTCCCTTCACAATGCACTGAGTGCCGGCAGTGGATGATTAAATCTAGTGTATGCGATGTGCTCACAGCACACACTTCACAATGGACACAGCTTGCTTATGACCAAGTTTAACAGCAAAAAGCAATAAGCTTAGAGAGGGGTTTGTGATAGGTCACCAGAATCAACACAACTAGATCCCAGACCTACTACTGAAGAGTGCCAGGTTTACTGAGTTGTGTTTTTTAACCACATTCTCCTTTATTTACCTAAGGTAAATTTTTTAGCGTGCATTTAAATAGATAATAAAGAATTGAGAAAGGTGGCCGGGCATGGTGGCTCACGCCTGTAATCCCAGCACCTTGGGAGGCCAAGGCGGGCAGATGACCTGAGGTCAGGAGATCAAGACCAGCCTGGCCAACATGGTGAAACCCCATCTCTACTGAAAATAAAAAAATTCGCTGGGTGTAGTGGCACATGCCTGTAGTCCCAGCTACTCTGGAGGCTGAGGCAAGAGAATCGCTTGAACCTGGGATGCAGAGGCTGCACTGAGCTGAGATAGTGTCACTGCACTCCAGCCTGGGTGACAGAGTGAAACTCAGTCTCAAAAAAAAAAAAAAAAAAGAATTGGGAAAGGATGACAGGGTGCCTGAGGCAACCTGTAGCTTTCAAAGCAGTTGTGTTGAAATGCAAACAGCAATAAATTTAAACTCCAAAAACAGACCTCCATCCAAGACTGCGCCTCAATTCACCCATGAGCTTGGGCGCTCACTCAATTCCACTGCTGCTTCATCAAACGATGGCATCATCACCCATTTCACAGGGTGAAACCAGGCAAACCCCATGAAAGCACTCTGTAAAATCCAGGCTGGTAAACCTTCCAGTGGGAGGTAGACAATGGTGTCCACATAACACAGTGGCAGGAGTTCTGGAGGCCGTCACACACACCTGGGTCTAAGCTCAGTCCCCCTACACACTCTCCAAGCTCTGTGATCTGGAACAGTTCACTTGGTAAGACTTGGTTGCCTATCTGCAAAATGAGGTCAAGATCCCTACCCTATTAGAATTCTGAGAACTGAATAAAGTAATGCTTCTGGAGAGCATTGCTCAGTACCCATCACAGGATAAGCACTCTTGATAAGGGTTTTCCATCATTAATATTGTAGCAGCAAATAAGCTGACCACTCCCAAGTAAGAAAGTCTGTTTTCTTCCTCTCAGAAGAGCATTACGAACACATGGTAGAAAAAAAGAAAAACAAAACCAACAAGTACATCACAGAACTCAAGAAAATTGAAAATACATGTGTACACAACAACTTGTATACAAATGTTCATAACAGTATTATTTAAAATAGCAAACAAGTGGAAACAGCCCAAATGTCCATCAACTGATGACTGGATAAACGAAATGTGGTATATCCATACAATGAACTGTTACTCAACAATAAGGTGGACCAAAGTATCTACACATGCTACAACATGGATGATCCTTAAAAATAATATAAGCAGGGCCAAGCACGATGGCTCACGCCTGTAATCTCAGCACTGTGGGAGGTCGAGGCAGGTGGATCACTTGAGTTCAGGAGTTCAAGACCAGCCTGGTAAAACCCCATCTCTACTAAAAACACAAAAAATTAGCCAGGTGTGGTGGCACTTGTAATCCCAGCTGCTGGGGAGGGTGAAGCAGGATAATCACTTGAACTGGGGAGGCGGAGGTTGCAGTGAACCCAGATTGTGCCACTGCACTCCAACCTGGGCGACAGAGTGAGACTCTGCCTCCAGAAAACATGTGTGTGTGTGTGTGTGTGTGTGTGTGTGTACACACACACACACACACATATATATATAAAACAAGCAAAAGAAATCAGACATAAAATGACAAATTATGTGACATAAAATGACAAATTTATGTGAAATGTCAAGGAGGGGCAAATCCACAGAGGCTGAAAGATTACTGGTTCCCTAAGACTATGGGAGTTTGGGGGAAATGAGGAGTGACTGCTAATGGGTATGCAGTTTCCTTTTGGGGTGAAGAAAATGTTCTAAAATGAATTGTGGTGATGGCCACACAACTCTGTGAATATACAGTACTAAAAGCCACTGGTTGCACACTTTTATTGTATGGTATATGAATTATATCTCAATAAAGCTGTTTTTAAAAAAAAGATCACATCGTAGAGTCTGTAGTCAGAAAGTGTGGATTCAAATCCATGCTCCACCCTTTACCTTGGGCGAGTTACTTAATTTCTCCTTGCCTCAGTTTCCTCCATCTGTAAAGCAGAGGCAGTAGCAGTAACAAGACCCACCTCTCTAAGGTTGTTGTGAGAATTTAATCAGACAGTGCATGTAGAGAAATCAAGGTAATGCCTGGCACATAGTACATGCTCAATTTTAGCTATTATCAATATCATTATTAATAGACTCATTTTACAGAAAGGACACTGAAGTCAGAAGTAAAGTAAGTTGATTGAGGTCATACAAGTAAAAAGTGGCAGAGGACAGATTCTAACTCAGGCTGGTGTGACTAGAAAGCTTATATCCTTTCCACTGAAGAACCTTGCCTCTCCACTATACACCTATTGTGCCTTCCAAAACCTACTAGTGACTGATCACTGGCCTTCACACCAAAAGAAATCCCAGCTGGGCTCAGTGTCTCATGCCTGTAATCCCAGCACATTGGGAGGCTGTGGAGAGAGCACTGCTTGAACCCAGGAGTTTGAGACTGCAGTGAGCTATGATGGCACCACTGCACTCTAGCCTGGGTGACAGAGTGAGGCCCTGTCTCTTAAAAAACAAACACACAAACAAAAACATGATTGTTGGTGCTTGGGCACCAGACCAATCATGGATTCAATCACTCTGACAACTCAGAACATCTTCACAAGCATGATAGCTATTTCCACACCACTGGCCTGGGTCCAGTCAACACAGCCCAATAAGTCTTCTGCAGTGAGTTGGTAAGAAGAGGGTGCAGAAAGGGAGTCGAGTCGGATTTTATTTCTGGCTGTTTGAACAGTCAGCTTTGGTATATATGCACAAGCTCCCTAATGCCTACGCCTTTGTGAACACCATGGAAAAGGGGGGGCCTGAAACACATCATCACTGATTGGACATTAACAATATGCCAGACACCGTGCTAAGTATTTTATGGCTATTGCCTATTAATCCTCCAAAAACCCTATACCCTAACCCTACTCCTGCTTTTTTCACATACAAAAATAGAAGGCCTGAGATCTCAAGGAACTTGCCCATGGCAAGGCCCCACAGCTAACAGGTGCCTGGTCACAATTTGAATGCAAATTTGCATGAGTCCAATTTTCATAAGATATGAGACCAAAAAAAAAAAAATCAGCTGATAGTTACATTTAAGACCTCTATGTTCCTAGTTCTGATACACTAAGCTAAGCTATAAACAGATCATTCTTATTTGTAATTACAAAGAAGCCATTAATAAGCCAAAAGGAAGGTGCTAATTTGGCAACACAGGCACAGCCCTGTGTACCCTATAATTTTAAACCTGACTAAACTTATATAACACTAAAACATAGCTTCACTTTAAAAAAACAAACATACATACAAACCACCACCCCCATAATAGGCACCAAGATAAAGATAATCATAAACGGCTTTGTCAAAAAGGCAGGTTGAAAAAACAATTATTAGAGCTGCTCAGCTAAATGTCACCATCAAGGTTGGCCCCATAGGAAACACACAAGGTCAATCGTTCCCTCCCAGACCTGGGGCACCATCAGATGATGGTTCCCACAGAAAAGAGGGACACATTAGTACCACCTAGCAATGAGCCTGGTTAATCCCATAAAGCCAGTGAGCCTACATACGGAGTCCTGAGCTTCAAACACATGCCTTTCCTATTAGAATTGGAGAATAAAGGCAAGAACCCCACCCTTTGGGTATTACGTAGCCAACCCCTGGGAGCCTGTTAAAAATACAGAATCTCAAGCCCTAACTTGGACCTACTGATAAAAATATGCATTCTAACTAGAGCCCCTATGTGATTAATATGCACATTAACGTTTGAGAAGCACCTCCCATCAGGGAGGTGACGGGGAAAATAATGTTTGAGAAGCACCTGTCTAGCAGTACTCTCCAACAGAAGTTTCTACCATGGTGACGATGTTCTATAGCTGTGCTGTCCAACACAGTAACCACTAGCCACATGTGGCTACTGAACATGTGAAATGTGGCTACTGCAACTGAAGAATGCAATGTTTAATTTTAGTTAATTTAAATTTGTAAATAGCAATATTTACTATATAATTAACCATATCCCTAGCAGTCATTTAAGCCATTTCCTTTTTTTTGCTAGTATAACTAATGCTATGGCAGACACTGTGTGCATATAGCTCCCCCTCCATATTTTGTAGTTAACTATAGATCAAACGGCATTTTTAAGCCTCTTCATGTGTAATGACCTATAACTTTCAGCAATTTACAGTGCTGCAACCATGAGCAGAATGCCAGGTATTAAGAAAAAAATAGTACTTATTTTCAAAAACAGTGAAATTCATTTTTATACTTTAAGAATCCTTTTGGTGTCTCTAAAATTTTTCCTGGGAAGGAAAAATAAAAAGGCTGTGGGAGCGCAGAGGAAGACTGTGAATTCCTTATAGAGGCACATGACAAAACTTAGTAAATTGATACTTTGAAAATACTGATTTAACCAGCTGTCAGTAAGAGACACAATAATTTTATTTTAAACCGTTAATCTATGGACAAGACTAAAAATCTTACAATTTATGGTTTCAACTGCATAAGTATGTTACATATTTAAAATACCATAAACGTAATAACTGAATGTGTTCTTGCATGGTATACTTAGCACAATGACCAATGCCCACTGCACCTAATGGAAATCAACAGACAAAAAGAAACAATTGCTCCATCATACTGGAACATACTCCATCCAGGCAGGGGGCAGCAAAGACAAGAGACAGGGAGGGGAAAGGTGAGGTTTCCTGTATCAAATGTGGAGCCAAAGCCATGCAAAAATCAACAAGCCTTCCTAATTCTTTTGACTTAATAAAACACAGCAGATGAAATTCAAGCAAGTTATAAAAAAAAAAAAAAAGTTCAGGTGTTTGAAATAGCCTTGTTTCTAAACTTAGAAAAAGACCTCATTATTCTATCTTGTATGCCATTATCACATAAACTGAGTGAAACTGACAGTCTGCATCCTTAGTCCATTGGTGACACGGGAAACTTCAGGTATGGGCTGACGTTTTTTTTTTTAATTCTGAATTAAACGTTATTAAGCTCCTCTCAAAAAGTCCGTACTTGCCTAGAAACAAAAATTACTGGCAGAAATTATATGTGATTTCAAAGCATAAAAAGGCACCCAATTTTCCTTTTTGTAGAATTTGTAGCTATAGGAAATCATCAAAGGCCACTGCCTGGTAACAGATGTATTATCCACTAGGTGGTGCAGTCATGCAGAAATAAAAAGGGAGAGACTGCCGGTTCCCTACGAATTGAAAATTTCAAAACATAATTTAGATGAAATTAGAAATAGACTTTAAAAATTACAATAAAAGCCAGGCACGGTGGCTCATGCCTGTAATCCCAGCACTTTGGGAGGCCAAGGTGGGTGAATCGTCTGAGCTCAAGAGTTCAAGACCAGCCTGGGCAACATGGTGAAACCCTGTCTCTACTAAAAATACAAAAATTAGCCAGGTGTGGTGGCGCACGCCTGTAGTGCCAGCTACTCAGGAGATTGAGGTGAGAGGACAGCTTGAGCCCAGGAGGCTCAAGTGAGCTGAGACTGTGCCACTGGACACTAGCCTGGGTGACAGAGTGAGACCACATCTCAAAAAAAAAAAAAAAAAAAGTGAGAGAGAAGGAAGAAAGGAAGACCCTGGCACTGATCACACCTGCAGTGATGGCTCTCTCAGAGTCACTGAGGCCAAGGGAACCATCCAAGGACTTAGCACCAATCAAGATCCCCTTGTCACTGTGAGGAATGAATAAAGCAACCCATAATGTCTACACCAGGTCCCAAAGCCACTGCTGCAGCACGCTACTGAGGAGTAGGTAAGAAACTGGCATTAGGGTATGCAACAGAAATGTTTACTAAACATTCTGAGAAACGGATGTACACACCAGAATAAGAACATATTGAAGGAAGAAACTGCACTATCAAGAAATGTTTATCTGAAGGAGAGCAACAAACCACCACCAAAAACTGTCTAGCGAAAGAAAATCCAAGCAAGAACTTCTACAGCATTTGCCAAGATGAATTAGGCTTTTGCTTCCTCTTGGGGCCTGGAGACCAAGAGACAGACAATGTCAAACACACCAAGCTTTCTCCGACTGCTCCAGTTTATAAGTAGTTCAAGTTCCTGGTACGCACTAGCCAGCTGTATGATCTCTAGGTTCTCTAAGCATCCAGTGAATAACACTCACCTCACAGGGTTCTTGGTGAGGATCAAGTGAGAATTTAACATGAAAGTTTTTTTTTTCTTTTTTTGATACAAGTTCTTGCTATGTTGCCCATGCTGGTCTTAAACTTCTGGGCTGGAGCAATCCTCCTGCCTCAGTCTCCCAAGCAGCTGGAATTACAGGCATGTGCCACCATGCCCAGCTTTATGTAGAGGTTGCTATAAACTGTAAAGTACCACTCAAATGAGGGGTGTTTCTAATATTAATATAAGCCCCACTGTAGCAACGGCAATCAACAGTGGTATAAGCTTAATATAAGATTTAAAACATACGGCTGGGCATGGTGGCTCACGCCTGTAATCCCAGCACTTTGGGAGACAGAGGCAGGTGGATCACCTGAGGTTAGGAGTTCGAGACCAGCCTGGCTAACAAGGCAAAAACCCTGTCTCTACTAAATATACAAAAATTAGCCAGGCGTGGTGGTACGTGCCTATAATCCCAGGTAGTCAGGAGACTGAGGCAGGAAAATCGCTTGAACCTGGGAGGTGGAGGTTGCAATGAGCTGAGATCATGCCACTGCACTCCAGCCTGGGCAACAGAGTGAGACTCTGTCTCAAAAAAAAAAAAATTTTAAAAATGAACTGCATTCAGTCATTGAACGTTTAGTCTCTATTGTACATCAGACTTTGAAAACAAAGACCTGTCAACATAGGACACAGTCCCCACCCTCAAAATGATGTTTGTTTTTAGGACACAGAAAGGTCTGGAAACAGCTAACGGACCTGGAGTAACAGTGACTGATACATACATTCATTCGCTCAAAGCCTTTCTGAACCTTCTAAGCCAAAGGAACCTCACAAAATTTCTCCACTGCTTTTCATTTCTCCAAGCCTTTGAAGCCACACCAGCACTTTATTGTTACTCTGAAGTTTCCTCTGACAGGAAATAACGAACTGTTTGGAACTGAAATAGTCAACAACTCAGAAACACAACAGTACATGTTGCAAAGTTGAAATCCTGCAATCCAGAGAAATAGGAACATCTGAAACATCAGAAACACAGAAATGTTTGATGATACAAAGACATTGCAGTTTTATAGCCTTTCTACATCCTAAAAACAAAATATGCTTTTATTGGTCACCACCTAACACGGAGGAAATCTGCATTTGCAACTTCTCAAGTGGCCCTTGTTATCAGGTCACCTTACTACATTGAAACCAGAAGCAAACCTGTCTGTCAGTGCTCAGATCCAACCCTTTTTCCTTTTTGCTTTTCCAAGCTATGAGTGACTGCAGACAGGGGCATCTCATGCAGCCAGCATCTTCCCACAAGTCAGCATCCTGATCTACTATTCCCAGATTGCAGAACAGGAGACAAATCAAGCCAACACCCTGCTTCCAGGAGGTCTGAGGCAGGAGCCAGGAAACATTTTCTCAAAGGGCCTGACAATAAATATTTTAGGCTTGCCACTACAAGAGGCAAAATCACGGAGATCATATAGATACTTACATAACCATTTAAAATGCAAGAACAGTTCTTAGCTAGCAGGCAGAAAAAACAACAAACACGCAGCTGGCTATATGTAGCTTGCCAACCACCAGACTCAATTTATGCAAAACTTAGTAACAGAAGACTGATGTGCAGGGACCATGGGTCGTTACCTGCAAGGGGCTCACACGGGTGCTGGTACAGGCACACACACATCTCAATTCCTGGTTTCTTTTGCCTCATTTTTCATTTCTATCCTCAACAAACTTTAGGTCTGTCCTTAGCATCAAGTACACTATTTGGGGATAAACTTGTTTTGAGTGTTTTTATTGGGTTATTTATTTCCTTGTATTTGTTTAATTAATAAGAGGTAAGTTCTTAGTGAGTACATAATCCAAAAGTTAGGTCAGCTCAAAGTCAACTATGCTTGGTAGCAACTTCTCTGGTTATATTTTTACCTAAACTAAAATCTGAACTCGTTCAGTTTCCAATCACATACTTCAGGGGAAGCTGACCTAAGGTCAAAATCTTGCTTCAGATAATCTTCAAAGAAGAAGATTAACTATGTTTGTCAGTATTACCAACACATGTATTGGGCAAGACACTGTGTAGAAGAATTGTGTTGGACACAGAGAACTAAAAACCATTGCTCCTGATCTCAAGCTAGGATGCAATTTATTTATGTACCCTCAGAAAAAGACAGTGAGGGAGGTGGCACCCACAACTCAAAGCAAACTGCTACAGGAGAAGTTTGTTTGTTTGTTTGTTTTTTGAGACAGAGTCTCGCTCTGTTGCCCAGGCTGGAGTGCAGTGGCGCCATCTTGGCTCACTGCAAACTCCACCTCCCAGGTTCATGCCATTCTCCTGCCTCAGCCTCCCAAGTAGCTGGGACTACAGGCGTCCACCACCATACCCGGCTAATTTCTTTTTGTATTTTTAGTACAGACGGGGTTTCACCGTGTTAGCCAGGATGATCTCGATCTCCTGACCTCATGATCCGTCCACCTCGGCCTCCCAAAGTGCTGGGATTACAGGCATGAGCCACCGTGCCTGGCCCAGGAGAAGTTTTTTTAAAGTGAGGGGATAGGCATTGGAAGTTTCCCTTGCCCACCATCAAGTCCAATTTAGAATGTGGTCAGAACCATATATCCACCGTTTGTCACAACTGAGTTAGAACCAAAAATCAACTTTCCTTTTTCTTTGTCTTTTTTTTTTTTTAACTTTTTTAAACTTAAAAAAAAAAAAAAAGTGGAGTCTCCACTGTGGTGCTCAGGCTGGACTGCAGTGGCTATTCCTATTCACAGGACAATCAGAACTCACTGTAGCCTCCAACTCCTGGGCTCAAGCGATCCTCCTGCCTGCCTCAGTCTCCAAGTAGTTGGGACCACAGGCATATGCCACCACACTCAGCAAGAATCTCAGTGAATCTGAAAATGTTACTAACATTTTAAATAGTAACACTACCTTAGACTGCCCACAGAAACTCAACTAACCTATCAATTCTGGGTCCTGGGGAAAGACAGTGAGGAGAGAAATAAGCACCCTTCCCAGGGTTCAGTGGAGAAACAGGAAAGAAGCAAAATTTGTATGTGGAGACTTCCTAGGTCTTTCCACCCCTTGGGCTGGTTGCTCTGTTTATCAGTGTCCTCCTCCTCCAGGCTGTCCCGAGGCCAACATCTCGGCAGTATCTGCTCCATCACCAGAATGTTCTGGCTTCAAAATTCCCTATCTTCATTCCCAATCAAAATTATCTCTTTAACAATGTGTATGGTGTCAGTTAGATAGTAGAAGAAAGCTGACTAGTCTACTCCACATTAAAGTGTGGCTGTCTGATAGCCTAAAACCTCTTGGAGGTATTTGATGTTTTAGGGGATGTACTTTGACCCCAAGGTAACTTGCAATGGAATTCCAATCCTCAAGGCAAGCTCCCAAACACAGCATATCTAAGTTTTTCCTTCCAATTCTATAACCCAGGAGTTTGTAACCATAAGTTTTTCCTGATATTAATGATAGTTTTTGAGTGAAGGGGTTGATGGGACAACACAGCCATTTCTAACTGGAGGCTATGGACTTGAAGAAAGAATACTCTCACATGATAAGACATATTCTTAATATTTCTATAATAAAGTTGTGGTTTTAGCTAGCTGTATACATAATCACTTAATACCTCCCTGTAAGGCTGTGTCTTAGAGGCAACTTAGAGTCTTTGGGGTCTCATACAGTAATGAACACACAGAGGTCTCTGATGAATGAAGACATCTCTTGACAACATTGATATGTTACTTTTACTTAAGATTCTCTAGGAATACAAATATTTCTATGCACTTTCAGCGATGATGTTTAAACTCCTAATAATCAACACAGGGCCTTGAGCTTCTCCTATTTTCTTGCCACTGTGATTCTAAAAAGCAGAGACTGGTGGAATTGACAGAATCTACAGGTTTCAAATTCATCAAATGGACCTTGGCTCAAATCCCCTCCCTGTCACACAAGCCGTGTGACACTGGGCAATTTACTTAATGTTTCTGAGCCTCCGTTTCCCACCTATAAAATAGGGTTAACATTTACTCCTAGTTGACTGGGAAAAGTCAGTGAGATCTACACCAAGGGCCTACCACCACATCAGCCCTGTGATCTCCTTCCCCAGCTTTGCTAGAGAAAAGCTAACCAAACGTGGTCTTACAGCAAAACAAACCACACCTTACTTTGTCTCCTGGGCTCCGTCATGGTTAGGCATTCAACAGATCAGAAGTTCCACTTAACACATGGGAACTGAGCTGGAGTGAGCCAGCCCCCAACGCACCCCATAATATTTGTAGAACTCAAGAACACATTCTCAGAGCAGTTCTATAAGCTCCGCTAATGCACATTTTGGACTTCTCAGTCCAATAACACAAAGCCACAGGTTCAGAAGATCTCCATATTTCCTGCAAAGTGCTTTTTTCAGGAGGCAAGGAATACTCTAAGAAAAGGGAGAGAATACACCCCCAGTGTGATAAACGTGTGCTTATCACATTCCAGTCTTTTGAGACTCACCTTCTCCCTTCTCTTCCTTTCACCTTCCCCTATTTACTGAGCAACTACTCTACATCATGCCTACCTAGGAATGCAAAGAACCAGCCCTGCTCTCAAGAGCTCACAATCAACACCCCCTAATGTTAAAACTGACCACCCATCCAACAAGAGGTGGAATCCAGGCCAGTGGGTTTAGACCCTCACTGAAAACACACCGATCTTCTGAAAGGATAAACCCATGCACTGAAGCCTGTATCTAATTGAGGACATTTTTTACAGTTCACTGTTTCCCAGCATTCCTTTTGATTACGCTCGTCTCAGTCAAAAAGCTTATGTTGCTTATGTTGCTGAAAGATAAAGGACTATCCATGTAGCAGACTACACTAACATAGTCAGTATATCTCAAATTGGAACAGACGAAAGAGACAGAGAAACAGAAATGACAGCATCCCAGTTTTGACAACACAAATATAAAGCCAGCCGACTAAGTCTGGTAACAGTCTGGAGTGGTATGTTACAGCTGTTTTTTCAGGACAGTTCATTGCTGTGATATAATCCAATCAGGTCAACATTTATATTTAATCATCCAATCACACTCAAAGACAATTCAGAACAACAATGCAATTGTTATTTGGAGCTTACTACTAAGCCAAATGAGATGTTTTTCCCCCACATAGACATGTGTATGTTCCTTCTGTTCTATTAATAGGCGAGAGAGATTCTTTCAGGCCGTGCATGCTGACTGCAAATATTCTTTCTGTGGTAGTAAAAAGGAGCAAAAATATTGCCAATTTATGTTTCCTGGAAAAGTACATCACAAACATGATACTTAGAAGTTTAGCAATGCCTGAACTAATTTTATTTTTAGCCCAGTCCTGTTTCCCCACATTTCTCAGCAGAAACGCCCACAGAGAAATTTATCTTTAAAAACCAGGTGACTAACAAATTCCTGATTGTGGGGAGGTTCCAGGGACTAAGGAGGAAACTGATGGAATTTCAGCTGCCTCTCTTAACTTTCCCTAACTTTTGTGTAATATTAGTTCACTTGACAATTTATTTCTAAAGAATATTGTCAAATCAAAATACACGAAGCAACACCACGGGTCCCTTCCTCCAGCTGTAACACTACTAGCTGAAATATTTATAGATATTTGGGTCAGAAATACATACATTGATTTAAAACCAAGCATTTTTGCCAAAAGGAGTGAATTAGGTCAATGCCCATAAGAAGCTCCCCTCTGGCTCTATTTTCCAGTCTCCAAACAGTGAAGCCCTTTGTGCATTGTGTATCAGCCACTGTAAACTGTTTGGACATCCATTGTTAGCCCTGGCCGACTAAAAGTCTGGAGAAAAAGAGATAAAACCAAATTCTGTCAATATATTTCTAGCACATTCATTTACTAAGCAAGCTTTACAAACAGCCAGCTCACTTGAACTGCTAAACCAGTGGCTGAAATAGTCACTGGTTATACTTATCTTTCCATTTCGAATATTTGCCTTCCTTATCACTTCAAATTTCTCTGCAAGGAGCCTTCGGAAGTAGTACTACAGAAGTATGCCTAAAACGTTAATCAATACATCTTGACCACTCCATTTCTAGCAAATTACCTTAGGGCAGTAATAGTAGGGTCCCTGGAAAGTAAAATAGGTCTGGGTTATAGGAAAAAGTATTTGAAGGAGGAAAAAATTCACATTCTAAAGTTAAGAAAAACTCGGTTCTTTCCACATGTGACATCATTACAGACAGGCTGTTGCCAACATTGGTTCAAGATTTTTAAATGTCTTAAAACCACTACATTGGCCGGGCGCGGCGGCTCACACCTGTAATCCCAGCACTTTGGGAGGCCAAGGCAGGCGGATCATGAGGTCAGGAGATCGAGGCCATCCTGGCTAACACGGTGAAACCCCATCTCTACTAAAAAATACAAAAAATTAGCCAGGCGCAACCGAGACTCCGTCTCCAAAAAAAGAAAAAAAAAAAAAAAGGACTACATTATAGCTCATGTTTCATAAAATAAACTTATAATAGGACAGACACTTCTGCCAGCTGTTTTGGTAGACTACAGTGTTCCCTCCGCGAGAGATTTGAGGTACAAAATATGATAAAAATCTTCCATCTCATTTATCAGAACACAAAGGAAGCTAAAGACAGGGAAAAAAGTAACCCCATCTATCAGCCAGATTTATATATTACCTTTTATTTTATTAATAATAAAGTGGAATGACTTTAAAAAGAAAACACTCATTAGGTTCCATAAAATTATACATTAAAGCAGCAACTCTTAGAATTAAGTCACCTTTCAGCTCTACATTAACTTACAGACTTGAAAACTAATTTCTCAAGCTTATACCTTTAGAAAAGTACCTAGAATCACAGAGCAATAGATACAGAATCTGGAAGGCCCTTCCAGAAAAACAACACCTTATGTGACACGGAGCTCTTACAGTGGCATCCATGTGACTATAAAGTGAAAAGAATGAACATCCGTTACAGAAATCAGTCTGGGTCGGACACGGTGGCTCACGCCTATAATCCCAGCACTTTGGGAGGCCAAGGCAGGCAGATCACCTGAGGTCAGGAGTTCGAGACCAGCCTGGCCAACATGGTGAAACCCTGCCTCTACTAAAAATACAAAAATTAGCCGGGTGTGGTGGCACCCACCTGTAATCCCAGCTACTCGGGAGGCTGAGGCAGGAGAATTGCTTGAATCCGGGAGGCAGAGGTCGCAGTAAGCTGAGATTGCACCACTGCATTCCAGCCTGGGCAACACAGCAAGACTCTGTCTCAAAAAAAAAAAAAAAAGAAATCAGTCTGCTGCCCAAGCGTGGTGACTCACGCCTATAATCCTAGCACTTCGGGAGGCCGAGGTAGGAGGATCGCCTGAGCCCAGGAGTTCAAGGCCC
This sequence comes from Homo sapiens, assembly GCF_000001405.40. NCBI lineage: Eukaryota > Metazoa > Chordata > Mammalia > Primates > Hominidae > Homo > Homo sapiens. Next base: position 69,184,962 of record NC_000009.12, on the reverse strand, counting down.
ACCTGGGCAACATAGACAGACCTCATCTCTACAAAATATTTAAAAATTAGCCAGGTATGGTGGCGCATGCCCGTGGTTACAGCTAATCGGAGGCTGAGGTGAGAGGATCACTTGAGCCAGGGAAGTCGAGGCTGCAGTGAGCTGTGACGGCACCACTGCACTCCAGCCTGGGTGACAGAGCAAGCCCGTCTCAAAAAAAAAAAAAAAAAAGAAGAGAGAGAGAGAGAAATCAGTCTGAACTGCAGCAGCAGTTCTTGAGGAATGATGAAAATAATAAATTATAACCACTGCCATTTACTGAGCACCTCAAAGCAACCCCAGGTGGCATCTATGCCATTTCTTCTTTGCTGGCACTGAGTTTCTGTTTCTACCAGAGATCCCCCATCTCTCTTGCCAACAGGGTTCTACCAGCGAGGTACACGTGTTTGAGATTTGGAAGGATGAAGGAAAGCAGAAGCCATTTGTTTTTCTTCTTCCTACAGACAGCAGCAGTAGCAGGCAAAAGTTGGATTCCTCAGACATGAGCTTTACAGCATGTCCAGATTCCCTGCCCTTTCACCAGCCTCAAGGCTGGAGATGCTGAGAAGGTGGAAGGTCAAGCAAGACCTTCTGAGTCTTCTCTGGGTGGCAGCAGCTTTCTAACTTTTTTTGCGGCAAATCAGAAAGCCAGCGGTGGGCTTCCATTTTTTGCGCATCTCGCCTTTTCTTTGTCCTGAAGGCAACTAATACTCTGTATTGAATCCCCTTCTCCTTGAAATAGCTAGAATGACATGTCTTCTTGACTGAACCATGACTGATAGGGTAGGCCTATTTTACAACTGAGAAAACTGAACATGAGAAAAAGGTAAATTGCTCAAAGTCAAGCAAGCAAGTGGCAGGACAAAAGAATTCACACCCAGGTTTATTTGACTTCAGAGGTAAAGAATCAAAGTTAAACATCTGTAACCTGGCTGGGCGTGGTGGCTCGCATTTATAATCCCAGCATTTTGGGAGGCCAAGGTGGGCAGACTGCTTGAACTCAGGAGTTGAAGAGAAACCTGTCTCTACTAAAAATACAAAAATTAGCTAGGTGTAGTGGCGCATGCCTGTAATCCCAGCTACTTGGGAGGCTGAAGCAGGAGAATCACTTGAACCTGGGAGGCACAGGTCGCAATGAGCTGAGATCATGCCACTGCACTCCAGCCTGGGTGACAGAGTGAGACTGTCTCAAAAAATATTTTTTTTAATCTAAAATAAGTTTTTTAAAAAATCCCTAACCTATGGTCCTAGGAATTCACACAAGAGAAATGGGTGTACATGTCCACAAGGCAATGTGTAGGTGCTTTTCATGGCAGCTTTATTCATAATAGCAAAAACACTGAAAATAACCCAAATACCTATCAACAGAAGAGATAAGCCAAATGTGACAGATGCATATAAATGGAATACGACTCAGTGGCAAAAAAGAACTACTGAATCTCACGCAACAAATACGGATGAATTTCACAGAGGTTAGGTTGAGTGAAAGATGACAGACATAAAATGTTGATTTTATTTATATATGGGTCCTCTCCCAAGTTCAAGCAAAAGTGTTCCACGGTGAGAGAAGTCAGAAGAGAAGTTCTCTTTTAGGTAGGTGTGGTAATCATTGGAAAAGTGGCAAGAGAGAACCTTCCAGAGTGATGGAAAATTCTAGTTTTTAATCTAGGTGGTAATCATGCAGGTGAATACATTCATGTAAAAATTCACCTACCTCTGGAACTAGAGAGTGATGGTGTTTACAAAATACTGTGAGTGTATTAAATGCCATTGAATTTTATACTTTAAAATGGTTAAAATGGTACACTTAATGTTATGTGTACTTTACCACAATAAATAAAATTCCCTGGCCAGGCACAATGGCTCACGCCTGTAATTCCAGCACTTTGGGAGGCTGAGGCAGGTGGATCACCCGAGATCAGGAGTTCGAGATCAGCCTGACCAACATGAAGAAACCTTGTCTCTACTAAAAAAAAAAAAAATACAAAATTAGCCGGGCATGGTGGTGCGCACCTGTAGTCCCAACTACTCGGGAGGCTGAGGCCGGAGAATTGCTTGAACCTGGAGGGCACAGGTTGTGGTGAGCCGAGATGGCACCACTGCACTTCAGCCTGGGCAACAAGAGTGAAACTCCATCTCAAAAAAAAAAAAAAAAAGAAATTCATCAAGCTCTCTACTTGAGATTTGTGTGTGTGTATATGTATATACATACATATAAATTCAACGAAATTGATAACACAGAAAAAGCTTCATTATCAATAAGCAGACTTGTAACAGAGGTCGTGCCACTGCTTCTACAGGAAAATTTTCTTCATGGAAACATACCAGGCAAATTTTTTTAGCTCTAAGTCTGGCAGATTGAGTCTACCTTTCCTGCCTCTTCCAGATCCTTCACTGCCCAAAGTCATCTGCCAAACTGTGCACTTAAATAGTATAAGTAGACTAAATATTTCTCTCAGACCTTTGATTAAAATTCAATTTAGGCTCAAAACGAACTTGGGGCCTCTTCCTTTCAATGTGTTGCAAACTTGGGGCTTCTTCATTTCAATGTGTTGCCACTTGCCCTTGTTTTTAGGCTTTAACAATAACACCAGAAGGAAACGCACAAATGTTTCCAGCTCCATTTCTGGAAAATTTCAGTGAGTGTCTAAGATGCCACAATGTCTCTCCTCTCTTAAAACTCACCCAGACACTAAACAGACCAGCCCAAGGAAGGCAAAGTGCTCTGCCTGAGGTGACGTTGAAAAACTCCAACATGCCTGAAGTTATGCTGAAACTCAGATGACAGCAGTGATTTTACACCAGTGAACAATGTGGTTTTTTGCAGCAGTGACCAGTAGGCTCATCTTCAACACATTTGTGAAGAACAAATCAGAAAGGGCTCCCAGCTGCAGGCCTGCCCCTCCTTCCAAGCGTATGTCACAGGCAATGAGGCCCGGGGAGAAGTCCATGGGGGTGGAGAGGAAGAGGAAGAGGAAGAAGGATTCTCAAGAAGCTCTGCAAGATGGTTGCAGTTGCTGGCTTAAGCTGCAAAGTAAGGAAGAGAATCCAGCACACGTGGTGCTGGTACATAATTTAAGCTGCAACTGAATAATAGATCTTTCCATCACTTTATGAGCAAAACAACTACCAGCCACTCTTGGACTCTGTCTTTTTAAAAAATGCTTTTCAGAGATAATCCACTGGATCTCTAAAAAAAAAAGAAAGCAAGCAAGCAAACACAAACGTAGTTTAAGGAGCACAAAAACATTTTAAGATGAGAAGAACCAATGGAAATAATTTAGAATGTTCTCTAGGCTTTATACTCAAACTTCAAAACCTTCAGAATCTTAAGCACAAAAGACTTTGAGATGATCAACTGTAACTACTCATTTTCTGATAAAGAAACTGAGAACTAGGCCAGGCGAGGTGGCTCATGCCTATAATCCCAGCACTTCGGGAGGCCAAGGCAGGCGGATCACGAGCTCAGGAGTTCGAGACCAGCCTGGCCAACATGGTGAAGCCCCGTCTCTACCAAAGATACAAAAAATTAGCAGGGTGTGGTGGCGTGTGCCTGTAATCCCAGCTACTTGGGAGGCTGAGGCAGGAGAATCGCTTGAACCTAGGAGGCAGACGTTGCAGTGAGCTGAGATCGGGCCATTGCACTCCAGCCTCAGCGATAGGGCTAGACTCCACCTCAAAAAAAAAAAAAAAAAAAAAAAAAAGAAATTGCAAACTAGAGTCACAAGACAGCAAAAGCCACCCAGCTAATCAGTGGTGCAGCTAATGCTGCTTCCATGCCATTACAAAAATGGTCTAGATGAAATTCTATAATTTTTTTTGGACAAAATTCTCTGGATGAAATTCGCAATTCTAACAAACGATCATCTACTCACTATATAAATGTCAGGAATCCACTGTCCTAATTTCTCAATTAGTCTCTTATTCCTACTAGCTTATACAACAAGCCTGCCCCAAATCAAGTCAGTCCAACGTTTAGTGGATGTGTTGGTGCTCTGTTAGCTTCTGGGGTTACCAAGATGACTCAGACCAGGGAGGGGCTCAGGGCTGATGGGAAGTGATAAGGGCTAGAATAAATACTAGCATGTGCATCCTCACCAATCACAGGCAAGAACACAATTGATTCAGCCAGACTGCAGAAGGGTAACGCAGAAACCAGGCTGCTAAAACTGAGCTCACCAGGAAGTTCCTTCCAAATGATTCATTCCTTTCAAAAACAGAAATGTTTAGTTTTGCTAATTAATTCCCTCAAATAATTTCATCTGCTTTGCCATATATACCTAGGAACAGTCTTCCAAGGACTGAGAGCAGAATGATTGTCTCTCGAAGCCTACATTACTTACTCCTATTCCCATTGTAGAGCTCCACCCAGGGTCTCAGGTGTGCTCAGCTTTAGTAGGCATCAAAGAAACACAACCTAGAACTCGGAACACTTCCTTTAATACTCTGAAAACAAATGACTCTCAACAAATGGAAAAAAATGGCCCCAAGTGGAACATTATTTCCCCCTCAGAAGAACCTAGAAGGTCCTTGAAGCTACATGTCCTGGAAGAGTTAATTCCTACTGATGACTAGAAAGTACTGTTTTCTCTGTTTACCTTCAACTCAAGTGACAAAATCCAAAGTATCTGCAATGTTCTCACGTCTCCACCAAAGCTTTTAATACGATGGCAAAGGCATAACTGGATTTTAGTCACATTCTATTCATTACAGCCATAACTGTTACCTACCAGTAAGAATAACTATTCTAATAACTCTCTCCCACAATGGGTTACAAACATTCCCTCCAAATGCCTGACTTGTCACTAACTCGTGTGTTTAGTACCATAGTTATATAGGGTATCTATAATATAGAGCATACTGTAAAGTTTCCAAAGATGATACCATGTTTTCTCTGTGAACATAATGCATATATTTAATATGGCTGATTAAAGTCTACAATAGAAATAATAATTACCACACTAATTAATTCTGAAGTCCATGTTCACATACACATATAGGTAAAATTTAGTGAACATGTGTACTCAAGAATGTGACATAAGATCCTTGCCATGATTAAAGGTATGATTCGAAATCTTTTGGTCAGCCTAACTTACTAAAACACAAATATTTGATTCATGGAAGATCCATTAAGAGATTCACTTTCAGCCGGGCGCGGTGGCTCACACCTCTAATCCCAGCACTTTGGGAGGCCGAGGCGGGTGGATCACGAGGTCAGGAGATCAAGACCATCCTGGCTAACATGGTGAAACCCCGTCTCTACTAAAAATACAAAAAATTAGCCGGGCGTGGTGGCGGGCGCCTGTAGTCCCAGCTACTGGGGAGGCTGAATGGCGTGAACCCGGGAGGTGGAGCTTGCAGTGAGCCGAGATCGCACCACTGCATTCCAGCCTGGGCGACAGAGGGAGACTCCGTCTCAAAAAAAAAAAAAAAGAAAGAAAAAGAAAAAAGTAACTTACTTTCACCACCACCGCTGTTACTGCACCCCCATACAGTAACTGTAGGAAAACAAAATAGAAACCATAACCACTGATATTCTAATTGAGCTAAAAGGTAAAATAAACATTCATTATAACAAAATGTATCTGACTATGGTCTGCAATATACAATGGTGTGTAAATGGTTAAGGAAAGCTACATTACGTTTTTCAGGTTAAAAAACCTGATTTAACTTTAACCATCTGGCAGAGGCACTAAACAAACATCTGTGCTGATTTTAAATGACTAAAGTACAAGTTACTAATTGAAAGCTTAGGATTTCTCATAAATGGTGTGAACACACACATCACTAGAGAGTCTACTGAAACAGTATTTTCTCTTCTCCTTGATTCATTCGCCTGCCATGAGCATGCATCTCTCTAGGTCAAAGCAGGGATACTTGTTTTCTACCTCAAGGCTTCCTGTTCCTACGAAAATCCTTGTTAAAGCCTATTTTACAGACCAATACAAGCTTCATATTAAAAAAAAAATAAGAAAAAAAAACTCATCCAGTTGGCATTCTTCTGAAAGACTTTGAGAAATTAAATGCATTTACAGGTGAGGCTGTTTGGCTGTCCACATTCTTCGGCAATGAATCATGAGCAAGAGTCACTTGATAATACAGTGATGTCCTTCATCAGTGTCAAAATACTTCCTCCCCTATCACTCTATCATATCAAAAATATCATACCAACAGACCTTTAAAAACTGCAGAATGGCTTGTGGAAGCAGAGAAAGGAATGAGAATTGGGCCAGACGTTAAAACAAACAGCTAGCTCTACAAATACACTGTCTGCAACCACATCTAAGAGATCTGAGTGGATAAGAGCAGGATGCACACGCTTAAGACAGAAAGTCCATCAAATTCAACTTTCCTGGCTATTCTGGGCCATTCTGTGTTTGACTTTCTTGAAGGCGTGGTCAAGGTATACCAGGCTCTCTATAAGTAAGCACCACACTCATATTTTAAGCAGTATTATGCACACCTCAGATGTCAAGGGCTAGCTTTACCATTTTTGCCTTAGCCTCATATTACTCATTCCCAGAGTTGATAATTTTTCTTAAAGCAAACTCACTGCTTTACTTAATATTTATTTTTGCCTCATTCTAAGCAATCTAGCCATGAAATAAATGGATGTGGTAGCTGGTTTTCTGTTTTTATTCCTAACATATAATATTCATGCATCATAATTGAAAAATAGAATATGTATCTCTCTGCACCACCTGTAAGTCTGTCTGTATACCAGACTTTGGAAAGCACTGTTTTGGGATAGCATAAAAGGTAGAGAAAATGCTTTATTAAATGATTAGGTATTTTGGGGGTATGATAGTCCTTACTCTGTCTCCTCTGAGAGCTCACAGGTTATCTAGGATGATGAAGCTTTGGTTGTTTAATGGCCAGCTGGATGATAGAGACACCAATCCCTTTAAAAAACAGAATGGAGCCGTCACTGTTATGGGTAGCCATTGCCCCAGCTTGTGCAGGTCTTCTGGGGCTCTAGCTGTCAGTCACCCAGTTCTAAGAAGTGCTTTTCCTAATCAAATGGAAAAAGTGGAAGCAGACACTCTCCAACTCGGAACTCTGCCTCTCACACTACAATGTATGCAGCATACTAGCTCAACTGCTTTCCTAGGTACCATCCAAAATTAAAACTAGTGGCCGGGCACGGTGGCTCACTTCTGTAATCCCAGCTACTTTGAAGGCTGAAGCAAGAGAACCGCTTGAACCCGGGAGGCAGAGGTTGCAGTGAGCCAAGACCGCACCACCACACTTCAGCCTGGGCAACAGAGCAAGACTCCATCTCCAAAAAAAAAACCAAAAAAACAAAAATAAAATTAAAACTAGCTACTGCAATACTGCATATTGGATTTCCATGCCTGAATTTTTTTTTCCATTGCTATCACACAGCCTTTTCAAAAAGTTTAATAGTAATACCACCTTAGACCCTCCCAAATTCACTTTCTATATGGGCATCTACTAAAAAGGCTGATTGCAAAAATTCCTATGAGGGAGAAACAGGCCCTAAATAGCTTTTTAAACCTTAACAAAGTTCACATAACCATTGATGTGTTTAACCCACTAAATGGGTGTTAAATCTAACCTCTGAGTCTGTGTTTCTGACCCTAACCCTTGGATTTAGGATCAAGACAAAAACTCAGTAAAACACCAGAGAAAACTGTTCTGCTTCCCTCCACTCCCATCTGGGGCAATCTCACCCTCAGACACTACCATATACCAAATCACCTTCTCTGGAAAATCAAGGCTGGTTGGTCCAACAACTGTTGGGCCCCTGATTACTGCTTAGAGTCAAATCAATGAGGCATGTTATTGGGAATCAGCTCTCAACCTAGATAAATTCATCTGTAGCCACAACTGCTTAATGGGATTCGTTCTAGAGATGAGGCAAGGAATTCCCTGGTGGCTCATATTGTTGGTAGAATATGTTGAAAGTTTCAGCAGTGATTGCGAACCCTTCTACCGCTTCACCCCGCCCCCACCACACCCAAACTTCATGCCTCTCCCCAACCAAGTCTGCATGACTTTTTAAATTACTATTTATATTACTACACATATTATTGTACACAGGACTAAAGTGGCCCCGCCTAGTTTCAATAACTTGTGTCTCGTAAAAAGATAACCTTCTTAAGGAGAGAAAACCTTGCTAAACTCAAAATCTCCCTTGCCTTCAGCAGTATGCAGAAAGTTCTCACACTTGTCCTGAAGAGAAATGGTTGGCTGTGAACTTTTGTCAGTGTACAAAGAACTAGATCAAAAGTTAAATGTAGGCAGAAGTCATTGCAAATGCAATTCCCCCGGGGGTGATGTAAAAATTCATTGGTCTTAAGCCTATGAATGCCTCAAAAATAGTTATGGGGTGGGATGTTTACTGGGAAACTGGTTCGCTTCTTTTGTAGGGAAAGTCAAGTCATTTAATACATGAGGGATTTCTGACTTCCCCCCACCCAAAGCTTCGTTATGGCCTTCAAGGCCTTTTAACAGAGTGTGAACAACAACTCTTTCAGTTTTTTCCTGGACACCTACCTGGCACCTCCTACTTGTATCTTTAGATCTCACCTCCCTTATCAACCCAGGACCCAACACTTAAGAGTTTTCAGCACCCGTTTTGTTCCTATTACTAGCTACCACCATTTACGTAGCATCCACCACATGCCTTGTACTCTCTGTCATTTCATTCAGACCTCACTCAGCCCGGTGAGGTGGGCGCATTACTGGCCCCATTTTCTATAGTGGCTTGCTCGGGTGAGGTAACTGTTCAAATGCCCTTTATTCCCAGCAAGAATCCCCTGAAGGGAATGCATATAGGACCAATCCCACTCTTTGCTAAATTTCTGTATTGCAGAGTGTGCATCGGCATCATACATTCCCTCCCTCAGTCTCAGGAATCCCGACACAGATTGCAGAGTAAAGTCTAACAGTTTCAGGTCCACTAGACCCCTAAATGCAGAAATTGAATCTTGTTCATCTTTGTATCCCCCACAGTGACTGGCAGGAGTAGGGGCTCATTCAGTATTATAATATCTGGATGGTACTGAAAAAGTTACAGCAGCATTTCAGAGGGGAAAGTTCCCCTTCATCAATCTGCATAAGTAGCTCTGAAAAGAAATAAAGTGGCCCCACTGCAGAAGTAGTTCTGAAAAAAACACAAGAAACACCTCAAAAGCCACCGGTGCTTTAGTAAAGCACCTCCGCTTCTGCCATCTCCCCACAATGAGGAAGCTCCAGTACCCTGTCCACATTTCTAAATGGCACTCATCGGATTCTTAATGAGTTGCAGGCTTTCCCAACGGGACTGTGTGACAGAGCCACGCTCTTGCTCATCTGCGTAATCCCCACACTGAAGTGGAGTTGTTCATGAAAACTTACTAAATAATCAAATTTCATCCTCTCAAGCAGGATATGCAGTGGTACTTTGCTACAAATACATTTACCACTACGAATTTCTCACTTCAAGCGATCTCCTGCCCAGGTGTGTGCTCTCAGAAAATTACATCTCTTTCTGAATTACGCTGGCAAAGGTGGACCTGTTTTCCCAAAAGGACCGTCAGCACACCCAGCACAGACCACCTGGGGAGCTGAAGAAAACGACCTCCCTCCCTCCTCCCCGCTGGGATTCCCCGGGCTGAGAGCGTGAGTGAGAAGCGCAAGGCAGTTTCTATCATGGGATGACTCTCCGCTGGGAACTTCAGGGAAACCACAACCATCATTACTCAGGCCAGACAGCTGCCAGAAAAGCAGCCTAGCCTAAGAACTGAAGCTGAAATAGAGGTGGGAGGCTGTATTCCATTACTAAGCGCGGGAGCACTCACTCCCAAGTTTGTCCACATTTCAAGAATGTTAAAACCCTGTGGTAGAAATCCCTGATTATTTATAACTTAAACTACCGTGTAAAAGCAGAAACTTGACAAATGAAGACATAAAAAGAACTGGTGACAGGTAGGCTAGTACTAGAATACAAAGCATTCATCACACTCCTCTTTTGTGGGTCCTTCCAAACCTCCATCCCCATTCCCTACTGGAAAAAAAAAAAAAAAAAAACAACTTTTACTTCTATTACAGACGCAGCTGATTGAAAGGGAAAAGGGATTCTGCTCTGTGATGAGTTTTCAGTTTCTCTCACGTACACAAGCCTGTAACTTTGCATCAATACCGAGTGTGGTTTGAAATAGAGAAGGAAAACACAAAGACATGCAAGCGACACAACAGACACGAGATGCCTCCAAGCCAGCAGAAATCCAGGACACCGGGTTCAAGACAGTGTCCCCTACTCGCGCCTTAATCTCCAGCCCAAGTGACTTCAGAGTAAAGGTTCCAGGAGCCCCGGAGGCCACGAGTCATCAGCCCGGACGGTGAAACCTACCCCTCCCCTGCGTCCCACGTCCGGATGGGAGAATCCCAGCTTCCTACGGCGCATCGGGGAACAACTTCAGAGCAGCACGCGAGCAGAGCCCCCAGCGCTCCCACGCTCACGCTCACGACCCTCCTCCCAACCGCGCGGCACAAGGAGGCACTTACGCGGAGCCAACCTGACAGCTCCCGCCGGGGTGGAAACCCGCGGTCTCCTCGCACCGGCATTTCGGACACAGGTCCCGCGTAGGCGCGCAGCTCCGGACCCCGCTTCTGCTTCTGCTCCTGCTCCTACTCCTCCTGGGCACCACCGGACAGTGCTCTGACCCGCAGCCCAACCGCCGGGGTGCCGACCCGCGGGGACCCACCCCTTTGTCCCTCCTCCCGCGGCGGCGGCGGCGTCAGCCCGCCCCCGACCCGAGCGTGGCGCCTCCGCGCTGGCCGCCCGGCCCGGGAAACTGTCAAATTGGCCGCTACCACCCACGCGCCTGCCGGGGAAGGGCTCGCCGGCGCCGCGCCTTCGAGGCTCCTGCGGCGAACCGCGTCACGCGCGACTCCTGGCCGGGGGCGGGAGGCGGCGGCGGCGGCAGGAGAAGCCCAAGGCCCGAGCGGCCCGCAGCCCCCACGCCTGCACCCCTCCACCCCCGCCAGCCCGATGGTTCGCTCCGCGGCGTGCACTGGAGCAAGCAGGTCCCGCTCCGAGCGCGCGCGCTCTGGGAAGTGCTGCAAGTTTGGAGACCTGGAGTGAGCTCCGGGCGCTGCTGGCCCGACTGTCCGCGGTGTTTCCCCGGTGAGGTCGCGGGGGCATCCTGTAGGAAGACTTTTTGGCGAGGTTCGCAGGGCCTCACACAGGCAGCTTCAGTTCTCCTACGAAGAGTCGAACTGGGAAAACCTCAAAGTTTTAGGTCCTGTCTAGAGGCCTGCCCGGCTAACCAACACATACACGGCCTTGTACCCCACATTTCTCAGCCCAACAACTGCCTACCCGAATTCCGAGGGTTATAAGATGTTCGTATTAAATATTAAAACAGGACTTTTCAGGACAATATATTCCAGGTTATCTCTTTGGCACATTTCCAACAACTCCAATAAAGAGATTGAAACTCCTCTCCCATCATCAGCTTATAAAAGGTTGCCAGTAGGTCACAAGTGCTTATCTGACAGGATTCATCTAATGCAATTCAGTGTGCTTATTCCTTTCGAAGTCCTCCATGTGCAAAGAATTGTGCAGTGACGTTAAGTGTCTTTATTTTAAGAGCATATAAATTAATTTGGAGAATCCAAACAGGTACCGATTAAAAATATAACCTTGGGTTTGAAATCTTAAAAAACCATCTTGTAAGAGAATAGTTTTGCCTGCCCTGCTCTTCCCTTAATTGGAAAGCAAAACTCGTCCTAGGCTCACAAGTAGAAGGTAAAAGGTGTGGTCTGTCCCAGAGGAGATGCAGATGCTGGGCTCTCTCCCTGAAAAGTTGCTTCACTTCCTGCCTGATCAAAACAAGTCTAGAAGTTTCGTGGAAAAACAAGTCCAGTAGATGCCTCTCCAGAAGTGTTATGCTTCTGGACTCCTTTGGAGTAACTAAGTCCACGCCTCTGGATAAAAAGCACTGTGAGTAACGTTTCCCACTTTGCCTCGAGTCTCCGGACTTAGACATTTTGGTTGTATTCCTGATGTAAGGCATTGCTCTCCTGATCTAAGCACCTATTTATAAAATGTTTCCCAAATCTGGCCAGGCACGGTGGCTCATGCCTGTAATCCCAGCACTTTGGGAAGGCAAGGCAGGAGAATCACTTGAGCCCACGAGTTTGAGACCAGTCTGGGCAACATAGTGAGACCCCATCTCTATTTTTTAAAAATTGTTTTAATCAAAAAAAAGGAAAAAAAAATAAAATATTTCCCAAATTAGGTGGTGCTGACTAATAAAAATGATAGCACTTGAAAGGTGGCCACACCTTAATGATGTGGGCTTAGAGCCACTAACATTTAAAAAATAATCCAGAATGTGGCAGTTACATCTACTGACTGATTTCCTTTTTTCTCTCTAGAGCGGCACTGTTCAATAAGATGACCACTTGCCACCAGTAAGTGTTTACATTTACATGTAAATTAACTAAAATTAGAGGAAATGACAAATTCAGTTCTTCAGTCACACTTGTCTCATTTCAAGGGCTCAGAAGCCACATGTGGCTAATAGCTACCCTATTGGACAGTGCAAATATAGAATATTTCCATCAATGCAGAAAGTTCTGTTGGACTGCACTACTCGAAATGATGAAATATTTATAGACAAACTCCATTCTTCTGGCACAACACCTGACAGATGATAAGCATTCAGTAAATGGTTGTTAGAAACACGGTTCAGTTGATATATTAGCTTTTTTGCTGGTGGCAGTGTAAATCAATACAACTCTTTGGAGAAACAATTTATTAGTCATCTTCTTCACGTGTGGGTTTGCACATTTTGACCCCACTCCTAGAATGTGTTTATCCAAAGAACTTCTACTCCGCAGGGCGCGGTGGCTCATGCCTGTAATCCCAGCACTTTGGGAGGTCGAGGCGGACAGATCGCGAGGTCAAGAAATCAAGACCATCCTGGCCAACATGGTGAGACCCCGTCTCTACTAAAAATAACAAAAATTAGCTGGGCGTGGTGGCGCACGCCTGTAGTCCCAGCTGTTCAGGAGGCTGAGGCAGGAGAATCGCTTGAACCCAAGAGGCGGAGGTTACAGTGAGACGAGATTGCACCACTGCACTCCAGCCTGGTGACAGAGCGAGATTCCGTCTCAAAAAAAAAAAAAAAAAAAAAAAAATTCTTCTACTCAACAGGTACTTACTGAACACCTCTGTCAACCCCTTGATAAAATACTCAGGATCCTGCCTTAGGAAACTCAGTCTATTGCAGTAGACAATCAACAAGTAATGATAAACTGTGTAAGCACTGAGATTCCTGGCAGGCTCAGAGTGGTCTAGCAGGAGAGACTTAGGGAAGGCTTTCCAGAGATGGGGTTGCTTATACATTCTAAAGGAGAGGTCGGAATGAGTTTTTAAGACACAAAGAAGGAAAAAAGCCTTCCAGGTAAGGGGAATAAATAACACAGAGAGAAGTAAGGAAGGAAGAGACAGCAGGCTTACTCTTGAGGTGCCAGAAGGTGAAGTTGCCCAGGCAAGTATAAAGATGGATTTGACAGTTGGTGGGGGACAGGGGTTGGTGGGGGAGGAGAATGTTAGTAAGAATGACAAGACCGGCCAAAAATGCATTTTTGTGGGAATGCAGGTGAGAGATGACGTGGCTATGAAGTTAGGCAGTGTTAGACAAAAGGGAGCCAGATTCTAGAGAAACTAAGGAAGTAGATCAGCAGGCTGGATGACTGCCTGACTAGATATGGGGAGACGCGAGCGGGAAGTGAGCCTACGCTGACTCTCAGGTTTCTGGCTTACTTAAAGGAGATGACGGTGGCTTTTATCAAAACAGAACACAGGAGTGGGAGCAGATCTTGGGAGGAGCTTGAAGAAAGATGATGAGTTTAGTTACAGACTGATTTTCAAGTGCTATGGGTCATCCAGGTGAAGATGTTCAGTAATTTAACAAATATGTATCAAGTGTCTCCTATGTGCTAGGCACTGATGAGTATTTGAGGAGAGAGATTTGGGAGTGATTTGGGTATCATCAATGTATCATAAAAGTTGAAGTCTTGGGAGGGGACAATCCCACATTCAGAGACGTGATGTAGATTAAGCCAAGAGAGGACTAAGGACAGGACTCATCTCTGGGAATGCCAATATTTAGGGGGCAGACTTGAGTTGCCAGAACAGAGACCAAAGAGGAGCTGCCAGAAAGGAAAGAAAACGCTTCTGGAGGAGAGTGTCCAAAAAGCCAAGGAAAGAACAAACTTCAGGAAAGAGGGAGAGGCCAACAACATGGAATTTCGAGGAGGTCAATTAAGGTAAGAACTGATGATGTTCATTAAGTGGAGGACCACTGCTTATCTTGGCCAGAGCTTTTCAATGGAAAGATACGACTGGAGGTTAGATTACAGTGGATGACTAGGTATGAGGCAGCACTTCACTATATGCCTGTATCTAATAATGAATGATGGAAACCACCAATGTCCAATGATGGTGGGCTGGGCTATTAAATTACAGTAAATCAACATAATTGGCATAGCAGACCATCATTTAAAATTGTAATAAGGAAGTCTATACAACAAGGAGAATGATAATGCTATAATTATCAACAAAAAAACACAAATTACATCTAATGTATGATGATGACAGTGATAAAATTATAAAAAAAATAAAAACTGGAAAGTATGCAAAAAAATGACTTCATGAAAAGACAGGCTTGTGCATATATTTTTCTTTTTAAATTTAGTTATTGTTTGTGCAATGGACAATTTTTTTCAACTTTTCAGTGTATATTACAATATATAAGGTCTCTGAAATAGGTTGGTCAGCTAGGTGCAGGGGCTCATGCTTGTAATCCCAGCACTTTGGGAGGCTAGACAGGAGGATTGCTTGAGCCTAGGGATTTGAGTCCAGCCTGGACAACATAGTGAGATTCTGTCTCTACAAAAACTAATAATAAAATAAAATTACCTGGGCATGGTAGCATGTGCCTGTAGTCCCAGCTACTCGAGGACTGAGGGGAGAGGATTGCTTGAGCCCAGGAATTTGAGGCTGCAGTAAGCTATGACTGCACCACTATACTGCAGCCTAGGTGACAGAGAGAGACACTGTCTCAAAAAATAAGAAATAAGTTGGTCAGAAGACCTTAATGAGATAAACTAAATGCCTTTTAGTCATATTTTCTCAAGAATGTGGAGATCTTAAGAAACATATCTGTGTGTGTGTATATATATATATGTATATATCTGCAATATGGTTATAAAGTATCATCAACTGGGAGCAAAGAAAACTAACACTGAAAAGTTTACAAGTTCAGCCGGGTACGGTGGCTCACGCCTGTAATCCCAAAACTTTGGGAGGCCGAGGCGGATGGATCAACTGAGATCAGGAGTTCGAGACCACCCTGACTAACATGGTGAAACCCCGTCTCTACTAAAAATACAAAAAAATTAGCTGGCATGGTAGCAGGCGCCTGTAGTCCCAGCTACTTGGGAGACTGAGGCAGGAGAATCACTTGAACTTGGGAGGTGGGGGTTTCAGTAAGCCGAGATCACGCCACTGCACTCCAGCCTGGGCGACAAGAGTGAAACTCCATCCCCCCCCCAAAAAAAAAAAAAAAGAGAAAAGTTTACAGGTTCACCAAACAATTTAGTTAACGTGTACACTGTAAAGTAGACTGGAATCGTAACTCTCCTTTAACAAACCTTTCTTGAATGCCTACCATATACCCTGGGGTAGCTATACAGAAGATAATGACAATTTATAAAAGGGAGCCTGCTCACAGTGTGTTGAAGACAACGATATGTAAACACATTGTGACACGTTAGGAGAATTGCTCAACTACAGAGATGACTAAAGTGCTGAGGCAGCAGCTAAAACTCCGCCAGAAGGACCTGATGTTTTTTCAGTAAAGGCCTTGTGTCCTCCCCCGTCCCCGCCCCCACTTCCAGGTAGCCTCATCTCCTCTCCTGGCTCCACCCATCTTCCTCAGTCCAAACACCAGTTAACAATAACCACCCGGTTCACCTGCAGGCTTCCTCCCACAATAATCACCCCACTCAATGGCCCCTGTGATTACCTCCAGGAGAGCGGCATCTAACGTTCTGCTTCCCCCTTATGCTTTCACTTTTAGTTATTATATATTACTTTCTTTTTTCTTTTTTTTTTTTTTTTGAGACAGTTTCGCGCTTGTTGCTCAGGCTGGATTGCAATGTGCAATGGCGCCGTCTTAGCTCACTGCAACCTCTGCCTCCCAGGTTCAAGCGATTCTCCTGCCTCAGCCTCCTGAGTAGCTGGGACTACAGGCGCCCACCACCACACCTGGCTAATTTTTGTATTTTTAGTAGAGATGGGGTTTCACCGTGTTGGCCAGGATGGTCTCGATCTCCTGACCTCAGGTGATCCACCTGCCTCAGCCTCCCAAAGCGCTGGGATTACAGGCATGAGCCACCGCGTCCTGCCCTCATGATCACTTTCAAAGTTTGTTAAAGTCCTCCTCTTTTTTCTTTTTTGAGGGTGGGGGTAATTAACTTGTACACTTCCCAGATCCTAAATAGCTTCGACACTGTTTTCAGTTGTACACAGAGCTGCTTCTAATGCCATATGCCCTCTGACACCCACCCCCAAGAAATAATAGACCTGTGAATTGAGATGCTCCTCATTCCAATACATGATGGTTCTAGAAATAGAGAACAAAGCTGACTTTATAGCAATCATAGATGTATAAAGATTACAAAGACAGCAAAGTATTTTCAAGCTATCTTCCAGCACAGAGGAACACATTCTAAACCACTCTAAGAACTCTCAGACCTCCTCCATCTTTTGGGCAACTGAAGATTCTTGCTTTTCCTTTAGAAACATTCAGTGGATCACTCATAAGTAATTTTCAGACTACCTGTCTTCAGGATTGTTCCCACATCTTGATATTATGTAGAAAGAACAAAGCTGCTCTAAGTTGCCACTTTTCAATTATTTTAGGTTGGTGCAACAGTAATTGCGGTTTTTGCCATTAAACCCAACACGTTGGCATCTACGTTTCTAGTATCTCAAAGAACAGAACAAATTTTCACGCAGACATTCTTCTTCTTCTTCTTTTTTTTTTTTTTTTTGACAGACTCTCGCTCTCTTGCCCAGGCTGGAGTGCAGTGGTGCAATCTTGGCTCACCATAACCTCTGCCTCCCAGGTCCAAGCAATTCTCGTGCCTTAGCCTCCCAAGTAGCTGGGATTACAGGCATGTGCCACCATGCCCGGCTAATTTTTGTATTTTTAGTAGAGGTGGAGTTTCACCACGTTGGCCAAGCTGGTCTTGAACTCCTAGCCTCAATTGATCTGCTTGCTTCAGCCTCCTGGCCTCCCAAAGTGCTGGGATTACAGACGTGAGCCACCACACCAGGCCAGGTAGACATTCTTCTATTTATTAAAGCAAGTAACTTAAGGTGTAAGGCTATTTACATTGTTCCATAGTTACTAAAAACTATTTTCATTTTTGTTAATTTTTTAGACCACTGAGTTTTGCAAGAATAAGGTGCTCATTATAAAGCATCTGAGGAGTTCAGAAGAGCACCAAGAAATTTAAAAACTAAAGTCCTAATACCTGTCTTCGACATTAGGTGAACATTCCAGACATATATACAGACAGAAGACCACATGGATGACTTATCAAGAAACGAAAAATGTTTACAAAAATGAGATCCCACTACAGTATTATTTTTATTTATTTATTTTTATTTTTATGTTTTTGAGACAGTCTTGCTGTTGCCCAGGCTGGGGTGCAGTGGCATGATCTAGGCTCACTGCAACGTCCGCCTCCTGAGTTCAAGCAATTATCCTGCCTCAGCCTCCCAAACTGGGATTACAAACATGTGCCACCACGCCCAGCTAATTTTTCTGGGGTTTTTTTTTTCGTAGAGACGGGGTTTCACCATGTTGGCCAGGCTGGTTTTGAACTCCTGACCTCAAGTGATTCTCCCGTCTTGGCCTCCGAAAGTGCTAGGATTATGGGCGTGAGCCACTGCACCCAGCCTATTTTATTTATTTTTCAGAAAAAGTCTCACTCTGGCCCAGGCTGGAGTGCAGTGGCACAATCATAGCTCACAGCAGCCTCCAACTCCTGGGCTCAAGCAGTCCTTCCACCTCAGCCTCCCAAGTAGCTGGGACTACAGGCCCATGCCACCAGGCCTGGCTAATTTTTTAAAAAATATATTTTTAAGGCTGGGCACGGTGGCTCACGCCTGTAATCCCAGCACTTTGGGAGGCAGATCACTTGAGGCCAGGAATTCAAGACCAGCCTGGCCAACATGGTGAAACCCCGTCTCTACTAAAAATACAAAACTTAGCCAGGAATGGTGGCGCATGCCTGTAATCCCAGCTACTCAGAAAAAAAAATTATTTTTAGTAGAGATGAGGTCTTGCTATGTTGCACAGGCTGGCCTCAAACTCCTGGCTTCTAGCTATCCTCCTACCTTGGTCTCCCAAAGTGCTGTGATTACAGGCATGAGCCACGGTGCCTGGCCCTGTGTTGTTTTACTGTTTAAAACTGTTTTACTGTTTACTGTTTAAAAACAGTAAATAAGGTTAGGCAGATGGCTCACGCCTGTAATCCCAGCACTTTGGGAGGCCAAGATGGGAGGATTGTTTGAGCCCAGGAGTTCAAGACCAGCCTTGGGCAACATAGCAAGACCTGATCTCTACAAAAAACAGCTAGGCCTGGTGGTACACACCTGTAGTCCCAGCTACTTGGGAGGCTGAAGCAAGAGGATGGCTTGAGCCTGGAAAGCAGAGGCTGCCTAGCCGAGATCGTACCACTGCACTCCAGCCTGGGTGCCAGAGCAAGACCCTGCCTCAAAAAAAAATAAAAAAGAATTAGCTGTGCAATTCAGAGTCAGCTATGGCCTGAACGGATTAAGAAGCTGGGGTGCCCTAGACTGGTGTTTGGGGAGAGTCCTGGGTTGGAAGGAGATGACTGTAGTCTAGGCTGACCACATGCAGACTCCTAGGTGACTTATAGGGCTCATCTGGGTGTGCTCAGGCTGGTGGGCAGAGGCCACGGTGGTGCTCCGCCTGGGGCTGAGGCAGAGCGTAACCCTGATCCACTCCTGGAAAGCCAAGAAGCATCCTATGGCACACGTTCTAGTTTAGACATACCTGCTGGGGAGCGTGCTTTGCAACATGGAGGAGGGAGCACTTCTTCCTGGCAGGACACCCTGGGTCCTCAGAGGCACTCCAAGGTGCTCCAAAGTATGACAGCTTTTACTATTTTACTGCTGTTTACACTGCAGAATATATGAAAGCCACACTCTCTTTTCGGGGATAGAGACCCCTTGTTAGCCCTCCACTGAGAAGCAGTGGAGAAACTCTGATAAACAATGATTGACTAAATGCATATTCTGTGCCAAGAGCTTTTCATATACTATACTAAGTCATTCAATGTAGTGACTATATAGTCAGTATTCTTGCCCCTGCTTTATACGTGAAGAAACTATGCTTCAGAGAAAGCAGTTTGCCCATGGTTGTCCTCAAGCAGATGGAATCCAAACCCACCGGGCATGGTGGCCACACCTGTAATCACAGCACTTTGGGAGACCAAGGTGAGAGGATCACATGAGCCCAGGAGTTCAAGACCAGCCTAGGCAACATAGGAAGACCCTGTCTCTACAAAAAATAAAAATAATAAAAGTAAATGAGCTAGCGTGATGGCACACACCTGAAGTCCCAGCTACTCCAGAGGCTGAGACAGAAGAATCACTTGAGTCCAAGAGGTTGAGGCTGCAGTAGCCGTGATTGTGCCACTGCCCTCCAGCCTCAGTGACAGACTGAGACCCTGTCTCAAAAAAAGAAAGAATCCAGCCAGGCGCCGTGGCTCAAGCCTGTAATCCCAGCACTTTGGGAGGCCAAGGCAGGCGGAACACTTGAGGCCAAGAGTTCAAGACCAGCCTGGCCAATGTGGTGACACCCCGTCTCTACTAAAAATATAAAAATTAGCCGGGCGTAATGATGGGCGCCTGTAATCCCAGCTACTCGGGAAGCTGAGGCAGGAGAATCGCTTGAACCTGGGAGGCGGAGTTTGCAGTGAGCCAAGATCGCACCACTACACTCCAGCCTGAGCAACAGAGCAAGACTCCATCTCAAAAAAAAGAAAAAAAATCCAGGTCCAGGTCTGTCAGATTCAAAGCCCATTCACTTCCCGGCTTTCCGGCCCCTCTATTCTTTGCCTCTACCCAGTAAAACAATTGCATGGGGTGGGAGGAGAGGTGTGGCTGTTATTGTTGCTTTCCTTTTAGCTTCTTTTAACAGAATGCAAGACGATTTTTGCTCTCGCAGCAACTAAAGTGAGTTTTATCCAAGCAATGCTGGGGAATCAAGTTTGTGAAACTCTTCCTATGAAATATTAAAAAGGTCAATGCCACAAATGCGATTTGACTCCAACGAGAGAATCCTTGATTCAAATGCCGTTCTATTGTCTAACTGAGTTTCAGAGCTCCCTTCACCCCCAAAATACTTTAAGAAAAACACTTCAGTAAACAAAAATTTTCACTAAATAAAAAGGCCCTCCTCTCAGGGGCTCTAAGAGGGAATATAAGGTGAGCAAGGCCCAGGGGACTGTCCAGTACTCTGGGGAAACCAGAGGGCCCTCTGCATTCCTGAATTGCTTTAAAAAACTTATCACCAGAATCGGCTAGCTCTAAGAATTCAGGATCCTCGATCAACACAGATTAAAGTTGAAGAGTATCTTAGATTCACAAAGAATTTTCGGATCTGAAAGTGGCCTTAGAAAAAACCTGCAAGCAAATAGCTTTCCAGGGTAGCCATGCAAATTTGCATGGGCCTCTTTAAACAAAGGAAACTGGCCTGGAAAAGGCACCTCCGGGAGATGTTCAATAAAAATTGAAAACGTGGCTCATAAAATTTATGGTTCTATAAGACAGTGTCCTAAATTTCTCTGATGATAGGAATCACCAGAGGCACTTGTTAAAACCAGTGTCCTAGGTCCCTTGCTAGAGATTCCAATTCAGTGGGTCTGAGAAGGGCGTTGGGATCTGACAGCGTTCACATGCCCCCCCAGGTGATTCTCATCATGGGAGAGGTTTAGGAAATTCTGCTAAAGGGACATCATTACAATTCTCTGACACAAGACAGAAAGATTACAATTTTGAAGTCAGGTAAAACATTTTGAAGTTTAAAAAAATAATTATTTGCAGCTGGGCATGGCAGCTCACGCACGCCTGTAATCCCAGCACTTTGGGAGGGCTGAGGTGGATGGATGGCTTGAGCTCAGGGATTTGAGTTCAGTCTGGGCAACATGGTGAAACCCCATCTCAATTTTTTTTTTTTTTTTGGAGACAGGGTCTCTCACTCTTTTGCCCAGGCTGGAGTGCACTGATACAATCTCAGGTCACTGCAACCATTGCCTCCCAGGCTCAAGTGATCCTCCCACCTCAGCCTCTCAAGTAACTGGGAACATAGGCGTGCACCACCATGCCCAGCTAATTTTTGTCTTTTGGGTAGAGATGGGGTTTCGCCATGTTACCCAGGCTGGTCTTGAATTCCTGAACTGAGGCAATCCACCTGCCTTGGCCTCCCAAAGTGCAGGGATTACAGGCCTGAGCCACCGCACTCAGCTAAAAATGTTTTAAAATAAAGATACTGAGGCCGGGCGCGGTGGCTCACGCCTGTAATCCCAGCACTTTGGGAGGCCGAGGCGGGCGGATCACGAGGTCAGGAGATCGAGACCATCCCGGCTAAAAGGGTGAAACCCCGTCTCTACTAAAAATACAAAAAAAATTAGCCGGGCGTAGTGGCGGGCGCCTGTAGTCCCAGCTACTTGGGAGGCTGAGGCAGGAGAATGGCGTGAACCCGGGAGGCGGAGCTTGCAGTGAGCCGAGATCCCGCCACTGCACTCCAGCCTGGGCGACAGAGCGAGACTCCGTCTCAAAAAAAAAAAAATAAAATAAAATAAAGATACTTTTTAAAAAATAATTATTTGCAAAATGCTGTGTACGTTTTTCAGAAGAAAAGGGTCTGGTCTTACAATTCTTTTTATGTTATTTACATATGTTTGTACAAACACACATTTGGATTTCAGTTTTTAATATAAGTGATAATTGTTTATTCACTCAAACTATGCAGTAAGTAGATCACCAAAAAGTGGTAAAGTACAACTAAAATGTCACCATCCAGAGCCAACTACTGAGCACCTTTCCAGGTATCTCTCTGCACAGACAAGTAGGTACATATTGTACACAACTTAGACACCTGGGGTATACACTTGGGATACACCAAATTTGCTCTTTTGCAACCTATTTCTACATAAGAATAGAGTTTGACTATTTGTTTCATGAACTAGATCTCTATCATCATCTTTTCTAACTGCATAATATTCCATTTGTATGAATATACCATAATTGGCTGAATAAATACTTTCATTTAAAGTTCTCCTTCAAACTAGTATAGAGGACAATTTAAAAATCAGATGAATGAAACTCCTGATTCATTTAGCATAGATAATGAGGAAATAAGTAGCTTGTAAGACTCACGCAGAATTCATAAGATGTGTTAAGTGTAAACAGTAAGTTGTAAGACATGTAAGATAATAACCTGTAAGATGTTAAACAGAATAGAATATTCCTGTGTTAAATATAGATTAAAAGAATGAAACAAATGAGAGTTTTACTTATACATACAAAGAAATGGAGGAATGAAATAAATTTTAAATCTTACAA
The DNA here is from genome assembly GCF_000001405.40 of Homo sapiens. Lineage (NCBI taxonomy): Eukaryota > Metazoa > Chordata > Mammalia > Primates > Hominidae > Homo > Homo sapiens. Next base: position 69,162,254 of record NC_000009.12, on the reverse strand, counting down.
TATTTACTTAATAGTAAAGTTAATAAATATTTAACTTATAATTGTATTTTATATATAATATATAATACAAAATTATACTTTATGTATATATATAATATATAAAGGCATATATATTCATATATAATATATAAAAATTATATTTATTATATAATACAATTTTATAAAAATATAATTTGTATAATTATATGCTGTTATTTATTTATTTATTTGAGATGGAGTTTTTGCTCTTGTCACCCAGACTGGAGTACCATGGCATGATCTTGGTTCACTGCAACCTCTGCCTCCTGAGTTCAAGCAATTCTGCCTCACCCTCCCAAGTAGCTGGAATTACAGGCATGCACCACCACGCCGGCTAATTTTGTATTTTTTAGTACAGACAGGGTTCCACCATGTTGGCCAGGCTGGTCTCAAATTCCTGACCTCAGGTGATCCACCCACCTCGGCCTTCCAAAGTGCTAGGATTACAGGCGTGAGCCACCACACCCGGTCAATTATATATTGTTTATATAATATATAATTATATATAAAGTATTTTTCTAGATTATGATTTACATTGTTAATAATAGACACTTCATAAATATTAATAATATATAATAGTGCTCAGCTCATGTTACCCCAAGATTGACAGCTATGTCATTCCTAAATTGATCACCCATAGGTGACATCCATCATGTTCAGTTCTGGCCCCACATATACTCTGCCCCAAAATGTAGATAAAACACAGATCAGGCCGGGCGCAGTGGCTCATGCCTGTAATCCCAGCACTTTGGGAGGCTGAAGCGGATGGATCACGAAGTCAGGAGTTCGAGACCTGCCTAGCCAAGATGGTGAAACCCCATCTCTACTAAAAATAGAAAAATTAGCTGGGTGTGGTGGCGCATGCCTGTAGCCCCAGCTACTTGGGAGGCTGAGGCAGGAGAATGGCTTGAACCCAGGAGGCGGAGGTTGCGGTGAGCCAAGATCATGCCATTGCACTCTAGCCTGGGCAACAAGAGCGAAACTCCATCTTAAACACACACACACACACACACACACACACATCACTGATGACCTACAGCTATTGGCCAGGCATACTACCTTGCATCCCTCCGACACAGCACGCATGTGCTGACTTCAGATACTTCCCATCCGTTGAAGCCCCTTGTTCAACCTTAACTTTGGTTTTTGTGACCACACCATCAGCAGGGAAAGCTGACACTGCAAGCATAGGGTTCCAGAAGTGTGGATCTCTCACCCCATTTGTATCCTCACCTACCTGTTAGTCTCCATCTGATATGGTTTGGCTGTGTCCCCACCCAAATCTCATCTTGAATTCCCACAAGGTATGGGAGGGACCCAGTAGGAGGTAATTGAATCAAGGGGGCAAGTCTCTCCCATCCTGTTCTCATGATAGTGAATAAGTCTCACGAGATCTGATGGTTTTAAAAAAGGGAGTTTCCCTGCACAAGCTCTCTTCTCTTGTCTGCTGCCATGTGAGACGTGCTTTTTACCTTCTGCCATGATTGTGAGGCCTCCCCAGCCATGTGGAACTGTGAGTCCAATTAAACCTCTTTCTTTTGTAAATTGCCCAGCCTTGGGTATGTCTTTATCAGCAGCATGAAAATAGACTAATACACCATCTTTTTCCCCTTGCTTCTCACTATGTTTTCAAGTTGAGTGAATCGTGTGATTTTAACACCTGGTTTTGGTCTCTGAGCTTTTCTGTCCCATGCTCTCTGGGAGAGCTTGCTGGTAGGCCAGGACTACATCCAGCTAAACTTTTCCACATTCCTAGAGTAGTGAAGGAAAGCAAGCAAGGTGTGGAGTCATAATGAACAAAATCAGGTTTGTAGAAGGTACATCAAATTCTTTGCTAATCTAGGATCTGAAGGCCAGGTTAAACACAAGAGTGAAATCTTTCATTTAATTTCAGGAATGTAGGGAGCTTTCAGCTTTTCCTACCTCCAAAGTCATAAGCTAAGTTTTTGTTTGTTTCTGTTTTTTGTTTTTGTTTTTGTTTTTTGCTGAGCTCTGTCACTGAGACATGATCTAAGTTTTTAAACAAGTCAATCCAGGTTTATTTCCAAAAGATTCAGAAGTCCTTCAGATTTACATTGTAAACACTAAATCACATAAGCAGAGTGTTTTTCTATTATTTTTTCCAGAGCCAATCCTAGCTATTCTTCCCAATGACACTTTATTTTTTACATATCTTCTCCCTTCTTGATCGAGTTCTGCCTTTGCTTGAATCATCCTTCAGTTGCTAAAGTATTTTGATTTCTTGTTCTAAGTCTTGGGAAAGCATCCCTCTTTATTGCTATATATATATACACACTCTAGGAAAAAAAAAGAAACACACACACACACATATATATATATATGTATATATTTCTTTCTTTTTTTTTTTTTTTGAGACAGAGTCTCCCTCTGTTGCCCAAGCTGGAGTGCAGTGGCTCACTGCAACCTCTGCCACCCGGGTTCAAGTGATTCTCCTGCCTCAGCCTCCCGAGTAGCTGGGACTACAGGCGCGTTCCACCACCTGGCTAATTTTTTGCATTTTTGGTAGAGACGGGGTTTCACCGTGTTAGCCAGGATGGTCTCGATCTCCTGACCTCTTGATATGCCCACCTTGGCCTCCCAAAGTGCTGGGATTACAGGCGTGAGCCACTGTACCCAGCCAACTATTACCATATTTATTCTGCTGAGCTAAAGCTATCAGAAGAGACAAATGTAACTTTAACAATTTACAAAGCCTCTTTCAAAGCGTATTGACAGAGTTAATTATTTTAAGTAACCAGTCTTAAGATGTGAAGTAAAAATAATTTTATATATGCATAAATGTTTGATTACTTGTATATCAATATCAATATTATATTTCAAATATCAATATCAAACAGCAATAATTATAATAAAAATTGTATATATTTTTTCAAACATCACTATTTTATTTTTTTGGAGACAGGGTCTCACTTTGTCACCCAGACTGGAGTACAGTGGCGTAATCTTGGCTCATTGCAGTCTGGACCTCCTGGTCGCAAGTGATGTTATCTTCCTGCCTCAGCACCCCCAAGTAGCTGGGATTACAGGCGCCCGCCACCACACCCAGCTATTTTTTTTTCTTTTTGGTATTTTTTGTAGAGACAGAGTTTCTCCATGTTGCCCAGGTTGGTCTCGAACTCCTGAGCTCAAGCAATCTGCCCACCTCAGCCTCCCAAAGTGCTGGGATTACAGGTGTAAACCACCGTGCCCGGCATATTTTTTTCAAATATCAAATAATTTTGATGGGGGGGGGGCGGTGAATCCTGCCCAAGGGGATTGCCTAATCTCACTACACAATCAGATTACCTCTAAATGAATAAAAATTTTGACTGAACTGAAAAGTTTTGTCACCAACCATTCAACTGATATGAGTGAAGAATCAAAACCGATGTGAGTGAAGAACCCCCCCATTCCAGCCAGAACTAGAAGCAAATTCTTCATCTCAATTTTATCAGATGAAATGGAAATCATAAGATAAGCTTCCAGCCTGGTGCAGTGGCTCACACCTATAATCCCAACACTTTGGGAGGCTGAAGCAGGAGGATTGCTTGAGGCCAGGGGATGGAGGCTGCAGTGAGCTATGACCATGCCACTGCACTCCAGCCTGGGGAACAGAGCAAGACCCTGTCTTGAAAATAAGAAGAAGAATAAGCTTCCTTAAACAGCAACGTTTAAGGGAAGAGCTAAGGGAAGTGCTTTTATTTAGTGCTGTGCGCAGCCCATAGGACACCTGAAACCACTTACTGGGCCTCTAAGTTTCTGGCATAGGTAGAGGAGAAAGTGTCAGAAGGGCAGGTGATAGTGAGGAAAAGGAACAAAAAGCACAGAGAAGCCTTTTAAGATTTGGCTGTGAAAAGTTAAGAGATCTAGGGCTCTGGGTCAGCTTTTTTTTTTTTTTTTTTTTTTTTTGAGGCAAAGTCTTGCTCTGTCCCTCAGGCTGGAGTGCAGTGGCGCCATCTAGGCTCACTGCAACCTCCACCTCCTGGATTCAAGCGATTCTCCTGCCTCAACCTCCCGAGTAGCTGGGATAGCTGGGATTACAGGCGTGCACCACCATGCCCGGCTAATTTTTTGTTTTTGTTTTTTAGTAGAGATGGGGTTTCACCATGTTGGTCAGGCTGGTCTGGAACTCTGACCTCAGGTGATCCACCGCCTCAGCCTCCCAAAGTGCTGGGATTACAGGAGTGAATCACCGCACCCGGCCAGCCACTGTGCCTGCCTCTGGGTCAGCTTTTAATTCTTAGGTTCTGAATTCTTTTAAACATGCAGGAGTATAATTAAATTATGCTTCAGAACCTAGCTTGAGTATTACTCATCTACATGCTATGCTTAAGATGTCCAGACATCACAGATTTCCAAGGATAGGCCAAATGACCAGCACTCTGTCTTGTTGGTTCATGAGTAAAAAAGCACACACTCTGATTTCTGTTTGGAAAATATGTTTAGCTTTAAGTCATTAGAAAGCAAGAAAGAATAAGGACCAGGCGTGGTGGCTGACACCTGTAATCCCAGCACTTTGGGAGGTCAAGGCAGATGGATCACTTGAGGTCAGGAGTTAGAGCCTGGCCAAAATGGGAAACCCGTCTCCACTAAAAATACAAAAATTAGCTAGGCATGGTGGCGTGTGCCTCTAATCCCAGCTACTCAAGAGGCTGAGGCAGGAGAATTGCTTGAACCCGGGAGGTGGAGGTTGCAATGAGCCAAGATCATGCTACTGTAATCCAGCCTGGGCGACAGAGTGAGACTCTGTCTCAAAAAAAAAAAAACCAACTCTGCAGACACCTTGAGTTCAGACTTCTAGCCTCTAGAACCATGAGACAATAATTTATGTTAATTTCTGTTTAAGCCACCCAGTTTATGGTGCTTTGTTACTGTGGCTTCGGCAAACTACTACAAATGGGGATTAGAGTTGGACCTCCACCTCATGGGATGGGTATGAGAAATAAGACGATGGAAGTAACATGTTTGAGTAACATGTTTAGCACAGCACCAACTACACAGTAAGCACCCACATTTCATCATGATCATTATACAGTTGCATCTTTATTTCATATCTATAAACCAAAAATAAAATTTGAAGGGCCCCTGCAACCATCTGAATGGACTTCCTCCTTGGCCGGGGAACCCTAAAATTTAACCTGAAAGACTGGTTCAGGCCATGAAGGGAAGTGGGGGTTGGACATGCCCCATCATACCCCTCCAATATTAACATCAACACTGACCTGAAGTCTGATAAGAAATGTTTACAGTTTATTCTCTAAAGCCTGTTACTTGGAGGCTTTAGAATAGCAGTACTTATGACCTGGCAGCCCCTAGGTACCCCTAGAGTAGAGTACCTATGACCTGGCAGCCCCTCTACCCCTTTTGAGTTGTCCTGCTCTGCCAGATGGAACCAATGTAGTAAATCTTACATGTATTGGCCGGGCGCGGTGGCTCACGCCTGTAATCCCAGCACTTTGGGAGGCCGAGGCGGGCGGATCACGAGGTCAGGAGATCGAGACCACGGTGAAACCCCGTCTCTACTAAAAACACAAAAAATTAGCCGGGCGCAGTGGCGGGCGCCTGTAGTCCCAGCTACTCGGGAGGCTGAGGCAGGAGAATGGCGTGAACCCGGAAGGCGGAGCTTGCAGTGAGCGGAGATCGCGCCACAGCACTCCCGCCTGGGCGACAGAACGAGACTCCGTCTCAAAAAAAAAAAAAAAAAAAAAAAAAATCTTACATGTATTGATTGATGTATTATGTCTCCCTAAAATGTATAAAAGCAAGCTGTACTCTGACCACCCTGGGCACATGTCGTTAGGACCTCCTGAGCCTGTGTTATGGGCATGTCCTGTAACCTTGGCAAAATAAACTTTCTAAATTTTTCTTTTTTTTTGGGACAGAGTCTCACTCTGTTGCGCAGGCTGGAGTGCAGTGGCAATCTCAGCTCACCGCAACCTCTGCCTCCCAGGTTCAAGCAGTTCTGGTGCCTCAGCTTCCCAAGAAGCTGGGATTACAGGTGCACACCACATACCCAGCTAATTTTTGTATTTTTAGTAGAGATGGTGTTTCACCATGTTGGCCAGGCTGGTCTCAAACTCCTGGCCTCAAGCGATCTTCCAGCCTGGGCCTCCCAAAGTGCTAGGATTACAGGCGTGAGCCACCCTGCCTGGCCAAACTCTCTAAGTTGATTGAGACTTTGTCTCTGATACTTTCTGGTTTACATATAGGAGTCACAATGGAATTCTCAGAACAAACACAAACCTTTTCTTCTCACCTAGTGCAGCATCTCCAGACTCTTTTAATGTACAGGCTCTGCTCCGAGTTTCTCTTCCCCCATAAGTGCACATAGCCAATAACTTTTTAGCCTCAGGTTTCCTTTCAAATATCACCTGCCGCAGGAATCCTCCCCTGACTTAGTCACTGCTTCAGGCCTTCTGCCACATCCTCTTAAGGGGGTGAGGGCAGTACTTTACACACAGCAATGCAATTTACTGATTCCAAATTAGGCTCCAAAGTCTACCAGGGACAAGCTTAATATTCCTCTACATTTCCCTCAGCAGCACAGTGCGAGATGCTCATTAAATATTTGAGGACAGAATCCCTTCCCCACAGATAGAGAAACTGGCCACACACACCATCTGTAAACAAGCCCATGCTCTAAACCAGCCATTACAAGTACTCTCCAGGTTAGTGGTTGTCAAAGTAGTGGAAACCAGACATGCAAATTCCTGGGACTTACCCCAGACTGCCTGAAGCAGAAACCCTGGGGGTGGGGCCCAGGAATCCGTGTTTTAACACGCCCTCCAGGCGATACCGATGTGCCACTGCTCTGGGTCTGTCCATCCCAGTATGGAAGTTTGGCTGCTGGAGTGATTTCCCTGAGAATTCCTGTAAACCGAGGAGCCCCTAGGGAAGAGGGAAAGAAGCTATAGAGGGGCTCCCAGGTGCACAGAAGTAAAAGTTTCGAGCTTTCACCTTCAACTCACTTCTTTTGTTTTCTTTTCCTTTTTTTTTTTTTTTTTTTTTTGGAAATGGAGTTTCACTCTTTCGCCCTTTCACCCAGGCTGGAGTGAAGTGGCACGATCTCGGCTCACTGCAATCTCTGGCCCACCAGGTTCAAGTGATTCTCCTGCCTCAGCCTCCTGAGTAGCTGGTATTGTAGGTGCCCAGCACCACACCAGGCTAATTTTTGTATTTTTAGTAGAGATGAGGTTTCACCATGTTGGCCAGGCTGGTCTGGAACTCCTGACCTCAGGTGATCCACCCACATCGGCCTCCCAAAGTGCTAGGATTACAGGCGTGAGCCACTGACCCCAACCTCAACTCACTTTTCTAAGCCTATATGATGGGGTGAGTCAGTGATAACTTTAAGGTATCTAAATTGCCTAACAATGAGATTTCGTATCTAGAAAATGAAGCTCTTCACCAGACTATTAGCATCTTTTTTTTAATTTTTATTTATTAATTTTTTTATATAAAATTATAAAATTGAAAAAGAGACAGGGTCTCCTTATGTTGCCCAGGTTGGTCTTGAACTCCTGGGCTCAAGGGCTCCTCCTGCCTCAGCCTCTGAAAGTGCTATGATTATAGGTGCGAACCACCATGCCTGGCCTTCTTTTTTTTTTTTTAATGGAGACAGGGTCGGTCTATGTCGCCCAGGTGCTCTTGAACTCCTGGGCTTAAGCGATCCTCCCGCCTCAGCCTCCCAAAGCCTTAGCATTATTTCTGAAGGCAAAGATGATCCTGCCAAGTCAGAAAGGTGATAATCAAAGCCCCTTAAAGTTGCAAAAATCCAGCCTCAGGCAAACAGTGCTCATCAGAGGAGAGACTCCAGAATGGCAGAGGAGAGCAGAATGAGTAGAGGCTGATGATTAGAAACCTCAGGTCCAGAGCGGTTTGGCAGACACCTGCTCCACCCACGCCGGACATTGCCAATCGATCACAACATTCTTGCTCAACAAACTTGAGCGGCACTTGCAAATCCTTAACTCCAGGCAGCCACCTAGCAATTGATCCAAACTGGCCTTAGAGAGAAACCTTTTTACTCGTCTGAGTTAAGGAGTTAAGTCTTCAAGCTCTGTAGAATTAGTATAGAAATACAAATCTCACTGAACTTGGAAGTCAGGGGCTGTGCAACCACAAAGGAATCATTTAAAATCTTTGAATCTCAAGTTCTTTATTTACAAATGGGAGCTAGTTAATACTTTCCTCTTAGGGTTGTTGTGAGGAGGAACCATATGGGTGAAAGCACCTTGCCCCTTGCTTGGCACATAAAAGGCCCTTAATGAGTGTTTGCTGGATCTGAAACTAGGGCGACGTGAGATGCCTGGGAAAAAAATCCACATCACTCAAGCTCACCCAAGGCTGATTCGTCCCAGAAAGCCAAGCTTAAGTGTTTACACATGAAAGAACTCTGGAGTAAGGCACTGACTTAGGCAATCAAATTGATGTTGGAAAGGCATGCAGTTCATAGTGCAGGTACAGGGAACCAGAACAAGGGAGGTATTTATCAGGAGGGGCTGGCTAGAGTCAGAAAGAGCCTTTCCTCCAACAGACAATGCTAGCTCCAATCTCTCTTTGCCATACTCTATAGTACCCCTCCAATTTATTTGAATAATCAACAGATCCTATCTAGAAATCTAAAGATTTTAGGAGAACAATTTTTTTCTTTTTTGAGACAGTTTCTCTGTATCGCAAGGCTGGAATGCAGTGGCACGATCTCAGCTCACTGTAACCTCCACCTCCTGGGTTCAAGTGATTCTCGTGCCTCAGCCTCCCGAGTAGCTGGGATTACTGGCAGGCACCACCACGCCTGGCTAATATTTTGTATTTTTTGCAGAGATGGGGTTTCGCCATGTTGCCCGGGCTGGTCTCAAACTCCTGGGCTCAAGCCATCCTTCCACATTGGCCTCCCAAATTGCTGGGATTACAGGCATGAGCCACCGCGCCCAGACAAGGAAAACAATTTCTGGAGTCTGAGCAGGTATCTGTCTTCTCATGTTTGGGACGTTTTTTTGTTGCTGAGATAGAGTCTCACTCTGTTGCCCAGGCTGGGGTGCAGTGGTGCAATTATAGCTCACTGCAGCCTCGAATTCCTGGGCTCAAGCGATCCTCCCACCTCAGCTTCTCATGTAGCTAGGACTACAGGAGCACACCACCATGCCCAGCAAATTATTATTATTATTTTTTTTTAAATAGAGACAGGGTCTCACTATGTTGCCTAGGCTGGTTTCAAACTCTTGGCCTCAAGCGATCCTCCCACCTCTACTTCCCAAAACAGTGGGATTATAGGTATGAGCTGCCTTGCCTGGCTGGGACCTTTAAGAGCTCCAGAGGGCGGAGCTTGCAGTGAGCCGAGATCGCACCACTGCACTCCAGCCTGGGCGACAGAGCGAGACTCCGTCTCAAAAAAAAAAAAAAAAAAAAAAAAAAAAAAAGAGCTCCAGAGAGAACATTTCAGTAAACAAAACCCACATCCAGCCCTGTTAATTCAGTGGAAAATGAGGACTTCCCCCACTTGAATGTCCTCATTTGGACAACTAGACACTGAGAAAGGCCTTAGCATGGGCCTGGTACTTGCTGGGCCCATTAACTCATTTAGTTTCATGTCGACGTTCCCTTTTTACAGATGAAGGATCTGAGGCTCAGAAGCATTAAGACATGTGCCCAAGATCACACAATTAGAAGGCAGCAGGACTAGGATCTGAACGACTATCTGCTCTTCTGGAGTGTGCCATTCACACTCCACTAAACTCCAGTTCACACATTTATCTGGAATCCACCCAAGTAGGGGCTGCCAACTTCAACAGACAGGAATTATAAAACAAGCACATGAAAAAAATTACAACCCCATTCCAGCTAGCCATGGCCTGGCCTATAAACAGAGGTCAAAGTGTAACAAAAAACAAATGCATCCCACATCTGTCAAAATTTAAGACCTTGTAAATCTCATTTGATTCACTCTTAAAAGTGAATCAGTAAATAGATAATACTCGCTCCTAGCTCTTTCACTAAAAGCTTGGACATAATTAATCTTTAGAAGCCAGTGTGACTGATGTCCTTTATCTTTTCATCAAAGTGCTTACCACTGTTATATAATTTTACTACCTCAATGATAATGAAAAAATATAACCTATTAAAATGACCTCCAATCCCAGACATCATCAGCACCAAATGCCAATTTAGGCATTTATTTTGAACCACAGAAGTTGTACTTACTTACATGCCAGAAAGGTCATCCTCAATAAGCATTCACCAACCATGGCAAAGTTATACCTATCAATTCAGTCCATTAATTCAGGTAAGATGTTTCTATTCTTTGGTAAATAGGACATTACCATTAAATTTTCTATGAAAATGTATATATCAGCAACATCAAAAATGGTAACTCTGACTACCTCTAGAATGTGAAAACGGTAACTATTCGAACAAATTTTGGGGGAGACCAGTAACTAGGTTGATGAGAGATTAAATAAGCAAATACCTGGCAACGTGGGCCGTGTACTGGTACAGCTCTGTGCTTCCTGGAGTACTTGCTCCTGGAGCTGCAGCCGGGGTGCCAATCCCACTCACAGGGAGATGACAGTAATGTGGTACTTCGCACCCTGGAAAAGACAGTGTTGTTAAAAATCCAACATGCTCATTCCCTGCAATGGTAAGATTTTGGGAAATGCACTGAAGTCCACATACCATACAATTTGCCCGTTTTTAGGATGGCTTTTAGTACCTTCACAGAGTTATGCAACTGTCACCACAATCCTTTTTTTTTTTTTTTGAGACGGAGTTTTGCTCTTGTTGCCCAGGCTAGAGTGCAATGGTGTGATATCGGCTCACCGCAACCTCTGCCTGCTGGTTCAAGCAATTCTCCTGCCTCAACCTCCCGGAAAGCTGGGATTACAGGCATGCGCCACCACGCCCGGCTAATTTTGTATTTTTAGTAGAGACGGGGTTTCTCCATGTTGGTCAGGCTGGTCTTGAACTCCCGACCTCAGGTGATCCACCCACCTCGACTTCCCAAAGTGCTGGGATTACAGGCGTCAGCCACTGCGCCCGGCCCACAATCCATTTTAGAAGATCTTCATTAACCCCACAAGAAAAGCCCCATAACCATTAGCCATCATTCCCTGAGCCCCCAATTCTCTCTCTGCCTCTTGGCCCTAGGCAACCACCAATCTAATTTTTTACTCTATAGATTTATCTATTCTGGATATTTCATATGAATGGACTCATATGATATGAGGCCTTTTGTGACTGCCTTCTTTTACTTAGCATAATGTATTCAGGGTTCATTGATGTTATAGCATACATCAGCACTTCATTCCTTTTTATGGCCAAATAATATTACATTGTATGGATATACCACATTTTATTATCTATTCTTCAGTTGGTGGAAGTTTGGGTTGTTTCTACTCTTTGGTCATTATGAACACTTGTGTACAATTGTTTATGTGGACATATGTTTTCATTTCTCTCAGAAATAATGGAATTGCTGCCCCTGTTTTCAGTCTTCAAAAAATGGAGAAAGTGAATTGCCACCTAAACTTTGGTATCACCAGTCCACCTGAGGGTCACTCTGAGAAACAAGATCTTATAAGAATTCGCCTTTCAGGTTAAACAAATATCAGCGGGTGAGAAAATAGCTAGAACAAAATATTTTAGGCTGGGCATGGTGGCTCACGCCTGTAATCCCAGCACTTTGGAAGGCTGAGGCGGGTGGATCACCTGAGGCCAGGAGTTCGATCAAGACCAGCCTGGCCAACATGGTGAAACCCCATCTCTACTAAAAATACAAAAATTAGCTGGGCATGGTGGGGAGGTGCTGTAATCCCAGCTACTCAGGAGGCTGAGGCAGGAGAATCACTGGAACCCAGGAGGCAGAGGTTGCAGTGAGGTGAGATCTCACCACTGCATTCCAGCCTGGCGACAAGAGTGAAACTCTTGTCTCAAAAAAAAAAAAAGAAAAGAAAAAAATTTTTTATTATAGTAAAATACACATAACATAAAATTTACCATTCCAAAGTATACTACAGAGAAAACATTTTAAACCAAAAGGGAATTTGTTTTTCATAGCATTTATAACACTGGCTTGTGTTTATGGTTTTGTTTTTTGAGACAGTCTCACTTGTCGCCCAGGCTGGAGTGCAGTGGCACAATCTCGGCTCACTGCAACCACCGCCTCCTGGGTTCAAGCAGTTTTCCTGCCTCAGCCTCTCAGGTAGCTGGGATTACAGGCACGTGCCACCACGGCCGGCTAATTTTTGTATTTTCAGTAGAAACAGGGTTTCACCACGTTGGCCCGGCTGGTGTCGAACTCCTGACCTCAAGTGATCCATCCACCTTGGCCTCCTAAAGTGCTGGGATTACAGGCATGAGCCACCGCAACTGGCCTAGGCTTGTGTTTATATTTATGGGTTGCTCACCAGCAGGAAAGATGGCAAATACTTTCTCGTTTTACCCCTAAGACCAAGAAAACCCAAGAAATACCCCTTCTGCAAATTCTTATGAAGCCTGCATGTGCCTTTCGAATACCACAAGGAGGCAAGCTCCTTTCTGGGTTGAGCTTGTGAAGGCAGCTTCACTCGGGCAGTCACAGGAAAAACTTTCAGTGGGAGGAAGAATGCAGCCTCTCACCACTTCTGGACATACTCTTCTGTTTGCTAGACAAACTGATATTGTGGCGTCTGTGCAAAACACTCTACTCCCTACACGATGAAATAGAAAGAAAAGATGGTGTCAGTTTTATTTGTACAGGCGGGAGGCACATTTCCCTTCTCCCAGGATCAGCAGGAAATGTAGGCAAAGGCTAAAGCTATGCCATCTGGACATCCTACAAAGCAAGCAACGGGATTAAAGCCCAGCCCATACATGGTTTCTATTATTACTTCCAAAGATAAATAAATGGCTTACAAATCGAGAGGTACTTAGTTATGCTTTTGGCTTCATATGCAAACTTTTCTACAGGTATCAGCTCCAAGGAGAGCTTATTTCTTTTATTAAAATGGCTTGCTTTTTAATTTAAGGAGTTTTCTGCATTTCTAATGTATCCTGGCTTTAACTTTCTCTATAATAATCCAAGGAGTTTTTTCATGTATACAAACCCCCAATAACAATCAGTTGTTTCTAAAATACACTATTATTGAATAGGGCCTCTAAATTAAAAGAACATTTGGCAGAAAGAAATAAAATATATTCTTGGATTTCAATAGTATTGAGAGATAATGTAAAATTGTCAGGTAACATGAGTTAAAGCTGAAAAACTTTACAGATTTCAAAAGGAAGATTCATAGGTGGCTGGGTATTTTAGGTTAGTATTTGGGTATCAATTATTTTTATTCTATCTTTCTCCATTGTGGCTATACTGAAACCGAGTTAGCACTGGAAAATATTTGTTGAGCACCTACCATGTGCTGGGCAATGGGCAAATATACACATGTGTAAATCATCCAATCTCTGTTTCAATGAACTTGCAATACTCAGTCAATTGTCGGTTGGTAGCCATTCGTTTTGGCCAATCATGCAACTGTACAGTTTGCAGAATAGAAGCCCAAGCACATCCCTGCTTGCAGACAGCAAGAAAAAGTATTACAGAGGGGGGCGGTGGCTCATGCCTATAATCCCAGCACTTTGGGAGGCCGAGGCGGGTGGATCACTTGGGGTCAGGAGTTCGAGACTAGCCCGGCCAACATGGTAAAACTGCATCTCTACTGAGAATACAAAAATAGCTAGGCATGGTGGTATCTGTAGTCCCAGCTACTTGGGAGGTGGAGACAGGAGAATTGCTTCAACCCGGAAGGCAGAGATTACAGTGAGCCAAGATCCTGCCACTGTACTCCAGCCTCCTGGGCGACAAAGTGTGACTCCGTCTCAAAAAAAAAAAAAAAAGTATTACAGAGGGGGAAGCATGAGAAGAATGAATGAATTCCTTGAGGTTTTAAATACTGGATTATAACCTGACTTCCAATTGTGGCTTTTTTTTTTTTGAGACTGTGTCTCAAAAAAAAAAAAAAATTAAAAAAAATATAAAAAAGAAAGGGCCAGGCACAGTGGCTCATGCCTGTAATCCTAACACTTTGGGAGGCCAAGATGGGCAGATCACCTAAGGTAAGGAGTTCGAGACCACCCTGACCAACGTGGAGAAACCCCGTGTCCACTAAAAATACAAAATTAGCCAGACGTGGTGGCGCATGCCTGTAATCCAAGCTACTCGGGAGGCTGAGGCAAGAGAATCTCTGGAACCCGGGAGGCGGAGGTTGCAGTGAGCCAAGATTGTGCCATTGCACTCCAGCCTGGGCAGCAAGAGCTAAATACTGTCTCAAAAAAAAAAAAAAAAGTGATCAGTGAAATGTTTTATCCCTGTGTATTCACAGAACTCAAAGAGTATTATAGGTACAAGGAAGATCTTGTTCGTCCTCTGATCCAATGCTATTTCATCCAGCTTAAGGAAACGTTCTCTCTCTCAAAAAAAAGGCACATTCAACTTCCCTTATTAAGGGCTACTTTGTAATAATTTGACTTCTGTTTGGTTTGATTTGGGGAAATGAGGAGAAGCAGAGATCTATTTAGGTCTATTTAGGGTACTTATTCCAATTGCTAGTAGAGGTTATCTCTGAACAAAAATTAATAATCTAGCAATCAACTTGCACATCTGAATCATGGGAGCTTGTTTAGGCCGAATCCCTTCATGAAAGACCCTGAGGCAGAAACTAAGAACATCCCGTTTCTGTCTGAGAGCCAGGCCCTTGATCAGGATGACTCCAATGAGGCTGAGTTTCCCACTTGTAAAATTCGAACACTAAACTAGAATTCAGGAATGGTAAATATATAGGCCACGGCTTGCATCTCCCCAATTCCCTAATCATAGGTTCAGAACAAACATCCCTAATCAGTTGCGATATTCCTTTCCCGCTAAGCCCAGGTTTGGCCTCCAGGTCCTCCTAGCTAGATACTCCAAGCAGCCAACCATCAACTGGCACCTGTCTTCCACATGAAACCTGTTTGCCATCCCTGGCAAAGGTCCTCCCAGTTCTAAACTTTCGTCATTCTGAGACTAAGGTCTAGGCTACCGCATGCCCAATCACGAGAGGCTACTTGGAGAATCTCAGTTTAGTCATTACAATGTTTTCCACAGCCCTGGCTGAACAGCATTAACCTACATGGACTCTGATAGAGTCTCTGTATGCCCCCTGCCCTCTCCACGCATATACACACTTCCATTTACTTTCAAGACAATAACAGTAGAATAACAATAATATAATTAAAATGTTGCCTCAGAATTCCATTCTAAAGCATCTCTAAGATTTCCCAAAGAAATATTTATTTTTTTCTAATAAAATGTACCCTTTTACAGATGGGAAGAAAACCTATCTAAATCAAATGTCTCACCAGTGGCACCGTTGACACTGTGGGCTGGATAATTCGTTGTTGCAGGGGGCTGTCCTGTACCTTGTGGGATGTTGGGCAGTATCCCCAGACTCTACCAACTAGATGCCAATAGCAACCCCTGGGCTATAACAACAAAAAAAATGCCCCAGACATTGACAATTGTCCCCTGGGGAGCAAAATTCCCTATTTCCACCTCCCCGTTGACAACCACTGACCTAAACGATTCTAGTAGTTCTCTTGGGGAGATAGGACAATGGGTAATTTTCCCCCTTATTTTTCTGTATTTTCTAAATCTTCTATAATGAATGTACATTGCTCATATGATAAAAATAAGCTAGTAACTATCTAATTGTTAAAAAGAAATATTTGCTACACAGATGCAAGTTGATCAGTACATGCTACTGTGTGACTCATTCAGTTTGAAAATTAAATTCAGGCCCTAAAAATATCGTCTACCATAAAGGCACCTTAAATTCACCTTGTCTTTAATGTGTAAGAAGCACAAAAGAAGACTTCAGAGAAGAAAGTTAGAACTAAGGCTTGTAGCTATGCATAAAGAACTTCTCAACCTTTCTTCATCATGGTAAATCAGTGGGGCTGCAGAAAGAGATGTGGAAGGAAAACTGCTGTTTCAAGCAAAGTATTTCCCCGAAGCATAGTCTGCACATACACTTTAATCAGAAAAACACTTGTATTGTTGAAAAACATTATAGTAATAAGGCATATTTTCTTCATTCTTAAGAATTGCTACATTTGTAAACCATGTTAAAAAAACATTTTCAAAATCAGAAAATTAAATGTCTAGATTGTAAAAATGGGCTCTAGACACACCCATTATTCATCTTCTTGGGTATTAGAATATTATCCAACAATTTCATTCCTATTTTTAAATCAGTCTAGGAGTTCCATTCTCCACCAAGAAGAAACAAGTTCTTAATGAAGAACTCATTTATTATCCCCACAAGACAGAGGACCCTTTTTTCTATATGGGTCCCCAAAACAGACAAAAAGTATTTACATCTATAGTGAGAAGCTTCCAGCCTCCTCTGCTTACCCAGGTTGTTGCCAAAGGTTCACGTGTCTTCTGCTCTCAGGTAGAAGTTCTCTTTTGTTAAGTGGGGTAATACCAACTGCTGCTTCCAGAATACCGATATATTTCTTGTACCTCATCTTGTCTCTCTCGGTACAAGGTCCTGTAAATTTCAGTCACTGTTCACCTGAAGCAACTGAACTAATCTTTAATGGAAGCTGCTGTTCCTTTGGATGTTCTCTATGTAGCCCTAGCTAGATCTATTAAACACAACCGTGGTGATGGGGGGGCAGACCACAAATAAAGAGAACGTCTTTCAGATTTCCCTGCAATGGCAGTATTATACAAGGCTAAATAATTCTGAATAAAGCACTAATGAAAATGATTTGCAGGAATGACTGCGGTTTTAAACACGGCGATCTAATGTACACTCCAATTAATCCGCACATAAATCTTTGAGGCCGCTAATCCTTCAAGAACTAATGGCTCATGAGGTGATTTATCTCAAGGTCTGGTAATAATTGGTCCAAAAAGCCTGCCTGCCACTGGATGAACTAAAATCAGAAACAGATTTGCTCTTTCTACAAATATCTCTCTCTCTAAAAGCCTGTGCTTTGACAAGTGAGGAAGGAATTCTAGTTGTCATTTTATAGCAATGCATTTCTAAGCACTATAAACTCCTTGCTTGGGTCAATAGCAAAGATTAATTAATTAAGAAACAATTTGGTGGGTTTTTAAAATTATTATTAAAAACAACTTTTTAAATACCTCTAGAACCCAACATGTGTGATCCCTGCCATCATGAAAATATATCGTTTGGAGAGGTTCAGAATCTACCTCATCTCCATTTTCTTTAAGTCTCCTCTTGGCTTTGAAGAGCTTCCTTACCCTTTGTCCATGGGTAAAGGTGGACCACCTATCATGGTGGCCCACTCAATGGGCCATGGTACACATGATCCACATACTGGGTCAACCAGTCTTCCCTGGGGTGAACAGATGACTGTAGGAGGGAAATGTCCTGTTTCCATTGGATTTGCTAACCAGGGCTGATAGGAAGTTGGAGCTCTTGATAGTAGTCATGTGCCCCGCCACATGGAGAGGGCTCTTCACTAGTATTACAATAGTTGAGAAAAACAGTACCAAGAAAAATGTCATGACATCACTCGAGCTTCTGGATCCAGCTATGCCGGAGGCCACTGTCACCCTAGGAGATTACAGTTATCGTTTATGAAAGCTAATAAATTGACTTTTGTGAAATTTAATTTTAGTTGAGTTTGTCACTCTGAGAGTTCTGACTTAAATAGCTCCTTCCTCACCAACTTCTTCAAGCTATTTTTTTTTCCTATTTGATGTGCTATGGCAACATACAAGAGTCATGCTGCTCCTTGTCTAAACAAACCCATACATAAAGGGAAGCAAAATAGAAGGGGAGCCATTATGCAGTAACTCTGATTAACCTAGATGTCCAAAGTGAGTGTCCCAAACCCTTCCCCATCCCCGCAAATCTTAAACCCTACTTCTACAGATTCTCTTTCCTCAATAGCAAGTTTCTTTTGACCTAAATGACCTAAATCTCCAAAGTGAGGTGCACATACCAACAATCTTTGGGATGTGGGAAGAAAGTATTATGCCATCTATTTCCTCTTTTCTTCTCTCATGCTTTAAAAATTTGAGTGTTGCTGGGCACGTGGCTCACATCTGTACTCCTAGCACTTTAGGAGGCTGAGGCAGGAGGATCACTTGAGCCCACAAGTTCGAGGCTGCAGTAAGCTATAATCGTGTCATTTTATTCCAGCCTGGGTGACAGAGAGAGACTCTGTCTCAAAAAAATAAAAAATAAAATTGAATGTTTGTGTTTTGAATATTCATAATATTTACCTTGAGAACTAATATCTTTTAAATTGTAATAAGGTACACTATTTACAAACTAATATACTCATGTATACGGTAGAGTGTACTTAAAAATCTGACAGGGGTATATGAGTGTACTTAAAACTCTGACAGGGTATATTACAGTTTGGTGACTTTAAATAACCCTTCAACTACTCCCTAAGCCTCAATTTCCCTGTTTATAAGATGAGAGGACTGAATAGATGAAGGCTAAGTTTTCTTCCAAAAACAACAAAAGACCAAGAGCTCCCACTTCACTTGGCCTGATTATGCAATTAATATAATCTGACCACAATAAAGTAAAAAACAAGGGCTAAAGCATTTGGTCTTGGAATATTTCATTTCCATAGTATTCATGAATATTACTCCCACTGGTTGTTCTGCAAACAATTAGTACCAGTTAGTCCCAGGAATTCTTTTATAGGCTGAACTTGGTTGGCTACAGCTGCCACCTCTGAGTAAAGGTCCCATACAGCCCTCATTTAATCATACAGGAAGATGTAATTACACTCACACAACAGTCATTGTTCTAACAAATTGTATTTCTGATGACGCATGATAAAAATTACTATACAACACTCTAAATAAGTAACAAAGCCTGAGCTAACAACAAGAAAAAATCAACTTAAACTTGTTACCCATTGGAAGCTGTTCTCCTGCAGTGAAAAGTGACATGATATTTTGCAAATGGGATGTTTTAAAGTTTCATTTTTTATTGGAATTTTCGATGCATTTAACATGCAGCTCTTACAAAGTGATTCTTATCTATGATGATTTCACATAAAATTAAAATTGTGTCTTTCATTAGGAAAATAATTCTGCCTTAGCAAATATTAGAAAGAATTTGCTTTTCTTCCATAAATCAGACTGTTCAACTTGCTAATTTATTTATTCATTTTTTAAAATTGTCATCTTTGTGTGGAATCTCTCATAATTATACATAAGGTTAATAACACAGGAAATAACAAATCTAGCCAAAATACCCCTTCCAGATATGACACTTCATAATTCTAGAAATTATTTAGAAATATGCATATATTGGGTTAATTCCCTTACAATTCTAGAAATTGTTTATAACTGGAACTATTAACTAAAAATCATTTATCTATTAAAAGTGTTTTTAAATATACATGATCCAAAAAAAGCTTTTAAGTCAGGATGCTCAAGTTTTCTTTCTGGATGATTAAAATTGAACATAAAACTTCACAGATCAGACTGACATTTCCTTTCAACTAATATTTCTACTTTATTTCTTCTGGAGAAAGACAGTGGCCATGCTTCTTCACTGGGTGTTTTAACAGTTACTGTGCTTTGGAAGTATAAAAAGGGAAATGAACTAATGCCCTGTACAGTCTGTTTTATAGGGTGTGGTCTGCTTTTCAGGAGCTGAAAAAAGCTTTAACTAAAAGTAGAAGAGTTAGGGAAACAGCAATTTTTTTGTTTTTGCTTTTTTAGCTCTACTGAAAAAAGCATTTCATTTCTCTCCTCCTTAATATGCTCATAAATAATATCTTTACATATTTGCTACTCAGATGCCCCACCAATACACTGTAAGAAAAGCAGATTACGTGATGTAAAAGAATTACCAAAGAGTTAATAAAGTTTAGTGTGGCTCTTTTAGACTCACCTGCTCAGCCCAAACTAGCCTTCTCTCCTCAGAGTCATTCATCCTCAGAACATATTCACTACTAGGTTTAAACTATTACCTTCAACTGGATGTCATCAAATTTATCGTTCCAATCCTGTCCTCTGGCACAACCCAGTATCTATTGGAAATAACCCATGTGCCCAGCGCCAGCTACAGTGCCCCTTGCCTTTTCCGGCTTCTGTGCATCCACCTCCTGGTTCACCCAGCATGAGACCTTGAAGACACCCTCATCCATTCCTGTGTGTCCCCAGTCATACCAACCCCATGACACAGGGGAAAGACTTGGTTTGAATCCCACCTCTACTGTTTAAGACCTGGTGACCTTGAACAAGTTACTGACCTTTCTGAACCTCTGTTCCATCATTCGTACAGCTAGACTAAGACCACAACACAGGGCTTGTTTTAAATAATAAATGCAGCCAGGTGCTGTGGCTCACGCCTGTAATCCCAGCACTGTGGCAGGCCGAGGTGGGTGGATCACATGAGGCCAGGAGTTCAAGACCTGCCTGGCCAACATGGTGAAACTCTGTCTGTACTAAAAATACAAAAAAGCCGGGCATGGTGGTGGGCACCTGTAATCCCAGCTACTCGGGAGGCTGAGGCATAAGAATCGCTTGAACCAGGAGGTGGAGGTTGCAGTGAGCCAAGATCATGACACTACACTCCAGCCTGAGTGACAGAGTGAGACTCTGTCTCAAAATGAATTAATAAATAATGCCGTAATGTATATACATTCGGTGGATATCATCCCTCCCTCCCTTCCTCTCTCCCATCTGTCCTTCTTTTTCCATTCCTAATGCCTCTTCAGGAAGAGTGGTCCTTGTGGGAAAAACAGTGAGACTGAAAGACAGGCTGGCTGGAGGGTACAGGGACCCAAGGGCTGGAGTGGGCGGTGGAAAACACCACAAAGAAAGGAAAGTAGGCTCCTGGGTCCTGCTCGGGGGAGCAGAGGAAAGGGGCCTGGCTCTGGTGGGCCAACTGGGGAGGCCCTCCCTTATGGTTGTGATACGTCCTAGATTTTTAACCCCTGCTACTGAATAGTTCAAGCCAACATTAAAATCACTTAATTGACTGCCCTTCCCAAACAACTTGCATATATATAATAATTCATGGATTCTCTGAGTACTCTCAGTCCTAAGAAATAAAAAACTTTCAGGCCGGGTGCAGTGGCTCACGCCTGTAATCCCAGCACTTTGGGAGGCTGAGGCGGGTGGATCACCTGAGGTCAGGAGTTCAAGACCAGCCTGGCCAACACATAGTGAAACCCCATCTCTACTAAAAAAATACAAAAATTAGCTGGGTATGGTGGTGCACGCCTGTAGTCCCAGCTACCTGGGAAGCTAAGGCAGGAGAATCACTTGAACTTGGGAGGCAGAGGTGGCAGTGAGCCAAGATCGCACCACTGCACTCCAGCCTGGGCGACAGCGAGACTCCGTCTCCCAAAAAAACAAAGAGAAATAAAAAACTTTGAACTCCTTATGTGAGGGAACACCGCTCCCTATTACTGTTGGTAGAAATTGATCCTACGCTGTTTCTACTATGAGCCTAGAATTGTAGGATTCTAGCAGTTCCCTTGCCTGGGAGCACATGAGCGATGAGGTGTTGCACAGAATTCAGAATCTTGGCAGGAGCTGGTTTAAGACAAGTGTGGCCTGGCCATTCATTGGGTGAGGGGAATATCAGTCACCTCTGCTCTGGAATTTTAGGAAAGGAACACCCCTCACATCAGAACTGGGAACTTGGTAGTGACTATACCGGGTATGAGGTGTTGAGATACAGCAGTTGGCTGACAGCAGCTGGAGAGAGTAGTTCACATGATCCCACGCTGCACCTGCTGACACACCCCTCCCACTCTGTAGCATGAATTGGGGGGCCACACTGCCTGAGATTGAAGTCCAGCTCCATCACTGACTAGCTGTGTGGCTTTGGAAGAGTCAATGTCTCTGCCTCAGTTATCTGTAAAGCAGGGCTAATAATAGTGCCTACCTCATAGAGTTGTTTTTAAAATTACACCAGTTATTACATGGAAAGCACTGAGCACATGTAACATCCAGCACATAATATACACCGTGTAAGTGTATTTTAATTTCTTTGCTGACTAGTTGTGGCTTCATTTCTTCCAAAAAGCTTTCTTTCGTTGAATCCCCAGACTGGGTTTGGTGTTCCTATTCTGCCCTCTCACATACTTTGGGCTTCATCAATTAAAACTGGAACACGATGACTTAAAATGTGTTTAAGCACCTGAGGAGGAAAGAAGGAGGCCAGGGCAGCTCTGAGGGTGTTTGAGTTCCATACTGATCTAAGCCTGCCCCCAACGCTCACGGCAGCGGTCGCCTACTTGCTCTAGACGAAGGTTTGGCTCCAGACAGAAGCCTGCCCAGTGACCACAGTGTTGTGACCTTCCTGCTGGCCAGGAAGGCCCCAGGGGACTCTGTGGCAGTATAGGGCCCTATGGAGGAACTTTGTCCTGCTACAGAGCTATTGCTCTTGGTAAACCTAGAAGACACGGCCGAGTTCGAGACAAGGACCTGGCTATGGGAGACCTGGTCTCGCTCTCACTGCTCATCAATGGGAGATGGTGGCTGTGCCATGAGCTGCTGCATTAATAGCTCTCTTGGTTTTAGGTAGAATTTCTTATTCTGCCTGAATTAGTTTCCTGGGGCTGCCACAACAAAATACCACAGACTGGGTGGCTTAAACAACAGAAATTCATTATCTCATGCCTGCGAGTCCAAGACCAAGGTGCTGGGAAGGTAGGTCCTGCGAGGGCTGTGAGGGAAGGAGCTGCTCCAGGCCACTCTCTCTGGCTTGGGAAGGCCCATCTTTTCTCTATGTCTTCACATTACCTTCCCTCTGTATGTGTCTGTGTCCAAATTTCCTCCTCTTATAAGAACAGATTGGATTAGGGGCCACCTTAATGATCTCATTTTAGCTTGATTACCTCTATAAACACCGCATCTCCAAATAAAGGCACATTCTGAGGAACTGGGGGTTAGGACTTGAACATAGAAATTTTGGAGGTGGGAAATATAATTCAACCCATAACACTGACTAAAGTAAAACATTTTGTTTGGTTGGTTGGTTTTTTTGAGATGAAGTCTCACTCTATCACCCAGGCTGGAGTGCAGTGGCTCAATCTCAGCTCACTGCAACCTCCGCCTCCAGGGTTCAAGCGATTCTCCCACCTCAGCCTCCCCAGCAGCTGGGATTACAGGTGTGAGCCACCACACTCAGCTAATTTTTTTGTATTTTTAGTAGAGACAGGAGTTTTACCATGTTGGCCAGACTGGTCTCGAACTCCTGACCTCAGGTGATCTGCCTGCCTTGGCCTCCCAAAATGCTGGGATTATAGGCCCGAGCCACTGCACCCAGCCCCCTTTATTTTTTTTGAGATGGAATCTCACTGTGTCACCCAGGCTGGAGTGCAGTGGTGCGATCTCAGCTCACTACAACATCCGCCTCCCAGGTTCAAGCAATTCTCCTGCCTCAGTCTCCCAAGTAGCTGGGATTACAGGCATGCTCCACCATGCCTGGCTAATTTTGTATTTTGAGTAGAGATGGGGTTTCTCCATGTTGGTCAGGCTGATCTCAAACTCCCGACCTCAGGTGATCCTCCCGCCTTGGCCTCCCAAAGTGCTGGGACTAGAGGTGTAAGCC
Organism: Homo sapiens; assembly: GCF_000001405.40. Classification (NCBI taxonomy): domain Eukaryota; kingdom Metazoa; phylum Chordata; class Mammalia; order Primates; family Hominidae; genus Homo; species Homo sapiens. The sequence goes on along the minus strand of NC_000009.12, from coordinate 69,138,648 downwards.
ACCATGCCCAGCCTCCCGGCTGCCTGGCTAATTTTTGTATTTTTAGTAGAGACAGGATTTTGCCGTGTTGGTTAGGCTGGTCTCGAACTCCTGACCTCAAGTGATCCGCCCACCTCAGCCTCCCAAAGTGCTGGGATTACAAGCATAAGCCATGGTCCCTGGCCCTTTTTTTTTTTTTTGTAAAGTTCTCATCCAGTTTTGTCTTGTGATGGAAAAAGGTGAAAGCCCAGAAGTTCCTGATGGCCTGGATCTGTCCAGCCCTGTGACTGAGCCCATTATATACTTTATAGCAAACCAGCTGGGAAAAGAAAATCCTCCACCCTCAAGATAAGCCAATGTCTGATACGTGAGAACAATCTAGGCTCTGGCAGCAGAAGCCAAATCCATCCAAACTCAAGAGGAAGAAGCTAAAACCCACTTATAACTATTATGAGCAAACAAAGACATGGGACCTCCAGACAGCATGGAGGGTCTGGGTATGGAACGGGCGGAACGTTGGTTCAAGATGAGAGAACTGGTAATGCCTCTTGGAGAAGAGAACAGGGCTGTTAAGTTGGAATCAGGATGGAGATCCTGTTGATGACAGGCAGAACGATGAGGCCAGAAAGTGATTGATGTTCCAAAGTCAAGCATGCCTCTGACCAACCAAGTGGGAGAGAAAAATCAATTCTATACTAACCCTGTGGAAGAACAGAACAGAAAAGCAGACCCAAAGGGGCATCTTAAGATGTCTGGATTGAGCTGCCCAAAGTCTTCTGGAGAGAGGAAATGAAATGACTGCACATTGTCACGAGAAAGAAATGGAGCCTGCTGAGATATTACCTGTCAAAGTAGAGGAAGAGGAGGAAAGATCTGAGGCAAATGACAAGATGAGCTGTGACCAGGAGATCTGGGGACCCACAGAAAGAGATTCAAAGACCTTGAAGAAAAGCTGGAAAGTTTCTTCTTCTCAAGGCCAGATTCTGTCCCTTGAAAAAAAAAGCTCAGCTGAGTACAGTGGCTCATGCTTGTATTCCCAGCACTTTGGGAGGCCGAAGCGGGCAGATCACTTGAGCCCAGGAGTTCGAGACCAGCCTGGGCAACATGACAAAACTCCATCTCAACAAAAAAATACAAAAATTGGCCGGGCCTGGTGGTGCGCATCTGTGGTTCCAGCTACTCAGGAGGCTGAGGCGAGAGGATCGTTTGAGCCTGGGAGGCAGACATTGCAGTGAGCTGTGATCACACCACTGCACACGTTGCAGTGAGCTGTGATCACACCACTGCACACTCCATCCAGCCTGGGCAACAAAGCAAAACCCTGTCTCAAAAAAAAAAAAGAAAAGAAAAGAAAAGAAAAGAAAAGAAAAGAAAGAAAGAAAGAAAGAAAGAAAGAAAAAGAAAGAAAGAAAGAAAGAAAGAGAGAGAGAAAGAAAGAAAGAAGGAAAGAAAACAAAGAAGCTCATGATCATTGGTTGAAGAGTGTGGGCAGCTGGACAAAACCTCAGCTCATGACGAGAGGCTGCCGACCTGAGAAAGAGAATAACCAACAGAACAATGAAACTCGAGCCACATAATTCAGGGATCAGGCAGAGCTAAGGAACCTGGCCTGGATCGCACAGCTCCTACGCAGCAGGGCTGACTCCTTCCACTCTGCTCAGTGCCTTCTGGAAGTGGATCCTCTAGCATCTGATGACACACACAAAGCGTTGCCCTGAGCAGTGGTGCTGCTTCCTCGGAGACAGGAGGGTCCCACACCCCCAACCTCTTCCCTCTCCTCCTGCTCTTTCCCAAATCTGTTTCCAGTGAATCCAAATGTGGAGTTCATGACAAGAGGATATCCTCTTCCTTCTCCTTCTCCAGGAAGCCTGAGTGAACACACCCTACCACCATCACCAGGCTTCTCACCAAAGGGCCGCTGTCCTCCTCATCCTCTCCTTCTCCCTCATGGGCTGAGTTTTTCCCAGACACCCCCAACCAGGAAATGGATGTAGTTTCCTCCTGCATTCACTGAGCTTGCACATGACCCTAGTAGTCAAGATCCAGAAACACCGCAAAGTCTTTAAGACACTTTGTTCTAAATTTTCCTGTAAAATATTTCCAAATCATCTACATTTATTTTTAGCTAAAAAAAAACTTTTTTACATAAATGGTTCTATATTTTCTCAAACTGTATTATGATTTGATTAGTATTATAAATTTTAGGATACCTTTTACCATCATTGAAGTTATTGTCATTATAGTATACACTCTACTAAAATGAACTGTACATTTTAACTTGATGACTCAGCTCATTATTTATTCATTTTTTTCAGTAGAGATGAAGTCTCACTATGTCACCCAGACTGGTCTCAAACTTCTGGTCTCAAGTGATCCTCCCGCTTTGGCCTCCCAAAGTGCTGGGATTATAGACATGAGCCACTGCACCCATTATTCTTAAAAAACATATTTTTTTGTCAGCAGTTCAGCCACGAGACACATTTGAAATTGCAAAACACTTTCCTCTGCTATTGGTTCTATGGACCACAGTTACAAGACAAAGATAAAAGTTTCTTGGTGGTATCAAATTTGAATTGACATCAAGAAATAATATCTCTTTGAGCATTCTGAGATAGCCTAAAAGGTAGGTATGATGTCATAGTCATCCTTCTATCTCTAATATCTCTCCTCACTCAGGAACTAGCACTTGACTGACGTCCAATAATATTAGAGTTTACTTCTTAATTAAGAGTCAGGCAAGTATAATGATTAAGACCCTACACTTGGCTGGGCACGGTGACTCACGCCTGTAATCTCAGCACTTCGGGAGGCTGAGGCAAATGGATCACATGAGGCCAGGAGTTTGAGCCCAGCCTGGCCAACATGGTGAAACACCATCTCTACTAAAAATACAAAAATTAGCTGGGCGTGATGGCGCGAGCCTATAGTCCCAGCTACTTGGGAGGCTGAGGCAGGAGAATTGCTTGAACCCGGGAGGTGGAGGTTGCAGTGAGCCGAGATCACGCCACTGCACTCCAGCCTGGCAAAAGAGTAAAACTCCGTCTCAAAAGAAAAAAAAAAAATCAGCTAGGTGTGGTGGTGCATGCCTGTAATCCCAGCCACTCAGGGGGCTGAGGCAGGAGAATCACCTGAATCCGGGAGGCAGAGGTTGCAGTGAGCTGAGATCGTGTCACTGTACTCCAGCCTGGGTGACAGAGCGAGACTCTGCCTCAAAAAACAAACAACAACAACAACAAAATCCTAGACCCTAGAAGCAGACTGCCTGGTCAGAATCCCAGCTTCACACTTAATTAGCAAATCACTTAAATTCTTCAGGGCCTGGGTTTCCTCATCTGTAAACCGGGGATAATAAATAATGGCCATACCTAGTGAGATTGTTTGAGAATGAATTTTAATGACTATATGCAAAACATTTAGGTCCTGTCCCATTCAAAGAGCTATTAAGAGTGCCAGCCATGATTATTTACTCAGCAAATCGTTATTGGCCTGGGTTGCTAAGGACTGAGTGTTTGTATCTCCCCAAAATTCATATGTTGAAGCCCTAACCTCCAGTGTGATGCTATTTGGAGATAGGACTTTTGGGAGGTAATCAGGTTTAGATGAGGTCATGAGGGTGGGACTCTCATGATAGGATTAGTGTCCCTACAACAAGAGAGAGAATGAGAGAAACAGATCTCTCTCTCTCTCTCTCTCCTCTTCTCTCTTCTCTCTCTCTCTCTCTCCTCTTCTCTCTTCTCCCTCTCTCTCCATACACAATGCATCCAGGAAAGGCCATGTGAGCATACAGCAAGATGGTGGCTGTCTGCAAGCCAGGAAAAGGGTTCTCACCACGAACCTGACCATCCTGGCACCTGGTATCAAACCTCATGTCTCCAGAGCGCTGAGAAACAAATGTCTGTTACTTAACCCACCCAGTCATTGGTACTTCATTATAGCAGCCCGAGCTGACTAAGACACAGGTCGTAGGCCCAGCTCAGACAGGTCTTTCAGCTCGCTGGGTGGTACTTCCTCTATTGACCCTGGGTTCCTCGAACCCAGTTTGTCTTGCTTGAGTGGAGCACTTCAGCCTTCCAAGTGGACACTTAGATCTTGCTGCAATCCTGCCCTCTGGCAGCTGAGGTGCCAGTGACCACTGCTTCACTATCCGCCTCCTAGCTCTCCAGGTGTGCACCCCACAGGACCAGCCCTTCAGGCCTCCAACACCACTCACACTCCAGACAACAGCCCCACATTGCCCAGGGTATCAACATTCCAACTTCCTATTTCTCCCTCTTCCCAGGAGAGACTCCCTGCACCTGCTGTGGGACTTGTGTCACTGCTTAGTCTCTAATTGTTATATTTATGTTTACCTGTGCACCATCTGCCTCCTCCAGACTGTAAGCTCTGCTCTGAGGGCAGAGACCTATTTTGCTGACGTTGTATCCATTTCACGTTGGGTGTTCCAGTCCAACTCCACACTCATTCATTCACTCCCTCTACATCCCCTGAGCTGGTCCCTATCAAACAGTCTGATTGGCACTGGAGATTCAAATAATACCAAGCCATCCTTGCCTTCAAAAATCACCCAGTCTAATGCTGCAACAAGCAACTGCGACCCAGCATGCTGTAATACGGATGTGAGTGACCATGGAACCAGGGTAGGACATAGGAGAGCATGAGCAATCCTGTCCGAGGGACTTGGCTTGGGAAAGAGAAAGAGAGAAAAGAGAAAGTACTTGAGTTGGGTCTTAATAATAGGAGTACATATTCCTTAGGCTGACAAAAGAAATCTGGGGCATCCAGGTAAAGAGAAAAGTGTGTTCAAGAGCCAGAAAAATGAGGCTGGGCATGGTGGCTCACATCTGTAATCCCAGCACGTTGGGAGGCTGAGGCAGGCGGGTCACTTGAGGTCAGGAATTCGAGGCCAGCCTGGACAACATGGTGAAACACTGTCTGTACTAAAAATATAAAACTTAGCTGGGCATGATGGTGCACGCTGTAGTCCCAGCTACTCAGGAGGCTGAGGCAGGAGAATCGCTTGAACTCGGGAGGCAGAGGCTGCAGTGAGCCGAGATCGCGCCACTGTACTCCAGCCTGGGTGACAGAGCGAGACCCTGTCTCAAAAAAAAAAAAAAAAAAAAAAAGCCAGAAAAATGAAACAGGAAAGCATTCTTAGACCAGCAAGCGGAGCAGTGTGGCAGGAATGCAGGCTTGTGTGCACCCATGAGCCCAGGGCTGAAGGGGATGCCTCTGAAGTGACTTGCAGAGTGAAGATGCAGCAGACGCCAGTCTTTCCGGAGAATACACACCTATCCTTGGCTAGGCGTCGCTAAGCCATTATTTAGTGAACATTTCTACTGTGCCAGCCCCTGAAATAAGCACTCTACATACACGGCCTTGTTTAGTTCTCACAACAGCCTTAAAAGAAAGGATGGGCACAGTGGCTCATGCCTGTAATCCCAGCACTTTGGGAGGCCGAGGCAGGAGGGTTGCTTGAGCTCAAGCGTTCGAGACCAGGCTGGGCAATATGGTAAAACCCTGTCTCTACAAAAAATACAAAAATTAGCCAGGTGTGATGGCACATGCCTGTAGTCCCAGCTGTTTGGGAGGCTGAGGTAGGAGGATCACTTGAATCCAGGAGGCAGAAGTTGCAGTGAGTCGAGATTGCACCACTGCACTCCAGCCTGAGCAACACAGTGAGACCCTATCTTAAAAAAAAGGCAATAAATTCTCCCTGTTTTTAGATGAAGAAATGAAGAAATCTAGGCACCAGGTGACTAAGTAACTTGCCCAAGGCACACAGGTAATAAGTAGTAGAGGTGTGATTCCTACCCAGGTTGGTCTGATTATAAAATTCATGCCTTCTGAACTCCCACTAAGCCTACCAGGTAGGTACCCTAGGGCCTTTGGTATATCCCCATAGCAATGAATTTAACTGCCCCTTTCCTCATTCATTCCCTCTAGAAGTGGGTCTCATGAGAGCAGAGAATTTACCCTGCTCACCGTGGTATCCTTAGCACCTTGCCACAGTGCCTCAAAGGGCATAGGCATTGATAAGCGCCTGTTAAGAATGAATAAATGGATGAATGAATGCACAGGACTTTGAACTCTTTTCCACCCTTCTCTATCCGTGTAGTGCAGGAATCCCAGTTATCATTCTGAACCCAGGATCTAGGTGCAAAACCCCAGTTCACTTCCTTCCACCTTCTCCTGCAGCACCAGGCCCCGAGGCTGCATTAACAGATCCCTTCTCCAAGTTCAGGGGTCCCCACCACCATCCTCACCTGCCACTCTCATCCCCATCCAAAAGGTAACATAGCAAGCCTGACTGTTATCCTTTGAAAGACCCACTTACAAGGTGGCTCTCAGCTGATGCCTGGGAATTTGGATTCCCACCACTGCCAGGACTGGTAAGAGTCTCACACTGTCCTTAAACTGTACAACCATGTGGTTTATGCTGAACAGCTGCTTTCCTTGTGTGAGTCTGAAATTTGGGTAGCTGGTAGGCAGAGGACACCAGTGTAACAATCCCCCAGTAAAAACCCGGGGCAGTGAGTCCCTTATAAGCTTCCCTGGTTGATAACATTTCACATGTGTGGTCACAACTAGTTGCCAGGGAATTAAGCACATCATGTGTAACTCTACTGGGAGAGGAGCCTTGGAAGCTTGTGCCTGCTTGCCTTGGACTTCGCTCCAGTACTTCTCCCCTTGGCTTATTTTGCTTTGCATCTTTGAGCCATAATAAATCATAGCCATGAGTACAACTCTGTGCTGAGTACTGTGAGTCCTCCTAGTGAATCATTGAAACTGGGGGTGGTCTTGGGGATTCCAGGACACTCCCTCTCCACAGATGCAGGGTTGTGAAATATTTCCTTTCCAGTCCTGTCCATTAACCAGAGGAATCACACACCCAGGGCCTACAGGGGCCAGCAGGAATGTTCATCTGTGCAAAGGGCTGAGTGGGATCAAAGGCAAATTGGAAAGTCTAAACTAAGGAGCTGCTACTCAGTTCCTGACCATACAGCAAGTCACCAGGCAGTTGGTTTACAAGCACTGATATTAAATCACTTTGCTCTCTACTAACAACAGATGCCCCAAATGATAACAGAGAACACCTTGGGGCAGGCTTTGGCCTCTTTCCGAAACCCAAGAGAAATATTTTACATCCTCAGACGCAATGAGGATTCCTTTAAAATGAAATATACAATCAAATTAGGGGATGTTTCTCTCGACTTTGTGACGTGAGTGGGAAGAGTAGAACACAGCTCACTCTCAGAGGACCCAACACCAGTGGGCCACTGCCCTTCTTGGATTTCTTTCCTGTAGCAAACCTCCTGACCTTCACAACGTGGACTGTCAAAAACACTTCCATATGTCAGCACCCACTCTCAGAATCGGCTTATATCAAGTTATGCTAAGATGACTGCATGCCTAAAGCTATTAAGCTGAGCAGGCAAATACACACAAGGACACAAACTCCAGTTTTAGAGATGACAGTCACTCCTCGCACAAAGAAATCTTGCTTCTGGTTTGCAAAACTCATCCTGGTTTTACGTTAATTATCAGTGACAGGCAGAAAGAGGGAGAGAACTTAGTCATGATCCCTGGGACTACGGCCAGAAAGACTAAAAGAATTCCCTTTCTTACAGGAAAGTCCACATGTGACTCTGTGGCCACAAGCAGCACATCCCACTGCCCGGGGATGCTGCCCTTCCTGAAAGAATGGTGGAAAGGCCAGGCCTGCACAGCTACAACACCTACCATCCGGGTGACCACTCAGTCCCTCCCCTGACACCAATACCCATACATGTCCTCACTCTCCTGAACCTTTACATAGGAGTTTGTGGGTCTTCACTCACCCAGGTCTCCTCATAACCCTCTGTCCATTTCTTCCTTATCTCTCAGCTCTGTTCTTCCTCGCAGCCACCCCTCCCCACAGTATTCCTCAATTCGTCCTCAGCACTTGTCTATGCGCCCTGCTTTGGCTGGTACCCACTTCCACAGCTCCACCAAGCCCCTGCACACACAGGATGCCCAGACCAGCCTCAAGCCCGGCCCCTTCCGTCATGCAAGTTCCAGACCTGCACTTCCAAAGGCCTCCAAAGCACTGGTTCTCAAAGCGGGATTCCCAGAGCAGCAGCAGCAGCATGACCTGGGTGGGCACTCGTTAGAGACACAGATTCTTGAGCCCCCGCCCCAGATCTACGCAATCAGAAACTCCAGGAGGGGGGCCTGCAATCTGTATTTTGACAAGCCTTCCAGATGGTTCAGATGCAAACTAATGTTTGAGAATCACTGCGCTACACACTTCCACTCACCTATCCCACTACTGTCTCAAAGAACCCTCAAATGGAAGTTTTCTTTTTCTAAATCCAGCTGACTTCCCTAGTTCTCTGCTATTACCAACATTTCCCCATAATACAAGATCCAAACAGTATAACCTGAGGTCAGGTTATAGCGAGCCTCCAAAACACAACAGATATTTAAGAAACTCAATACTGGCTTGTGACTGTAGAGAATGAAGAAAATTCTCTGTGGCTACAAAGGAAAAACACTGCCGTGCAGCTTGGGAAACAAGGAACAAAAATGCACTGACTCGTGAAAAATGTCTTATTAATCTACTCTTTTTTTACTTTCTTTTTCTTTTTTTTCTTTTTCTTTTTTTTTTTTTTTTTGAGGCAGAGTTTCGCTCTTGTCCCCCAGGCTGGAGTGCAATGGCGTGATCTTGGCTCACTGCAACCTCCGCCTCCCGGGTTCAGGCGATTTTCTTGCCTCAGCCTCCCAAGCAGCTGGGATTACAGGCACGCCACCACGCCCAGCTAATTTTTTTATTTTTAGTAGAGACAGGGTTTCACCATGTTGGCCAGGCTGGTCTCGAACTCCTGACCTCAGGTGATCCTCCTGCCTCAGCTTCCCAAAGTGCTGGGATTACAGGCGTGAGCCTGGCTTTGGTCTCGAACTCCTGACCTCAAGTGATCCGCACGCCTCGGCCTCCCAAAGTGCTAGGATTCCAGGCGTGAGACATCGCACCCAGCCTTAGTCTACTCTTCTTTTGGCAGTACTTGAGAATAAAATAAAGAGTACCCTAATAAAATATATAGACAATGTATTAATATGATTTTTAAACTATATTATTGTATATTTTAGTAAGTAGAATTGACGGGGTTTTTTTTTGTTTTTTGCGACAGGTTCTTGTTCTGTTGCCCAGGTGGAGTGCAGTGGTGCAATCACAGCTCACTGCAGCCTGGACCTCCCAGGCTAAAAGGATTCTCCCACCTCAGCCTCCTGAGTAGCTGGAAGGACAGCACACGCCACCATGCCTGGCTAATTTTTCATATTTTTAGTAGAGACTGGGTTTCACCATGTTGGCCAGGCTGGTCTCGAACTCTTGGATTCAAGTGATCTGCCCAAAGTGCTGGTATTACAGGCATGAACCACCTCATCTGGCCCTGACAGATGTTAATCAATAAATATTTTGGTGAAAGAGTTTAAAATGTCCACCATGTACACTAGTCCGTTTGTGTGTATGTATTATTAACATTTTAGTGTATGATTATTTTCATGGACATTAAATCAGCAGGTAGAATAGTAAGTCCCTGCTTACGTACTCCCCATCAACCCCAAGAAACTACGTATTCATTAATTCTTCATTCAAATCTTTAGGAACATCAGGTATTACACTAGGCCCAGAGGCCTAAGCCGCAATAAATTCCAAAAGAGCAAATGGCTCAATTTACATTTTCAGTATGCTTCTAATCTAAACCATTGAAACTGGAGAATTTATTCAAAACAGAATTTCCTCTTTCCCTATGTCCTTTTCCCTTGGAAAAGAATCAAGAAAAAAGTCCAGGAATAATAATCTAATAGCCAGGCGCAGTGGCTCACGCCTGTAATCCCAGGACTTTGGGAGGCCGAGGCGGGCGGATCACGAGGTCAGGAGATTGAGACCATCCTGGCTAACACGATGAAACCCCGTCTCTACTGAAAAATAACAACAAAAATTAGCCGGGCGTGGTGTTGGGCGCCTGTAGTCCCAGCTACTCGGGAGGCTGAGGCAGGAGAATGGTGTGAACCCGGAAGGCAGAGCTTGTAGTGAAACGAGATCACTCCACTGCACTCCAGCCTGGGCGACAGAGCCAGACTCCATCTCAAAAAAAAAAAAAAAATGGTCTAATAAGCACATGAAAAAATAAATATTCAACATCATTAGCCATCAGAGAAGTAAAAACCAAAATCACACACCAACTAGCGTGGTTAAAATTTAAAAAGACAGACAACAGTAATAATGTATGTGGATGCAGACATGAAATTGGAACTCCAAATACCTGGCTGATGGGACTGTAGAAGAATATGGCCACTCTAAAAAACAGTATGGCAAATCCTGAAAATATTAAATATGGAGTTACCATATATTTTCCACTTCTAGGTATGTACTCTAGCAAATGAAAATGTATGTCCACATAAAAACTTGTACATGAGTGTTCATAACAACATTATTCATAATAGCCAGAAAGCAGAAACAATCCAGATGCCCATAATGGATGAATGGATAAGCAAACTATGACATGTCCATGCAATGGATGATTATTCAGCAATAGAAAGAATAAAGTACTGGCCTGTCATGATGGCTCACACCTATAATCTTAGCACTTTGGGAGGCCGAGACAGGAGGACTGCTTGAGACCAGAAGTTCAAGGCTGCAGCAGTGAACCATGATTGTGCCACTGCACTCCAGCCTGGGCAACAGAGCAAGATCCTGACTCAAAAAAAAAAAAGGAACAGATACATACTACAATGTACATAAGCCTTTAGTCACCATGTTGCCCAGGACTCAGGTGATCCTCCCACCTCGGTCCCCCAAAGGAGTGGGATTACTGGAGTAAACCACGGCTCCCATAGATAAACCTTGCAAACATGCTAAGTCAAAGAAGCCAGACAATGAAGGGCCACATAGTCTATGATTCCATTTATATAAAATGTTCAGAATAGGCTAATCTATAGGGACAGAAAGTAGATTCCTGGTACCCTGGTCAGGGGTAGAGGGGGAATATTGACAGGAGCCAGCTAAGGGGTAGAGGGGGTTTACTGGGGAAAATGTTCTCTGAGGGGGCATTAAAAACATCTTTTTTTTTTTTTTGAGACAAGATCTTACTGTGTCGCACAGGCTAGAGCCCAGTGGCATGATCATAGCTTGGCGAAGCCCCGATCTCTTGGGCTCAAGTGATCCCCCAACTCAGCCTCCTGAGTAGCTGGGACTATAGGCATAAACTACCATGCCCAGCTAATTTTTAAAGTTTTTGTAGAGACAGGGGTCTCCCTTGCGGCCGGGCGCGGTGGCTGACGCCTGTAATTCCAACACTTTGGGAGGCTGAGGCAGGCGGATCACGAGGTCAGGAGATCGAGACCATCCTGGCTAACATGGTGAAACCCCGTTTCTACTAAAAATACAAAAAATTAGCCGGGCGTGGTGGCGGGCACCTGTAGTCCCAGCTACTCAGGAGGCTGAGGCAGGAGAATGGCGTGAACCCGGGAGGCAGAGCTTGCAGTGAGCCGAGATCGCACCACTGCACTCCAGCCTGGGCGATAGAGTGAGACTTTGCCTCAAAAAAAAAAAAAGAGAGAGAGAGACAGGGGTCTCCCTATGTTGCCCAGGCTGGACTTGAACTCCCAGGCTCAAGCAATCCTTCCACCTCAGCCTTCCAAACTGCTGGGATTACAGGCATGAGCTACCACATCTAGCCTTGAAAATATCTTAATATTGACAGTGGTGATGGTTAACAACTCCACAAATATCCTAAAAGACATTGAATTGTAGACTAAATAAGTGAATTGTATAGTATGTGAATTATATCTCAATGTAACTGTTTAAAACAAAAATGGCCAAAGCTAAAAGAGAATTATCAACAGCCTCAGTTAACTAAAAAGTACACTGAAAAGTGCTAGGTAAATTTATGGCTTTTTCTGTTTCCTTTGCATTATAAATTTCTCCCAAATGGAGGTGCGTAGCCTTTGTTATCATTTTACATTTTACAAGCCCTTGTACAAATAAGGTCTTTTTGAGTCTTCACTATAATTCAGGAGCAAGATAATTATTTCCTTTATTTTATATACCAGCATGTGGCAGCTTCGAGCTTATGAGATTTACTGTGGTTCATTCAGCTGGTTGTAGCAGAGGTCAGTTCTTCCACACCTAAAGCCTGGGTCCTTTCTTTTACACTGTGTGGCATTTCAGGGTGCCAGGTAGGTACTGTCATGCAGAGTACTTCTGACCCATCTCAATAAGCAAATGCCCACGACTTGATTTTCTGGGGAGCTGGCCCAGCCAACCTAAGACCCCATTCAAGTATAATCTAACTCATCAGAGGTCTCAGGGTACCATGAAAAGAACCCTTGGCTCTTGAGTCCTTTGCTCTTTTGAAATTTATTTCCATTTTGGCTCATCTTTTTATTTGCCTCAGGGCCTAGCACAGTACCTGATGTTCCAAAAGATTTGCATGAAGAATTTATGAATACTGTACATAGCTTGTCATGAATTACATCTCAATATAACTGCTGGAGGTGAAGGGGAGTGAGTAGGTAGGAATTTCTTATTCTACAATGGGAGGACCAGGAAAAGAACCATGGTTTCAAGCAAGAAGACCCAAAGTGGCCTCAATTTTCTCTTCCGTAAAATGAGAAAAAAAGAAATACCATGCTCAAGGTTGTTGTAAAGATTTAACGACAGTATATCTGAAAATCCCTGTTTCACAATGGGTACACAACTAGTGTTCATTAATGCTAAATCAAATACTAGTCCAGTACCTTGATATCTCCTATGGAGACCAGTAGTTCTGGACACTGGGGATTCTAAAGTTCAGTGATGATCAATATCAAAAGGTGCCAATTAGATTTGCCAAACTTGAACTGTCTACCTAATTATAAGGAAGAAACTATTGTTAATTTTATTTCATGTTGTATATAAAATTGTGTTATCTTGTAACTTCAGATTAATTTTATATCTTGGTTTGCACTCACATTCGAGTGTGTGTGTGTGCATGTGTTTATTCTAGTGACCCCCAAACCTAATTACATATCAGAATCAAGGTGAGCCAGGTGCAATGGCTCATGCCCGTAATCTCAGCACTTTGGAAGGTGGAAGCCGAGGTGGGCAGATCACTTGAGGCCAGGAGTTCAAGACCAGCCTGGCCAACATGGACAAATCCCGTCTCTACTAAAAATTAGCTGGGCATTGTGGTGCATGCCTGTAGTCCCAGCTGCTTGGGAGGCTCAGGCACGAGAATTGCTTGAACCCAGGAGGCAGAGGTTGCAGTGAGCTGAGATGGCACCAGTGCACTCCAACCCGGATAACAGAGTTAGACTCTATCTCAAAAAAAAAAAAAAAAAAAAATCACTCAGGGTGCTATTAAACGCACAGATTGTAGTATAAAGACTTTGACTTGGCCGGGCGCAGTGGCTCACACCTGTAATCCTAGCACTTTTGGAGGTCGAGGTGGGTGGATCACCTGAGGTCAGGAGTTTGAGACCAGCCTGACCAACATGGAGAAACCCCATCTCTACTAAAAATACAAAAATTAGCTAAGCGTGGTGGCACATGCCTGTAAACCCAGCTACTTGGGAGGCTGAGGCACGAAAATCGCTTGAACCTGGGAAGCAGAGGTTGCAGTAAGCCAAGATCGCGCCGTTGCACTCCAGCCTGGGTGACAAGAGCGAAACTCCATCTCAACAACAACAAAAAAAGAGTTTGACTTAATAAATCTGGAATATTTGGAGAGTTTCCATTTTTATTAAGCTACCAGGTGATTCCCCAAACATCACTGAAATCACTGATAAAACCATTCACTGGACATTTTCTAAGAAATGTTTTCTCATGTAGATTGCAAAATGCATCCATTTACCAAATAAAACTCTGAACTATATTGTTCAGAAGAGAACATACTATAGGAGGGTAAACCTTTTCTCTCTTGCCTTACTAGAATTAAAAGGAAGTAATAACATTCTGAAAGTCTGTGAATGCAGGAGTCTTCTTAAGAGAGAATGTTCTGCCAAATCTTGCCGTTTGAATTATCTTCATTCACCATTTCAAAGGGACTTTTCAATCAAAGGAAGCTGTAAATTCTTACTACAAGTTGATAACCTCATTGTGATGAAAGTCGTAACACAAGAAGAGGCAAGGGTCAAGAAAAAATAGCGGGGGCTCACACCTGTAATCCCAACACTTTGGGAGGCCAAGGCGGGAGGATGGCTTAAAGCCAGGAGTTCAAGACTAGCCTGGGCAGCAAAGCAAGAACCCAATCTACAGAAAAAAATAATAATAATAATTTAAACTAGCCTCTACAAAAATAAACAAAATTAGCCAGGCATGGTAGTTTGCACCTGTAGTCCCAGCTACTTGGGAGGCTGAGGTGGGAGGATCACTTGAGCCTGAGAGGTTGAAGCTGCAGTGAACCAAGATTACACCACTGCACTCCAGCCTGGAAACACAGCAAGACTCTGTCTCAAAAAATAAAATAAGGCTGGGCGCCGTGGCTCAGGCCTGTAATCCCAGCACTTTGGAAGGCCGAGGTGGGCGGATCACGAGGTCAGGAGATCAAGACCATCCTGGCTAACACGGTGAAACCCCGTCTCTACTAAAAAAAAGAAAAAAAATTCAAAAAAATTAGCCGGGCGTGGTGGCGGGTGCCTATAGTCCCAGCTACTCGGGAGGCTGAGGCAGGAGAATGGCGTGAACCTGGGAGGTGGAGCTTGCAGTGAGCCGAGATGGCGCCACTGCACTCCAGCCTGGGCGACAGAGCGAGACTCCGTCTCAAAATAAATAAATAAAATAAAATAAAATAATTAAAAAACAAAAACAAACTAAACCCAGTATCAACAGGACACCTAAAATGAGGCCAGTTAAAAGAATCACAGAGTTACAGATCATCAAGCATCTATGCCTAGTTAATTAGAGCAGGTTGAGCACTGGGTAACTCCATTCCATTTCAGTCAAAATAGGAAACGCTTGAAGGTTTATAGTTGTCTCTATTAAAGAAAGTACGTGCACTCTAAGAACCTTGAGCTATAGTGCTTTTGTCTACCCAGGAATTCCCAAATGTTTGTTCATATTCTGCCAGCGTGATTCTACTACACATTTACTATACATTCTCTTATTTTTTGAGACATTTACTGTACATTCTTAGTCAACATCTTCTGTTCCCTCCAAAAAATATAATAATAATTAAAAGTATCCAGAAGCCCAGAGGCTGGGGAAAGGAGAAAATAAGGTATTCTAATGGCTTTCTGTTTGGGATGATGAAAAAGTTCTGGAAATGGGTAGTGGTGATGGTGGCACAATATTGAATTAAGGGTCCATTTTTAAACGGCTAAAATACTACATTTTACTTTATGTATATTTTACCACAGAATCAAAAACATCACCGGCCAGTATGTTAATCACATATCCTGTCACCCTGGGGTGCAGGTGCTCTAACCCATGCGGCTGTAGAGTGTCCTGGTGGGCAAAACAAAGATTCAAATACATAACCGGATGGAAATGTAAAGCACTCCTTGACACTGGACAGAAAACTTCACTCCAACATACCTAGGCCAGTACTTCTCAGACGTTAATGTGCAAACGGATCCCTTGGGTGATCCTGATTCAGCAGATCTGGGTGGGGCCTGAGATCCTGCATTTCAAAAGGTCGACAGGTAATGCACCCGTGACCTTAAAGTGGCAAGACACGTGAACACTTGAAAGTACCCAGAATGTCACCCTATCAGCAACTAGAATAACAGGTTCCTCACCAGGAAACGAAGAGGATAGGTAGTATCTCTCAAGTGGATTGGTTAAGGGCTTAACTTACCTACCGACCACGTTTGTGGAAATGCGTTCAGAAACCTGGACAGAAGACCTGCCTGCGGAGGCCTCCCTACGGAACTCGCCCACCTCTGGGACTGGGAAGTAGCCACAGACAATAAGGATAGTTGAGATACTCAGTTGCGCAGAAAGCCCTCGTGCAAACTTCAAAATAGTCTTGAAAATGCCCTTCTCAAGCTCGAAGAATGCCTGGAATTCAGTGGCCTTTTTCCAACATAAAGATCTCCAACTCGGTTTTGACTGAGAGCTCCCTATAGAAGAACCTTGCAATGCAGCCCTGGGAAACTTACAACGCCCTGTATATGCTGACAAGCTCGGCCCCTCCCTTACAAATGGGTCAGAAAGTGAAAATTTTTTTGTTGTTTAAATGTTTTCTAAGTCTCTGCCGCGTTAGGCGGAGGAGATCCCCGTTTTGCGGACCACGCGGGCAGGGCGAGCACCCCCAGGGCTGTACGGTCAAGCTTTCTGGAGTGCGGAGTTTTCAAGCCCCGCGGCGGAGGCTCAGCGGGCACTCAAGCAGCCCCACCAGCTTCCAATAACCAGCGCCGCGCTCCGCCCGCGTCACTCCAAGGCACCGGCTCCTGCCCCCACCCGATGCAGTTGGCTGCGCCAACAGAAATTCAAAGGCCCTTTTAATCGGGTAAAAGAGAAGCTCAGCAGAAAGTGAAACAGTTTCCATCCCTTGAGTGAAAGGGTGCCAGGCCAGGGAGAAGAAAAAAGGTGGCTCCCAGACACCTGTGGCTGCCGCAGGTGCGTGTTCAGGCACACCTGTTGATGATTCCCCCAGAGAGACCCTGTGAGGCGCTGCCGCCCCGGGGGCGATGAGGAAGCAGTGAAAAAGTAAATGCCCGATGAAGTACACAGCGCACTCTGCAGAGAAACCTAGGGGATGTCAACCCGTTTACTCGCGCTGCCCCTCACCCCGCCTGCACAAACGACCCAGGGCACCAGCGCGAATTCGCGCCCACCAAATCATTCCCTGGCCAAAGTCGGGACAGGAGGGAAGGCATCCCGGCGACGCCTGGGCACAGGCTGCCGCGCCTCGGCGGCTCTCCCGGGGCGTGCGGCAGGCAGCACCTGGGCCGGGGAGGGAGAGAGAGGAGGGTACTTGCCTAGAGCCGGTGGCGGCCGCCGCCGCGGCCGGCGGTGTCGGGCGCTGGGCGAGGGCGAAGGCGGCTCTCCGGGGCGCTGGGCGGCGCGGCGCTAGCTGCTGGGCTGGTGTCCCCCTGCGCTCCCTGCGCGCGTCGCTGGCTGCACTTCACCCAAGCCGGAGTGCGGGAAGCTCCCCGGGAATGGGAGGGCGCCAGCGGCCTCCGCGGCTGCTCCCGTATATTATTGTGATTCGGGCTATTTCCTGTTTAGAGGTTTGAGAGAAGGGGAAAAAAAATCCAGGGTGGGGGCAGGGGGAGTTGGGCGGTGGCGAGCCAGAGAGCAGCGGCGGGGAGGGGAAGGGGGTGGGCGGCGGCTGTCACCTGCTTCCTTGAGACCGGAGGGTTCTGGGCGCGCGAGCCCCGGGAGGGAGACGCAGCTGCTCGCAGCGCTACTTTGGGGTGTCGGGAAAGGCGGAGAGGGTGGGCCTGCACGCACGCCACTCAGCGGTGGGGCAGGGGCCGCGGCTGCCTGGGAGACCTTTGTCACTGGAGCCCGCGCGCCTACTTTGCCGCCTCTTTTCTTCTACGTAGAACTGCAGCTGAGCTTCCTCCCAGAGCTGGTGCAAGAGGAATTTGCTGGGCTTCTTTCTCTATTCGTGCCCAGGTCCGCTTCCTAATCCTTTCCAGGGTCTGGGCAAGGAGGATGTCAGCTCCTCTACCCTTCAAAGCCCCCGGGAAGCATGGTTGTGGGCCACTGTGGGTGCGTGGGGGGCTCTTGGGGGGGGGAGGTGACTGCTTTTATTGGGGGGTGTGAGAAAAGTTAATGATTTTAGTGTAAAGTTAACTTTTACGACCCGCTTCCGTTCCCCTCCCCCGCCAGCCTCACCCTTAGCCGGGATCACTGGGTCTGAGGCCCCCATCCGGAAATACCGGTTCCTCCACCCGGACAATAGGTGAGGGCGGGAGCACTACCCAGAGAGCCTGCTTAGTCACCTCGGGAGCCCCTGCTCAGTCGGGAGGGCAGAACCCTGCCAGTGCCCAGGCCTCCACCTGGCAAGCAGGTGCCCCTTCTGTTTAACGTGGCCTTGTTAAAAACCCTGGGAAGGGAATGGGAACTTAGTGCTTAATCGGTAGAGTTTCAATGTGGGATGACAAAAAGTTCTGGAGACCGAGAGTGGGGGTGTTTGCACAACAGTGTTAATATACCTAATAATGCTGTAACCGCCCAGTGGGTCCACCTTGCCGGCTGCGTAGACAGCCGATTTGTCAAGACAGGGGAATTCCAATGGCGAAAGAGTAATTCACGCAGAGCCAGCTGTGCGGGAGACCGGAGTTTTATTATTACTCAAATCAGTTTCTTCGAGCATTCGGGGATCAGATTTTGTTTGGTTGGTTTTCGGGTTTTTTTGTTTTGTTTTGTTTGAGACCGAGTTTCGCTCTTGTCGCCCAGACTGCAGTGCAGTGGCACGGGCGATCTCGGCCCACTGCAACCTTCGCCTGAGTTCAAGCGATTGTCCCGCCTCAGCCTCCTGAGTAGCTGGGATTAGGGGCGCCCGCCACCACGCCCAGCTAATTTTAGTAGTTTTAGTGGAGAAGGATTTCACCACGTTGGCCAGGCTGGTCTCAAACTCCTGACCTCAGGTGATCCACCCGCCTCGCATCCCAAAGTGCTGGGATTACAGGCATGAGCCACCGCAACCCGCCCTGAGTTTTTAAAGATAATTTGGCGGGTAGGGGCTTGAGAAGTGGGGAGTGCTGATTGGTCAGGTTGGAGATGGAATCAGGCGGGGGTCGAAGTTAGGTTTTCATATGTCTTCTGTTCCTATCTGCGATGGCAGAACTGGTTGGGCCAGGTTACTGGTCCAGGTGGTGTCAGCTGATCCATCGAGTGCAGGGTCTGCAAAATATCTCAAGCACTGCTCTTAGGTTTTACAATAGTGATGTTATCCACAGGAGCAAATTTGGAGAGGTTCAGACTCTTGGATCCGGAAGCAGCAAGACCCCTAAACTGTAATTTCTAATCTTGTAGCTAATTTGTTAGTCCTGCAAAGGCAGACTGGACCCCAGGCAAGAAGGGAGTCTTTTTCAGGAAAGGGCTGTTAGCAACTTTGTTTCAGAGTCAAATCATGAACGGAATTCCTTCCCAAAGTTAGTTCCGCCTACACCCAGGAACGAACAAGGACAGCTTAAGGGTTAGAAGCAAGATAGAGTCAGTTAGGTCTGATTTCTTTCACTGTCATAATTTCCTCAGTTATACTTTTGCAAAGGCGGTTTCAGTGCCTTACACTGTACACTTAAAAATGGTTAAAACGGGCCGGGCTTGGTGGCTAACACCTGTAATCCCAGTACTTTGGGAGGCCGAGGCGGGCGGATCACGAAGTTAGGAGATCGAGACCATCCTGGCTACCATGGTGAAACCCCGTCTCTACTAAAAATACAAAAAAATTTAGCTGGGCGTGGTGGCAGGCGCCTGTAGTCCCAGCTACTCGGGAGGCTGAGGCAGGAGAATGGCGTGAACCCGGGAAAGGGAGCTTGCAGTAAGCCGAGATGGTGCCACTGCACTCCAGCCTGGGCGACAGAGCGAGACGACGTCTCAAAAAAAAAAAACAAAAAAAAAAAACAAAAGGTTAAAAAGGGCTGGGCTGGGTGGCTCAAACTGTACTCCCAGCACTTTGGGAGGCCAAGGCGGGTGGATCACTTGAGGTGAGGAGTTCAAGACCACCCTGGTCAACGTGGTGAAACCCCGTCTCCACTAAATACAAAAATTACCTAGGCCTGGTGGCGCATGCCTGTAATACCAGCTACTCAGAAGGCTGAGGCGGGAGAATTGCTTGAACCTGGGAGGCGGAGGTTGCAGTGAGCCGAGATCTTGCCATTGCACTGTGCACTCCAGCCTGGGCAACACAGTGAGACTCCGTCTCAAACAAAAAATAAAAAAGTTAAAACGGTACATTTTATGCCATGTACATTTTACCACACACACAAAATCCTGGGTATCGATGCCATCACTCACGCCAGACAACTTTGCTTAGGACTGCCAAACTCTTCCCCACGCAAACTTTTGCCAGAAGTAATAGAATGGATAACAGTACTTTTTATAAAACTCAGGTTCAGGCCTGACATAGTGGCTCACGCCTGTAATCCCAGCGTTTTGGGAGGCCAAGGCGGACAGATCACGAGGTCAGGAGTTCGAGACCAGCTTGGCCAATATGGTGAAACCCCGTCTCTACTAAAAGTACAAAATTAGCCAAGCGTGATGGTGCATGCCTGTAATCCCAGCTACTTGGGAGGCTGAGTCAGGAGAATTGCTTGAACCTGGGAGGCAGAGGTTGCAGTGAGCTGAGATTGTGCCGCTGCACTCCAGCCTGGTGACAGAGCAAGACAGTGTCTCAAAACAAAAACAAAAACTCATTTTCATTTAGGTTAGACTTCTGATGATACCCATCAACAACTTATTTCAACAAGAGGGAAGATCAAGCCTGAAGAACACTGCAATTTTAAGAAAGATGAACAATAATTTGTCAGAAACTAGGGTATTAACAAAGTAATAAAAGCGTATGTAGGATGCTACTGTTTACCTAGGAAAGCAGAAACACACGTAAGTACATTTGCTTTTTTTTTTGGAAGGATAAATTATTAAATAAAATGGAAACCTATAAGGGAGGGAGGGACCAGGATGGAAGGACAAGGATCGAAGCTAGACTTCTCAGAATATACCATGTTTTGGCCAGGTGCGGTGACTCATGCCTGTAATCCCAGCACTTTGGGAGGCTGAGGCGGGTGGATCATGAGGTCAGGAGTTCAAGACCAACCTGGCCAAGATGGTGAAACCCTGTCTCTACTAAAAATACAAAATCATTACAAATACTAAAAATACAAAAAAAAATTACCCAGGCATGGTGGTGGGCACCTGTAATCCCAGCTACTCAGGAGGCTGAGGCAGAGAATTGCTTGAACCCGGGAGGCAGACGTTGCAGTGAGCCAAGGTCGCGCCACTGCACTCCAGCCTGGGTGACAGAGCAAGACTCCGTCTCAAAAAAAAAAAAAAAAAAAAAAAAGAATATACTGTGTTTTGTGGATTTGACTTTGGAATGATATAAATGTTTTTTACATTCTTATGAAACAAAATTAAATTTAAAAAAAGCAAAATGCAACACATGAATGCTGGTATCAAGTTGGTAGCTTAACAGTGTGAAGAGAAATTATATAAAGTGATTTTAAAACACAATTATTGCCAGGAGCAATGGCTCACCCTGTAATCCCAGCACTTTGGGAGGCCGAGCTGGCCGGATCACCTGACATCAGGAGTTGGAGACCGGCCTGGTCAACATGGAGAAGCCCCATCTCTACTAAAAAAAATATAAAAATTAGCCAAGTGTGGTGGCACATGCCTGTAATCCCAGCTACTCAGGAGGCTGAGGCAGGACAATCACTTGAACCAGGGAGGCAGAGGTTGCAGTGAGCCCAGATCAGGCCGCTGCACTCCAGCCTGGGCAATAGAGGCAGACTCTGTCTCAAAAGAAAACAAAAAACCACACACAGACGCAATTAATTATTTGGGCTGGACAAAGGGCTCATGCTCTTGATCCCAGCACTTCGGGAGGCTGAGTTGGGCAGGTCACTTGACGCCAGGAGTTTGAGACCAGCCTGGTCAACAGGCCATCTCTACTAAAAATACAAAAAATAAGGCCAGGCGCAGTGGCTGAAGCTTGTAATCGCAGCACTTTGGGAGGCCAAGGCAGGAAGATCATGAGGTCAGGAGTTCGAGACCAGCCTGACCAACATGGTGAAACCCCGTCTCTACTAAAGATACATTAGCCGGGTGTGGTGGTGCCTGCCTATAATCCCAGCTACTCAGGAGGCTGAGGCAGGAGAATCACTTGAACCGGGAGGCGGAGGTTGCAGTGAGCCGAGATCATGCCATTGCACTCCAGCCCGGGCGACAGAGCCAGACTCCATCTCTAAATAAATAAAGTAAAAATACAAAAATTAGCCAAGTGTGGAGGCTGAGGCACGAGAATTGCTTGAGCCCAGGAGGTGGAGGTTGCAGTAAGCCGAGATCGCACCACTGAACTCCACTTCAGCCTGGATGACTGAACAAGAAAATCCACAATTATTTGACTCTATAGCCTTTGGGGATATAACTAAGGACAAAGAGAACTTTAAGAAAAAAAACTATAACCTTTTTGAATAATCATAATGTTAGCAGTAATTATGTTAATATCCTTAGATATCAATATTTTTCTTTTTTCTTTTTTTTTTTTTCTGTTTTTGAGACGGAGTCTCGCTCGGTCGCCCAGGCTGGAGTACAGTGGCATGATCTTGGTTCACTGCAAGCTCCGCCTCCTGGGTTCACCCCATTCTCCTGCCTCAGCCTCCCAAGTAGCTGGGACTACAAGTGCCCGCCACCACGCCTGGCTAATTTTTATATTTTTAGTGGAGACGAGGTTTCACCAGTTGGCCAGGTGGTCTTGATCTCCTGACCCCGTGATCCGCCCGCCTCGGCCTCCCAAAGTGCTGGGATTACAGGCTTGAGCCACCATGCCCAGCCAAGACTTTTCAGTGTAAAAGATAAATATAAAATCAAAGAAGTTAAGCAATATTAAAATTTGAGTTGGAATTATTACTTATAACTCATGATGTACTTTTCTTAAAATAAATAAATAAAATTAATAAAGTCCAAGATCTACTCACTGAAAACAAACAATAACCAACCTGACAGGAATAGGTATCCTCAGATCCCACACTATGCTTTCAAAATACCATTTTCCCTTAAAAGGATCTACTTATCCTTGGAGACATGGTTGATAATAGGTCTAGAGTAAGATGAATGCCAAATAAGCCTGGAATATCTTGCCAATTCAGAAAGCAAGGAAGCGCTCAGAAACAAATTTATTTGAAATGTCATCTGGAACCAATTTGTAGAAACTCCTGCTGGCCAAAGTGGAATAAATTTGAGCATCAATAAGAAAAATCACAGCAATAAATTGAGACATATCAAATATTTGTATATCCATGAGTCATAATGATATTTTTAAAAAAATCTTAATTGCTCAACTTTGGAAATACAATAGAACTAGTTCATTATTTTGAAAGCTGGCAAATGGTAAATAAAGGAAAAGAATTGCACATTTTGCCTGCCTTTTCTGGATCTAACATTTCTTATGTACCATTTCAGATCTTCTTGGCCTTACCTATCTTATTCCAGCCACTACTGCAGCAGCAAGTTCCAGGGGGGCTCTGACCACTTCATGCAGGGACAACCCTTAAAAACCTTACCACTTGGTTGGCTGGGTGCGGTGGCTCATGCCTGTAATCCCACCACTTTGGGAGGCCGAGGCGGGCAGATCACAAGGTCAGGAGATCGAGACCACCCTGGCCAACATGGTGAAACCCCGTCTCCACTAAAAATACAAAAATTAGCTGGGCGTGGTGGCGCGCGCCTGTTAGTCCCAGCTACTTGACAGGCTGAGGCAGGAGAATCGCTTGAACCCGGGAGGCGGAGGTTGCAGTGAGCTGAGATCACACCATTGCACTCCAGCCTGGGCGACAGAGCGAGACTCCGTCTCAAAAAAAAAACCAAAAAACAAAAAACCTTACCATTTGGCCAGACACAGTGGCTCATGCCTGTAACTCCAGCACTTTGGGAGGCCTAGGCTGGTGGGTGCCTGTAATCCCAGCTACTAAGGAGGCTGAGGCAGGAGAATCGCTTGAACCCGGGAGGCAGAGGTTGCAGTGAGCCGAGATCGTGTCATTGCACTCCAGCCTGGGTGACAAGAGCAAGACTCCAACTCAAAAAACAAAACAAAAAAAATCCTTACCTCTTACCTCCCATTCCAGGGGTTCTCTCTTAATGACAGTGTGGGGATCTATGGAAGCTATCAGGGTGCCCATGAACCCAGCACCCTGAAGTGTGGGGGAGTTAATGTTTCATGGTCTAACCTTTAACGAGTGGGGGACAGGAACTGATAAAACTTCCTCCCTTTTCCCCGCAAGATGAAGGAGCCCGAGACTCATTCTATACAACTCATATGGTCACACACAGCCAACCATTCAGGAACCTGAAGCAGCAGCCTATTCAGTGAGGCTCCCTTGAATTGTCTCTCCTGCTTCCCCATCCCTCACTTCTTTCCCTAGGATCACCACATTCTCCAGTCAAGCCTTTGTCTCTAGGCTCTGCTTCCTGGAAGACCCAAGCTAAGATGTGTATGTACCACTTGTATCTCAGAGTAACTAACTGAAGACTTGATGAGGGAATTATGTCAGTCAATAAATAAGGAATGACATTTGAATTACCAGCATTTTGTAAAACTCTAATAAAATAACAGATCCAGGCAGTGGTCATTGAATAGCCACTCACATCACAGAAAAGGAGATCACCAGGCATTATGTACCATCTGATAGAAATATACAACCACAAATGACATATTCTTGCCAAAAAGAGCAAACTAGTGTCTGACCCAGCATCTAGATCCAATTAACTGTTTAGAAAAACTCTTGAAATAGAGGAATGTGTTAAACAACACTACACTACTGCTAGGTACAGTAAATGAAGTCCAGGATGTAAAAAACTCTAAAAGAAAAATCACTCAGGCTGGGTGTGATAGCCCCTGCCTATAATCCCAGCACTTTGGGAGGCTGAGGCAGGAGGATCACGTGAGCACAGGAGTTCAAGATAAGCCTGGGCAAAATAGTGAGACCCTGTCTCAAAAAAAAAAAAAAATTAGCCAGATGTGGTAGTGCATGCTGTGGTCCCAGCTGCTTGGGAAGATGAGGTGGGAGGATCACTTGAGCCTAGGAAGGTTGAAGCTGCAATGAGTTGTGATCGTGCCACTGCACTCCAGCCTGGATGAAAGAGTGAGACCCAGTCTCAAAAAAAAAAAAAAAAAGAAAAAAGAAAAATCGCCCAGTTTCCTCAACATGCAGCAAGGCATTAAAAAAGATAGAGGAGGCTGGGCGTGGTGGCTCACACCTGTAATCCCAGCACTTTGTGAGGCCAAGGTGGGTGGATCATCTGAGGTCAGGAGTTGGGGACGAGCCTGACAAACGTGGAGAAACCACATCTCTGCTAAAAATACAAAATTAGTCAGGCGTGGTGACACATGCCTGTAATCCCAGCTACTCTGGAGGCTGAGGCAGGAGAGGCAGAAGTTGTGGTGAGCCGAGATCGTGCCACTGCACTCCATCCTGAACAACAAAAGCGAAACGCCGTCTCAAAAAAAAAAAAAAAAAAAAAAAAAAAAAGATGGAGGAGAAACCTACAGACTAAAATACTTAAGAGAGATCAGTGAAATACAATGTGTAAATCTTGTTTGGGTCTTGGGTTAAAAAAAAAAAACTCTAGGAAAAATTATGAGATATTTGAAGAAATTCTATATTCTCTAAGTTGGTAAAAATTTTAGGAAAATTATTTAATGGCATGTTTTATTCACATACCACTGATTTAGTATATAGAGTTGATGTTGCTACTACCTGTGTCTGAGTGGCATACTAATTTAATTTTTCTTTTTTTTTTTTTTTTTTGAGACGGAGTCTCACTCTGCCACCCAGGCTGGAGCGCAATGGCACGATCTCGGCTCACTGCAACCTCCACCTCCCAGTTTCAAGAGATTATCCTGCCTCAGCCTCCCGAGTAGCTGGAATTACAGGCGCTGGCCACCACGCCCAGCTAATTTTTGTATTTTTAGTAGAGACGGGTTTTCGCCATGTTGGTCAGGCTGGTCTTGAACTCCTGACCTCAGGTGATTCACCCGCCTCACCCTCCCCAAAGTGCTGGGATTACAGGTGTGAGCCACTGCACCTGGCTTTTTTTTTTTTTTTTTTTTTTCTTTTGAGACGGAGTCTCATTCTGTCGCCCAGGCTGGAGTGCAATGATGCTATCTTGGCTTGCTGCAAGCTCCGCCTCCCAGATTCACGCCATTCTCCTGCCTAAGCCTCCCGAGTAGCTGCAACTACAGGCGCTTGTCACCTTGCCGGGCAAATTTTTTTGTATTTTTAGTAGCGACGTGGTTTCACCGCGTTAGCCAGGATGATCTCGATCTCTCCTGACCTCGAGATCTGCTCGCGTTAGCCTCCCAAAGTGCTGGGATTACAGGCATGAGCCACCACCGCGCCTGGCGTTTTTTTTTTTGTTTGTTTTGTTTTTTTTAGGAGTCTCCCTCTGTTTCCCAGGCTGGAGTGCAGTGGTGAGATCTCAGTTCACTGCAACCTCCGCCTCCCAAGTTCAAGTGATTCTCCTGCCTCAGCCTCTCGAGTAGCTGGGATTACAGGTACCTGCCACCATGCCCAGCTAATTTTTGTATTTTTAGTAGAGATGGGGGTTTCGCCATGTTGGCCAGGCTGGTCTGGAACTTCTGACTTCAAGTGATCGGCCTGCCTCAGCCTTCAAAAGACCTGGGATTACAGGCATGAGCCACCGCACCCAATCTTGTTTAATTTCTTTCTGTATCTGAAATAAAATGAACATTTCAAAGAAGAATTGGATTGTTCTGGAATGTGTTCAGATAGGAAGACAGGGACTCTGGCAAGCATAGGTGGTAACTGACATCTTTGTTTTTCTTGTCATTGTAGGTCCATGTTGTATGTATTTCTTTGTCTGTGTTTTTCTGTAATCAGCAAAACAGCATTTTCCGTAGCTAATAAACATTTCCATTTTGACGACTGAGCATTGCAAAATCTGCCCAGGGAAATAAAATGGGACGCCTCCTTGGGTTACAAGGGCAGCACTATGAAAAATGGCGCAGGAACTCTGAGTTCTGACTTGGTGCTCAGCAAAGCCTCCCTCCCTGCCACTGGCAGCAAGACAGTCACGTAGAAGCAATCAAGCCTTTTTAAGAGACAAAGCTCTATTCTGTGCCTCTCGTGACAGGGAGCTCTTGTGTTCTGTATCCTGAGGTCCTGAAATCAATACTGAGCTTCACCTGCAGTCTGGGCAAACAAGAATGGGAAAGAGTCAAATCAAAGTGGAAAGTGGAGCACTCGTTTTGACAGGACCAATGTTTTCATTTTCTTTTCCTTAGAAATGGGGTCTTGCTGTGTTGCCCAGGCTGGTCTTGAACTCCAGGGATCAAATGATCCTCCCACCTCAGCATCCTGAGTGGCTGGGACTACAGGCACCACCGTGCTGGGCAGGACCAGTGTTTTCTCTTTTTTTTTTTAGACGGACTCACGCTCTGTCGCCCAGGCTGGAGTGCAGTGGCGCGATCCTCGGCTCACTGCAAGCTCCGCCTCCCAGGTTCACGCCATTCTTCTACCTCAGCCTCCCGAGTAGCTGGGACTACAGGCACCCGCCACCATGCCCAGCTAATTTTTTTGTATTTGTAGTAGAGACGGGGTTTCACCGTGTTAGCCAGGATGGTCTCGATCTCCTGACCTTGTGATCCGCCCGTCTCAGCTTCCCAAAGTGCTGAGATTACAGGCGTGAGCCACCGCGCCCGGCCAGAACCATCGTTTTCTTTGTAATGGGGGTGATGTGGAGCCCCAAAAGGAGCCCTGTTGGCTTTGCCACCTGCTGCCTGTGTGATGTGAGTTATGCATTTAACTTCTCCGAGTCTCACTTCAGTCTCCTCACCCTTTGACTCAGCACTCCATTCTTAAGCATCTATCTCAAAAAACAATACTTACACAAGTATTGAAAAAGATAGGCTAGGCGGGTGGATCACCTGAGGTCAGGAGTTTGCTACCAGCCTGACCAACATGATGAAACCCCATCTCTACTAAAATAATAATAATAATAATAAAATTAGCCAGGCATGGTGGCAGGTGCCTGTAATCCCACCTACTCGGGAGGCTGAGGCAGGAGAATCGCTTGAACTCCGGAGGTGGAGGTTGCAGTGAGCTGAGATCATGCCATTGCACTCCAGCCTGGGCAACAAGAGTGAAACTCTGTCTCAAAAAAAAAAAAAAAAGAAGGAAAGAAGTTCAAAAATGCTTATTCCTGTGTATCTGAAATAGCAAAAATTAAAATTACATTTTTAGCCACCAAAAGAATGGCAGGATAAACAATGTTACGCTATATGATGTGTTAAATGTTTTTCTGTATGGACTATTCAGATGTTTGCTTTGGTTCCAAAATGAGTATCCAATTAGTTAAAGTTACAAGTCTAAAACCCTTTCTCTAGGTTTTAACTTAACATGTTTGCTTGATTATTCCATTTTATAAAAGTAGCATTTTTTCACTTACATTTTATTATACAATATTTGATATATATAAAATAAGTAACATCTCTGTAAGCTTAGGAGTATATAATAAAATGAATACATGAACCCACCAAACAATTTATGCATAAAGCATTGCCATTGCTTTTAAAGCTACCATGTGCCTTCCAAATCCTAAACCCATCTTCTCCATCCATTTCGAGGTAATCACCATCCTAAATTATGCATTCATTTAAAAAAAAAAAACAGTTTTAACAAACATGTATGTCTTCCTAAACAATATGTTGTTTGGATTAGCTTGGTTTTGAGCTTCTTTATAAAAATGGAATCACACTCTATGTAGTCTTCTGCAACCAGCTCTTTTCACTGCAAATTATATTTCCAAGATTTATTCTGGTTGTTGGATATAGCTGTATTTCTTTTTTATTTATTTATTTATTTATTTATTGAGATAAAGTGTTACTCTGTTGCCCAAGCTGGAGTGCAGTGGCACAATCTCAGCTCACTGCAGCCTCCAACTCCCAGGTTCAAGTGATTCTCCTGCCTCAGCCTCCCAAGTAGCTGGGACTACAGGCATGGGCCACCATGCCCAGCTAATTTTTGTATTTTTAATAGAGACGGGGTTTCACTATGTTGGCCAGGCTGGTCTTGAACTCCTGACCTTGTGATCTGCCCGCCTCAGCCTCCCAAAGTGCTAGGATTACAGGTGTAAGCCACCATGCCTGACACGGAAAATTTATTTTTATTTATTTATTTATTTTATTTTTATGTATTTATAAATAAATATATAAATTTTCCTTTGGATAAAAAGATGCCCACCTCCTAGGTGGATGATTACCTTCAATTTTATTTTATTTTATTTTGATTTTATTTTTGAGATGGAATCTCACTCACTCTGTCATCCAGGCTAAGTGCAGTGATGCCATCCTGGCTCACTGCAACCCCTGCCTCCCGTGTTCAGGCAATTCTCCTGCCTCAGCCTCACGAGTAGCTGGGATTGCAGATATGCACCACCACACCCAGCTAATTTTTGTATTTTTAGTAGAGACAGGATTTCACCATGTTGACCAAGCTGGTCCCGAACTCCTGACCTCAGGTGATCCACCCACCTAAGTCTCCCAAAGTGCTGGGATTACAGGCGTGGGCCACCACTCTTGGCCAGACAACTACTTTGTTAGTGAACTTTAAAGAAAAGATTTCAGATGACGGCAAGATTAGATTTTGTATACCATAGGAGTGAGTCTTCTTTTCACTCACTAAGCAAATATATGTATCATTCCAGTAATTTGTGGATTTTGCATTCTAAGTATGTTTGAAGTTGCACAGCTACCAGCAAGTACATCTGGCTGGAACTCACCAAACCCTGTTTGTACTTAAATCGCTTCATAATTTCAAAAAGGGGTAACCATATAGCCCACCTCCCAGGATTACTAATTTGGTTTCTACCCATAGAAATTTGTACCTTCCACCCAGGTCGATTAAGTGGATTTTACATTCCTTTGGCTCTTATGATTTGATAATGTCTTTCCTTCCTCTCTCCCTCCCTCTCTCTCTCTCTCTTTCTTTCTTTCTTTCAGACGAGAGTTGTGCTCTTGTTGCCCAGGCTCGAGTGCAATGGTGCAATCGCAGCTAACTGCAACTTCCGCCTCCTGGGTTCAAGCGATTCTCCCGCTTTAGCCTCCCGAATAGCTGGGATTACAGGCATGCGCCACCACACCCAGCTAATTTTGTATTTTGAGTACAGACGGGGGATTTTCCATGTTAGTCAGGCTGGTCTTGAACTCCGGACTTCAGGTGATCCGCCCATCTCGGCCTCCCAAAGTGCTGGGATTACAGACATGAGCCACCGCGCCTTTTCTTTCTAATTCTTAAGACTTTGAGACTTGATGAGTTCTGCTTCTTTTCATATACTTCTCATGTTAAAACCACAAAACCCTATCAGATATTAATGGCAGTCAATGAATGTGGTAACAACCTAGTGGAAAGTATATGGGCATTTATTAGTCTTTCCACTATTTGGTATGTTTGAAATTTTTTCCTTTTTTTTTTTCCCTTTTTTTTGTTTGGAGACAGAGTTTTGCTCTTGTTGCCCAGGCTGGAGTGCAATGGTGCGACCTCTGCTCACTGCAACCTCCGCCTCCTGGGTTCAGACAATTCTCCTGCCTCAACCTCCCGAGTAGCTGGAATTACAGGCATGTGCCACAATGGCGGCTAATTTTTTATTTTTAGTAGAGACAGGGTTTCTCCATGTTGGTAAGGCTGGTCTCGAACTCCCGACCTCAGGTGGTCCGCCCATCTCAGCCTCCCAAAGTGCTGGGATTACAGGCGTGAGCCACCGCGTCCGGCTGAAATTTTTTCTATATAAAAATTTGGGGATTCATCCCACCAGTGGCCAAGTCTACGGCATTGAATTCAACCCTCCCAAAACTGTGGGCATTGATGATCTAACTGGGGAGCCTCTCATTCAGCGTGAGGATGATAAACCAGAGACGGTTATCAAGAGACTAAAGGCTCATGAAACCCAAACAAAGCCAGTCCTGGAATATTACCAGAAAAAAGGGGTGTTGGAAACATTCTCTGGAACAGAAACCAACAAGATTTGGCCCTATGAATATGCTTTCCTACAAACTAAAGTTCCACAAACAAGCCAGAAATCTTCAGTTACTTCATGAGGAGAAATGTATGTAACTATTAATAGTACGATGGGCAAATCTCCTAGTCCTTGCATTTAGAAGCTGGTTTTTCTAAGACTTCCAGTATGTATGAATTCTTTGAAAATTATATTACTTTTATTTCTACTGATTTTATTCTGGATACTAAGGATGTCTCGAATGAGTCAGATACTAAGATTCATCCTTAGCAATCATCTAGTGTGTTTTATGCAGTTATCCTTAAAAACATCAGCGATGTCTGAACTTTTAAAACATCTGTTAGAGCAAAATTAAAAGAGCATTTGGTAGTACTCTAACTTTTTGTTCAGTTAAGAAGTGGTTGATAAAGTTTCCATATTTTTCTGGAAAAGTTAAAAAAAAGTTACATGTCATTTGGGGAAAATGTCAGAAATTTTTGCATAGATTGATGCCAAAAAAGACTTTTCTAGCATTGTGGAACATGGTGAGACACCATATAAATTCCAGAAAAAAAGCTACTGGAGTTACAGATTTGTTGTAAGGTACAAATTCACTGCTGCCTTTACACTAAGAAATGTATATGCTAACCATATATGCTGTATTTATTTTGTTGTTAAGCATACTTTCAGTTTACTCATAATTTTCAATTTACTATAAAAATGTATCAATTAGCATATAGAAAAATATTACTTTAAGATGACTTGTTTCCTTTGAAAATACATTATGTACTGAGGGTTATGATTTATGTCAGAAATTTACATTATAAGTCCTTGGATAAGCACCAAAGTTGAATGAATTTTCTTTTTTTTTTTTTTCTTTGAGATGGAGTCTTGGTCTGTCACCCAGGCTGGAGTGCAGTGGTGCAATCTCAGCTCACTGCAAGCTCCGCCTCCCAGGTTCACACCATTCTCCTGACTCAGCCTCCCGAGTAGCTGGGACTACAGGGGCCTGGCTAATTTTTTGTATTTTTAGTAGAGACGGGGTTTCACTGTATTAGCCAGGATGGTCTCGATCTCCTGACCTCATGATCCGCCTGCCTCGGCCTCCCAAAGTGCTGGGATTACAGGTGTGAGCCACTGTGCCCGGCTCATGAATTTTCAACAAAATGTAATTAAAGTCTATATGTTTTCAGATGTTAAAAAAAAAGGCCGAGTGCGGTGGCTCACGCCTGTAATCCCAGCACTTTGGGAGGCCGAGGCGGGCGGATCACGAGGTTAGGAGATCGAGACCATCCTGGCTAACAAGGTGAAACCCCGTCTCTACTAAAAACAAAATACAAAAATTAGACGGGCGGGGTGGCGGACGCCTGTAGTCCCAGCTACTCAGGAGGCTGAGGCAGGAGAACGGCATGAACCCGGGAGGTGGAGCTTGTAGTGAGCCGAGATTGCACCACTGCACTCCAGCCTGGGCAACAGAACGAGACTCTGTCTTAAAAAAAAAAAAAAAAAAAAAAAAAAAGACTTGGGGAGGGGGATTGAATTGAAATGAATTTTAGTTGTCTTTAGTGGCTTTTCCTGATTTGGGGGTCACAACTTTTTAGTGTATTTCTGCCAGCCAACTCTAAAGAATGCTCTCCATTAGTTAAAAATGGTAAGCTAGTCCATATGGGCCAATATGCAAAGTTCTTCAAGACACATGGTTAAGGAAAAAGGCAATTTGCAAAACAATACATATAGTTTGACCTGTTTATTTAGTAAATACACATATATGCTAATAAGTAGGAAAAAGGCTGGAAAGAGGAGTAGCATCTTGGTTAACAGTGGTTAACTGGAAAGGTGAGAGACGTTATTTAGGGGAGTAAGGGAACAGTGGTGAAGACGAACCTGTACTTTATTTATTTATTTATTTGTTTGTTGAGATGGAGTTTCACTCTTGTTGCCCAGGCTGGAGTGCAATGGTGCAATCTTGGTTCACCACAACCACTGCCTCCCAGGTTCAAGCAATTCTCCTGTCTCAGCCTCCCGAGTAGCTGGGATTACAGACATGCACCACCATGCCTGGCTAATTTTGTATTTTTAGTAGAGACGGGGTTTCTCTATATTGGTTAGGCTGGTCTTGAACTCCCCACCTCAGGTGATCCGCCTGCCTCAGCCCCCCAAAGTGCTGGGATTATAGGTGTGAGCCACCGCGCCTGGCTATTTATTTATTTTTAATGGAGACAGGGTCTTGCTATGTTGGCCAGGGTGGTCTCCAACTCCTGGGCTTAAGTGATCCATCCACCTCTGCCTCCCAAAGTGCTGGGATTACAGACCTGAGCCACCACACCCAGCCCACACCTGTACTTTTTAATAATGTACTCTTTTGAATTTAATTAAAAGCCAAATACAGTAAAATAAACATAATGGGGTGGACTAGAAGATCTGCCAGTTACCACTGGCTGACACTTGCAGGGATCCTAATGGGATGGAGAAAGTCTTGAAGGGGACCCAGTGAGAGGTTGCTTTTAGGGTGTTCTGGTACTTCCTGAAGACTAAATAGGGGCAGCTGTACCTGTCAGAAACAGGCTGGCCAAGGTCACAAGGGTCACATGACTGCTGAGTGCTCTTTTGGCACTCCTTACCCCTCCCCAGCCACACCTGCCTGGCCTGAGGGCAGGGCTGCTCCTGAGCCTGGAGAAAACCTGGGTCCCTCCTCCCAGGAAGCTCCACCTTCTCTCTGAGCAGTGGCACAAATAGGTAAACACCCGACCTGTGACTACCAGTCAGGTGTTGAGAAGAAAGGAAAGAGGAATAGCCAACGACAGTCCCTCCTCCATGCTCAGCAATCACTGGGTGAAAGATTACTTTGGTCCTCTTTAACACACTTTACAGTCCACTCTACTTTGACATGATGTTGTAAGTCATTCAATTTACAAATCTCCATGGAGTTTAGAGTCAGTGGTTACCTCTAGATTCATGGCTAGAATGGCTTTAAAAGACATTTTTAACAAGCTTTTTTTTTCTCTTTTAAAGCCATCTTTAAAAAGTTTTTCTAAGAAAATATCAGTTCAAGTAAGTGGCATACTGTTTGCTTTATGGCATTTGGACTTTAGCAAACAACTCATAAATAAATATTTTGTGTTAGCCATTTGTTAACAGTCCAAAGATCACTGTAGTTTTATTTAAGCCTCTGGCAAATACAACTAATTTTAAATTCACATAGAAAAGCATAGTTTCTCTGAAGTTGGGATTACCTATGAATTTCCAGTGAGAAAGCCACAGCTATACAGATATAGATATAGATAGACATACACATAGATATATTCATTGGATGCCTTCATAGAAAATGAAGGTAATATTACTGATAGTGCGTAATGTAAAAACTTACTCATTGTGATGTTCAAAGAGTTGTGAACAATAATATAGTTCTGTAATAATACAACTGGTATTTATACGTATAGGTTAATAATTGAAATTAGAGATACAGCTGAATTGCAACTTTGCTTATTATCCATAGGGTAATAGTAGAGATAATAGGGACATGACCAAAATAATGGGCTCACATTTTAATGAGTATTTATTTGGCAGAGTATCCCTGTGATGTAAACTGTGGTTATATAAGTAGGCTAATTGATTAAAAATTCTTTCATTTGGCCAGGCACGGTGGCTCACGCCTGTAATCCCAGCACTTTGGGAGGCCGAGGCGGGCAGATCATGAGGTCAGGAGATTAAGACCGTCCTGGCTAACATGGTGAAACCCGGTCTCTACGCTAAAATACAAAAACTTAGCCGGGCATGGTGGCGGCACCTATAGTTCCAGCTACTCGGGAGGCTGAGGCAGGAGAATGGCGTGAACCTGGGAGGTGGAGCCGAGATCGCGCCACTGCACTCCAGCCTGTGCGACAGAGCGAGATTCTGTCAACAGCTCATTGAGAACAGGCCATGATGACAATGGCGGTTTTGTAGAATAGAAAGGGGGGAACGGTGGGGAAAAGATTGAGAAATCGGATGGTTGCCGTGTCTGTGTAGAAAGAGGTAGACATGGGAGACTTTTCATTTTGTTCTGTACTAAGAAAAATTCTTCTGCCTTGGGATCCTGTTGATCTGTGACCTTACCCCCAACCCTGTGCTCTCTGAAACATGTGCTGTGTCCACTCAGGGTTGAACGGATTAAGGGTGGTGCAAGATGTGCTTTGTTAAACAGATGCTTGAAGGCAGCATGCTCGTTAAGAGTCATCACCACTCCCTAATCTCAAGTACCCAGGGACACAAACACTGCGGAAGGCTGCAGGGTCCTCTGCCTAGG
This sequence comes from Homo sapiens, assembly GCF_000001405.40. Taxonomy (NCBI): domain Eukaryota; kingdom Metazoa; phylum Chordata; class Mammalia; order Primates; family Hominidae; genus Homo; species Homo sapiens. Next base: position 69,103,735 of record NC_000009.12, on the reverse strand, counting down.
AAAACCAGAGACCTTTGTTCACTTGTTTATCTGCTGACCTTCCCTCCACTATTGTCCTATGACCCTGCCAAATCCCCCTCTGCGAGAAACACCCAAGAATGATCAATAAAAAAAAAAAAAAATTCTTTCACTTAAATCAATAACAACAATTGAAAAACACAACAAAAAAACCAGGGCAGGTGAAGGTGTGGTAAAGCTGGTACATGGCTATTGCCCATTGTAAACTGTCCCAGCTTTTTTTGTTTGTTTTTAAGACGAAGTTTTGCTCTTGTTGCCCAGGCTGGAGTGCAGTGGTGCGATCTCAGCTCACCACAACCTCTGCCTCCCAGGTTCAAGCAATTCTCCTGCCTCAGCCTCCTGAGTTGAGATTACATGCATGAGCCACCGCACCTGGCTGTCCCAGCTTTTTTAAAAAGCATTTTAATTTAAAATGCATTAAGACTTGCAAAACTGTCCAAATCATTTGATCCTGTAATTTCACCCTATCTTAAGACAATAGTCAAGGCTGGGCGTTGGTGGCTCATGCCTGTAATTCTAGCACTTTGGGAGGCCGAGGCAGGAGGACCACCTGAGGTCAGGAGTTCGAGACCAGCCTGGCCAACATGGTGAAACCCCTTCTCTACTAAAAATACAAAAATAGCTGGGCATGGTCGTGGGCACCTGTAATTCTAGCTACTCAGGAGGCTGAGGCAGGAGAATAGCTTGAACCCGGGAGGTGGAGGTTGCAGTGAGCCGAGATTGCGCCACTGCATTGCAGCCTGAGTGACAGCACAAGACTCTATCTTTAAAAAAAAAAAAAAAGACAATAGTCCAAATGCAGAGAAAACTATATGCACAAATCTTTTCATCAACACATTATTCATAAAAGCAAAAAAATGGCAACTGAAATATCCAACAATTAGGAAAAAATGAAGTAAATTAATGCAGTCACTAAAAAATTGTATATGCGTATATATATGTTAATCAGGAAGAGCATGTAACAACATTTATTCAATCAGCAAATATTTATTGAGCCAGCTTTACTATACCATGCTAAGTAAAATGGTGAAAAAGGTGGAGAAGATTTGGTCCTCATGGAACTTGTAGATAACACTTATGATATAATATTCAGTTGAAATTACAGAATACAAAATTCACCCAGTATGATTACCACGATGCAAAAATGAAATGCACAGGCAAAGGACAGGAGCAAAATAAGCCCTAGTGCAAACTGTATTTGTATTCATTCAGGGTAGTGACAGTACTAATGACTATTCTTCCTTTTACCATTTTAGAACTTATGGTAGATGTTTTTATTAAATATTAAAGTGATATAAAATGTGTAGAGACATCAAGAAATAATACTGTTACATTAAAAAACAGAATATAAGTAGAATAGCTGCATAGTATACCTGCAACTCTCCATTCAGATGAACAGGGATTGAAATCAATCGTGCAAGTATTATGAAAAGTAGTAGCATCTGAGCTAATTTATTTTCCTTTAACAAATGCATGTTAATGTTGTTAGTTCAAGGTCTTGTAATAATGTGTAATAAATATGTGTAATAAATAAATAAACTTTTATTTATTTGTTTATATGAGACAGGGTCTCTCTCTGTCACCCAGGCTAGACTGAAGTGGTGAAATCACCGCTCACCACAGCCTCGACCTCTGGGCTCAAGCAGTTCTCTCACTTTAGTCTTCCCAGTAGCTGGGACTACAGACGTGCGCCACCACGCCCAGCGAATTTTTGTATTTTTAGTAGAGATGGGGTTTCTCCATGTTGGCCAGGCTGGTCTTGAACTCCTGACCTCAAGTGATCCACCCACCTCAGCCTCCCAAAGTGCTGGGATTGATTACAGGCTGAGACACTGCACCTGTCCCCCACATGTACTTTTTTTTTTTTTTTTTTTTGAGACCTAGTTTGCTCTGTCACCCAGGCTGGAGTGCAGTGGCTCACTGCACCCTCCACCTCCCAGATTCAAGCGATTCTCCTGCCTCAGCCTCCCAAGTAGCTGGGACTACAGGCGTGTGCCACTAGGCCTGGATAATTTTTTGTTTTTTTGGAGAGACGGGGTTTCACTGTGTTAGCCAGGATGGTCTCGATCTCCTGACCTCGTGATCTGCCTGTCTTGGCCTCCCAAAGTGCTGTGATTACAGGCATAAGCCACAGCCCCCAGCCTTCCTATGCGTACTTTTAAAACAAATTTAGGCCGGCCGCAGTGGTTCACGCCTGTAATCCCAGCACTTTGGGAGGCCAAGGTGGGTGGATCACAAGGTCAGGAGATCGAGACCATCCAGACTAACACGGTGAAACCCCGTCTCTACTAAAAATATAAAAAAGTAGCTGGGCGTGGTGGCGGGCGCCTGTAGTCCCAGCTACTCGGGAAGCTGAGGCAGGAGAATGTTATGAACCTGGGAGGCGGAGCTTGCAGTGAGCCGAGATCGCACCACTGCACTCCAGCCTGGGCGACAGAATGAGACTCCATCTCAAAAACAACAACAACAACAACAACAACAACAACAACAACAACAACAACAAACCTTGTCCACTTTTCAAGGCCCATGTCTAAATTCACTCAGATTATTGAAGTCTCTCCTGACCTCACTCACTAGACATGGTCCCCAATGTATCCTCTGATTCTCTCTACCATACCCATGGTTTGCTTCTTTGCTAGCCTGTTGTGTATTATGCCTATGCAGTATACCTCTGGGGCTTGTCTTCCTCTTCTTCCCCAGGAGTCGTCTTTGTTATACACACTCATACATCCCCCCATACACATACTCCAGCTCCTAAAATCCTTGTAGATAGAGCTTATATCTGGTACCCTGACACATAGTATGTGTTCAATAAAAAATATGTGTTGAATTGTCTCCTCACCAATATATGATTTCTTTTCCTTTCTTTTTTCTTTCTTTCTTTCTTTTTTTTTTTTTTTTTTTTTTTGAGACAGGGTCTCATCACTCTATCACCCAGGCTGGAGTGCAGTGGTACAATCATGGCTCACTGCAGCCTCTACCTCCTGGGCCGAGGTGATCCTCCCACCTCAGCCTCCCAGGTAGCTAGGGCTGCAGGCAAGCTGACCACTCCCAGCTAATTTTTTATATTTTTTGTAGAGACAGGGTTTCACCGTGTTGCCCAGGCTGGTCTTAAACTTCTTGGCTCAAGTGATCTGCCTGCCCTGGCCTCCCAAAGTGCTGGGATTATAGGCATGAGACACTATGCCCGGCCAAGATATAATTATTTATATTAATAATAAGTCAAAAATAAAATAATGATTTTTCTTTTTTTTTAATTTTTTTTTGACAGAGTCTCACTCTGTTGCCCAGGCTAGAGTGCAATGGTGCACTCTTAGCTCACTGCAACCTCCATCTCCCAGGTTCAGGCAATTCTCTTGCCTCAGCCTCCAGAGTAGCTGGGACTACAAGTATGCACCACCACACCCAGCTAATTTTTGTATTTTTAGTAGAGACGGGATTTTACCATGTTGGCCAGGCTGGTCTTGAACTCCTGACCTCAGATGATCTGCCCGCCTTGGCCTCCCAAGGTGTTGGGATTACAGGCGTGAGCCACTGCGCCCAGCCTAAACATTAATTTATTGACTTGATATGACTAAATGTTCCCATCAAGAATGTTCTACAGATTCCTTCACTGATACATATCCACAGTAAGGAAAAAACAAACAGCCACTTACCCAGCCATCCTATGAACCACACTGTCTGGGTTGCTTCGTTGCTCACTTGCTGATTGGAATCCCAGGAGACAGAAACAGAGGTAGTCCAGCACATGGCCTGTTTGGAGAGCATGGTCCTCACTTTTCCTCAGGGATGGAACAGCCACAGGAGCCACGTTAACCTTCCAGGAGAAGGAGTATGTCTTGAGCATGGGTTTGGCATATTAAGGAGCCATGCCTGCAAATAAATTCCATCTCGAACTGAAGAGGCACTAACCGAGGAGCTGAGTTAATTATTCTTGCCTGTGGTTCCCAAGGCTACAACCTCCTTAGGATGCTGGGTAACAAGATCCTTTTCAACTCACTTGGGAGATATTAGTTGTCTGTTGCCTGCACCTGACCCCTGGATATGATTCATAGGGTTTCTGTCTGCTGCGGAGCCGGAGAAAGCAGCCAGCAAAGATATATTAGCTCCTATGTGGTGTTTTCACGCCCCACTGATGTGCCATAAAAACTCCCAGCTAAGGACCTCCTATTACGAATGCACCCGCTGTGTGTGAAGGAGGTGACTGATGTTAAACTCACATGCCAGAGAGAACTGGCCTATGAGGAAACAGGAAGAAAGTACTCTCTCTCACACACTTTTTTTTTTTTGAGACAGAGTCTCGCTGTGTTGCCCAGCTGGAGTGCAGAGGCACGATCTCGGCTCACTGCAACCTCTACCTCCCAAGTTCAAGTGATTCTCATGCCTCAGCCTACCGAGTAGCTGGGATGACAGGTGTCTGTCACCACGCCCAGCTAATTTTTGTATTTTCAGTAGAGACGGGGTTTTGCCATGTTGGCCAGGCTGGTCTCGAACTCCCAACCTCAAGTGCACTGCCCACCTCAGCCTCCCAATGTGCTGGGATTACAGGTGTGAGTTACTGCATGCAGCCAGAAGAAAGTATTCTCCATATCACTGCATTCACCTACTGGAGACTTCTTTCCTCAGGAAGCCAAGACCCAGAAGCAAAATGACTGGAAATCAAAGATGGACATTAAGAGCACATTCATCTTCTTCATCAGCTGCTGACAACTATTACTCAGGTGTGTAACATGTAGGCAAAACGTCTCTGCTATACCGGGGGCATGTCAGCAATTCGGTCCTGCCCAGATCTGGATTCTTTTTTTTTTTTTTTTTTTTTTTTTGAGACAGAGTCTCACTCTGTTGCCCAGGCTGGAGTGCAGCAGCACGATCTCAGCTCACTGCAGTTTCCTCCTGGGTTCAAGCGATTCTCCTGCCTCAGCCTCCCCAGTAGCTGGGATTACAAGTGCCTGCCACCATGCCCGGCTAATTTCAGATCCGGATTCTTGATTTCTAGAATCGCAGCTACTCATGAGACTGGTTGATGCAATTGCTTGCTTTTAGGAATTACGGAGAGGAGGGTTACATGGGTCCACAACCCCATAATATAATCTAAAATTTCACAGTTTTGTCTCTGAAACCAAAAGTTCGATGCCCAAACTAATTCGGCAGCAAAATCTGACCTGAAGTAATGTAAGTCTATTTATGATTCTCATTTGTTTTAGTAAAAATAGTCATACATTTCACTGGGATATATTCATGTGTTTGTTTATAGGATGTGACTCCAAGTCTTTCTTGGAGGTATCATGTCATAATATACAATATATGCAACGTATTTCGGAAAAAATTCTAAATTCCATAACACATAGCCCAAGAGTTTCAGATAAAGAGCTGTGGAACTGTAAACTTAAACCTCAGGGAGATCAACAGTTACCAGTGAACTATCCCACATGTCAAATTGCAGTTGTAGCACCTTAGAGTCTCTGCATTTCCTGCGCAAACATACATGACAATATATCTAATCCTAGTCCTGATTGGATACTGTATCAGCCTTGTAGAAAATTTTGCAAAATCATTATATACACTTCAACATTCTAACACTGTGAATTTGCACTCAACTGTGTTTACAGTGGCTGCCCTTCCTTAACAGGCCAAAAAACTCCATTTCCTCTTACTGCTTTTCATATCAATAAAAAAACAAGCATCCACCTAAGGCAAACATACTCAAATTTCTCTGTAAGTTTTCAGGGGAAGAAAATTAGGAGAGTCACTAAAAGGACAACAATATGGTCAATTTCTTTTGTATATCACCTAATTTCCTTTAGGTGGCTGTGGCAGGGTAGGGCTTGATTTTGTGACTCTAGTATGGTATCACCACAGCAAGTTAATCTTTCAAATATCCAGGTAAGTCAGAGATCATGATTTGGGTCTTTAACTGAACAGGAATTAGGTGCAAGATGTCGAATTCAGCCAGGCATGGTGGCTCACGCCTGTAATCCCAGCACTTTGGGAGGCTGAGGCGGGTGGATTGCCTGAGGTCAAGAGTTCGAGACCAGCCTGGCCAACATGGTGACACCCCGTCTCTACTGAAAATACAAAAAATTAGCTGGGCGTGGTGGCGGGCACCTGTAATCCCAGCTACTCGGGAGGCTGAGGCAGGAGAATCGCTTGAATCTGGGAGGCGGAGGTTGCAGTAAGCCGAGATCCTGCCATTGCACTCCAGCCTGGGTGACAGAGCAAGACTCTGTCTCAAAAAAAAAAAAAAAAAAAAAAAAAGATGTTGAATTCAGAACACCTGAAGGTTTTATGGATGGCAAAATTATTAGATTGGATGAATGGATTATGGCCTAGAGGTATTTCTGTTGACCGAATAGAGGAAATACAGGAATTTATCTTTTGCCCTCTGTACCCAATGTGCTCAATGATTTATGAGTAACTGCATTCGTCACAGGCAAAACATGTACCAACAGGCTAAAGGACATTCCAAAGGAAACTCATGACTCCTTATTCATATCTAATGGAAGAAGGAAACTTGGTAGGGTTCACAGTCTTGTACGTTTGTGTTCACAATCACCACATGCTGTTTGATGTAGGATCCCAGGACAGATACAAAAATCCTCTCCATGCTTAAAGCACAGTTCTTGTGCAGAGCACTGAATTGTCTGTCTCGTGGATCTGCATTGGCTTCTCTGCTACATGAATTACTTCTGGGAGGAACATGACTTCCCATCTGTTCTCCTTTACATTCTGAAGACGGGGTTTCAGCTACACAAACTGTATTGTATCATCTTTCTCCTGCACTATTGTGATAGTCTTAACTATTTCCAGGACCAGGAATGGAACATACTTCCCCTAAACTATGCAAAAGGATTCTTTTCTCACTTCATTCAAGCTTCTGCTCAGATGCTACTGTGTCACAGAGGCCTTCAACTACTCTATTAAAAAGAGCTCCACTCAAAAAAATTCTGGAGATGGATGGTGGTGATGGCTGCATAACAATGCAAATGTACTTAAGGCTACTGAATTGTATTATTATTATTATTATTATTTATTTATTTATTTATTTTTGAGACAGAGTCTTGCTCTCTTGTCCAGGCAGGAGTGCAGTGGTGCGATCTCAGCTCACTGCAACCTCTGCCTCCCAGGTTCCAGCTATTCTCCTGCCTCAGCCTCCCGGGTAGCTGGGACTACAGGCATGTGCCACCAAGCCTGGCTAATTTTTGTATTTTTTAGTAGAGATGGGGTTTCATCATATTGGCCAGACTGGCCTCAAACTCCTGACCTCATGATCCGCCTGCCTCAGCCTCCCAAAATGCTGGGATTATAGGTGTGAGCCACCATGCCCGGCCTTGAATTGTATTCTTAAAAATGGTTAAGAGGGTAAATTTTATGTTATGTACATTTTAAGACAATAAAAAGCAAAGAAAGAGAGAGAAAGGAAGAAAGAGAAAAGAAGAAAGGAAGGAAAGAAAGAAGGAAGGAAAGAAGGAAGGAGGGAGGGAAGGAAGGAAGGAAGGAAAAGAAGATACATTCTACTCAGCATGATCCATCTCACCTGCTTCATTTTTCTATTAGCACTTACTGATACTATAGATGTATGTGTCTACTATCTGCATTCCCCCAGTGAAAAGTGAGCTCCAGGAGAGCAAGTGCTTTATTTACTTTATTCAATCCTATATTTGTGACTCCCAGAACAGTGCCTGAGCATTGTAGAACTACTAAATGTTTTCTAAATGAGAGCAAGCAAGCAAGCAAAGTCCCAAACTAGTATTCCCATCTTTAGTTTTTCTCCCTTGGTCTAATCCAATTCATCTTAGACACTGACCACAGGGTTATCTGGGTTATATTTTTAAAACATAGATCCAGCCAGGTATAGCAGCTCTTCCTGTAATTCCTTTAATTCTGTGAGGCTGAGATGGGAGGATCGCTTAAGAGAGATATTACTCCTAATATCACCGTGGGTGTATACCCTGTGATATTATTTGTAATATCTAAGGGAGGTATTACTCCTAATATCACAGTAGATGTACACCCTGTGATATTATTTGTAGTATCTAAAGGCAGTATTACTTGTAATATCATAGGGAGGTATTACTCCTAACATCACAGTGGGTGTACACTCTGTGATATTATTTGTCATATCTAAGAGAGATATTATGCCTGTAGTCTTAGCTACTCTGGAGGCTGAGGCAGAAGAATCACTTGAACCCAGGAGGTGGAAGTTGCAGTGAGCCGAGGTCGTGCCACTGCACTCCAGCCTGGGAGACAGAGCAAGACTCTATCTCAAAAAAAAAAAAAAAAAAAAAAAAAAAAGAGGATGTAGGCCTGGTGCAGTGCCTCATGCCTGTAATCCTAGCACTTTGGGATACTGAGGCAGAAGGATTGCTTGAGCCCAGGCATTTGAGACTAGCCTGGGCAACACAGCAAGACTTCATCTCTACATTTTTTTTTTTCTTTTTTAAGGTTATGTCTTGCTCTGTCACCCAGGCTGGAGTGCATGGCGTGATCTCGGTTCACTGCGATCTCCGCCCCTCGGGTTCCAGGGATTTTCCGGCCTCAGCCTTGTGAGTAGCTGGTATGATAGGTACCCACCACCACATCCGGCTAATTTTTGTATTTTTTTTAGTAGAGATGGGATTTTACCATGTTGGCCAGGCTGGTCTCAAACTCTTGACCTCAAGTGATCCGCCCGCCTCAGCCTACCAAAGTGTTGGGATTACAGGGATTACAAGGTGTGAGCCACTGGGCCCAGCCCCTATAAAAAATTTGAAAAATTAGCTAGGCATGGTGATATGTACCTGTAATCTTACCTATCTGGGAGGCTGAGATAGGAGGACTGCTCGAGCCCAGGAGTTCAAAGTTACAGTGAGCTGTGTGATTGCACCACTGCACTCCAGCCTGAGTGACAGAATGAGACCCTGTCTCAAAAAAAAAAAAAAGATATGTTGAAGTACTAAACCCTAATACCTCAGAATGTGACCTCATTTAGAAATAAGGTTGTTGCAGATGTTTTAGTTAAATTAAGACAATGAGATCATACTGGAATAAGGTAGGCCTCTAATCCAATACGACTGATTTCCTTACAAGAAGTCAGTGAAGACAAAGGCACCAAAAGAAGAATGCCATGGGCCGAGTGCAGTGGCTCACGCTTGTAATCCCAGCACTTTAGAAGGCCAAGGCAGGGAGATGACCTGAGGTCGGGAGCCCGAGACCAGCCTGGCCAGCATGGTGAAACCCCGCCTCTACTAAAAATGCAAAAATTAGCTGGGTGTGGTGGCGCACACCTGTAATCTCAGCTACTCGGGAGCCAGAGGCAAGAGAATCGCTTGAACCTGGGAGGCAGAGGTTGCAGTGAGCCGAGATCACGCCACTGCACTCCAGCCTGGGTAACAGAGCGAAACTCTGTCTCGAAAAGAAAAAAAGAAAGAAAAATAAAGAAGAATGCCACAGGATGATGGAGGTAGAGACTGGAGTTACACAGATGCAAGTCAAGGATCGCCAAAGATTACCTGTGAAACCAGAAGCTGAGGAAAAGACATACAACGGATTATCTAGAGCCATCAAAAGAGCAGAGTCCTGCTCATACCTTAATTTTCTATTTCTGCCCTCCAGAACTGTGAGATAATAGATTTCTGTGTTTAAGACCCCCGTTTGTGGAACTTTGTTACAGCAGCTCCAGGAAACTAATACAGGGTTGGTGGTAAATTTGAGAGCTAATATGAACAACAGCCGGGCCCTGCTAACCATCCTCTACTGGGCCAAGGACTCCCTGACAGTGGGGTGCTGGAGGCCGCTGCTCCTGGCATAGGCTGGTACCATGTGCACATCTCTGCCCAACTTCTCGTCCAGTTCTGTCATATCGGGAGCTTGCAACCAGCCATTAGGGTGACCAATCAAGCTATTTCCTGGGGAATGAGGAATTTTCTGGGATTCAGGACTTTCAGGCCTAAAAATGGGAAAGCCCCTGGCAAACCAGAACAAGTTGGTCACCCTACCAGCTGTGGGAAGACTATTTATACCATGGAAACTGACAAATCCTACATACAAATCAGGGTTTTTCCCCTTTGGAGAATTGGTTAAATATTGACCAGTACACCACTCTGCCAGTAAGCTCTTGCAGTTTCAATTAGTCAAAGCCAAAAAAAAAAAAGCAAGCTTTTGCTAGATAAGTACTATAGTTACAACCCGAGCATTATGAATAACATTTTGTTTTGTTTTGCTTTTGAGACGGAGTCTGACTCTGTCACCCAGGCTGGAGTGCAGTGGCACAATCTCGGCTCACTGCAACCTTCGCCTCCTGGGTTCAAGTGATTCCCCTGCCTCAGCCTCCTGAGTAGCTGGGATTACAGGTGTGTGCTACCACACCTGGCTAATTTTTAGTAGAGATGGGGTTTTACCATGTTGGCCAGGCTGCTCTCGAACTCCTAGCCTCAAGTGATCCACCTGCATTGGCCTCCAAAAGTGCTGGGATTACAGGTGTGAGCCACCAGGCCTGGCCCATGAATCACATTTATAAAAAATGTTTAAATATAAAGCTAAAAAAAGGCCTCTCCCTAAACTTTACCTTCTCTTCCAGGTCAACGGTATTTATTTATTTAGAGCTACCAATATCAAAGCTCTTCTCAACTGGAAACATACAATTATAAAATCTTAGAATTCAACACAAGTTTGGAAATGTTAAAAATGGCCATTTTAAGGCCCCAACATCCTTTTTCCTAATAACTACATAACAGAAATACAGATGCTTCACACCCTTCTTTGGACTTACACACCTAGATCTAAGCCTTACAAACAATTGTACTTGTCACAATAATTTATGGAGAATCTGCAGTGACTTATTGAACGTTGGCACAGTGCTTAGCCCACCATATCTATGGCATAAATAAAATAACTTCTAGGTTGCTCCCTAGCAGCAATAACACCACTTTTCTCTTCCATTAGAGAAACTGTAGAGGAATTTGAGAGACTGAGTGAATCTTCACTAGATCCAGCAGCAGCGCAGAGGCCTCCCTCTCTCAACCAGGCACAGGCATGAAGATGTTCTTGTCAGAGGCGTGTGAACCAGAGCAACTTTATCTTAAATAGGAGCTGGGTAAAATAAGGCTGAAACCTACTGGGCTGCATTCCCAGACAGTTAAGGCATTCTAAGTCACAGGATGAGACAGGAGGTGGGCATAGAATATGGGTCATAAAGACCTTGCTGATAAAACAACAAGCCGGTGTTGGAGCCGGCCAAAACCTACCAACACTAAGATGGCCACGAGAGTGACCTCTGGTCATCCTCACTACTACGCCCCCACCAGCGCCATGACAGTTTACAAATGCCATGGCAACGTCAGGAAGTTACCCTATATGGTCTAAAAAGGGAGGCATGAATAATCCACCCCTTGTTTAGCATATCATCAAGGAATAACCATAAAAATGGGCAACAGCAGCCCTCGGGGCTGCTCTGTCTATGGAGTAGCCATTCTTTTATTTCTCTACTTTCTTAATAAACTTGCTTTCACTTTACTGTATGGACTCGCCCTGAATTCTTTCTTGTGCGAGATCCAAGAACCCTCTCTTAGGGTGTGGATCGGGACCCCTTTCCGGTAACACTCCGACAGCACCCTCCCTCCCTAACTCTCTAACTCACTCATCACTCTCCCAGTTCATCCTACTCACTGCCTGTAGCCAGATGATCTGCTTAAAATGTTCAGCTACTAGGTGGAATGATCTCCAACCTATATGGTACAGTAAAACAACAACAACAAAACCCAAGCAGTTTGTACTATGTACTGCCTTTTTTTTTTTTTTTTTTTTTTTGAGATGGAGTTTTGCTCTTGTTGCCTAGGCTGGAGTGCAATGGCTCCACCTCAGCTCACTGTAACCTCCGTCTGGGTTTAAGTGATTCTCCCGCCTCAGCCTCCTGATAGCTGGGATGAGGCGCCCACCACCACACCTGGCTAATTTTTTTTTTTTTTTTGTATTTTTAGTAGAAATGGGGTTTCACCATGTTGGCCAGGCTGGTCTCGAACTCGTGGCCTCAGATGATCCACCCGCCTCGGCCTCCCAAAGTGCTGGGATTACAGGTGTGAGCCACCACGCCTGGCCTATGTACTGCCTTTTATAATTTAAAAAGCAGTCTTATGTATGTTTATACAAAGGCAGCCTCTATAAGCATATAGTACACACTATGACCATAACTCTTTCCACAATGCATTTTATTGATATACTTTTCTATTTCTTTTCTATCTCTGTATTTCACTAGACCATGAATTCCTTGAGGGGAGGGAATGTGTTTGTTAACCATTGTATCCTAGCACGTGGCCTGGTTCAAAATAGGCAATCAGTAACGGTTGAATATATGAATTATTAAATAATGGCAAAAATACAGTCCTTCACAGTTTCCTTGTCCCAGTTAAATTTACTAAGCCAATTCTTTAATATAAACACAGGTCCATCAAGGGTGTGTGCCACTTCCTACCATTTTAAGTATTTTTTTTAATCAGGAAGAGCCAGAGGCAAAAGTCATGAAATTAACCACATGCGAGCATGCACACGCACAAACACACACACACATACACAGATAGGCGCAAACATCTAATTAGGAAAACCAAAACAAAACCAATTTACAAGCCTTGGCTCATCATCTCAATAGCTACTTGCACTAATCCTATAATTTATGTCTACTAAACACTGTTATTTTCCTTCTCTGGGCATTAGGCAACTTGGGAAAGGATTCCAGAAAAAATTCAACACTACTGACACTCATGATTATTAATATTATTAATACTGTTTATTTTTTTAATGGCCAGTCTTCTAAATGCTTGTATCCAACCTTAGAGAAGAATGTATTTTATAGGATTGCAGCCAAATGCAGCCCTGAACGCTATCTACTGGGAGTCTTCAGCCTTCCCAGTACTAACCTGACTTCCCAAAGCCCCTGGAGATCTCCCTTCTTTCCAAGGGGAGCCTTGGGATTCCTTCTTTTTTCACATCTCCTTGTCACTGAGACACCCCTGGAGCAGGACAAGGGAAGTGTCCACCTATTCTACCTTCCTCCTTTCTCAGGCCAAGTGTCATTTTCGGAGGGCGGGGGCAGGGAGTGGGGGGAAGGAGAGGAGGGGAGGGGTACGGGAAAGGGATGTAGTGGAGGGAGAGTTAATGCCTGGTTCTGCCTTCCTCCCTCCCCCAACCCAGCGGATTTCCTTCCCAGGGCAGTAGCCAGTGGCTCCAGGAAATAATTACCCTTATCAGCCCCCACTCTGAACAGTAAGAAAGGAAAGGTCTCAATTCTTCCCTGAAAAGGAAGGGAATCTCAGTCTACTTTTTGGTTTTTCAAATAACCTGTCTTAGCACCTCTAGGGCTCATCCTAACATCCCCAGGGCTCTTGATTTCTCTCCTGATGCAGTTCTTGGATCTTAGTTTACATAAGAATGCCCCAGTGGAGTCAAGGATGCAGCTTTTTCTTCTGCCCTGGAGTTTATCAGGGCTTTGTATGGTTAAATGACACTCTTTGGGGGTCTGATGAGTTTCTACCTTTTTGTACCACTTACACTTTTTACCTTGGGCATGGAGTGGTCCTGACAAATCTTTCTGAAACTCTGGTGAAAAATTCTAAGTGAGAGAAGGGGAGCCAGAACAGAAGCTGGGGTTTTCCTCCTGAGTGGTGAGGGGGCAGTGAACCACAAAGATGAAGACTGGATCTGGTGTGAAGGGATGGGGGCTGAGCTCCATTTACGTTCCAATGAGCATCTAGAAAGGTGTTTGTTTTACTGGGATGTTTTTATGGCACCCTGCAATATTTTAATTTTTCCCTTATTCATTCTTTTCTAAAATCCTTGGAAGATCCCACTAGGGCTGTTCTTGCCTTTAGAACTGTGAGACTAGTGAAGCAGAGAAGCTTCTCTAGGAGCAAATAGCAGGGTAGAACACCCCCACCTCCACCCTGACCCATCCAGACGCTGCTAACACAGAGCGGGAGGCCGGGTTGAACGTCCCCCTCCCTATTCCTCCTTTCAGGGTCGGGCACACACCTGGCTGGGATAAAGGAGTCAGGTCATTTGAAAGGCTCATCTCTCTATTACCAGGGGAGGGCGTCCAGGTTCCTGGCGTCTTGAACAAAGAATTAGATAAAATGCACAAAGCACAAAGAAAGCAAGGAAGGAATGAAGGGATTTATTGAAAATGAAAGTACACTCCACAGTGTGGGAGCGGGCCCGAGCATAGGGGCTCAAAGGCCCTGTTACAGAATTTTTGGGAGTTTAAATACCCTCTAGACGATTCCATTGGTTACTTAGGATACGTCCTATGTAAATGAAGAGGATGAAGTAAAGTTACAGGCATACGCCCTATGGAGAGGATATTTCCTGTCATAGCTGAAGTGTGAATCGGCTTATGTTTTCTGCCTCCAGACCCTATTTTCCTGCCTCATCTCTTTCTTTCTTCCATTCCCTGTGCCACACAGAAGGGTTCCTTTGGATTTCCAGGGACTGTCAGAGGTGTCCTAACCAGAGTGACTCCATCTTGAATAAAGGCCGAATAAAGCCAAACCTGCTGGGTTACATTCCCCAGGAACTGGGCACTCTTGGTCATGAGATGTTTATGATTGAGGGAATGAGTTAATGTTGCTAACTAAAGACTCAGAACTTATGGAAATGTCCCAGTATTTTAAGAACAAAAAGCATTCTTAAGGAATAGGTTTTGCCTTAAATATAATAGTGTACTCATAAATTCTTGCTGAAATCAATAGTAACAGGAAAATAACAGTACCAATAGCCTGTCACAAGCTGATCACAAGCCTTTGTAATAAAGTACACAATTCTTATACAACCTACATAAGCAAGCACTACATTTAAGGTAGCGCCTTCCTCCTCTTGTTTTCTGAGGATGCCCTACTCTGTAATTGAGTAGCCTCTAATTAACTATCTTAACTTCATTATACTCTGCGACTTACCCTGAATTCTTTCCCAGGCAAGATCCAAGAACACTCTTGGGGTCTGGAACAAGACCCCCTTTCTGGCGTCAGGACTGGGCACCAGATCTGGAAGAAGCAGGACTCAGGCCGGGTGCGTTGGCTCATGCCTGTAATCCCAACACTTTGGGAGGCCAAGGCGGGCGGATCACCTGAGGTCAGGAGTTCAAGACCAGCCCAGCCAACATGGCGAAACCCCGTCTCTACTAAAAATATAAAAATTAGTCGCCGGCCGGGCGCGGTGGCTCACGCCTGTAATCCCAGCACTTTGGGAGGCCGAGGCGGGTGGATCATGAGGTCAGGAGATCGAGACCATCCTGGCTAACAAGGTGAAACCCCGTCTCTACTAAAAATACAAAAAATTAGCCAGGCGCGGTGGCGGGTGCCTGTAGTCCCAGCTACTCGGGAGGCTGAGGCAGGAGAATGGCGTGAACCCGGGAAGCGGAGCTTGCAGTGAGCCGAGATTGTGCCACTGCAGTCCGCAGTCCGGCCTGGGCGACAGAGTGAGACTCCGTCTCAAAAAAAAAAAAAAAAAAAAAAATTAGTCGCCGGGTGCGGTGGCTCATGCCTGTAATCCCAGCACTTTGGAAGGCCGAGGCGGCCGGATCACGAGGTCAGGAGATAGAGACCATCCTGGCTAACATTGTGAAACCCCGTCTCTACTAAAAATACAAAAAAATTAGCCAGTCATGATGGTGGGTACCTGTAGTCCCAGCTACCCAGGAGCCTGAGGCAGGAGAATCACTGGAACCCAGAAGGCAGAGGCTGAAGTGAGCCGAGATCGTGCCACTGCAATCCAGCCTGGGCAACAGAACAAGACTCTGAGAAGAAGAAGGAGAAGGAGAAGGAGAAGAAGAAGAAGAAGGACTCTGCAGGTGGCACACAAAATTAGATGAAAAGAATAAGGGGACCTTAAAGGGGGAAGAAAAAAATGGGAAGTCCAAATGGAGAAAGATTCCTTAGATAATAGCTAGGTGATGTTATGAGGGGTCCTTGAGGGTCTAGAACAGGTCTCTCCTGCCAAGGGGAGAAGCAGGATGGATTGCGGAGAGCTAGTAGGCCAGGAGAGTGCAGTGGTTCTCTTTAAAGAAAAATCTCAGGACCCTTTATATTCTTGAGTTATAGAGGACTCCATAGAGCTTTTGTTTGTGTGTTATATCTATCCTTTTAATCATATTTAAAATTAAAACTGAGAAATTTTGAAAATGTTCATCTGTTCATTAATTTAGAAATAATAGCTGGGTGTGGTGACTCATGCCTGTGGTCCCAGCACTTTGGAAGGCTGAGGCAAGAGGATCACTTGAGCTCAGGAGTTCGAGATCAACCTGGGCAATGTAGCAAAACCCTATCTCTACAAAAAATACAAAAAAAAAAAAAATTAGCCAGGCATGGTTGCATGCACTTGTACTCCCAACTACTCAGGAGGCTGAGATGGAGGATCGCTTGAGCCTGGGAGTGCGAGACTACAGTGAGCCGTGATCATGCCACTGTATTCCAGCCTGGGGGACAGAGTGGGACCTTGTCTCAAAAAAGAAAAGAAAAAAGACATAACAATCATAAACTCACTTGTTTATATGGTTAAAAGAAAACCTTAGACAAATTAAATTTAACCGAGTTTAATTGAACAGTTTGAGAATTGGGCAGCCTCCTCAGCCAGAGTAGGTTCAGAGACTCCAGCACAGCCACGTGGTGGAAGAACATTTATGGACAGAGACAGAAAAGTGGCGTACAGAAAACAGAAGTGAGGTATAGAAACAGCCAGATTGTTTACAGCTCAATATTTGCCTTATTTGAAAGCAGTGTCAAGAGTTGACCTCCTTTGATTGGCCAAAATCCAATGTTTGTCACAAGAGTAGTTCACAGTCTTGTTTACACATCTGGGTAGGCTACAATTCACTAAGTACAGAGAAACCTTTAGGTCAAGCTTAAACTATATAAGGAGGCAGCTTTAGGCTAAATTTGATTTAACAATATTAATGACATATTTATGATAAATAACTATACTTTTGAAACAAAACATATTTGGTGTGAAGAATGGGATCATTGCAGGACTTTTCCTTAGTTCAGCTAAAGAGAAGGTTCTTGTCTATCCCACAGCCACAAAAATTTAGGCTTGCAGATGGTTTAAAGGGTGAGTAAAGCAGGGTTTTATTAAGTGAAAAGGGGAAATAAAGGGATGAGGGGAACAGGGATCCTCTGCAAGGCCAGAGTCTCCTGCTACAGTGCTTCCCACCAGGCTGCTAGAATCCCAGGTTCACATAGGAAGAGGAGGCGCCAGGCTCCTCCCTGCTGCAAACTCCCAAGGCTCCACCCTAGTAGGCAGGCTGGTTGGAGTTTCTCCAGGGACCCCCTCCCACCTGGCTGTCAAATAATTATTTTAGAGTTTTATAAAACTCTGAGAAATAAAAATGAAATCCTAAGTCCCCCAGCTGACTAAACGGATGCACCACCTCTTGGCCAAGGGGACCCCAGAGAAACCTTGAAAACTGAGTTCTTGCCATGATGTGTTGTTATACCCTCTCCATTGCTAAACGCCATTAGGATTTCCTTCCTACAGGTTAAACAGAAACCAGCCCTTTGGAAAGACGAGCTGCACCGCTGATATCAACCAATGGTCTGACACTGCCCCTTCCTTTTGCAGTTTCTGCACAACTAACCAGCATTCCTTCCTGATAACAGACTGCCCACAATGGAGTGGTTCTGGCCAGTTTACAGAGGATGTGCAGTGAGGGTTTCTGTGTCCTCTGTTTCACCTTTTGATATCAGAGGACAGAAAACTCCACCCTCTGATCATGCTAATGCTGCCATTTTTTGCACACGCGTCCCATGGAGAGGCATGAAGCTCAATTGAGCATGTGCATGTTTCTCCTTTCATGAATATTCATGACTGTAGTTTATTGAATATGTATATTTGGCCATCCTATTCAGCATAAATGCCCATCTTATTCTTCTGACCCTCAGTGTCTGTTTTTGGCTTCTGGCCAGAGACTACATTTCTTAGCCTGTCAGAATGGCCACCCTGCAGGCTGCAATCTTTTATGAGAAATGAAGCTTTTCTTTCCAAATTTATGAATCTCAGAATTCTTCAGCTGACAATTGTAATGTTTGGCTTAATAGAAAACAGCTGGATTCTTCTACTTGCCTCTTCATTCCATCTGTTGCAATATGTTGTTTTCATTGGAGTATATGAAGAAAACCCAGCTTAAAGAGTTATGTAGTTGGAAAAAGGAGAACATTACATATCTCTGAAGAGATCTGGGGGACCCAGATGTTCACTTTTTTTTTTTTTTTTTTTTTGAGACAGAATCTTGCTTTGTTACCCAGGCTGGAGTGCAGTGGCATGATCTTGGCTCACTTCAACCTCCACCTCACGGGCTCAAGTGATTCTCCTGCCTCAGCCTCCTGAGTAGCTGGGATTACAGGTGTGCGCCACCACGCCCAGCTAATTTTTGTATTTTTAGTAGAGACGAGGTTTCACCATGTTGGCCAGGCTGGTCTCAAACTCCTGACCTCAAGTGAACCACCCGCCTCAGCCTCCCAAAGTGCTGGGATTACAGGCATGAGTCGCCTCTTCACTTTGAAAGCTGTTGGGATGAAGAAGCTCTTCTCATACTCTAGCAACTCCATATGACATCTGTAATGATGGGTGAAAATGTGTAACTGAAACTTAATGCATAAATAATATTTTATAAATTTGTATTCAGTGAGCTATCAATAAAATGTTTTCTTTTTAAAGTTTTGAATTTATTGTTTATAATTTACCAAATAATAAACATATGTTGTTTAGCAAGTTGTTTTTTTGTTTTTGTTTTTGTTTTTTTTTTTGAGACAGAGTGT
The DNA here is from genome assembly GCF_000001405.40 of Homo sapiens. Taxonomy (NCBI): domain Eukaryota; kingdom Metazoa; phylum Chordata; class Mammalia; order Primates; family Hominidae; genus Homo; species Homo sapiens. The sequence goes on along the minus strand of NC_000009.12, from coordinate 69,084,944 downwards.
TGCTCTGCTGCCCAGGCTGGAGTACAGTGGCACTATCTCAGCTCACTGCAACCTCTGCCTCCCAGATTCAAGCAATTCTCCTGCCTCAGCTTCCTGAGTAGCTGGGACTACAGGCACATGCTACCATGCCCATCTAACTTTTGAATTTTTAGTAGAGACGGAGTTTCACCATGTTGACCAGGCTGGTCTCGAACTCCTGACCTCAGGTGATCCACCCACCTCAGCCTCCCAAAGTGCTAGGATTACAGGTGTGAGCTACTGCGCCCAGCCCATTGTTTAGCAAGTACTACAAGGCTTGTTTACAAATGTCAAAAGACAAAATTACAATGAATTTAGTTAAATGATCTAATTGGCTTTCATTTGCAATTCATGGATCAGGGCAGCCTGTCTTCTAAAAATTCAGAGAAGGTACTCCAGTGAGCTGGGCAGAGGAAGTTAGCTTTATAGGCAGAAAAGGCAGAAGAAAACAGAAACAGGGACCAAAAAGTGGACGGTCTTTTCAAAGTTACTCTCCTAATACGGTTAAAACAGAGAGGACTTCCTTATATGCCAGCTAAAACTGGCCTGTTTGGGGATTTGTCTATTATTTCTCTCCCCTAATTTCCCAGAAGGTAAGATAAACTACTTAGCTTTGGTTTGGTGACGTGGAACTTTAGCAAGAGTGACTCCATGTGGTTTGGTCTATTGGGGCCTAGTGCAGGAGCACAGTCCAAATCAATGGCTTCCTACAAATTTTATTTGACATAAATAATAACAGTTCTCCCCTCCTCATGGGCAACCATTTTCAATTTTTCTAGCTGATTATTTTGAGATTTCCCTTAACATATCTAAATAAAATGAGTTTTCAGGCCAGGTGCAATGGCTCATGTCTGTAATCCCAGCACTTTGGGGGGCCAAGGCGGACTGATCATCTGAGGTCAGGAGTTCGAGACCAGCCTGGCCAACATGGCGAAACCCCATCTCTACTAAAAATACAAAAATTAGCCAGACATCATAGTGTGCAACTGTAGTCCCAAATACTGAAGAGGCTGAGGCAGGAGAATCTCTTGAACCTGGGAGGCAGAGGTTGCAGTGAGCTGAGATCGTGCCACTGTACTCCAGCCTGGGCGACAGAGCGAGACCCCATCTCAAAAAAAAAAAAAAAAGTTTGAGTTTTTGGTTCATATTAGGAATTATCAGTCTCCTTCCCACTCTAGATGATGAGATTTTGTTTCCTTAACCATTTTTCTCCCCATTTTCTGGCCATAAACATTCACATTCCTCCAAATGTTTTAAACTGGATTGTTGGTCAAATCACTATTTAGCATTTTCATTATAATAATGATGAAAACAATACCCACTGTTGCATTGTGTAACATAACAGGACGTTTCCTATCCTGTACAATGCCTCGTGTTTCCTAGTGTTATTAATTGCTTTTCTGTTTTGTTTTCTTTTTCCTTTGTTTTTTATTACATCACATTTTTTTAATGTTGAGGCTAGTTTTATTACAGAATGTCCCTTCACCATGTAGGAAAGGAAAAATTTCTGTTCTACCCTCTTAAGTTTCCAGCTAGGCCTAAGAATTAAACTGACACAGGAAAGATTAACAGTAGAAAAGCACGCAAGTCTTATTACAATTTTACATGTACCTGGGAGTCCTCACAAGCAAATGTAGACCCGAAGAAGTCACCATAGCAGACAAGTTTATATATGTTTTAGACAAAGAAATGATAAATTTGTGAAGAAATGACAAGACAAAGGGGCTTGGGGAAATTACTAAGAGCTATATTGGGGATAAGTAGTGGAAGACAAGGGTTATTCCAATAAGTTTGTTCAGATCCATTTTGGCATTGATTCCCTATCTCTGGTGATAAGGATGTTTTTCTCTTTCTAGTAGAGGGAGGGCACCTTTATCATGGGAAATTTTCTAGCCTGTTTTTAGGTAGAAAAGAGGAGGTTGGAAAGCCCTTCCTGTACAGTCTGCTGTTTCTCAAGTGCTTTCAGCTAATAATAATCAGTATGCCAAAATGGCATATTTTTGGGTGATGGCATTGTCTGAACTGCTTCAACCAGAATTTTAAAGGCTTTTTGTTATTATTGAGAACTATGAAGCTATTGTGATGAATATTACTTTGTATATGACCTATTTGTCTTGTTTTGTTTATTTATTTTTTCCCTCTCTGGTTACTTATATTATCTTTTTTTGTCCCTCATGTTATGAAAATTCATAACAATGTGATTTTGTATGGGATATTTTTCTATATGTGGAATATACCTGGAATCTCATGCCCTTCACTTTAAGGAAATGTTCTTGAATTATTTCTTTGATAATTTTTTTTCTATCTTTTCTGTTCTCTCTTTCGTGATTCTTCTCATTTGGAAGTTGACTATTTCCTATCTCTTAGTATTTTTACTGTAATTTCTGAACAATTTCAACTCTGTCTTCCAACTCTTTCATTGTATTTTTAAAATTTCTGCTTTCACATGTTTAAATCTAAAGACTGTGTTTTTGTTCTCTAAAAAATTTACGAGCCTGTAGTCCCAGCTACTTGGGAGGATGAGATGGAAGCATTGCTTGAGCCCAGGAGGTTGAGGCTGCAGTGAGCCATGACCACACCACTGCACTCCAGCCTGGGCAACAGAGTGAAATCCTGTTTCAATTAAAATATGTATATACATTTTACTTAGGGAATGACTGAAACTTCATTTCCAATCCCTTCCCTATAGGTTTGAAGGCAAAATAATTGAAAGAGGGATTATTATGGGACTAAATGAAGAGTAGTCTAGTACAGGCTCCTTAGAACTTGAAAAAGGGGACTGCCAATAGGCTGAACTAAGAGATGGAGACCCCAACTCAGGAGTTATTTCTTTTTGTTTTTGTTGTTTTCCTTCGACTTTTATTTTAGAATCAGGGGGTACATGTGCAGGTTTGTTACAAAGGTATACTGTGTGATGCTGAGCTTTGGAGTGCTAATGACTCTGTCACCCAGATAGTGAGCAGGGCACCGAATAGGTAGTTTTTCAGCCCTTGCCTCTCTAATAGCCCCCACTGTCTATTGTTCCCATCTTTATGCCCATGTGTATTCAGTGTTTAGCTCCCACTTTTAAGTCAGAACATGCATTATTTGGTTTCTGTTTCTGTGTTAGTTTGTTTAGAATAATGGCCTCTAGCTACATCCATATTGCTGCAAAATACATGATTACATTCTTTTTTATGGCAGCATAGTATTCCACAGTGTATATGTACCATATGGTGGTATATATGTACACAATCTAATCCACCATTGATGAGCACCTGGTTTGGTTTCATGTCTTTGCCATTGTGAATAGTGCTGTGATGAACACATGGGTGTATTTGTCTTTTTGATAGAACAATTTATTTTCCTTTGGGCATATACTCAATAATGGCATTGCTGGGTCGACTGGTAGTTCAATTCAGTTCTTTGAGAAATCTCCAAACTGTTCTCCACAGTGGTTGAATGTATTTACATTCCTACCAACAGTGTATAAACGTTCTCTTTTCTCTGCAGTCTTGCAACATCTGTTATTTTTTGACTTTTTTAATAGTCATTCTTGCTGGTATGAAATGATATCTCACTGTGCTTTTGATTTGCATTTCTCTCATGATTAGTGATGATGAGGATTTTTTCATGTTCGTTGGTCACTTGTATTTCTTCTTTTGAGACATGTCTGTTCGTGTCCTTTGCCTACTTTTTAATGGGGTTATTTGGTTTTTGCTTGTTGATTTAAGTTCCTTATAGATTCTGGATATTAGACCTTTGTCAGATGCATAATTTGTGAATATTTTCTCCCATTCTGTAGGCTGTCTGTTTACTCCCTTGATAGCTTCTCTTGCTGTGCAGAATCTCTTTAGTTTAATTAGATCCCACTTGTAAATTTTTGTTTTTGTTGCAATTGCTTTCTAGGATTTAGTCATAACTTCTTTGTCAAGGCTGATATAAGAAGGGCATTTACTAGGTTTTCTTCTAGGATTTTTTTTTTCTTTTTCTTTTTTTGAGATGGAATCTTGCTCCTGTCACCCAGGCTGGAGTGTAATGGTGCGATCTGGGCTCACTCTGCCTCCCAGGCTCAAGCGATTCTCCTGTCTCAGCCTCCCGAGTAGCTGAGATTACAGGCACACACTACCATGCCCAGCTAATTTTTGTATTTTTAGTAGAGACAGGGTTTCACCATGTTGGCCAGCCTGGCCTCGAACTCCTATCCTCAGGTGATCCATCCGCCTCAGCCTCCCAGAGTGCTGGGATTACAGGCATGAGCCACCGCGCCTGGCTCTTCTAGGATTTTTTAGTTTGAGATCTTACATTTAAGTCTTTAATCCATCTTGATTTAATTTTTGTATATGGGGATAGGTAGCAGTCTAGTTTCATTCTTCTGTATATGGATAGCCAGTTATCCCAGCACTACTTTTTGAATAGGGAGTCCTTTCCCCATTACTTAATATTGTTGAGTTTGTCCAAGTTCAGATGGCTGTAGGTGTGTGGCTTTATTTCTGAGTTGTCTATTCTGTTCCGTTAGTCTACCTGTCTGTTTTTGTAGCAGTGCCATGCTGTTTTAGTTGCTATAGCCTTGTAGTAGAGTTTGAAGTTGGGTAATGTGATGCTTCCAGCTTTGTTCTTTTTGCTCAGGATTACTTTGGCTATTTGGGCTCTTTTTTGGTTCTATATGAATTTTATTTTATTTTATTTTATTTATTTTTTTGAGATGGAGTCTCACTCTGTTGCCCAGGCTGGAGTGCAGTGGCGTGATCTCGGCTCACTGCAACCTCCACCTCCCGGGTTCAAGCAATTCTCCTGCCTCAGCCTCTCGAGTAGCTGGGACTACAGGTGCCCGCCATCACGACTGGCAAATTTTTGTATTTTTAGTAGAGACAGGGTTTCACCATGTTGGACAGGCTGGTCTCGAACTCCTGACCTCAGATGATCCTCCTGCCTCTGTCTCCCAAAGTGCTGGGATTACAGGCGTGAGCCACCTCGCCTGGCCGCTATATGAATTTTAGAATAGTTTCTTCTGATTCTGTGAAAAATTACCATGGGCCGGGCACAGTGGCTCATGCTGTAATCCCTGCACTTTGGGAGGCCAAGGCAGGTGGATCACCTGAGGTCAGGAGTTCAAGACCAGCCTGGCCAACATGTTGAAGCCTTGTCTCTACTAAAAATACAAAAATTAGCCAGGTGTGGTGGCAGGCACGTGTAATCCCAGCTACTCGGGAGGCTGAGGCAGGAGAATTACTTGAACCCGGGAGGCGGAGGTTGCAGTGAGTCGAGATCGCGCCACTGCACTCCAGCCTGGGTGACAATAGCGAGATTCTATCTCAAAGAAAAAAAATAAAACAAAAATGACCTTGATAGTTTGATAGAAATAGCATTGAATCTGTAAATTGCTATGGGCAGTTATGGCCATTTTAATGATATTGATTCTTTAAGAAGATATTAGAGTGCCTATGATATACCAACAACTGTAGTGAGCCCTGGGAACCAAACATGAAAAGATTTGGACACTTACTCTCAAGGAACTTTCAGCCTAATTGTTGCAATATACCTGAGTCATGGAGTCTGAGAGTCTTGCCTTCCACATCCCCAACAAGGTAAGTTGGCTAATTATCAGGCCTTTGTATTTCAGAATGGGAAACCTATCTAAGCTTAAGAACAAACCCTAAAGGAATTTTTGAGGAAGTGGTGTGGTGGAGAAGAGAGAAATGAGACCAGGCAATGGGAATCCAGGAGAGAAAATGGGAAAGAGAGCTTAAAAATGTCCTTAGGAGGTTCAAGTTTTTCCGTGCCTGTGTGAGGTAACTCACTCCGTGGACACCCTCCCCACCTCCAACCATTCTTCTGTAAAATTTATATTTCTTGCTAACACTCTTGGAGTTGGGGTTATTTAGAGTTTATTTGAACAACTATCTTAAACATATAATTATAACACATTTATTTGACATTTATAGAGCTCTAATTGTGTGCAAGGAACTGTGCAAGATGCTAGGGCAACAGCAGTCAACAAAGGAGACACATAGTCCTAGCCTCATGGAAGGTACAGCCAAGCAGGGGTGACACATGGTAGGTCAGTGCTGGGAAAGACAAACATGGTATGCTGAGGACATGGAACAATCAAGGGCATCCAGGCAGAGGCTGAGTGGAGGAGGAGTTTGCAAGGCTGTGCCAAGAACATTTTTCAGGGTAGAATCTACCCCCCAGGCAGAGATGTGGGGAATAAAGACCAAAATGGAAACAGCACTGGCCAAGTCTGAGAGCCACGTGAAAATAGCACAGCACACTTAGGGATCTGGGGATTTGGGATTGCTGGAGTCAAAGTGTTGAGTGTGAGGGGGTAGAAAAGCATAATTATATGTAGAGTCAGTGCCTGAACAGTTCAGTCAGAAAAGCACATTTTTCAGGCTAAGAAACTTGGCCTTGGTCCTGCTTAGGTTTTACAGACAAGAGATTGCCTTTCTGAAAGCTTACCCTGGAGACTGTGTAGCTAGATGATGGGCTGAGAGAAAAGGAGGAAGGTGGATATAAGAAAGCTCCTGCAAAAATGCAGGTGAAAAATGATGAGGACCTCCACTGGGGACGGGCAGGAGAGGGCAGATTTAAGGGATGTTTGGTGAAACTTTCAAGGGGAACTGCTGATGGACTGGCAAGAGGAATCCCAGCAGGATCAGGTGGCTATGCTCTGGACGGTTTGCATAACTGTCAGTGGCACCATTCACTTCACATTGTAGTTATAATCTCTGTCAACAGTGGCACCTGGAGATGTGCAGTACACAGCCTAGGCAATCTTACAGAGAAATCCTGACTCCAAACTCATCTGTTTCTATTACTTTTGAGCTTTGGAGGGATTTAAAGTTTTTCTTTCTCTTAGGGTTTTATTTAAGCCATTTTCTTTTGGAAAAATCTCAGCTAGCATCATAGAGTGCGGTAGGAAAGGAATGTAATTGGGAAATGATATTGTCTTATTTTTCTATATAATTTAGCCACCTTTACACTTAAGATGGCAGACACGGGAATTACATTTTTTTAATGGAGTTTCCCTCTTGTCACCCAGGCTGGAGTGCAGTGGTGTAATCTCGGCTCACTGCAACCTCCACCACCCAGGTTCAAGCAATTCTCCTGCCTCAGCCTCCCGAGTAGCTGGGATAACAGGCGTGCGCCACTACGGCCAGCTAATTTTTGTATTTTTAGTAGAGGCGGGGTTTTACCATGTTGACCAGGCTGGCCTCGAACTCCTAACCTCAGGTGATCCACCTGCCTCAGCCTCTCAAAGTGCTGGGATTACAGGTGTGAGCCACCGTGTCTGGCCAGGAGCTAAACAATTTGAGGTCAAGATGTGGCGTTAACAATGTTCCCACAGATCACAGAAACACAAGTGGACAGCAGAGGCCCTTCTTGCACTAGTACTTCTACCTGGATGGGGCCTCAGAGGTCTGACTTTCCACAGGAGAAGAAAATCTTTGAGAGCCAATTTTACTGCTGGGTGCTGATGTTTTCCTCAACTGTCTAAATAAATCTTCAGCTAATAAACATTTCAATAAATCTGTTCTGGTGCCTTCCATTCCTTAAACTATACAGCCAGAGAAGATGGAACATATGAGCTTGGATTCTGTCTCTGTAGCGGATGCAGGGATATAAGTGAGCTGAGTTTTACACATTCCAAAGGGGCCACTGATCAGGTACTTCGGGATGCACTCCAAGTGTCCTGGCTAATTAAGATAAACCAAAGATTAGAAGGCATTTCTGGCTGGGTGCAGTGGCTCACGCCTGTAATCCCAGCACTTTGGGAGGCGGAGGCAGGTGGATTACTAGGTCAGGAGTTCAAGACCAGCCTGGCCATGATGGTGAAACCCCGTCTCTACTAAAAATACAAAAATTAGCCGGGTGTGGTGGCAGGCACCTGTAATCCCAGCTACTCGGGAGGCTGAGGCAGAGAATTGCTTGAACCCAGGAGGCGGAGGTTGTAGTGAGCCCAGATCGTGCCACTGCACTCCAGCCTGGGTGACAGAGCAAGACTCTGTCTCAAAAAAGAAAAGGCATTTCTTACTCTATACACAAAGTCATGAACTCGTCGTTTTGAACAGCATAAATTTACATGAAATTTCAAAACTTTGCCCCTCCTTCCCCTTTCTCCCTTGCTGGCATGTAGCTGTTTTAGTTTGTTCTAGCAGAAGATAACTATGTGCCAAGAATCCAACTGGACACGGACTAAAATTACTTTCATCTTAGTGTGTACCTTGGAAGCGTAAAGCGATTTTTCCTTGGCAACCTTGCATGGTTAGTCCACACAAACTCCATCACTATGAACATGGGTCTTCCTTTAGAGGTGGCAAAAGCATCTGTCAGAATTTGGGGCAGGTATAGCTGGATAAAGCATATTGTAAACCTATAATTTAATGCAAACTGTCAAATTTTAAATTGGCTAAAATAGTTTTAGAAGGTATGCAAAAGATCAAGTAAAATATAAGCATGGTAAGGCACACGATAAATGGTTCCAGGGAATCAGAATCTAATACGAAGTTAAGTAAACTGAGTATTTTGATTAAGTTCAAGGTTGAGTAGGGAACGTCATCCATATTTTGGGAGAAGTCCTCCAATGTGAATATGAAATTATGCTATGCATGTGAGAACAACAGTTGTCATGAACTGAGTACTTCTCACATCAGGATTGTGCTTTGCCTGTGGGCCCAGGCTCAACATGTTAGATATCTCCATTTTATAGATTAAAAAAAAAAAAAACATGAGGCCACTGTCAGTGTCTACAAACAAGTAAGAGGCAGAGTTTCGATTAAATTCTAAATTTGTGATTCAAAAACCCAGGTTCTCTTTTACACACCTCATTCCTTCTTTGTAATTCCAGAGAGCTAAATAAGTCATGCCAGAACATTTTATTTTCTATGTGGCTGAGGTTCTACCCACTCAAGAAGGTAAAAATAATAGAAAAAGCTTTCTGATGAACACCTGTGGCACACACCTGTAATCCCAGCATCTTGGGAGGACGAGGCAGGTGGATCACTTGAGCCTAAGTGTTAGAGACCAGCCTGGGCAACATGGTGAAACCCCATCTCTACAAAAAATACACAAATTAGCCAGCTATGGAGGTGCACACCTGTGGGAGGATTGCCCAAGCCCAGGGAGGTCGAGGCTGCCATGAGCTTTGATTGTACCACTGTCCTCCAGCCTGAGTGCCAAAGTGAGATCCTGTCTCAAAAAATAGAAAGGGGAAAAAAAAGTTTTCTAAGATTGTATTATGCAATTCCTCACCTCCTCCAGTATGTTACAGTGAATATTTAATAACCTTTTCCTGGAAACTCATCCTTCACATGGATGACTGGACCACACCATAAATGAGGCGATGCTCCCAGGGTCTGTGGTGGGGAGGCTATTGGTACACACAGTGGTACTTTTCCAGTTTGCTTGACAGAATATGATTTTGATTCTTCCCCTGGCTGCTGTTCATGTGTTTGAAGTCCCTTTATTTATTTATTTATTTATTTGAGACGGAGTATGGCTCTGTTGGCCAGGCTGGAGTGAAGTGGCATGATCTCGTCTCACTGCAACCTCCACCCCCCAGGTTACAGCGATTCTCCTGCCTCAGCCTCCTGAGTAGCTGAAATTATAGGCACGAACCACCACGCCCAGCCAATTTTTTAATATTTTTAGTAGAGACGGGATTTTGCCATGTTGGCCAGGCTGGTCTTGAACTCCTGACCTCAGGTGATACACTTGCCTCAGCCTCCCAAAGTGCTGGGATTACAGGCATGAGCCACTGTGCCAGGCCCCTTTTCTTTCCTTAAATGGGGATCTCCCACTGCCTTGGGAACGAGATAATCAAACCAATTAGAGCTATATGTAAAATGAAAGTAAAATAGGCCTGAAGGGCTGGCCCACAAGGACCCCATAAGAGCCCAGATTCCTTAACTTCCACTTTCATGTCAGAGCAGCCCCACTGCATACCTCTTTTGTGCTGTGTCCCAGATAAAGGAGTACATCATGTCACCGAGTTCTAAGTAAGTGGGGTGCACTGAAACTTTCAGTAGAAGCAAGATGCAAACACATACAAACATGTATGATGTTATTTATTTTCTCACTGGCACTGGCCTACTGCACTTAAACATTTCCATCAGACTCAAAAAATAATTTTATTTCAGAAAAAATATTTTACCTATTTAGCTTTTGTTTATACTGTTTTATTATTAATAGGTTTTTTTTTCTTTTTTTAAGAGATAGGATCTTGCTGTGTTGCCCAGGCTGATCTCCAATTCCTGGCTTCAAGCAATCCTCCTGTCTCAGCCTCCTGTGCAGCTGGGACTATAGGTATATGCCACTGCTCCCAGCTTGACTTAATGGAATGTGTTTTTATTCACCCATTGGAAAAGCCTTTGCTACATATTAATACAAACTTCTCATTAATAAACCCTCCTTTTTTTTTTTTTTGAGACGGAGTCTCGCTCTGTCGCTCAGGTACGATCTCGACTCACTGTAACCTCCTCCGCCTGGGGTCAAGCAATTCTCCCGTCTCAGCCTCCTGAGTACCTGGGATTACAGGTGCACGCCACCATGCCCAGCCACTAATAAATCCTTCTTTAAGTAAGAAAATAATATAACATGAGCATAACTTTGCATGAATTTTAATGTCCTGGAGGCTTGTTGCTTTGTATAAAGTGCAGGTCAGTAAAAATTAAAATGAGGTAATGTGGTATAATACGATTAACCCAGTAAGGGTACAATAAAGGATGGCTATTATTATTATTATATTGTTATTATTATTTTGAGACAGAGTTTTGCTCAGTCACCCAGGTTACAGTGCAATGGCACGATCTCGGCTCACTGCAACCTCCACCTCTGGGTTCAAGCGATTCTTCCGCTTCAGCCTCCCAAGTAGCTGGGATTACAGGCACCTGCCATCATGCCCGGCTAATTTTTTGTATTTTTAGTAGAGACGGGGTTTCATCATGTTGGCCAGGCTGGTCTTGAACTCCTGACCTCAGGTGATCCACCCACCTTGGCCTCCAAAAGTGCTGGGATTACAGGTGTGAGCCACCGCGCCAGGCCAAGGATGGCTATTATTTTCACATGAATTCAACTGAAATCACGATAGGGCAACACCAATAACAATGTTTCCTATATAGCTTAAAAACTGTTCTTTGTCATCCCCTCATCTACCCAATAGGGAATTAGAACTAGCCTGTTAGGTTGCTTGACAGGACCACTGAATGCTGGGAATCAACCATACTCTATTCTCTCATTTAACAGATGGGGAAGCAGAGGTCCAGGGAATTTGGGAAACTTGTCCACAAAGGGACAACTACTTTGTGGCTGAACTATGTCTAGGACCAGGGCTCTCTTTATCAACATGAGTATCTCCTTCCTTTATCTGCCCCTTCATGTTTACAAGGCACCTCCTCAGCTCCATGATTTTGTTTGTTACGCTACATCACTCAGCTCATGAAAACGGCTTTTTTTCCTCTTTTCTTGTCTTTGGAAGATTTTTTGCATTCTTGTAGCAGCTGATTCCATACTAACCTTTAAATTGAAAAAATATATATACACACAGACACGTATGTGAATATGTGGGAGAAACAGCACTAGGTCTCCCTGGACAACCCAGTGCAGGCCACACCTTGGCAGTCACAGAGCACAAATAAGAAATGATCTTCCCGTGTGAGTTGCTTTCGACACTTCAATGCTAAAGAGCTCAGAAGTGCTTACACTTTGAAAGAAGCCTGAAAACATTTGTAGGCTACCCTTTAATGTGTCTCATTTGGAGATAGAACAGTGAGCAGGTTGACCAGCTGCTCTTCATGTACTTCTTGCAGTAAATCCTTCAAAGAATGAAGAGTGAAGACAATTCATTTTCCCTCCTGGAATTTTTCCTTCTTATTATTTTGCTTTTTTAAAGGTTGTTATATTCAGGTATAGGCATAAGACATTATAAAAGATAAGGGGTATCATGTGAGGGAGGAAATCCGACAATCCAAAAAATCTTCCATAGAAATTAAAAATCAGAACTTGGGGGCAAGGTAGGAGGCAACACATTCTTTCTACAGAGCTGTGACACATAGCCCAACTGTCCTCAAAAGCAGGAATAAAAAAAATAAACAACAACAACAACAAAAAACAGACCTCAGCTGCATAATGAAGCTGGGGTCTTGGCCTGATAGCTTTTAATGTCCTTAAAACGGGGCTGGGCATCAAGCATCTTTTCCGGAATAGGCCAAGGAAGACAAGTCCAGTTTGGTTTTTAAGGCTTTAGTGAGCTCTGCGGCCAGCAGCTCATGGAGGGACACGCCGTCGTGGGAGTACACCCAGTTTTTCCCAGTCCAGTCATAACGCTTAGGTCCACTGGAAGACAAAACAAATGCATAGTAATTCCACAGCACAGCCCTTCAGATGAACCACTGATTCCACAAATGCTGCCCCCAAGAAATTGACTGGAGTAAAGCTCTAGAAAATAACACAAAATGAGCTAGTGTATATCTGCCTTCTTATCTTAGCATCTAAGAAGAGTTATACGATATATCTTCTGGAACAATTCCAAGAATGATTCTCAAAACCTGAAAAAACATTTGACCCTTACTGATAAGTCTCCAGGTATCACACTTTGATCTCCAGCTTTTGCTACCTCACATGTGATACCTGCTATGCTGGAGCAGTGTTTTAAAAATTAGGGCCATTTTTGTGCTACAGATGTAACTTGTGCCTTACCTATAATATTATTAGTTGTTAAGGTGAAATTCACATAACACATTAACCATTTAAAAATGAATAATTTGGTGGCATTTAGTACATTTACAATGTTGTGCAACCACTACCTCTGCCTAGCTTCAAAACATCTGCATCACCCCAAAAGGAGACCCAGTGCTGTTGTTCCTTGGTATCCATAGGGAAGGGGTTCCAGGATCTGCAGATACCAAAATCCGTGGGTACTCAAGTCCCTGATATGAAATGGTACGATACATGCATCTAACCTAGGCACATCCTTCTGTATGCTTTAAGTCATCTCCAGATTACTTATAATGCCTAGTACAATGTAAATGCTGTTAATAGTTGTTATATTGGTTTTTATTTGTATCATTTTTGTTTTGTTTTTTATTTTCAAATATTTTGATCCACGGTTGGTTGAATCAGATGTGGAACCCACAGATACACAAGGCCAACTATACCCATTAAACAGTTATTCCCCATTCCTTCCTCTCCTAGCACCCCAGCAATCACCTAAACTATTATTTTTAAAACATATTTTTCTTAATTCAGTGTTAAATTCATGACATTGAGAGCCTGGTGGGCTAGTTCATCCACCTCAAGCTCATCCAGTGAATAATGGCACATGCACGTTGCTTTGGGAATGCTGTATTCGTGTGGACAGATCGGAGGCTGGCTTCTGCCATGTCTTCTTATACCAGATGTACATTCCACTTCCTCATGGCCTCATGGATGATTGGCCACGGCAGCAGATAACACTAGTGCATGTGGCACCCTGATGGAGGTAAGAACAGAGTGCATGGGAGCCCAGAAGAAAGGGCACCTGAGTCTGCCTGAGCACTCAAGGAGGGCTTTTCCAAAGACTGAGGCTAGGATGAGGTCACCAGGAAGGGAAGCTTGGGCAATAAAAGTATCAAGGATTCCTGCATTATCAACCAAATGCTGGGGCTTGAACCTGTTCCCAGTATGGAGATAAAAATGAGTGAACCAAACCATCAGGGTCACAGGAAAAGGACTAATAAACCACACCAAGCCCAAGGACCGTCCCCTTGGCCCTATACTCTGATACTGCTATCGGGTTGCCAGGCAGAGCCTGAGTAACCTCTAGACCCCTCCACACTGCCTGAGGTGCTCTGAGCACAGGCACTGATGCCCACGTGTCCCTAGAATTCTCCTTTATTCTGCAACCTCCTCAGGGTGCGCAAGGTGGGAGGTAAGACTGCTGATTTCACAGGACCTGAAAACTTGTCAAATTAAAAAAAACAAACAAACAAAAAAAACAGGCTGCTGCAGTGGCTCACACCCATAACCCCAGCACTTTGGGAGGCTGATGTGGGAGGATTGCTTGAAGCCACGAGTTTCAGACCAACCTAGGCAACAAAGTGAGACCCCATGTTGACAAAAAAAATTATTTTTAATTAAAAATAAATAAAATTAAGAAAAAAAAAACAAAACAAAAATCAGAAATGCAGCCAGATGAAAGATATTTTGAACCAATGTGAAAGGCTGAGAGAAAAAAAAACAAAATTTTTTTTATATTAAACAACCTTTATTTGAAAAATAGTGCCTTACCATCCTAATGCTATCAATCAAACTTCAATAAGAGCAACTGCAGCATCAACCAATAACAGTTGCTAAATTAACAAGAGATCAGTCAAAAGTGCTTTAAAGGCAGCAGCACTGGCTGGTGTTTCCCTGAGCCTCTGGGCATTCAGGACCCAGGTACAGGGAAAACAGAATCAAACCAGCTGGTGTTCTGCATCCAAGCCCTCGCATCGTTACCTGCCTCCCTCCTGGTGGCCCTGGTGGCCCATGGTCCCCCTAGCACTTCTGAGCCCCTGTCAGCTGTGGGCGGGGCGCCAGGAGCCACAGGCCACTTGTAAAAGGTTGGAACTTGGTCTCATGGTCAGCTGGTTTCTTCCCATTGTGGTCATTTTCTTTTTGGAGTGCCTGGAGCACTCTCTCAATGGACACGGCGGCCCTCCAGCCTTCCTGGGCCGTTTTCTTTCTTTTTTTTTTTTTTGAGATGGGGTCTCACTGTGTCACCCAGGCTGGAGTGCAGTGGTGTGATCTCAGCTCACTGCAACCTCTGCCCCACAGACTCAGGCAATCCTTCCACCTCAGCCTCCTGAGTAGCTGGGACCACAGGCATGCATCACCACACCCGGCTAATTTTTGTATTTTTGGTAGAGACGGGGTTTCACCATGTTGCCCAGGCTGGTCTGGAACTCCTGAGCTCAAGCCATCTGCCTGCGTCAGCTTCCCAAAGTGCTAGGATTACAGGTGTGAGCTACCGTGCTTGCCCCCTGGGCCATTTTCTTACAGCAAATTGGAAGAGTCTTTCTTCAATTCCTGGGCCAGGTTTTGGGCCATCTTCATGTAGTGGTCATGGGTGTGACACATGTGGTTCAAGTTTTCATGCACCTTGCTTAGTCTCTGCTAGAGGTCGGGCAGTAGGCATCCTCCTCCGTGGACTCCCGCTATGGCCTCATCACGTTTTTGGTGCAGTTCAGGCAGAGCGGGCAGCATCAGCTGCAGCCTCAGGAGCTCCGTCTCCAGCTGTGCCCTTGCACCCTACAGAGGCCTACTCTCCAAGCTCTTTACTCCTTTGGATTTCTTCAGAGGGACTTGTAGCCAGGAAGCGGGGAGACCACCATGTCTGGTTTCCCTGTTCCCCTCCACTGCCAAGTCCCCATCATACCACCCTTGAGCAGAGGCAGGACATTCAGCGGGGTGAGTGTCAGAAAGTGACATTATTTATGCAATGTCTTGGGGGAGTGGAAAGAACTCACAGTAGCCGCTTAGCACGAGGAGGCCAGTTGCTTCACTCCAACATTCATGGCCTGTTTCATTCCTGCCTTGGCCTTTCCTTCTTCTCCTCCTTTTTTTGAGACAGTCTCACTCTGTCGCCCAGGATGGAGTGCTGTGGCACGATTTCAGTTCGTTACAACCTTCGCCTCCTGGGTTCAAGCAATTCTCCTGTCTCAGTCTCCCAAGCAGCTGGGATTACAGGTGCCTGCCACCATGCCTGGCGAATTTTTTGTATTTTTAGTAGAGACAGGGTTTCACTATGTTGCCCAGGCTGGTCTCAAACTCCTGACCTCAAGTGATCCGCCTGCCTTGGCCTCCCAAAGTGCTGGGATTACAGGCGTGAGCCACTGTGTCTGGCCCCTTCTTCTTCGCCTGCAAGCATTGCTTCTGTCTCGCAATTTCTTGGTCAGGCAGCTCTGCGGTTTGCTGATGGTCAGTGCCGTCATTCAGATAGTCTGCAGTTTGCCCCTGAAGATCCTCTCCATGGTGCTGTGAAGCATGCAGGACGCACTTTGCATCAGTCACTCGGGGAAGTTCAGGAGGCCTGCTTTTCATGCTTTTTCAGAAACTAACCTAGGTCCTGACACGAGGACCTGCTCATTTCATTTGGAACCCTCGAACAGAGGGTTTGGAGCAATCAAGGACTGGCCTCTGGCATGGTCAACGTAAGACCACCACCAGCCTGAGGTGCTGGCCGCATCTTGGCCCTGGCCTTTCTGTGGATCTCACCTTGGGCCGATTCTCCCCTTCTCAGCTTGTCATCTTCTGACTGTGAAGGCCACCACAGCAGTGCACGCCTGGGTCACCCAGGGTATTTATAGGTTCCTTGGCACTAGTCCTAAGATTCTGCACATCACTAGCACTGCCGCCCACAGGAGGGCCAGCAGCAGCTGAGTTGGCATGTCGTGGCGGCCAGCAGGCCCTCTGTGGCTCCCGAGGGCTCTGCAGCTCTGCCTCCACTTGCCAGTGGCCTGTGGGCCACAAATCACCACTCGGAACCCTGTGGGGTGTTCCGTCTCAAACAAAAACAAGGGCCCATCAGTCATTGTAGAACTTCTGTTGGGCTGGGGGGAGGGGAGGCACCCCATGTTCTAGAAAATTGTGTCCCTGATTTTGCTGTGCAAACAGAAAGTGACATTATTTATGCAATGCCTTGGGGGAGTGGAAAGAGCTCATAGTAGCCCCTTAGCACAGGCCACTCCAGGCTCCACCTGGCCCTACAGCACAGCTAGTGGGTCAAAGCAGGGCCAGGTCATAGCCCCGTGTCCACATGCGATCCTCTCAGGGTAGCATGGTGGCCTGCCTCTGTCCCTTCTGAGGCTCGTTACCAATTTCAAGCTTCCTTCTGCTGCAGGGAAGCCCGGTCCCACCTACAAAGAGTCTGTCTCCCTTGCTAGATTGAGCTCCTTGAAGATGGGACTGTGTTTTCTTCATCTCTGTATTTCCAGTAGCTCATCAATGCCCATTATACACTAGAGGCTAAGTCATTTTGGGCCCTGTTTTCTTGTTGACTCTATTCTGACTTAGGACATGTCACTTTCCCCACTGGACCTGCATATTCACATCTGTGAATAAGAGTAAGTGGGTAAAGACCCTTCTTGCTTTAAAGCCCCTCCAATACAGAGACCTCTGAAACCAGAAGCAGAAGCTGAGGAGTGGTGAATGGAGCATTTTCCCTGGCATGATGGCTGAGACCTGCAGATCTGGCTATGAGGGTGGTATCTTGCCAGTTGAATGCCTCTGCAGAATTTCACCCTACTTTTCAAAGCAGACTCAAGGATGATCTTTATTGTTGATAATTTCATGTTTTTGTTGTTGTTGTTGTTGTTTTGAGGCTTTGATATTGACACAACAGCTTCTGGAAATCTTTTCCACAGAGAGTATGGGGACTTCTTTAGCCAAGTTGGGCGGGTGCAGGCTCCAACTGCTCGGCAGCCACTGTCCGGGCCACAGCATGTCCACAACCTCCTGCTCCTCTACAGGGGTTTCTCCAGACATAACCGTGTGTCTGGTCATGCCATTTGCCACAGGTATAAAAACAATGACGACGGCCCGAAACTGCGGGATCTTCCCGCGGAATCCTGTGCCTTCGCAGGTACAGCTACACGGCGCTCCCGCGCTCCGGCCTGCTCCTTCCAAGAAGACAGGCGCAGAACGGCCTGGGTCCTGCTCCCCCGGAACCCCGCAGTCTGTGTGGGCAGCAGGCCGGGAGTGGGGAGAGCCGCCCTGGTGGTGAGGCCCGGAGCGGGACGGCTGTGTTAGGCAGCATCCTGGCCTCCAGTGACCAGCAGACTGACTCGGCCTCCATCCCCCGCTGGGAGCTGCCGTCTTGCCGCCACTTCCCACAGAAGCACTGAGAGCTTGTCCTCAGGGCCCGCTTCTCTGCCTCCCTTCCCCCGACTCCCATCCGGCGGTGGCCACTCTGGATCTGCCGGAAACGGCGCAGGAAGGGGAGGGGCCTGAGGTGGACCGGGGAGCCTGTGGTCTCTGGGTGTGGCCTGCTCTGGCCAAGGCACCTCTTCAGTCTCACCCAGTCTCAACCTGCCCCGTCCCCCATATATATATATATATTTTTTTTTTTTGAGGAAGATAGTATCTGTGACAGTAAACGGCATGCTCAGCAGATCTTTCCAAATTCCCATGCTTCTGAACACAGCTAGAGCGTATTGCTGGGCAGTGTGTCCAAATACGATATGGACGTTTTCAGTCTTCAGATATGGGGAAAGTTCTTTTGGGGTAAGTGCCTGCCCGATATCTACAAAGCCACTGATCCCCAAAAGTGATCGCTGGACCGAGCTGATCCACTTCGTTCCCCCGGAGATGAAGGATAAGAACACACAGGCTCAAGCACAGCCAGGGTCAGGAAGAATGACTGAGGCCACAGAGGCTAGTTGGCCCACAGAGGTTAAAATCCTCCAACCTCCAGCACACTAACTGGGTCTAAAAACCAATACAATCTGTGAATTAGGGCCTTCCTAGAATGACAGTGATTTCTAGTGCTGTTTTTGTTGAACTCTAGCACACTTCTTGGATGAAAGTGTGGGGAAAGGAAACACACTATTTATTCTGAACAAAGCATTAGAGATCACAGAATAATAAATGGGAAAATATTAATTACCTAAAAATGATGTCAATGTTAGGGGGTAGAGTAAGGTTATAATTTTTAAAAAATGCAAATACCGTTAGTCTTTCAAAGAATTCTATGCTAGTTTTATCTGGCCCTTTCCCAATTCACAGTCAACATGCTCTCTTTGGAAGTGCTAATGAATGACTGGATCTGAGAACGTTTTGTGGGCATTTCTCTTTTACTTTCTTACAACCACTTCAACAGCAGCCAGGCTGCTGAGGGATGAGGGATGTCTCTCCCTGCATGTTCTCAGGCTTTCAGATGCTATGCAGGCCACATTGTGTCTCCAACACAATCTTTTATTCCTCTAGATTGAAAGCACATCAATGGAAAAGGCAGGAGGGATTAAATGCCCTGGAGCAGCAATATATAACACTCTACCACCTCCACAGGGTACACAACCCCAACCTGCAAAGGGAATTCAAATAACCCTTTACCTGAGAGGCTCAAAACAAGTAGAGGTCAAACTTTAACTTGCTTTGAAGACAAAGTGCAACTTGTTCAAACGCTACAAGGTCAAAAGTAGCTTCTTTTAAAGTCAGGGCAATAATTTAATAGAGGAAAACTGTCTAGGCTGGATTTGGAAAAGTTATAAGCTACTCACTTCAGATCTTAATATCCTGATGCCTGCTTACAGTATCCAAATTGTCAGCAGGGAGAAGTTATGTAACTAGAGTAAACTTTTCTACTGAGAATGAGACAGGCTGCAAAATATCAGGAAAGGCTCACTTACAAGGATGCTAACATAAGACGATGACTTTTTTTTTTTTTTTGGGACAGGGTCTGGCCCTGTTGCCCAGGCTGGAGTGCAGTGGCGCGATCTTGGCTCACTGCAACCTCCACCTCCTGGGCTCAGGCTGAGGCTCAACCTCAGCCTTCCAAGTAGTTGGGACTATAGGCGTGTGCCACCACACCTGGCTAATTTTTATATTTTTAGTAGAGGTGGGGCTTTGTGACATTGCCCAGGCTGGTCTCAAACTCCTGAGCTCAAGTGATCCACAGGCCTTGGCCTCCCAAAGTGCTGGGATTACAGGTGTAAGCCTGCACCCAGCTGTGACTTTATTTTTATTTTCTTTACAGAGACAGGGACTCACTATGTTGCCCAGGATGGTTCTGAACTCCTGTCCTCAAGTGATCCTCCTACCTCAGCCTCTCAAAGTGTTGGGATTACAGGTGTCAGCCACTGTGCTCAGCCGACATTTCTTAAATGGTCCACAATGTCACATTTCGGAAGTCTTTAAGAATTACATATGTTGACTTCTGAACATACCTACATACCTGGATGGAGAAGATAGCCAGATTTGCTTGTTTGGCGTCTGCTTGTTGATCACATAGGTTCCTAGATCTCCACCCAGTTTGACAGTTAAGACACCACTCTAGGGGATTAGGTGGAAAAAAAGCATAAAGAAATTAAAACAAGAAAAAGTTAGCACTTTGTCATCATTGCTTCATGTTTTATCTCAACACTTTCCATTTCTACAAGTACACAAAATACACCATAAAGAAATGTCTTTTAGTATTTAGAAATAGGAGTTTGTGTAGGAAGAGCTTTGCTTTCAGAATCAGAATAGGATTAATCATAATGATGTTGTATCTCATAGAGCTTTCCCTGTTCCCTGTGAGGTCTGCAAGGTGAGAATGGTGGTGAAGCTCGGAGAGTTAAGTGACCTGTCTCAGGTCTTGGTGCTGGCATCTGGGACTGCTGGTTTGTTGCCCTCAACCATCAACCAGAACATACTAGAGGACATAAAAAAAATGCAGACTCTAACTCTATTAGAGTACCACGTCAACTCAAACATCAGACATGACAAGTCTATTACAGAGGAAGTAAAAGGAAGGTAAGGAAGTATGCAAACCATCTGCTTTGCTTGTCTTAGGAGAGCATTAGCTTCAGCTCTGTTGGTAGAAGGCAGAAACTCCAGATGAAGTTTTTTATTTCCAGACTCTTCCCACGCATCTAACAAGCTTCTCAGATACTCCTCCAAGGCTTTATTTTTCTCTAAAGAGCCTTGAATTCTTCAAAAGACTAGTTGGTGCATCTTTGACCAATAAATGCTCATTTAAATTTGAAAACACTCTTTCAACAAAAGAGTCCTTTACTTCTAAGGCCTGTGGTCTCTTTAGAATGGGTGAGATATGAAAGAAACAGCTACAGGGCTAGTTCTCTGTATTTGAACTGGTAAGCAGGGGGAAGCCTGCTGTTCCCCATCTTGTGCATGACTTGCAGAGATACACGGTGGCAGCCTTTTTCTGTGCATTCTAGAGCCTCCATCCAATCGAGAGGCTCTGAATGATTCTTATAACACACTTTTGCAAACACAGAGAGCTATTTAGGCCAGGCATGGCTCATGCCTGAAATTCCAGCACTTTGGGAGGCCGAGGCAGGCAGATGGCTTGAGCCCAGAAGTTCCAGACCGGCCTAGGCAATATGGCAAAACCCTGTCTCTACTAAAAATGCAAAAATTAGCCAAGTGTGGTGGCATGCGCCTGTGGTCCCAGCTACTTGGGAGGCTGAAGTGGGAGGATCACCTGAGCCCAGGAGGTTGAGGCTGCAGTGAGCTGAGATCACACCACTACACACCAGACTGGGCGACAGAGATCCTGTCTCAAAAGCAAAGCAAAACAAAACAAAAAACCCAAAAAACAAAGAGTTATTGAAATTCCAGAGGGTAGTAACAATAATAATATAACTGATAGGAATGGGACAAGGGGCACTACTGGGTTATTTTTTTAAAATAACATCTTTTTCTGATTCAAAAACAAATGTATAGAAATGATGGAGACGTCAGCAATGCAGACACTGATAAAAATATTAACCACTATTTACTCGGTTCCTACTGTGCCAGGCTTGGTGTTTGGCACTTTGTGTAAATTGTTTCCAACTTGACTACAATTGTTGGCGGTAGGATTCATTATTCCAGTTTCACAGATGAGGAAAACAGAGGTTCATAGTAAAGAGTACTCAGTAATTGGCAGAGCTAATCTTAAATCCAGGTCTCTGTGGGTCCAAAGACACTGTTCTTTCTATAAGATGAAGCATTCTCTCAATCCCATTAACCAGCGATAAAAGATATTCACTCTCAGGTATCAGCTGCCAGTTTTTGTTTGTTTGTTTTTACAACAGGGTCTTGCTCTGTTGCTCAGGCTGCAGCAGTGGCAGGATCATGGCTCACTGCAGCCTCAAACCCCTATGCTCAAGTGATCCTCTGACTCAGTCCCTGCCTCCAGAGAGCTGGGACTACAGACACCACACCTGTCTAATTTTAACATTTTTCTTTTGTAGAGATGAGGTCTCGCTATATTGACCAGGCTGGTTTCAAACTTCTGGCCTCAAGTGATCCTCCTACCTCGGCCTCCCAAAGTGCTGGGATTATGTTACAGGTGTGAGCTACTGCACTCGGCCCCATTTTTTTTTTTTTTAATTTTACTATAGTAAAAAGCACATAACGCTAAATTTACCATATTAACCATGTTAAGTGTACAGAACAATAAAGTATATTCACACTGCTGGGCAGCATAACTCTAGAACTTTTCACCTTGTAACACTGAAACTCTATGCCCATTAGACACTAATTTCCCCATCCCATAGCCCTTAGTAACCACCTGTCTACTTTCTATTTCTATGATTTTGACTAAAAAAAAGATGTTTTTTTAATTGAAAATAAAAATTATACATTTATGGTGGTGTTTCTGTGATTTTTGACTACTTTTGACTACTTCATCAGTGGAATCATAAGTATTTGTCCTTTTATGAGTTGACTGCCAGTTTTTGAAAGCATTTTTTAAAAGGGCTGGGATTATACAATACGTAAGTTTGTTTAAAAAAACATTTTTTTTCCTGAAACCCATTTTTACTGTTTTGGTATGACTATATTTCATTTATTTAAAAGTTTCTTAAAACTGAGGCTGCATGTGGTGACTCATGCTTGTATCCTGGCACTTCGGGAGCCCAAGGAGGGAGGATCGCTTGGGCCCAGGAGTTCAAGACCAGACTGGGCAACATGGTAAAACCTTGTTTTTACAAAAAATTACAAATTCACTGGGTGTGGTGGTGCGCACCTATAGTCACATCTACTTGGTAGGCTGAGGTGGGAGAATCGCTTGAGCCTCAGAGATTGAGGCTGCAATAACCGGTGATCACGCCACCACACTTCAGCCTGGGTGACACAGAGAACTTCTCTCAAAAACAAATAAATAAAAGTTTCTTAAAACTGTATAATTCAGGAGTTTTTAGTATTTCACAAAGTGTGCAAACATCACCACTATCTAATTCCAGCTATTTCCATTGTCCCAAAAAGAAACCCCGCACCCGTTAATACTATTTCCCACTCCTCTCATACAGAGTTTTATAAATTATTTTTCCATGAGATAAAGAGCTCATCCAACAATGATAGACTGGATTAAGAAAATGTGGCACATATACACCATGGAATACTATGCAGCAATAAAAAATGATGAGTTCATGTCCTTTGTAGGGACATGGATGAAACTGGAAATCATCATTCTCAGTAAACTATCGCAAGAACAAAAAATCAAACACTGCATATTCTCACTCATAGGTGGGAACTGAACAATGAGAACACATGGTCACAGGAAGGGGAACATCACACTCTGGGGACTGTTGTGGGGTGGAGGGAGGGGGAAGGGGGGAGGGATAGCTTTAGGAGCTATACCTAATGCTAAATGACGAGTTAATGGGTGCAGCACACCAGCATGGCACATGTATACATATGTAACTAACCTGCACATTGTGCACATGTACCCTAACACTTAAAGTATAATAATAAAAAAAAAGAGCTCAAAGAATCAACACACAATCATTGGTAATTTGTTCTCTTTGTGGCCCTTAAATGCTCCAGTTGTGTGTTGCACCCTATACTGGGGGGCCACAATCCAGCAGAAAGGGCAGAGGACTGAGTATAAGACGCGAGTTCCAGGTCTGGTCTCATCACTGATGAGCGGCGCCTGTCTGCCTTGATGTCTCTCCTGCCTCCTTCGAGGACTCAGGGCAAGAACTAGGGGCAGATGCGTGCTCAAGGTCTCCGCACTTGCGTCCATCACCACAATGCCTCAGCATACAGCAAATCAGGGGGTGCACATGCAACCACTGAAGCCAAAATTGACTTTTTCCTATCGGAATTGGAAATCTTTTGAGTGACTCCAGGTATCAGGCCACTCTTTTTCAAAGGGCATATTAATAAGCAAATGTGAGAGCCCTTCTAGCTCCACAGCTCTCAAGCTATTTTCACCCCCTGGCACCTTCTCTGCAGTCAACTTCCTCCCTCCCCACATGAGACCCACTCACCTCTACCCTGCTACCCCTCTGTGGGTCCCATTGCCTCGTGGTGCTTCCTGCCTCTGCATTCAGAGCTGCCTGACTGCTTGCTTGTCCCCTGACCTCCACTACTTTAAGCACCTTAGCAGCAGGAGATCTGTCTTTTCATGCTAGCATCTGCAGGTCTAGCACCTCCATCCCTCCTGCAAAAAGGACATTTGTGAATGAATGACCAACTGGTCAAATAGTGAATGAGCAGATGATGTCCAGGTAGTGTGATACCATCTGCCCAACTTAGGGCAAGGTTACACAGGGCAGAAAACCCCAATGCTCAACTTCCTCCCACCAGTCTGTTCACTGTAAATAGATTTTTTCCCCCACAGATCTTGAAACTATTTTGGAAGGAAAGTGGTGACAGGAAAGAAACTAGCTGCATTAGTTCAGCAGAAATTCTTAATGCTTTTGGAACTGACTACAAATAGACCAGATAAAGAGGGCTTTCTCTTCATCATCATCATTATTCCTTAGACAATCTGAGTCTATTTTGGGAGTGTGCATGCCCTTAAGTGCAGGGGGAATAGTCAAAATATGTAGCAGTTTCTGAGATGCAGGCACTAGCCAATTAGCACAGACAGTGGCCACAGCTGGTGAGTCTTTTTTTTTTTTTTGAGATGGAGTCTCGCTCTGTCACCCAGGCTAGAGTGCAGTGGCTCGATCTTGGTTCACTGCAAGCTCTGCCTCCCGGGTTCACGCCATTCTCCTGCCTCAGCTTCCCGAGTAGCTGGGACTACAGGCGCCCACCACCACGCCCAGCTAATTTTTTTGTATTTTTTTAGTAGAGACGGGGTTTCACCGTGTTAGCCAGAATGGTCTCGATCTCCTGACCTCGTGATCCGCCCGCCTTGGCCTCCCAAAGTGCTGGGATTACAGGCGTGAGCCACCACGCCCGGCTGGTGAGTCTTATTGACTCCTCCTAGTCAAGATCAGCCCTACCCATGTAGGAGCAAAAATAGCAATTACTGTTGTCACTAGCTCACTTGTAGAAATAGACACATATAAGATGGCATGTTGGGTCTGGAGACTTCACATACATATGACCTCCTTCATTTCTAAAGTAGATACCAACTTGCTAGGATGCACTTTTACCTATGCCATTTTAATTGATCCTCTTATAAATCTGAAGAGAGGAGGTTAATGTCACTCATCTCATAGCTGAGGAAACTGCAGCTCGCAAAAGTTAGATATCACTTAAGGACTCTTGGAAAGAAAATACAAATCCAGGATGCTAAGCCAGATCCTTTGTCTCCATATCCAATGAGATGGTGCCTCACTGGGCCAGGAACAGTGACTCACACCTCTAATGCCAGCACTTTGGGAGGCTGAGGCCAGTGGATCACTTGAGGTCAAGAGTTCAAGACCAGCCAGGCCAACATGGTGAAACCCCATCTCTACTAAAAATACAAAAAAAAAAATTAGCTGGACATAGTGGCACGCGCCTGTAATCCCAGTTACTCGGGAGACTGAGGCAAGAGAATCCCTTGAGCCCAGGAGGTGGTGGTTGCAGTGAGCTGAGATCGTGCCACTGCACTCCAGCCTGGGTGACAGAGTGAGATCTCTCTCAAAAAAAAAAAAAAAAAAAAAAAAAAAGATGCTGCCTCTGAGCAGGGGTTTTTAACTTGGGATTAAGTGGTCTCAGGGGGCTGCAGACACTTCCAGCTTGAAGCTGGAATGGTACTCCTGAGTATGTTAACTTAAGTGTAGCTAAAACTGCCTCCTTACCTATTTTGAGTTCGGATCTAAGGGCTTCTCTGTACATAGTGAACTGCAATCTACTCTTGTACCAATCACCGAGTTTTGGCTAATCAAAGGCGGCCAACTGTTCAAACCAAGTTTAAGGCAAACACCAAGCTGTAACCAACCTGGCTGTTTCTGTACCTCACTTTCATTTTCCTTTTTCTTTTCTTTTTTTTTAAGATGAAGTCTCGCTCTGTCGCCCAGGCTGGAGTGCAGTGGCGGGATCCTGGCTCACTGCAAGCTCCGCCTCCCAGGTTCACACCATTCTCCTGCCTCAGCCTCCCAAGTAGCTGGGACTACAGGTGCCTGCCACCACGCCCGGCTAAGTTTTTGCATTTTTAGTAGAGACAGGGTTTCACCGTGTTAGCCAGGATGGTCTCGATCTCCTGACCTCATGATCTGCCCGCCTCGGCCTCCCAAAGTGCTGGGATTACAGGCGTGAGGCACCGCACCAGCACCAGGCCCTCACTTTCATTTTCTGCATGTCACTTTCCTTTTTCTGTGCATAAATCCTAAATCCTCTCCAACCACGTGGCACACCGTGGAGTCTCTCTGAACCTATTCTGGTTGCAGCCTTCCCGATTTATGAATCATTCTTTGCTGAATAAAACTCTGTTAATTTGTTTAAAGTTTTTTTTTTTTTTAACAGGTGAGTATGGAAGTTTTTATTGGGAGAGGGACCAGAGCAGTCATCAGATTCTTAGAGGGAGGTCCTGATCCAAAAAAGATGAAGAACCCTCAGTTCTAAGACAGTAATATGCTGACACCTTAGTGAATAAAGAACATGTCAACAAGCAAATCCTTATTAAAATATCTAAGATGCCAGGACTCCACCTGGGAAAAAAAAGAGGTCAGCCTGGAGGTAACTTCAGGTAGTGGGGTGACTCTAACAGTCTCCAGGCAGATTTTACTAGGTCAAGTAGAGCGGACTCCACAGCTGCCTAGTGACAAGAGGTCCTTTCAGCTCTGGTAGAGTGTCTTCTGTAATGACCAGTGCCAGTAAGGGGTGATGCCTGGGCCAGACATTGGCATCCACCTGTTACCTGGACCACTTGATCAGACGACACACCAGTTAAGAAGCCACTTAAGTCTCCCACTCCACAGAGAGAAAAAAGAACAGATGTCCTCTTGGGTGTATCTGGATTACTGCTTTCATTTGTCTATGTGGCCAGTAGCGAGTTGGTAAAAGGTGTATAAATGCTGAGAGGCATCAACGAAAGCATGTTTTGGAAAAGTCTCATTTACATATGAATCAATATTTATTAAGTCCCTACTATGTACTTGGCACTGTTCCAGACACTGGGATCAAAGAATGGACAGTGTCCCTGCTGTTGAGGAACTCAGTGTGTTATAGGTGGTAGCTGACGTGTAAATAGACAATTATAACACAGAGGGATCAGTGCTCCACAGAGTCAACCTCAGAGTGCTGGGCAAGGGAGAAAGGAAGGACCGTGTCTGCTTGGAGTATCTAGGAAGGCTTCACAAAGGAGGTAACTTCTAGCTATATCTCAGGGGAGGAAAAGACTGCTCTCCCACAAAGCTCAAGTAATAATATTATCAAACATGAAATACATAAATTAGTTAGCACCTGAAGGACTCTAATCAGGAATTCATACTCTAGGGTACAGAGTTAGCATTTCAATGTAGTTAATCACAAGTCCAAACTATAGATGGCAGCCACTGTATAGCTTTAGCTTTCTAAATCTACACTTAAGCATTTGCTAATTAGTAAATGATTTGTTAGAAATAATTTTGCCCTTGAGTGATACTCAAGGTATATGAATTGGCTAGAAAAATATAGGCATCTCTTCCTTTGAAAGAATGGGTTACAGAATCTGGAAAGCCTACTAGCCTAATGTTGTCTTCAGAGAGACAATCTCAGGGCAGGAATCAGGAAGGTTCTCTGACCCACTACTGGGAGCAGAAGGTTTTGTCGCCTGGTTCAAATTGATTCAATGATGTGAGAAATAAAAACAAAATTCTAAGCTCCCAACTGACTCAACAAACTATCTTTTGGCCAAGGGGAGCCCAGAGATATCTAAAAAAAATTTTAAGTTTTGGCCATGATGGGAAAGGAGTTCAAACAGGACTCGTTCTATTCCCTCCCTAACTGCCATTAGTTTTTTTTCCCCTAAGGGCTAAATAGAAACTAGCCCTTTCAAAAAAATTATTTCAGGCCATGCATGGTGGCTCATGCCTGTAATCCCAGCACTTTGGAGCTGCCTGTAATCCCAGCACTTTGGGAGGCCAAAGCAGTTGGATTACCTGAGGTCAGGAGTTCAAGACTAGCCTGACAACATGGCAAAACCCAGTCTCTACTAAAAATATAAAAAAATTAGCCAGGCGTGGTGGCAGGCGCCTGTAATCCCAGCTACTCGGGAGGCTGAGGCAAGAGAATCACTTGAACCCAGGAGGTGGAGGTTGCGATGAGCTGAGATCACACCACTACACTCCAGCCTGGGCAACAGAGCAAGACTCCATCTCAAAAAGAAAAAAAAAAAAAAGACTCACTTCACCACTGGTATCAACTCATCACCTAATTCTGCCCTTCCTTTTTAGTGGTTTCAGCACAACTGACTAGCATTCCTTCCTGATAACCACTGACCACAGAGTGGTCTAAGACAGGGTCTTGCCCTGTCATCCTGGCTGGAGAACAGTGGTGCGATCATGGCTCACAGCTGCCTCGAACTCCCAGTCTTAAGTGATGCTCCTGCTTCAGCCTACCAAATAGCTAGGTTATGTAGATATGCAGTCTCATTTTGTTGCCCTGTAATACATGTTAGTGTTAAGTTTCTGCCTAAGGTGAACATGGGAGACATGCTGCACACGTTAGCTTACTCCACATGTGTGCATATTCATAGATCCTCCCTTTGTGAATATTCATAGATCCTCCCATAATCTGTTGAATATGTATGCTTAGCTACGCCTCTCAGCATAAATTCATGTTCCCTTTGCCCCTTCTTGGAAGTGCTTGTTTTTCAGTTATGGCCAGAGGCTCTGCTTCCTGCCTACAGGTAGTGGGACCCTCTTTAGAAATAGTCCTCCTTTCTAAATTTATAGATTTGTGGCTGGGTGTGCTGGCACACACCTGTAATCCCGGTGCTTTGGGAGGCCGAGGTGAGAGAATCGCTTGAGGCCAGGAGTTTGAGACCAGCCTGGGAAACATAGCGAGACCCATAAATAAAATAAAATAATTAGCCGAGTATGGTGGCATGTGCCTGTAGTCCCAGCTACTAGGGAGGCTGAGGTGGAACGATCACTTGAGCCCAGAAGCTTGAGGCTGCAGTGAGCTATGATTGTGCCACTGCACTCCAGCCTGGGTGACAGAGCGAGGCCCTGTCTCTAAAAATAATAATACTAAATACCATATTTTTATATAAATATATTTAATTAAATATAAATATATTTGTGACTTTTTCAGTTCAATAGAAGTAAACCAAAAGATGACTTTTGCCAGGTGCCGTGGCTCATGCCTGTTAACCCAGCACTTTAGGAGGCTGAGGCGGGTGGATCACTTGAGATCAGGAGTTTGAGACCAGCCTGGCCAACATGGTGAAACCCCATTTCTACTAAAAATACAAAACTTAGCCCTGTATTGTGGTACATGTCTGTAATCCCAGCTACTCAGGAGGTTGAGGCGGGAGAATCGCTTGAACCTGGGAGGCAGAGGTTGCAGTGAGCTGAGATCACACAACTGCACTCCAGCCTGGGTGACAGAGCTAGGCTTCAACTCAAAAAAAAAAAAAAAGAAGAAGAAGAAGTAAACCAAACGCAGCTGCTAGAATATTGGCACATTTGCTTCTAACAAAACATTCATGCAAAGTACTCTGGTCAAACTGGGGCTTCACTAATCCTATAAAAACAGGTTTCATGACTGTTTTTGTAGCTTGCTAATCAATGTCTGCATGTGTGGGCAGAGTTTAGCCTGCAACTTGGTTTCCCTGCAGTTACAGGCTCTAGTAGAGGCTAGGGGAGAGAAGGCCCTTAACTCCCCCACCTCTGATCAGGCTGTGGATGCTCAAGTTGGTAGGTCAGTTTGTAAGAGTTCCCAAGCAGCCCGGCCCTCTAGGGCTGCCTGTGCAAGCACTTTAAAGCCCTGCCCAGGCACTACTGCATTTTTTGCTGCTAACAGCAATTACTGAATCTACTTGAAAGGCATTCAATCCTTCCCTGCTCCATTGCTCCTTTTTTGTTTTTTCAATTCCCTCACTGTCCTTATAGTCAGGCTTGATACCTTCTCTAAGACTTGGTTGCCTCCTCCATTATGTGGAGTGCCTTCTCCATTCAGTGCTCCCGCTGCAATTTCCAATACTATTTCTATCGCTTTAGTCTGATGGCTGATTGTCCTCAACAATTCCATGATTGAATCCAAAATGCACGCTTCGTGACATTTTCTGGTATTAGTCAATTGCCATCAAGAGGATTAACATCTTTGAGGAGCCAGGCGCGGTGGCTCACACCTGTAATCCTAGCACTTTGGGAGGCTGAGGTGGGAGGATTACTTGAGTTCAGGAGTTCAAAACCAGCCTGGCCAACGTGGTGAAACACTGTCTCTACTAAAAATACAAAAATTAGCTGGGTGTGGGGGCGTGTGCCTATAATTCCAGCTACTTGGGAGGTTGAGGCAGGAGAACTGCTTGAACCCGAGAGGCAGAGGTTGCAGTGAGATCATGCCACTGCACTCCAGGCTGAATAACAGAGGGAGACTCTGTCTCAAAAAACAAACAAACAGACAAACAAACCAACCAACCCAGAAAACCATCTTTGAGGGATTTTCTCCCACTGGCAAAAAAGAACTACTTTAAGGCCTAAGCAATAATTCTAAACCCAAAGGCAGACCCTTGCCCAAATCTGCCACCTGGTGGCCAGTCGATAAAGACCAGCACTTCCCTGGCTTCTAGGATCTGGGGCTAATGTTTCATCCAACTCAGAAGTTCTCACACCAGGCCGGACCTGGTGGCTCACGCCTGTTATCCCAAAACTTTGGAAGGCTGATGGGGGTGGACCATTTGAGGTCAGGAGATCGAGACCAGCCTAACCAACATGGTGAAACCCCGTCTTTACTAAAATGCAAAAATTAGCTGGGCATGGTGGCAGATGCCTATAATCCCAGCTACTCGGGAGGCTGAGGCAGGAGAACTGCTTGAACCCAGGAAGCGGAGCAGTGAGCCGAGATTGCGCCACTGCACTCCAGCCTGGGTGACAGAGTGAGACTCCTTCAAAAAAAAACAAGTTCTCATACTAGCTGCATATTGGAATCATCTGTGGAGCTTAAAAATCCCAGTGCCCTGCCCAGGTCATGCCACACCCCAGACCAAGTAATCAAAATCTCTAGGAATAAGACCTAGGGATACACATTAGAATCCCAGGTGAGCTTTTCAAAAATATGCTTCCCAGGAATGCACCCGACCTACCCCATCACTGTCTCACAGGAGCAGGGCTCAAGTCTTTGTAATCTAAATAACTTTTGGGCAGTTATCTTATCCCTACTGAAGAACTACGGGTCTAGTTTGTTGTTCCCTCCATCTGCCTGCTGGACAAATACACACTCAGGCCCCTCTCTGATTTGCCTTCATGGGTATCCACTGAAGCTGGAAAATGAGGCTCAGAGAGGCTGAGTGACTTGCCCAGAGTCACAACAAGCCTGGTAGAGCTGGACTGCAGCTTGAAGCCTAGTCTTGTCTTATCTATCTTATCTATCTATCCAGCTATCTATCTATCTATCTATCTATCTATCCATCCATCCATCCATCCATCCATCCATCCATCCATCTATGACAGAGTCTCGCTCTGTCACCCAGGCTGGAGTGCAGTGGCGTGATTTTGGCTCACTGCAACCTTCACCTCCCGGAACCCTAGTCTTTTAATCCTACCTACAACTACATGCTACTTGATGCTTAGCTCTGCTGGAGGGAAATTCTTCATTTTAGTGAACTAAAATTCTTAGAGGGGGAAACAGAAAAATAAAAGAAGTCAAGAGGTACCCCAAAGGAGACATCATAGTCCTCAAACGTGTATGGCTTGTCTGCAAGGTCTTCAAAAAACTCTGCTAAAGAGTCCAGCGTTTCCTCTGCTAGTCTTTCATAGGTGGTCTCATCTAGAGAGCTGCAGAGGAAGCACAAAACCCAAAACATGATTACCAAATGCTTCCATTTTATTAATATCAAATTTATACATTTGTTATTTAAATTCATTAAATTGATGAAAATAACATGTAAAAAGTAAAAGTTTTTCTTTCTTTTTTTTTTTTTTTTGAGACAGAGTCTCACTCTGTCACCCAGGCTGGAGTGCAGTGGCTGGTCTGAACTCGTGACATCAAGTGATCCACCACGTGCCTCAGCTTCTCGAAATGTTAGGATTACAGGCGTAAGGCACCGTGCCCGGCCCAAAGTAAAAATTTAAAGGCCGGGCGTGGTAGCTCATGCCTGTAATCCCAGCACTCTGGGAGGCCGAGGCAGGCAGATAACACGGTCAGGAGATCGAGACCATCCTGGCTAACATGGTGAAACCCCGTCTCTACTGAAAATACAAAAAATTAGCCGGGCGTGGTGACGGGTGCCTGTAGTCCCAGCTACTCAGGAGGCTGAGGCAGGAGAATGGCGTGAACCTGGGAGGCGGAGCTTGCAGTGAGCCGAGATTGCGCCACTGCACTCCAGCCTGGGCGACAGAGCGAGACTCTGTCTCAAAAAAAAAAAAAAAAAAAAAAATTTAAACAGCACAGAAGGGGTTACAGAAAGAAGCAGGCAGCCCCCATTCCCAGAGGCAACTACAATTAATAGTCCTTTCTGGGCCAGGCAGTGCAGTGGCTCACGTCTGTAATCCCAGGACTTTCGGAGGCCGAGGTAGGTGGCTCACCTGAGGTCAGGAGTTTGAAACTAGCCAGGCCAATATGGCAAAACCCTGTCTCTACTAAAAATACAAAAATTAGCTGGGCTTGTGGTGCACGCCTGTAGTTCCCAGCTACTTGGGAGGCTGAGACAGGAGAATCACTGAAACCCCGGAGGTGGAGGTTGCAATGAGCTGACATTGTGCCACTGCACTCCAGCCTGGGTGACAGAGTGAGACTCCGTCTCAAAAAAAGAAAAAAAAAAAAAATAGGCTGGGCCTGGTGGCTCACGCCTGTAATCCTAGCATTTTGGGAGGCTGAGGCGGGTGGATCACCTGAGGTCAGGAGTTCAAGACCAGCCTGGCTGACATGGTGAAACCTCGCCTCTACTAAAAATACAAAAATTAGCTGGGCATGGTGGGGCGAGCCTGTAATCCCAGCTACTCGGGAGGCTGAGGCAGGATAATCTCTTGAATCCAGGGGGCGGAGGTTGCAGTGAGCTGAGGTGGCACCACTGCACTCCAGCCTGGGCAACAAGAGCAAAACTCCGTCTCAAAGAAAACCCCAAAAAACAGTTATTCTGATTCAGTAAATGCTATCACTGTTTATCCTTCTAAAGATATGATCAGATTTCATTAGTAATGTTCAACTTTTCACAAAGATGGTGAATGCCATCTAAAATCTATTGGAGATTTTTTTAATATTTAGATTTATGTAACTGGTTATGTAAATATATTTAAATACTGGGGGAAAGTCCTTCACTGTCTCAGAACCAAGCAAGATTCACCTGTATTTTGTGTTCATTTGCCTCTTAAAGGCAAGGGCTGAAGATAAGGTAGCAATGTCAACTTTATATTTTTGGCCTTAACTATGCCAATCTAATTAGAATTTTCTGTATCTAAAATGGTTCATTTTACTTACTGAAAGACATTTTGGTGTGGTTTATGTATAATATCAAAGAAAGATTATTTAACACTTCTCAAATTAAAAAAAAAAAAAGAAAAGAAAGAGACAGATCGTATCAAGAGCTGGCCATGGGCTGGGTGCAGTGGCTCATGCCTGTAATACCAGAACTTTGGGAGGCCAAGGGAGAAGGATCACTTGAACCCAGGAATCTGAGACAACAGAGACCCCGTCTCTACCAAAAATTAAAAAATTAGCTGGGCATGGCCCATGCCTGTAGTTCTAGCTCCTCAGGAGCCTGAGGTGGGAGGGATCACCCGAGCCAGGGAGGTCAAGGCTGCAGTGAGCTGTGATCGTGCCATTGCATTCCATCCTGGGTGACAAAGTGAAACCCTGTCTTTAAAGTAAAATAAAATAAAATAAAAAAGAGTTGGCCGGCCTGGCGCGGTGGCTCATGCCTGTAATCCCAGCACTTCGGGAGGCCGAGGCGGGCGGATCACCTGAGGTTAGGAGTTCGAGACCAGCTTGACCAACATGGAGAAACCCTGTCTCTACTAAAAATACAAAATTAGCCGGGCATAGTGGCGCATGCCTGTAATCCCAGCTACTCGGGAGGCTGAGGCAGGAGAATTGCTTGAACCCAGGAGGCGGAGGTTGCAGTGAGCAGAGGACGTGCCATTGCGCTCCAGCCTGGGCAACAAGAGCAAAACTCCATCTCAAAAAAAAAAAAAGAGTTGGCCAAGAAAAGAAGCAACTAGACTTTTCAGATACTGCTGATAGGCAAGTAAGTTGGACAATCACTTTGGAAAACTGTTGGACAGTATCTACTAAAGTTGAATGCATTTACATGCTATGACCCATCAGCTCCACTCTTTTTTTTTTTTTTTTTTTGAGACGGAGTCTCGCTCTGTCGCCCAGGCTGGAGTGCAGTGGCGCGATCTCGGCTCACTGCAAGCAAGCTCCGCCTCCCGGGTTCACGCCATTCTCCTGCCTCAGCCTCCCGAGTAGCTGGGACTACAGGCGCCCGCTACCACGCCCGGCTAATTTTTTGTATTTTTAGTAGAGACGGGGTTTCACCTTGTTAGCCAGGATCATCAGCTCCACTCTTAAGGGGTATACACAACAGAAATGTGTACCCAGGTTCACCAAAAGACATGTACTATACTAAAATATTTGTATCACAACTATCCTATAGCCCCAAACTGGAAACTGCCCAAGTATTCCTTTGTAATATCACAGATAAATTGTGGTATAGTCATGCAATGGAATACTACGCTGCAAAATAGAATTGTCTATAGGAACAGCATGGATGAATCTCACAAACATCATTGTGATAGAAAGAAATACACAAGTATACACAAACATGTTTATACTTAATGAGACAGTTTATATAAAGTAAAACAACAGGCAGAACTAATCTATGCTATTGGTAATCAGAATAGTTACTCTGAAGGGTTAATGACTAGAAGGAAAAGAGGGAGGGGTTAATGACTAGAA
Organism: Homo sapiens; assembly: GCF_000001405.40. Classification (NCBI taxonomy): domain Eukaryota; kingdom Metazoa; phylum Chordata; class Mammalia; order Primates; family Hominidae; genus Homo; species Homo sapiens. Next base: position 69,050,018 of record NC_000009.12, on the reverse strand, counting down.
GTGAGCAGGCAGCTTGCTTGCAGGGGCTGGTAACATTCTATGTCTTGAGCTTACAGGGTATGTTCATAGGACTGTTCAATTTTTACAAATTCATCAAGCTGTATGCTTGTGACTAGATACATTTCCTTATAGATACTATTTTTCAAATTTAAAATTACTTTAAATCCACAGAGACAGAAAGTAGATTAGTGATTGCTGGGTTTTAGGGAAAGGCGGAATGGGGGAGTGATTGCTAATATGAATAGGGTTTCCTTCTGGAATAATGAAAATGTTCTGGAATTAGTAGTGACAGCTGCACAATCTTGTGAATATACTAAAAACCCTTGCATTATACATTTTAAAATGGTTAGTTTTATGGCATGTAAATTATAACAATAAAAATATTATTATAATAAACATCCTTGTAAGAGCTTTTGTGCCCCTGTGAGGATATATTAATATCTGTAGGTTATAAGATATGTATCAGACAACTCCACTATCTGAAAGTTTCCAGGGGGCCTAAAGTAAGACACCAGGGGCTGCTAGACAATTACTGTAAGACATACAGATTTGCCATATGACCCTCTTCCCCACCCAGTCCATCACCCACTTCCAGGATACAATGTGGGGAAGGCTACCTGACTGGATTGGTGAGGAGCTGTCCTTTAAAAAGAGTGGTTGGCCTGATAGGGTGTGTTTTGAGAGTGAGCTGGAGAGAAAGGGTGTGTTTTGAGACTGAGCTGGAGAGAATGCGTAGGAGAGGCTGGTTGACGTGTCTTGAAGAATTTGAGAAACGTAAGGACACAACCGACTTTATACCTGACAGTTATAAAGTCCAAAGTGAAGAGGTTGGAAGGTGCTACCTGCCGGCAGAGTTGGGCCCTGGCAGAAGCGGGCTGTCTTCCTACACATGGCAGGTCAAGGGTGTGCTTCCCAGAGGCCAGAGGCAGCTGGACTTGGGGCATCCTGCAAGGGCCCTATGCAACCTCCCAGAACTGCCAGAAGGAGTAAGGGGAAAGCAGCAGAGAGTCTGCTGGGGGAGGAATGCCGGAAGCCGAGGCTGGAAATGGATGCCACCAAAGCAAAAACCTCAAACATGCAGCATGCAGTGCCTCTTTGAGACTGTGGCAAAGTCAATGAACAGACACCGCAGGCGGGAGGCTCAGAGGTTCTTCAGACCTTGTGAGCCATGCAAAGCCCTCTGGAAATCTGAGTCTCAGATAACCTGGAGGGCCAACTGTATGCCTACTGAGCATATAGCTCTGGGGACAGGTAGAATGTTCCTGAATACCGGTGGCTTCTTGTTGCTTTTAGTAGATGTGACAAGAAAAGAATAAGCCAGGAGATGGAATGAAATGGAGCATTGGAGATAAAAGGCTGCACAAACGTGGAAAGTCAAAGGGAGAATCTAAGGCCTTTTTTTTTTCTTTTTTTTAGAGATGGAATTTCGCTCGTTACCCAGGCTGGAGTGCAATGGCATGATCTCAGCTCACTGCAGCCTCCATCTCCTGGGTTTAAGCGATTCTCCTGCCTCAGGCTCCCGAGTAGCTGGGATTACAGGTGCCTGCCACCACGCCTGGCTAACTTTTTGTATTTTTAGTAGAGACAGGGTTTCACCATGTTGGCCAGGCTGGTCTTGAACTCCTGGCCTCAGTGATCTGCTCACCTCGGCCTCCCAAAGAGCTAGGATGACAGGCGTGAGCCACCGCACTCAGCCAGAGAAGCTAAGGCTTTGAACAGCAAAGACTTCCCATTGAGCCAAAACAAGGGACTCAGTCCTGCTGCAAAAACCAGGCTGAGGGCATTGCTGGTCTCCAATCTTATTGTTTAACTTGACTTCAAGGTACCTGCCCTTAGGCTGAGACAGCTGGGCATGGGGACATGCAAGGAGATAAGGCAGCCTGAGACTCCCATCCACGGAGGAAATTTGGATGTGGTTCCTGGCACATGGGACTGCCTGAAAGTGAATAGCTCAGAAGCCTACTTTTGGGAAAAGCCTACTCTCAAAGAAAAATGAGTCTGGGCTGGGCGCAGTGGCTCATGCCAGTAATCCCAGCACTTTGGGAGGCCGAGGCGGGCGGATCATCTGAGGTCAGGAGTTCAAGACCAGCCTGGCCAACATGGTGAAACCCCGTCTTTACTAAAAATACAAAAATTAGCTAGGTGTGGCACTGCACGCCTATAGTCCCAGCTACTCAGGAGGCTGAGGCAGGAGGATTGCTTGAACCCGGGAGGCGGAGGCTGCAGTGAGCCGAGATCGCACCACTGCACTCCAGCCTGGGTCTCAGGGTGTGATTTCATAAAAGAAAAAAAAAGAGAGAGAGAGAGAGAAATGAGTCTGGCCTAAAATAGCTGACTGGAGTCTTAAAACACCCTGTGGAACCCCAAACTGTTATTAGCAGGAAGTGGGCTGTGAAGGCTCCTTGCCCCGGAGGAGGGCACACTTCCCACTGCCTGCCTGCCTTGTGGCCAAGGAAAATAACAGACAAGGAGGAGCCTCTCGAGAGGCTGAAGCAGGGATTTGTGGAGGAACATGCTCCTCTGCCAGGGCAGAGGTTGATCCAGTGCTGCCCAGCAGGGCTCCAGTGCTGCGGGCAGCTAGTGCTGTGCCTCTTTTCTGAATGGAGTTACAGTTGCAGTTATCCTGCCCCTCTCCATCGTGTGTGTGTGTGTGTGTGTGTGTGTGTGTCTGTGTGTGTGTGTCTGTGTCTGTGTGTAGATCAGAAGAAGCCATTCCTAAAGCTGGGAGAGAGGAGACTGCATGTCACCTGGAAATCTTGGACTCGGAGGTGGCTGTGGTGACCACATGGGCATCGGTTGGCTCTCTTGGGGCTGGGGGTAAATGCATCTGAGTGTGGAAGGAGGGTCCATGCAGATACTGGTTGGCAGGGGGTAGACTGTAGCCGTGCCTGACAGCTTTCCATGGGGAATGCCGTGCCGGCTTTTTCCAGGGCACTCGCTAGACTATATTTCCCAGCCTCCCTTACAGTCAGCTAAGGCCACACCACTAAGTTCTTCCCACCAGAATGTGAGTGAGGAACAAATGCCACTTCCAGCCCTTCTGTGCTTCTAGCCCTTTCTGGCCAATGGAACTTGGACAAGGTGACTGAGACTCAACAATGCAGAGGACAGTAAGGCACTGACAGATAAAGACCAAACTGGAAGCTGGAATGAGTGTAGTTCCTAATTCACTTCAGGAGGTATGCCAACCCTGTACTGCCCAGAGAGGAGGACACAAACGTTATTGGTTTGAGCTATTAAATATTTGGGTCTATTTGTGATAGCAGCATGGCCTGCTCTAACTATTAGGGTATTAAATAAAATAATATTGAAACTCTGGAAACAACCTGAATGTCCAACAGTAGGGGATGGGTTAAATGGATTATGTCACATCCATGCAATCTAATACTATTTCATTAAAAATAATGTGGTGGATACTCAGTCACATGGAAAGATGCCTAAGATTGTTGCTGCTCAGGAAGAAAACCAGGTTCTAATGGGAGAGGCAGGGAAGGAGAGAGGAAGATACCTATGACGTGGAAGGTGTTTTATCTTACCCTGGGTGGCCCAAAGTTCCAGATTTCCTCAAATTCATCAAATAGACACTCTGCTTTTTGACATTCCAAATCTGGTTGAGGCCACGTTGGTTCGAACTCTGAAAGCCAAAGTTAAGAAGTACGTTACTATTTTTCAGTGAATTATAACCCATTAATGCATAATTTATATATTGCTACTTCTACATTCGAGTGCCTGTAACCGAGTGCTCCATTTTTTCTAAGAAAAAGGGAATATGTTGCTTTTCTTAAAAAAAATTATCCTCTCTTCTCTTCTCCTCTCCCCTGGTTCCCGGTTTCCTACTTAGCCCTTCAGAAATGCAAATATAACCTTTCACCTCCCCTTCACCATACATTCCCTTCAGGGCAAGCTTTTCTAACTGTATGCTCTTCCAGAGCACAGATCTCTCCACATGACAGTAGATTCGCAGACCAAAGCAAACCCATCACGGAACTTTCACCTCCAGTGGGTGGTGGCCTGGCACTTCCACCCTTGGGGGTTGCCTCAGGACTTTCATTCACTGGGAGGGCATACTGAAAGCATGCCCACTTGGCCACTGCTACAGCTTATTACTAACCAGGAAGGTGCCAAGTCAACTGTCCTGTAGAGTATGCACGGAACTAGCAGAGGGACCCCCCCACTTGCCCTTGCACACTTCCCCCCTTACCTTATAAAAGTGTCCACTTTCTACTTCCAAGGGGAAGCAGCACTTTTAAAGAAAGGCAGGATGCTTTGTACCCCTCACCCAAGCTAGTTTCGGAGTAAATTCACTTTTTTTGGTACCAGGCCTTGCTCTTGTTAATTGGACTCTGCATCCGGTGAACAACTAACCTGCATTTTGGTTAAATAATCATGCTGAAGTTTTTTTTTTTGGTTTTTGTTTTTTGTTTTTGAGATGAAGTCTCGCTCTGTCGCCCAGGCTGGAGTGCAGTGGCACGATCTCGGCTCACTGCAACCCCCGCCTCCCGGGTTCGAGTGATTCTCGTGCCTCAGCCTCCCGCGTAGCTGGGATTACAGGCACCCGCCACCGCACCCGATTTTTTGTATTTTTAGTAGAGACGGGGTTTCACCATGTTGGCCAGGCTGGTCTTGAACTCCTGGCCTCAAGTGATCTGCCCTCCTCAGCTTCCCAAAATGCTGGATGTGAGCCACCGCACCCAGCCCTATATTAAAGTATTTTAGGAATATTTCTTAGGATTTTTTTTTTTTTACCTTCTTTTAGTGCATTACAGTGATTCTCCCTGTGTCTCTCTAAGCCCGTGTTTTCCAATAGGCTAGCCAACAAGCCACACGTAGCTATTTACATTTAAATTTAATGAGATAAAATATAAAGTCAGCTCCTCAACTGCACCACCAGTTTCGAGAATCCTGTGGCCACATGTGGCTAGTGGTGCAGACACAGCATTTCCATCACATCAGGAAGTTCTACTGGGCAGGGCTGCTGCAGGCTGTTCAGGTTACAGGGTGGTTAGCAGGAGGCTGGGAGGCATCCACAATGCTCTTAAAAGGTCACTAAGAGAGGCAACAGGAAATAGCAAGAGGCAGAATCCTGCTGAAGTCCAGAAGATTTGGCTCTGACTGCTGACTGCTGTCTGACAGATCTTATTATCATGATCTGCAGGACAGAATGTGACCTGTTGATTTTTTTTAGTCCCTAACTGCTGGACATCCAGGTGACAGGGTCTGAGTTGATTACCACCAGCTCTGCTGACCAGCTGGGGAGATGAAGGAAATAATCAGACAAGAGCCACTGGGGCACAAGAGTGGTGCAGCTGGAGTAGGGAGATGCAGGGGAGGTGACAGGGGAGGTGATGGAGCGAGGAGGGGGCGCCCTGGGTCTTGCCAAGGACCTCAGCTGGACGTCATCCTGGGAAGGCACCGAAGGGCTTTAAGAGATTGGTGATAAGGTTTACATTCTCCAAAGGTCACTGGTTGCCATGGAGAGAAGAGGCGAGAGACTGTTAGTTACTGCTCTTGAGCCAGCAGTGCCCTTAGCAAACTCAGAAAAGAGAAGGCAGAAGGCACAGGGCTGGGAAGTAAGTGGAGGAGGAAACGGGCTGGGGGACAGTGGATGGGGAGGGTGGGGCAGAGTGCAGACCTTAGAAACACATGTCTCTGAAGAAGTGAGAGGGCAGCCATGATAACCACTGTTAGAGCTATCGCACATTCTACAGTGTTCTCCATCTGCTTGACACTGCTCTCAGCCTTTATGTAAATGGACTCAGTCTTCATTACAATCCTGTGAGGGACGTACTCTTATTACAGTCCTTATTCTTGGTAGTTATGTGCTACAAAGTTGCCACAAACACTCAACGAGCAAATTATTTATAGGAGAAATACAAGGCTAGGTACCCTGTAAGCTGCTGGTCACAACATTGTTACCAATCGATCAATATATAACCTTATTTCTGTTTAAAGACACCTTATGTAATATATATAGTTGATTCATTAACACTGATCTTGGCTGGGCATGGTAGCTCACACCTGTAATCCCCGCACTTTGGGAGGCCAAGGTGGGAGGATTACTTGAGCTCAAGAGTTTGAGACCAACCTGGGCAACATAGAGAGACCTCATTTCAACTTGAAAAATAAAAAACATGAGGCCGGGCATTGTGGTTCGTGCCTATAATCTCTGCAGTTTGGGAGGCGGAGGCGGGTGGATCACCTGAGGTCAGGAGTTCAAGACTAGCCTGGCCAACATGGTGAAACCCCGCCTCTACTAAAAACACAAAAATTAGCAAGGCGTGATGACATGTGCCTGTAATCTGTGCTACTCAGGAGGCTGAGGCAGAAGAATTGCTTGAATCCGGGAGGTGGAGGTTGCAGTGAGCCAGGATCGCACCATTGCACTCCAGCCTGGGTGATGAGCAAAATTCCACCTAAAAAAATATCAAAAACATTATCTGGGTGTGGTGGGGTGTACCTGTAGTCCCAGCTACTCAGGAGGCCGAGGTGGGAGGATTGCTTGAGCCAGAGAGGTAGAGGCTGCAGTGAGCTATGATTACACCATTGCACTCCAGCAGCCTGGGCAACAGAGGGAGACCCTGTCTCAAACAACAACAACAACAAATTAATTGATCTCAGGACAACAGCACCTTAACTCATGCCTGACAAAGCTTCTCTAACACATGCATTTTCTCTGTAAGGAACATCACAGCCTCCTCGTGCTAAACTTTGCACTACACTTGGAGACAATTTTAACAGAGAAATAACCAAGAAAAAAGCATAAAAATCTGAAAAACATGGCACTAATCAGACTGTGAAAAGGACACAGTTTACACTATGACAGCTGAAATAAGAAGGCAGGGCAGCACTTTGTTGGACCTTGGCTGGGAACATGAGCCTGGAGGAGCTCACATTTTTTTGCCGCTCTGCACACATCTTTGAAACGACCCCAAAAGGCTAGGGGTACTGATTTTGGGGTAACAAATTTTAGCAAGTGAGCAAATTAACAAGTACAGACTCTTAACGAATGAGGATCAACTATAGTTGTGTTTTACAGATGAGGAAACTGACGCACCAAAGGGTAACTTGCCTACACAGATACACAGACATTAAGTGGCAGAGCTGGGATTGAACCCAAGCTGTCTGGCCCCAGAGTCTGTGCACAGTGGAAGGAATTGTTTTCCCAGGAATTAAAGCAGTGCTCAAAACATCCAAGGAAAAGTGTCTGAGAATGTGGGGCTCACCTCAGGGAAGTTTCCATCTCTCCAGGATCCTGGCCCCTCAAACCTTAGTTGTCTTAGTCGCTGATACCTTCACAATAGCTGTTTTTGTTTGTGTGTGTGTGTGTTTAATTTAATAGAGATTTGATGGTTGTTACTGGTGGGAAGGTCAAATGCAGTTACTCCTTCAAAGGCACAAGTAGAAGTCTTTCTTCGGCTGTTTTTAATCATAAAAAAGAACCGTTGCCAAATACTCCTTGCTTTATATTCTACCTGCTTTTGCCAATTTAATATTCCTCGGGCAACTGCTAAACCTTTTGGAACCTCAGTTTACTCCTCTGAAGGAAGGGATCGTGGTACTCACAACAAACCTCACAACCGTGAGCATAAAACAAGAGAACAGAAATACCCCAAGTACAGAGCCTGAGGGTATTCAGGCTCTGAACAAAAGAATGGAGAACTAGGTGAGAGGCAAACTTCCGCCTCTGCCTAAGGGAGGCTCCATTCTGTTCTGCTTGAGGGAGGCAAAGCTTGGAGGTCAAGGTCATAGGATGAGTGTTCTTCCTTTTTTTTTTTTTTTCTGAGACGGAGTCTTGCTCTGTTGCCCAGGCTGGAATGCAGTGGCACAATCTAGGCTTATTGCAACCTCCGCCTCCCGGGTTCAAGTGATTCTCCTGCCTCAGCCTCCTGAGTAGCTGGGATTACAGGCGTGCACCTCCATGCCCAGCTAATTTTTGTGTTTTTAGGAGAGACAGGTTTCAGCATGTTGGTCAGGCTGGTCTCACTCCTGACCTCATGATCCACCCACCTTGGCCTCCCAAAGTGCTGGGATTACAGGCGTAAGCCACCGCACCTGGCCATGATGAGTGTTCTTTCTAAAGCCACCTGGCAGCCATGTCTCCCTCTAACTCCAGGTCACCCGTGAGCCCTTGGACCACAAGTCATGGTAGGCTTGCCTAGCTTGAGGCTTCAGATGTGTGTGCTCACTCACACAGTGCCTGCTCATGGGATGCATTTGAGGAAATATTAGATAGTTTCTGGGCCTGAAGTCTCAGGCCCAGTGGTCAGGAACCACTTGACCCAATCATTGCCTACCCCCTGGTAAGGACTGGCCTGGATGGCCAGCAGGGAGCCCAGCTTTCCTTCCCAGGTGTCCCCTTGTCACCCCCGGCCCTGTCAAACCACAGCACTTGAAGAGTGAATCAGGACCCATACCTCGCAGGGGAGGATGAACTGGCACCACCACTTTTGGCATCAAATGAGTTGATTATTGGCTGCCCCTTTGCCCAGCAATTCCATTCTGAGAAATTCACCTGAAAGGAACTTCTGTCCATGCACAAGAACAGTCACAGCAGCACCATCGTAACAACAGAACACTGCAATCAACCAAATGTCACCTAAAGGAACCTGGATAGTGTGATTTACAGTGTGATATATTTACCCAACCAGATACTATCCAGCAGTGAGAACAAATAAAGGACAACTGCATGCATCAATGCAGATGACGCACAAAAACAGTGTTGAACAAAAGGGGCAAGCCATAGCAGAACAGATACAGCAGAATACCTTGTATATAAGCAATACATGGATTGGGGGAGATACAGAGGAGGTCAAACTCTAAGAAAAGGAGGGTACGATGAACAGAATTCGGGCTGGCAGATTCCTCCAGGGAGGACAGGGCAGTGATGGGGTGAAGACAAGGGCCTCCAGAGGAACAAACAAATTCTATCTCTTAACCTGGTGTCAGGGATACAAGTATTTGTTATTTGTCTTAGTCTGGGATGTTATAACAAAATACCAGCCACTGGGTGGCTTATAAACAATAGAAATGTGTTTCTTAGAGTCCTGGAGGGTGGGAAATCCAAGATCAATGCACCAACAGCTTTGGTGTCTGGTGAGGGCCAGTTTCCTGGTTCATAGATGATGCCTTGTCACTGGGCTCCGTTGGGCTATTTTAGAAGGGCACTAATCCCAATCATATGGGCTCCACCCTCATACCTCATCACCTCCCAAGGGCCCCACCTCCTAATATCACTTTGGTGATTAGGTTTTAACATATGAATGGTGGGGTGACACAAACATGCAGACCATAGCATTTATTATTAGTTTATAAGCAGTATAAATATTTATTTATTTATTTATTTTTTTCTTTGAGATGCAGTCTCGCTCTGTCACCCAGGCTGGAGTGCAGTGGCACGATCTCGGATCACTGCAAGCTCTGCCTCCCGGGTTCACGCCATTCTCCTGCCTCAGCGTCCCGAGTAGTGGGGACTACAGGCACCCGTCACCACGCCCGGCTAATTTTTTGTATTTTTAGTAGAGATGGGGTTTCATCGTATTAGCCAGGATGGTCTCCATCTCCTGAACTCGTGATCCACCTGCCTCGGCCTCCCAAAGTGCTGGGATTACAGGCGTGAGCCACCGCGCCCGGCAGCGTATAAATATTTACATATCCTTTTCTATGTGTAAACTTGTGTAAATTGTCTGCAAGACAATAAAAATGATTTGAAAGTGAGTGAGGGTATAACCTGCTTGTTAGGCCTAAAGCCAAAAGGTCATAGGATCACAGGTGGTGGTCTTGTCCCTCTAGGAAAATGGACAGATGTCTAAAAGCTGCCCAAGGCATGCAGAAGTGGATGCCACAGGAGCTTATTGAGTCATTTAAGAGACAGCATGCTATGGTTTGAATGTTTGTCACCTCCGAAACTCATGTTGAAACTTAATTCCCGATGTGGCAGTATTGAGAGGTGGGGCCTTTAAGCGGTGACTGGGTCATGAAGGTTCTTCCCTCAATAATGGATTAATCCATTCATAGATTAATGGGTTATCATGGGAGTGAAACTAGTTAGGCTTTATAAGAAAAGAAAAAGACACCTGAGGTAGCACACTCAGCCCCTTACCATATGACGCCCGGTGCCGCCTCAATACTCTGCAAAGTCCCCACCAGCAAGAAGGGACTTGACTTTGGACTTCTCAGCCTCCAGAGCAGTAAGAAGAAAATTTTTTACCATATAAATTGCCCAGTTTCAGGTATTCTGTCACAAGCAACAGAAAATGGACTAAGAAACATCCAGTTATCTCCTTCTCGAAGCTGTCTCCGGTATTTAAGAGGAAACGTTAAAGACGCAGCCCCGTCACATCCCTCCATCAAATGGACTAAGACACATCCAGTTATCTCCTCCTCGAAGCTGTCTCCAGTATTTAAGAGGAAACGTTAAAGATGCAGCCCCTGTCACATCCCTCCATCAAAAAACATAGGCTGCCTCGTGGAATCAGAGTCCTTCCCAGCCTCCAGGTAGGTAAGGCTGGGGCTGGGGGCTGTGGGGCTGTGCTTTTAAAAGCCGTTTCTGTGGATTCTTGGTTCTGCTGAGTAGCCAGATCTGAGAACCAATGATCAGGTACTAAATATGCTGTCCCATGTGGTGGTCACCAGCCCCCGTGGCTACTGAGCACTAGAAATGTGGCTAATGGGACTGAGGACCTGGATTTTCAACTTCATTTAATTTTAATTATTTGAGGTGATAATAAAGTAATAAAGTTATTAGGAGCCTTTTTTTTTTTTTTGAGACGGAGTCTCGCTCTGTCGCCCAGGTTGGAAGGCAGTGGTGCGATCTCGGCTCACTGCAACCTCCACCACCTCCCGGGTTCAAGCAATTATCCTGCCTCAGCCTCCTGAGTAGCTGGGATTACAGGTGAGTGCCACCACATCCAGCTAATTTTTGTATTTTTAGTAGAGACGGGGTTTCACCATGTTGGCCAGGCTGGTCTCAAACTCCTGACCTCAGGTGATCCGCCCATCTCAGCCTCCCAAAGTGCTGGGATTACAGGTGTGAGCAACCACACCCAGCCTAGGAGACATTTAAGTGTGTTTGGAACAACTTGACTATGTGAACCTTCATTTTTAATTGTGAATTTTATAAAAGTAAATACAGATAGAGCATTTACTTAGAAATTGTGAATTGAGATATGCTGGAAGTATATGAGTACGAAAAGAGTATGCAAGATATCTTATTACTGATTTTTTTTGTATGTCACAGAATCCCCCAAAATCTTGGCTCACTGCAACCTCTGCCTCCTGGGCTCAAGTGATTCTCATGCCTCAGCCTCCCGAGTAGCTGGGACTACAGGCACCCACCACCATGCTGAGCTAGTTTTTAGTAGAGATGGGGTTTCACCATGTTGGCCAGGCTGGTCTTGAACTCCTGATCTCAGATGATCCACTCGCCTCGGCCTCCCAAAGTCCTGGGATTACAGTCGTGAGCCACCGTGCCTGGTCTCATTACTGATTTTTAAAATACTGATTACATGTTGGAATGATAATATTTTGTATGTACTAGGTTGAATAAATATATTGTTGAAAATGATTTTTTTTTCTTTTTAACTAGAAAATGTAGAATTATGTGTGTGGCTCCCATTCTGTTTCTGTTGAACAGCTGCTTTAGAAGTAGATGCAAGGGGTGGAGAAAAGGGTGGGGAAGAGGCCTTCAAGTGAACTCAGTTTCTGATGAATTTTGGAGACCAGGGGGAGCTTAGGGTCAATCCAGGACAGTCAGGGCTTTAAAATAATTAAACAGGATGGTGGCCCCAGTTGCCACTGCCACCCACCCAACTCCTCAAATACCCAAGATGTGCAAGGGAACTATGGAACAGACAGGTTAAACAAATGTGATTAATTCAGTATAGAAAAAAAGAGGCCCAGCTGGTGACAGAGGTTGCTAACCATCTATCCAGAAACCCAGTGTCCACCTCCTGGGCGGCAGCGCCAAGTTGGGTGTGTTTGTCAGTCAATAGCCCTTAACAGCCACCAGGTACCATCTAAAAAACTGTACCACCTCTTGTCATTCTCCTAAATTAAAAACTCTGCTGATGGCCAGACGCGGTGGCTCACGCCTGTAATTCCAGCACTTTGGGAGGGCGAGGTGGGCGGATCACCTGAGGTTGGGAGTTCGAGACCAGCCTGACCAACATGGAGAAATCTGTCTCTACTAAAAATACAAAATTAGCCGATAATCCCAGCTACTCGGGAGGCTGAGGCAGGAGAATCACTTGAACCCAGGAGGCAGAGGTTGCAGTGAGCTGAGACTGAGCCACTGCACTCCAGCCTGGGCAACAAGAGGGAAACTCTGTCTCAAAAAAACAAAACAAAACACAACTCTGCTGACAACCCATGCTGTCCACACAGGCAGGGGTGGAAGCCCAATACGTGGCAGCTCAGATAGTGCACAGAAGCCAAGTAATAAATGTCTGCTTTCCTAGAGGAGATCTAAGGACCATCATGGCCACACTTGCCTATTTTTCCAGAGATGCTGGGAAATCCATTTTATTTTTTATTTTTATTTATTATTATTATTTTTTGAGACGGAGTCTTGCTCTGTCGCCCAGGCCGGAGTGCATTGGGCGATCTTGGCTTAATGCAACCTCTGCCTCCCGGGCTCAAGCGATTCTCCTGCCGCAGCCTCTGGAGTAGCTGGGATTACAGGCGCGCGACACCACGCCCGGCTAACTTTTCTTTATTTTCTTCTTCTTCTTCTTCTTTTTTTTTTTTTTTTGTATTTTTTAGTAGATACTGGGTTTCACCATGTTGGCCAGGTTAGTCTTGAACTCCGGACCTCAGGTGATCCACCTTCCTAGGCCTCCCAAAGTGCTGAGATTATGGGCATGAGCCACCGCGTCCTGCCAGGAAATCCATTTTCTAAGTCCTAACTTTTAAGCACTGGCAACCAATCCCAAAGTTTCTTCAAACACAATGTGGGCCAAATAACACGTGTGGGAAGTTCAAGCCTAAAGTACAAACTCCGGAGAGCAACACAAATATGGCTTGGACGTGGCCTGCCTCTTTCATCTCCCCTAATACATGCGGCGTACCAGCCACTCTGAAGGGATCCCCTTCCGCCTTCCTGGCCTTTGCCCAGACGGTTCCCTCCTCGTGAAACACCCTCTACCACTTCCTTGGCATCTTCAAGACCCTCATTAAATACCATGTCCTCCCCTTGAGGAATCTTCCTCATCCCCACAGCCATTCTTTGGGTTTCCTCCTTTCAAGCCGTGGCGTAACTGGGTCAGATATTTCTTTGTACCCCCCAAAGGAAGAAAGGGGAACTAATTTGAAGTTCTGAAGACTTTATCTATGTTATTCCCATTTAATCCTCACACCAGGTCCGCAAAATGGGCGTCACCTTTATCTTCTCCCTACAGAAAACAAAGCCACGTCTCAGAGAGGTTAGGGGAATCCCCCAAGGTCACACAGCTCTGCGGAGTGGGGCAGAATCTGGAATAAAGGTCGGGTCAGTTTCCAAAAGCCAGGGCCCCTGCTGCTCTAGCTATTCTGCAGCTCTGAAAGTTTCACCTCGTTCCAGGAAAGCATTTCGTTCAAAAAAATCCAGCCTTGAAAATATTAGGTGTGCGCGCGCCCGTGCGCGCAAACACACACACACAACACACACGCTATATACAGATACACACAGACACACACATTATGTGTATGTATATACTAGCAGATACCATCTATTAATATTACTGAAACAAGTTATCGCAGAGAAGTGACAAGCATGGAGACAGCCGCACACCCCTCGGAACCGGTCCCCTCCACCAGCCTGCCCTGCCTTCGCCCGTGCCTTGACCCGCAGTCGCACCGCAGGACAAAATGTCCCCTTTTCCTTCGGAAAGCAGAAGCCAGTGTAAATGCAACCGGGAGAACCAGAGAAGGGAGTTGCAAGGCCGCTTCCGCCGGGCCGCCCTGAGAAGGAGCGGGGTGAGCTAGTCCAGCGCGCGTACCCGGAGCGACCCCGGCGTGCGCGGCGCCTCCCTGCGCAGGCGTGCGGCGTGCGGCCCGCGGCGTGCGGCCCGCGGCTGTTCCCGGCGCGGATACTTACTGCGCGGCGGGGCGTGCAGGTCGCATCGATGTCGGTGCGCAGGCCACGGCGGCCGCAGAGTGGGGCCAACTCTGCCGGCCGCGGGACCCGGGTGAGGGTCTGGGCCTGGGCTGGGCTGGGTGACGCCAGGAGGCCGGCTACTGCGCGGCGCCCGAGAGTCCACATGCTGCTCCGGGTCTGCCGCCCGCTCCGCCCTCCAGCGCTGGGTGCTGCGGCGACCCCTGGTGGCCACTGGCCGCAGGCACTCTTCTGTGGGGGAGCAGCTAGAGGTTAGACCTCAGGAAGAACTTCCCAGCTTAGCACTATTCGTGCATTTAACAAAAATGGAGAGCCTGCTTTGTGCAAAGCACGGAGTGCAACCAGGACCCCTGACCCAAGGGAGACTGCAGCCTGGTGGCCCGCCGCTTCTAAAATTCTAAACAGGAGGAACTTGGGAGCTGCTGTCTTGCTGGGAAGTGGGTGCATGCACAAATTGAGGCTGCTTGGCCGCCGGTATGGGTTTACAGCAGTTGGGTATGTGGGGCCAGGAGACGGATGCCTTGTGTAAATCTGTACTCTGCCCACTTCCTAGCTGTGTGACCAGAGGGCAAGTTAATTAACCTCTCTGTGCCTTGTTTATAAAATGCGTTTTATAAAAGTTCCTACTTCATAGGATTGTGGTAAGGATAAAATGAGTTAAGCCCTGTAAAGTTTTTTTTGGACAGGGCATGTTCCTGTTAAGTGCACAATAAATATTGTTAATAGATTTTATTGATTGATTGATTGATTGAGACGGAGTCTCGCTCTGTCGCCCAGGCTGGAGGGCAGTGGTGCGATCTCGGCTCACTGCAAGCTCTGCCTCCCGGTTTCACGCCATTCTCCTGCCTCAGCCTCCCGAGTAACTGGGACTACAGGCGCCCGCCACCATGCCTGGCTAATTTTTTGTATTTTTTTTTTTTTTTAGTAGAGACGGGTTTCACCGTGTTAGCCAGGATGGTCTCGATCTACTGACCTCGTGATCCACCCGCCTCATTTATTTGTTTGTTTGAGACAGAGTCTCACTCTGTTGCCCAGGCTGGAGTGCAGTGGTGTGGTCCTGGCTTACTGCAACTTCTCCCTCCCGGGCTCAAGCAGTCTTCCCATTTCAGCCTTCCAAGTAGCTGGGACTACAGGTGTGCACCACCACACCCAGCTAGTTTTTGTATTTTTTGTAGAAAGGGGGTTTCGCTATGTTGCCCAGGGTGGTCTTGAACTTCTAGGCTCAAACGATCTGCCCGCCTGGGCCTCACAAAGTGCTGAGACGACAGGCGTGAGCCACCGTGCCTTGCCTATTGTTGATAGATTTTAAAAGAGAATTTTATTTCTGTTACATATTACAAAGGGATGCAAATTGTGAAAGTTTTCTTCACATTTTATATATGCTTTAGAGGATGTCAAATGTGAGCCGAGTGTGGTAGTGCATGCCTGTGATCTCAGCTACTCAGGAGGCTGAGGCGGGAGGATCACTTGAGCCTGGGAGCTCAAGGCTGCAGTGAGCTATGATTGTGCCTGTGAATAGCCACAGCATTCCAGCCCGGCCATCATAGCAAGATACTGTCTTAAAAAAAAAGAAAATGTCAGTTGTGTACACTTTCCATGGCAGAGAAGATGGGAAGGTACTAAAGTTCTTCCAAAGCCACTTTGTGAATCGTGAAGAGAGACATGTTTACATACTTAGGATGCTAAATGACAAGTGTCAAGAGGAATGTAAACTAACAGGTGTGAGTGTTGAGTGGGAGATTTATATAGAGCTAGGGATGGGGGAATCAAGGAAGTATTCATGGAAGAAGTGGTGTTGGCACAGGGCCTTCAAAAATAGGGTGGAGGAGGTGGGATCTGATTGCCTATCAAAGAGGTGGTCCAGGGCATTCTGGATGAGAGACATCCTTCTGTGTTTAATTAATTCTAGGCAGCTGCTTAAATACTGTTATGTATATGCCAGGCCTGGAGAAATCATTTTCCCCCTGCAAAGTATCTGGAGATGCTTTTGATTGTCACAACAGGCAGCTGTGGGGTGGGTATGTTCTACTGGCATCTAGTAGGTAGAGGCCAGGGATGAAACATCCTGTGATGTGCAGGACAGCCCCCCACCTGTGCAACAAAGAACTATCCAGTCCAAAATTCTGCCAAGATTGAGAAGCCCTCCTTGAAACCATAAAGGGAGAGCCCATAGGCATCAAAGGGTAGTGTTTTCATTGCCAGCCATGGTCTCAGACTCTGCCACACCAACAGTGAGGCCCTTCCTCACATCATCAGAACTGCATTATATACTCAGAGAGAGAAAGCTGCATCATTAGTTATTATTATTATTATTATTTGAGACAGAGTCTTGCTTTGTTGCCCAGGCTGGAATGCAGTGGTGCCATCTCTGCTCACTGCAATCTCCACCTCCTGGGTTCAAGAGATTCTGTCTCAGCCTCCAGAGTAGCTGGGATTGCAGGTGCCCACCACCACGCCTGGCTAATTTTTGTATTTTTAGTAGAGATGGGGTTTCATCATGTTGGCCAGGCTGGTCTCGAACTCCTGACCTCAGGTGATCCGCCCGCCTCGGCCGCCCAAAGTGCTGAGATTACAGGCGTGAGCCACCGCACCCTGTGCTACATCATTATTAGCTAGCATGCTTAGCAAGTTCTGGCATAGAAAGGTCACTAGCAAATGCTCCAGCTCCCTGCAAAGTTGATATCATTGCCCCATCTTTTTGGCCAAAGAAATAGACATAGAATAGCATATCAGAGAAGACGAAGGCTTCGCAAGAACTTGTCTTTCTCCACTTCCTTGGAGGTAGTCAAGAGGAATCAGGCACACTTGGTAAGAAGCTGGGGCACCGTGGCGTGGGCAAAGATGTTGAGGGACTCTGTGGTACACTGTAGCTGTTCCTCTCTTGGTTGCTTTTAGCCTCAAGTAGGCAGATCCTAATAGCTGTCAGGTTATGGGTAGGGGAGGATATCACCAGAATTCCCTTGCTCTGCCATTAGGATATTTTGATAGGATTTATCAGAGGGCTATGATTATCAAATGTGGTCGCTGGGCCAGCAGCCTCAGCATCACCTGGAAACTTGTTAGAAATACAAATTCTCAGGCCCTATTCTCGATCTACTGAATCAGAATCTCTGGGGTTTCAAGGCCCAGCAATCCATGGTTTAACAAGACCTCCAGGTGATTCTAATGTGCTTTAAAGTTTCAGAAGCACTGTGGTAGCATAGGCCTTGGGCAAAATTGTGAGTTAAGCCAGTGTCACCAGGGTGATCATTTTAAATCTAAAAATCTAAATCTCAAATGTGAATCTAACCATAGCCCTCTGCTTTCACCACCATCAAGATAAATTCCAACTTTCTTAGCATGACAGAGGAAGCTCTCTTGCCCACCTTAGCTCTCCCAGCGCCCTTACCACTCTCTTCTGTACACCCCACTCTGCATATTGGGAGGCATCTAGACATCTTTGCTTCTTCAAGCTATTTGTAGTTCCTAGAACAAGTGATGCTTTTTCCCTCTCTGGCTATCCCTCATGTTGTTCCTTAGTCTTCCATCCCTTTGCCTGGTATGGAAGATTGGATCTTCCAAAGAAGGCCACACCAATATTTGTCACATGTCATATGCTGTTTGGGACTTTGACATTCCTGTCACCCAGGGATGTTATCTATTCTCCTCCCTTCGAATTCGGGTTTGGGCTACAACTATTCCAACCAACAGGGTACTGCAGAAGTGCTGCTTGGTGACTTCCAAGTCCAGGTCATAAAAATGATGCATCTTCCTTCTAACTCCCTCTCTCTCTCTTTTTTTTTTTTTTGGGTTTTTGTTTGTTTGAAACAGAGTCTCATTCTGTTACCCAGGCTGAAATGCAGTGGTGTGGTCATAGCTCACAGCAGCCTTGACCTCCTGGAATCAAGTGATCCTCCTGCCTCAGCCTCCTAAGTAACTGGGACTATAGGTGTGCATAACCACACCTGGCTGATTTTTAAAATTTTAAAAATTTTTGGTAGAGACAGAGTCTCACTATGTTGCCCAGGCTGGTCTTGAACTCCTGAACTCAAGCAACCTCCCACCTCAGCCTCCCAAATTGCTGAGGTTACAGGTGTGAGCCACTGTGTCCGGCATTCTCTTTTTGGGATGCTGACACTGAGGACCAGCCATCATGTTTTGAGGAAATCCAAACTAGCCAAAGTAGAGAAACAATGTAGAGAGAGCTGAGGCCCCCTCAGCCAACAGCCAGGGTCAACCAGTAGACATGTAAATGAGTCATTCTTCAGATAAATTCCAGCCCCCAGCCTCCCAGTCTTCCAGCTGAATCCTTAGACATCATGGAGCAGAAACAAGGTATGCCTTATGTGTTCCATGTGAATTTCAGGCCCACAGAATCTCTGGGCAGAAAAGATGTTTTCATAGCTTTAATCCAGTATGTTTTAGGTAATTTATTACACAGCCATAGTAACCGGAACATGGGGCTACTTTCTTCATATCCTGTAGGACTCAACTCAAATGTCAGAGGTGACTTCCTCCAGAATCCTTTTATGAAACCAAACTTTCATATTCCCACAGGTGTGCCTTAGGTACCTCTCTCTGTTTCCACAGCCTGCAATGTAATTGTTAGTTTTCCTGTTTATCTAATATCTCTGACATAGACACTCTACTGGTGAATGAGTGATATTCTTTGTTGGCCTCCTGTTTCTTCAGTAGCAATCACTGTTGCTAAGGGAATGGGGTAACACAATTGGCCAGTTCAGGGACAGGGCATATTACCTGATGAAGGGCAGTGAGAAACCTTGCAGGACACCAAAACAAAAACAAAACAAGACAAAACCCAATCCTCTACAGATGACCAAACCTTAAGTCTCCAAATTCTCACTCATTCTTGCTTAGTCCTGGGCTTCAGCTCAGTGCTATGATTCAGTGCCTAAAGACTTAACTTCCTGTCAGGAGGTGACTTCAACTCTGGGGAAAAGAAATCCCACTGCATTTGCTTGGATTGATTGGTAAGAGAGATTGATAAAAGGATGTTCTTTGACATTTGCCAAGGGCAATTTTTTTCTATAATGAGGGAAGAGAAACAGCTGTTTGTCCCAGGAGACTGATTATGGCACTAGAGTCAAATCCACACTCTGGAATGCAATTTGATACATCACCTTAATATTAATATAGATTAAATTCATAAGATACTCAGCAAAGTAATCAATAATTCCAAAGTCAATAAATATTAAACATGTGAATGATGTAGATAATGAACTAATTATTGAACGTTTCAGTGGCCAGAAAAAAGGAGGTTTGGATTTATTTTCTGAGAGTGGCTCCCTTTAGGGTCCCTTGGGCAGTGTGTGATAGCTTTTGATCTGTGATCTGACAGATTAAGGGAGCTTCAGGCAGAGGCCTCTCTCTTGTACAAAAATACTCTTCTTGCTTACTGTTGAGGGGACAAGAGGAAAGAAGCATGTGATGTATCTGAAATATAGCCTTTAGAGAGTCATTCTTGTTTTAACTAAGGAATTTGCATTAATATGCCTAATGAAACCACCTTTGTAAAGGTTATGACAGTGAGAGAAATTTAGCTTGGCTGACTCCATCTTGCTTCTAGTCTCATAGGCTGGCTGTCCTCACTTATTCCTGGGCATATAACAAAGGCCACGCCAAGCTAACTGTGGGAGGAATTTAGTGTATAGTTTCACTTTGAAGCAAGAATGATAATAGTCCCTCCCTAAAACTGAGCCCCTCCTTTTTCGGGGACTGAAACTGCCTTTGTAAAACTAATGAAAGGCCACAAGATTAGGATTATGGGAGGGGTCTGAATTCTGCTAAGATGTAGGAATAGCTTGCCTTTCTATAATCTATGCTGGAGGTCACAAGATTTGTGACTTCCCCGTTTGCTCTTGTAAATAACATCACTATTGTAGAACCCAAGATTCGTCTTTTGAGATGATTTTCAGAACTGTGCATTCTGGGCACCAACTGACTTCACTTGGACTCACGACTCATGACTCAGCCAGTCCTGTGGCCCCCACCCTATGGTGGACTCAGCACATGAGGATTGTTTGCCATGCTTTTATCCCCAATCAGCAGCACCCATTCCCTAACTCCCTGCCTGCCAACTTATCCATAAAAACCCTAGCCTCTGAGTTCTCAGAGAAACTGATTTGAATAATGAACTCTTGTCTTTCATGTGGCCAGCCCTTGCCTTAATTAAACTGTTTCTTTACTGCAATACTGCTGTCTCAGTGAATTGGCTCTATCTGTCCAGCATGCAAGAAGTATAGTATAGTAGAAACAAGTAGACTTTGTGGGCTTAGACAAATGTATTTGCAAAGCATAATTTTCAAAAAGTTAAAAACAATTCTCATGCAAATTTGTAGTGAGCATGCATCAAAGATTAAATAATTAGTGGAGTTTTAGGTACTGAAGTGTGTTCTCCCAAAGTCCATAGGTTGAAATTTTAACTGCCAGGACACTCAGAATATGACTATATTTGGAGATAAAGCCTTTAAAGAAGTAATTAAGGTTGGCCAGGCATGGTGGCTCATGCCTGTAATCCCAGCACTTTGGGAGGCCGAGGCAGGTGGATCACTTGAGGTCAGGAGTTCGAGACCAGCCTGGCCAACATGGTGAAACCCCGTCTCAACTAAAAATACAAAGAAAAAAAAAATTAGCTGGGCATGGTGGCGGATGCCTGTAATCCCAGCTACTCAGGAGGCTGAGGCAGTAGAATCACTTGAACCCAGGAGGCGGAGGTTGCAGTGAGCTGAGATCGCGCCACTGCACTCCAGTCTGGCGACAGAGCAAGACTCCGTCTCAAAAAAAAAAAAAGTAATTAAGGTTAAATGAGGTCTCAAGTGTAGGTCCTAATGTGAAAGGAGTGGTGTCTTTATAAAATGAGAAAGAAACACCAGGAACACATGTGCACAGAGAAAAGACCACAGGAAGAGGCAGCAAGAGGGCGGCCCCCTGCAAGCCACAGGGAGAGGCCTCAGAGGAAACCAACCCTGCCAGCACCTTGATCTTGAACTTCCATTATCCAGAACTCTGAGAAAATAGATTTCTGTGGTTTAAGCCAGCCAGTCTGTGGTATTTTGTTATGGCAGCCCTAGCAAAATACAAGAGGGAGCCAGCAGGAAGGCAAACTGGTTTAAAGGAAGCTGGAAGAAACTGATCTATAATAGTCAGTGATAAAAAGAGCATTCTGGCGTAAGATTGCTAAGTGAGATACACAACTGGGTAGTGTCCTTCAGGTCTATAAAACTATAGTCTTTGGGGTTACTTTCTTAGACAAGAGTCATTTGCATCTTACCAGTTTTCTACAAGCTGACATTCTTTTCTCTTTTGTTTATTTATTTATTTTGAGACGGAGTTTTGTCACCCAGGCTGGAGTGCAATGGCGTGATCTCGGCTCACTGCAACCTCCGCCTCCCAGGTTCAAGCAATTCTTCTGCCTTAGCCTCCTGAGTAGCTGAGATTACAGGCATGTGCCACCAAGCCTGGCTAATATTTGTATTTTTAGTAGAGACGAGGTTTCATCATGTTGGCCAGGCTGCCTTGGCCTCCCAAAGTTTTGGGATTAAAAGCATCAGCTACTGTGCTTGCTGTTTATTTTTTTATTTTAATTTTTTTGTTTATTGTCTTCTAAAAATTGACATCCTTGAGACCTAATTAATGGCAAATAATAAGTCGAGCATAGTCACACTGTGCTGGAACAGAGTTTCTCAATGGTGACTATTTACTGATGTTTCTACTGATTATAGTCATGTGCTGCATAATGCTGTTTCAGTCAGTGATGGACCACATATGTGATAATGGTCCCCTAAGATTATATTTTTTTACTGTACTTTCTCTGTGCTTAGATATGTTAGATACATAAATACTTAACTACTGTAGTACAATTGACTATAGTATTCAGTATGGTAACATGCTGTACAGGTTTATAGCCTAGGAGCAGTAGGCTAGACTGTATAGCCTAGGCGTATAGTAGGCTAGACCATCTAGCTTTGTGTAAGTACACTCTATGATGTTCGCAAGATCACAAAATCACCTAATGATGCATTTCCCAGAATGTATCCCTGTTGTTAAGCAACACATGGCTAACTCTGTCGTGGTGGTTGTCCCATGCATTGTAAGGTGGTTTAGCAGCATTCTTGGTCTCCACCCACTAGATGGCAGTAGTATCTGCTCTCCCATTCAATAGTGACAATCAAAAATGTCTCCAGACATTGTGAAAAGGTCCCCTAAGGAGTAAAATTGCCCCTGGTTGAGAACCACTATTCTGGTCTAACTTTGAATTAAATATTCAAAGCAATCTTTTTGCCTTACTTCCAAGTTTTAGATAATTTTCATAACAGTGTTCAAATCCCTGCTCTGCCCCTCAACTACCTGTGTGTCCTTGGTCTATTTTTAACCTGAGTTTCAGTTTCTTCATCTGTAAATTAAAGCAAATACTTCTTTACCTCAGAGATTTCCATGAGGATGAAGTGAATTAGTATGTGCAAAACACAGACATCAGCGAATGCTAGCCCCACACTTGGCCTCATGGTTGGTCATGGTGTCTTTTAAGAGGCATGTTTATACACCTGTGGTCACAGAGGGCACCCCGGGGCCACTTTGGTGGCCAGGCACACACATCCAGGTCTGGGCTTTCAGGGGACTGCAGGCTAGTGCAGATCACCGGGAAGTCAGGACCCTGCAGCTGAGCTGGGTGCCTCCCTTCACATTCTAGGCAGGACAGAGGAGTGGGTGGCCTTGACAAGAGTTAGGGGAGAAGAGGGGAGCCAGTACCCCTACCTTCACCCTTGGCCATCACTGCAGGCCAGTTCTCTTCTCTGCCTCTGACCTGATGCAAGTATCAACACCATCACTACTTTCTTCCAGTGCTCAGGGACCTGATGTGCCCCTTGCTGGAGGAACCCGTCTTGCCTTGTCTCTTGCCTTAGGCAATATGGTACCAGAATATAGGGTCAGGAATTCCACGTGAAAGTATAACTAGCATCTTTGTTGCTATCCTTCAACCTTCTACATCTACTATTCAGAGGTGATCTTGTTGATGAACTGAGCTAATTTATGTGTGTGTTGTTAAAATAGGTTGTGGCTTGGTAGGCGTTGAGGGAAAAGGAGCTTTGATGGCCCTCGCCTCACGGGGAGACAAGTGCCTTTACTTGGAAAACCACTTTAAGAACAGCCTAGATCCGTCTGTGGGACTGCATTGTCCAACAGAGAACGTCTATGTCTGGGGGCCTGGGACTCTGGAAAGGGTTATTTTGGGGTTTCAGAGTGATTCAGTCTAAGGCGGGGGCACAGCCGTCTCCCATCTGTGGGGGATAATTGCTTGCTCTCCATTCCCTGCTTTTTTTTTTTTTTTTGAGTTGGAGTTTTGCTGTTTCACCTAGGCTGGAGTGAAGTGGTGCGATCTTGGCTCACTGCAACCTCCGCCCCCTAGGTTCAAGCAATTCTCTTGCCTCAGCCTCCTGAGTAGCTGGGATTACAGGTGCACGCCACCACGCCTGGCTGATTTTTGAATTTTTAGAAGAGACAGGGTTTTGCCATGTTCGCCAGCCTGGTCTCGAACTCCGGACCTCAGGAGATCCACCCACCTCAGCCTCCCAAAGTGATAGGATTACAGGTGTGAGCCACCATGCCTGACCCATTCCCTGCTTATTATAGAACACTAACAGGCAGACTGGGCTTGAGTCTCTGAGCCTGACACTGTTGCATAGTGGAGAGTCACTGGTTGCAGGGAAAGGAGAATCAGGCCAGAGCATTCACATGGTGTCTTCTCTCCAGGCTTCTTGGCTCCCCTCTTTCATCCCATCCTGCCTGGCTTCGCTGAATGAAAGCTCTATGAACTTCGCTCATCTGTGATGATTGTGACTTGCCAGTAATGCTAAATGCTGCACCAGGCAGCAGGGCACCCGGTGGGATGAGGTGGGAGTTATGGGGCATCAGGGGGAGGCTGTATGCAAAAGAAAGGGCCACCTGTCCTAGACCCACCATACCATTGGTCGACCCTGGGCAAGAAGACCTGAACTTCCCTGGATTTTAGTTTCCTCATGGATGAAATGGGGATACAAACACTGCCATGTTTTCCTCCTAGATTGTGAGAATCAAGTACAAACGTTTTTAGAAAGTGGGAACAGGACTTATGCTATGATATTCTGAGAGAACTCAGGCTAATTTTTTTTTTTTTTTTGAGATGAAGTTTCACTCTTGTTGCCCAGGCTGGAGTGCAATGGTGCGATCTCAGCTCATGGCAACCTCCATCTCCCGGGTTCAAGCGAGTCTCCTGCCTCAGCCTCCCGAGTAGCTGAGACTATGGGTGCCCGCTACCACACCCAGCTAATTTTTTGTATTTTTAGTAGAGACAGGGTTTCACCATATTAGCCAGGCTGGTCTCGAACTCCTGACCTCAGGTGATCCACCCACCTCAGCCTCCTAAAGTGTTAGGATTACAGGCGTGAGACATCACACCTGGCCCAGGCTAATTTCTTATGGTGGCACATCACTCACCATTTAACAAATATTAATGAAGCCCTACTGTGTGTCAGGCACTGTTCTAGGTGCCGATTATACAGCAGTGAACAAGACAGGCAAACATCCCTTGCTTCTTATGTTCTATTGTAGGGACACTGATGATAACAAAATAAGGTAAACAATGTGTTAGAAGCCGGGTGCCTCACACCTGCAATCTCAGCACTTTGGGAGGCTGAGGCAGAAGGATCACTTGAGCTCAGGAGTTCAAGACCAGCCTGGGCAACATATATCTCTATAAAAAATAAAAAATTAGCCAGGCTTAGTGGCATGTGCCTGTAGTCCCAGCTACTCAGGAGGCTGAGGTGGGAGGATCACTTGAGCCTGGGAGGTCAAGGCTATGATGAACTGTGATGGTGCCACTGCTACTCCAGCCTGGACAACAGAGTGAGGCCGTGTCTCAAAAAACAATGTGTTAGCTGGTCATCAGCGGTATGGAGAAAAAACAAGGAAGAGGGAGAAGAGGTGTAGTAGCCAGCTTCCAAAAGGTCCCTCACCTCTTGGGATTCCATCCCTTGTGTAGTCCCTCCCACAGTGTACCAGGGTTGGTCTGTGTGACCAGTAGTAGATGACCCAGCTGATAGTCTCTCCTGTCTAAGATCAGGTTATAGATGACTGCGGCTCTCTCTCTCTCTCTCTCAGATCACTTGCTATGTGGGAGCTGGTTGCCATGCTGTCAGAATCTATGGAGAGGCCCCTGGTGAGGACCTCCAGTACACAGCCCAAAGCCAGCAAGGACGTGAGGCTTGCCAGCAACCACATGAGTGAGCTGGAAGTGGGTCCTCTTGCCTCAGATGACTGCAGCTCTGACTGACAGCTGACTACAACCTCACGAGGAACCCTGAGCGAGAACCTTGGAGAAAGCCTTTTTCTCATGCCCTAGAGTTGAGAATGTAGATTGAATGTGCTCTGCTATGATTGCTGTTGTTAGGCACTGTGGGAAGTGCTTTATATACACTCTTGTTTAACTCTAATAGCCTTACTGAGGGTACTATTATTATCTCCATTTTATACACCAAGGCTCAGAGGCTAATTCACCTTTCCAAATCCTCCAGCTAATAAGTGTCCAAGCTGGGACTCAAACTTGGGCCTTTTAACTGTGCTGCTATTCTACCTCTCCCTTGCTCTTTCCAGACCAGGCTTGGGACATAACACTAACACCCTTTTCCTTTCATTTCATCTCTTGTCCTTCAGTCATTCCTAAACATTGACATTCATTGAGTTCCTTGGCTCTGGCCACAGTCCTTTCTCCCTTTCCCCTCTGGGGCATCAAATAGTGATTACAGTATCCACAGGGATGGCATATGCCATTTCACCATTTCACAGTTCCTGGAATCCACTTTTCACTTCTCATAAAGCTTCAGCAAGCCATTCTCATCTTGGGTTGCTTGTTTGCCTATTTGCTGTTACATCCATTCTCTTCTCCTCATCTGTTTCTTTCAAGGAAACCTGATCCATGCAAATTACGTTTCCTAAACTGCTTTGCCAATTTGTTTCAAGAGAGGTTCAGCCAACGAGAGGCGCCTGTGGGAGACTGGCAGGTGGGTGGCAGAGAGGAGGCAGGTATTTCTGCCCTCCTTTTCTCCTCCCGCCATTCCCTTCAGGCACCATTTCCAGCAGTGATTGGGTTTCCTCCATGGCTCCGCCTCTTGCTGGACAGACCACTGTGGTTTCAGTCTCAGCTCCGGGGCTGTGTTAACACCTTTTTCCTTCTGTTCCTCTATGCGTAGTTATGGTAAATGCAACTTTTCTGCATTTCTTAATTTTGAGTTTGTCTAATTCTCCCTGGTAGCTCTTTCAGTCCTTCCATCACCTTTGCAACAAATTCCCTGCATTAGATTATCTCTGTGAATTGCCGGACCTAGGTTTTGTTTGTGAGGCTGGACCCCAGCTGATATTCGTATCTGTACTTTGGACTTTATTGCCATTTTAAATTGTTCTTTCTCAGATATCTTCAACTATAGGATCCTGCTTTCTGATTACAATCTCCAGTTCCTTAACCTCAGGTCCTTTCTTCCATTTATCATGTTTGCTCTGTTCACCCACTCTGTTCTTCCACCCACTTACTCATCAACCTGTCAAGGAAAAAAGCCAAACTCTATAAAATATTTAAAGAGTTTTATTCTGAGGCAAATATGAGTGAACATGGCCCGAAGGCACAGTCTCAAAAGGTCCTGAGAATATGTGCCCAAGATGGTTGGGTTACAGCTTGTTTTTTTTTTTTTGAGACAGAGTCTCGCTCTGTTGCCCAGGCTGGAGTGCAGTGGCGCCATCTCGGCTCACTGGCTCACTGCAAGCTCTGCCTCCCGGGTTCACGCCATTCTCCTGCCTCAGCCTCCTAAGTAGCTGGGAGTGGACCGCCACCACGCCTGGCTAAGTTTTTTTTGTTTTGTTTTGTTTTTGTATTTTTCGTAGAAACGGGGTTTCACCGTGTTAGCCAGGATGGTCTCGATCTCCTGAACCTGTGATCCACCCACCTCAGCCTCCCAAAGTGCTGGGATTACAGGCGTGAGCCACTACGCCTGGCCACAGCTTGGTTTTATATGTTTTAGGGAGACATTAAGACATCAATCAATACATGTATACATGTGAGGTGTACATTGGTTTGGTCCAGAAAGGTGTGACAACTTGAAGGGCAGAGTGCTTGCAGGTCATAGGTGGATTCAACAATTTCCTGATTGGCAATTGGTTGAGAGTTAAGTTATTATCTGAAGACCTGGAAGCAATAGAAAGGAGTGTCTGGGTTAAGATAAGGGGTTGTGGAGACCAAGGTTCTTATTGTATAGATCAAGTCTCATAGGTAGCTTAGAGATTATAGATGCAAATATTTCCTATGCAGACCTTTAAAAGGTAGGTATTAGACTCTCAGTTAATCTCTTCAGGGATTTGGAGGGCCTGGAAAAGGAAAGATCCACTTATGTTAAAAGAGATTTTTGGGCCGGGCACAGTGGCTCATGCCTGTAATCCCAGCACTTTGGGAGGCCGAGGAAGGTGGATCACAAGGTCAGGAGATCAAGACCATCCTGGCTAACAGGGTGAAAACCCGCCTCTACTAAAAATACAAAAAAGAAAAAAAAATTAGCCGGGCGTGGTGGCATGCACCTGTAGTCCCACCTACTCGGGAGGCTGAGGCAGGAGAAGCGCTTGAACCTGGGAGGCAGAGGTTGCAGTGAGCCGAGATTGCGCCACTGCACTCCAACCTGGGCGACAAAGTGAGACTCTGTCTCAAAAAAAAAAAAAAAAGATTTTTTTACAGATGTAAATTCTCCCCCACAAAAGAAAGCTTTGCAGGGCCATTTCAAAATATAGCAAGGAAACATATTCTGGAACTAACTTTGGGAGGAACTTAGTTTATAGTTTAACTTTGAAACAAGGACGATAACAGCCCTTTCCCAAAACAAACCCCCTTCCTGCCTGGGGACTAGACTGCCTTTACAGAACCAACACATTAGCCACAAGATTAGAAATTATGGTTTAGGAGTCATGCAACTGAAGGCGGCCAGATTCTGAACCTCCCCAAATTGCTCCTGGGGATAACATCACTATTGTAAAATCTAAGATCAGGGCTTGAGATATTTTGCAGACCCTGCACTCAGTGGATCAGCTGGCACCACCCAGACCAATCAACTGGCTCATCTGATCTTGTGTACCCCCCAGCAGGAACTGACTCCGCACAAGAGGACACCTTTGATTCCCTGATTTCATCTCTGACCTGACCAATCAGCACTCCCGACTCACTGGCCTGTGCCCACCAAATTATCCTTAAATACTCTGATCCCCGATTCTTAGGGAGACTGATTTGAGTACTAATAAAACTCTAGTCTCCCATACATCTGGCTCTGTGTGAATTACTCTTTCTCTATTGCGATTCCCCTGTCTTGATAAATCGGCTCTGTCTAGGCATTGGGCAAGGTGATCCCATTGGGCGGTTACAAACTACAAAAGGGAGAGGGTATAATGAGGCATGTCTGACCCCTACCCCTTCCTGGAGTGGCCTGAACTAGTTTTGCAGGTTTCTTTGGACTCCCCTTGGCTAAGAGGGGGGTCCATTTAGTCAGTTGGGGGGCTTTGAATTTTAGTTTTGGTTTACAAACCCATCCATCATTGTTTTTGTTGTTGTTGTTGTTGTTGTGAGACGGAGTCTTGCTCTGTTTCCAGGCTGGAGTGCAGTGGCGCGATCTTGGCTCACTGCAACCTCCACCTCCTGGATTCAAGCAATTCTCCTGCCTTAGCCTCCGCAGTAGCTGGGACTACAGACGTGCACCACCACGCCCGGCTAATTTTTGTATTTTTAGTAGAGATGGGGTTTCACCATGTTGGCCAGGATGGTCTCGATCTCTTGACCTCATGATCTGCCCGCCTCAGCCTCCCAAAGTGCTGGAATTACAGGCATGAGCCACCACCGCGCCCGGCATCCATCCATCATTGTTTGTTGAGCGTCCACAGTTCCAGGCACTGTGGTTGCTGATGATATAGTGGTAACAAAGATTGATAATCAACATGTTCTCATGGAGCTCACAGTCTTGCGGAGAGAGATGATAACGTAAAAGTATTTACAAAGTCACATAAGTGCTAGATGGGGTAATTATAGGATACTACAGGAGCATATGAGAGTGGCCTGGTCTTGACTTGGTGGGGGTGGTGACAGCATGAGTTTCTGAGATCAGAGAGATGAAGAGTTGGCCAGGTGAAAGAGGGCAAGGAGGAAAGAGCATAGCAGAGGGGACAGTATGTACAGACCCAGAGGCCAGATGTCCTCATCTAGTACAGTGTTGGAGAGGCTGAAAAAGGGAGATTCTCAAACAGACTCAAGCTTGGATGCATTGGGCCCTAGCTCCTGGGGTTCTGCAGTTCTGAAAGGTCTGCAGTTTACCCCTAGGGTTGCAATCTTCTTATTCTTTTTTAACTCCAGGTTAGGCACTTCCATCCCTCACAGTTCAGGTTCAGCTCCAGCCCTCTTTGTCCCTTATAATGCATACAAACTCTTCAAATCTCCTGCATTTCCTGAATTATGGAACTGGTCACTGGATACCCCCTTTTCCTTGCTGTATTTGTATAGCTTTCTTTTGTCTTCAAGAGCTCTCTAATTATTAAGATAATTGAATTGGGACCTCTCACTTCTCAGCTCTTTGTTCTATAGGCTATAAAGCATTTTGGGGCTCCTTCTGGGAAAACATTAATCGATTTAAATCAAGGGCATGCACCCAAATGCTGCAGGGGCCAGGCAGGTGCCAGAAATGAGTGCCCTATGGAACACTTAGCCTTCCTGGGCTGCCTTTTTCTTTCTTGCTCTGCTGGAGACATGGCATAAGCACTATTTTACTTTTAACGCTAATGTAAAAAAAAAAAAAAAAACCCACAGAGCCAACAGGATGATAAGCAGCAACTGTCATTAGCTCTGTGCAGTGGTGATAGTTGGGTGGGGCAGGAAGGGCTGTGAAGTGCAGAGAAAATGCTTACATAGGTGCAGTAGCAACTCAGCATAGCTGAATGGTGTCCTGTGGAAACGTAGGCCTACTGTGCACAAATATTACAACAGGAGACTGAAATCTGGATGATCTGGGGTATATGAAACTGACGACTCTTTACATTGAGAAAACAATTATTAAAATTTGAAATACTCTGTTAGGCCTATAACTATATTGGGTTAAACAAAATGTGTTCATGGGCTCATCCAATGGTTCTAAAACTCGGCTGTGCATTAGAATCACCTGGGGAGCTTTTAAAAGTCCCAACGTTCAAGTCACATGCCTGGGCAGTTAAGTCAATCTCTGGAGGCAGATTCAGTCATCAGTATTTTTTTTTTTTTTTTTTTTTTTTTTTTTAGACAGAGTCTTGCTCTGTCACCCAGGCTGGAGTGCAGTGGCGCAATTTTGGCTCACTGCAACCTCCGGCTCCCGGGTTCAAGTGATTCTCCTGCCTCAGTCTCCTAAGTAGCTGGGATTACAGGTGCCTGCCGCCACACCCGGCTAACTTTTGTATTTTTAGTAGAGACGGGGTTTCACCATTTTGGCCAGGCTGGTCTCGAACTCCTGACCTCAAGTGAGCTCCCTGCCTCGGCCTCCCAAAGTGTTGGGAATACAGGCGTGAGCCACCATGCCCAACCCAGTATTCTTTTTTTTTTAATGTCTCAGGTGATTTCAATGTGCAGTTAAAATTAAGAACCACTGCTTTTGATGTGCATCGGTTTGTGAGCTCTGATTATAGGGCATATTTTGGCAGAAGGATGTTGTGAATGTTCTGCTCCACCTAGGGCCTTCTGTTAATTGGCAGGTGTGCTGTATCACACATGTTAAGTGCTGCAGATGAGATTTCAGAGGAAATCATCAAGCGCTCTCCTGTTCTGTTTCTCTTGAGGGCCTCAACTCTTCATCATGAAATGTAGGCTGTTACAGTGATAGCAGAAGAGGTCACCAAGAAACTCATATGCCATTATACTTTACATGAGTGCCGAAGCTCCTGTCGCAGTCCATATTATCTGTATCTAACATCTTGTCCTGGGTACAGTTTCCCATTCAGCCACTCGGCTGTACTGTCTGTATGTTGCATGATAATTACTAGGCATTATACATGTGCAGTCACATTGCAACCATGTGACAATGCCCACTTCTTGTGTAGGTGTGCACAAGAAATTCTCTTCAAGGTCTCAGAAGGACTGAGTACGGCAGGCCTCACAAGACACAGCCATGGTGGGCAAATAGCAGTGCCTGACATTCCTACCCCCATCCTCAGATAGTGGAGTTTCCCACAATCCCCCTCCTTGACTCTGTTCTCTCTCGGCTCACGTTCCTTGGCTAACACTCTCATACCACTTAAATCTGTGCTGCCAGTGCTTATCTGTCTACTAAGTTCAATCCCAGATTTCCATTGGCTAATTAGACATCTCTACCTGAATGTCTTAAGGACCTATGAACTCAATGTGTTCAATCCTGAATTCATTATTGTCTTCAATAAATTTGTTTCTTTCTTTCTCTTCCCCACCCCCGCCTTGTCCCATTTGCTTTGCTTAAAAAAAAAGCTTTGCTTCCTTTATGTGGAAAGACACATAAAGGAAGAACTGAAAAACCAGGGCTCAGGACAGAAGGCAAGGAACTTATTGGCCAACAGCTGTAGAAACATGGACAGCCTTCTAAGATGCTGTATTTGGATGGCTCCTTTACAAATGCCTCAAATCCCCCTGTGTCTCTGCTCAAGATTCAATTCCTGAGAGACATAAACTGATCGATCTATCTTGGGTCCTGTGGCCATCCCTGACTTTGACTCAGGTGAGTGGGTTAGATTGGGAACCCAACAGAATCAGATGAAATGAGGTAGAAGTAATCCCTCAAAGATAAAACAGAGTGCTATTGCCAGGAAACGAAGGAGAACTACAAAATATGGGGAAAATAATTTTATAAAAATTGTCTCCCTTTTGTGGATTTAAACAGTATATAAAAGTGACATATAAAATATAAGTAAATGCATTTGTGAGAAACCAATGTTTTACCTCATTTTTATT
This sequence comes from Homo sapiens, assembly GCF_000001405.40. Classification (NCBI taxonomy): domain Eukaryota; kingdom Metazoa; phylum Chordata; class Mammalia; order Primates; family Hominidae; genus Homo; species Homo sapiens. Next base: position 69,017,937 of record NC_000009.12, on the reverse strand, counting down.
TTAATAAGTAAAGTAATTCATGCTCAAAATTAATTTTAGCAATTCAGAAGCTTATAAAGTGAGAAGTAAAAATTTTCCTTCCTTTAATTTATGCTTCTCTAAGTTCCTAGTGCTATTCCCTAGGGGTAATCACTTTTGGCAGTTCTTATATGTCAGAAGATATATTTTTAGGTAAGCAAGTTGGGCCTATTTCTAGGACTACTTTCTTTTCAGGTCCCAAAAACATTACAATGCTCATTATCATGTGTGTCAAGCCACTTCTATAAATATTATGGTGGCCGGGCACGGTGGCTCACGCCTGTAATCCTAGCACTTTGGGAGGCCGAGGCAGGCAGATCACCTGAGGCCGCGAGTTCGAGACCAGCCTGGCCAACATGGAGAAACCCCGTCTCTACTAAAAATACAAAATTAGCTGGGCATGGTGGCACATGCCTGTAATCCCAGCTACTCGGGAGGCTGAGGCAGGAGAATTGCTTGAACCCGGGAGGTGGAGGTTGCGGTGAGCCGAGATCGTGCCATTGCATTCTAGCCCGGGCAACAAGAGCAAAACTCGGTCTCAAAAAAAAAGAAAAAAAAAATTGTGGCAAAATTAGTGGTACCAAGGGATGAATGATTGCCCAAACTTTAAATAAATGTAGTACTTTATAAATTATTGTCATTAAGTTATTTCTGAACTTCCTGACTCCCATAATTTTTCATCTTTCATATAACAAAGGCCACGCCAATTTTTAAATCAGCATTTTATAGATCATAAATCTGACATAGAAACTTTGTGTTCAAAAATGTTCTTTTACAATATTCTGCTAATAAGGAGAAAACAAACTATTAATAGAAGCTGGCTTGTCAAAATCCAGGTATGATAAGTATTTCTGGACCAGAACATGCAGTGTTATGTAAATAATTCCCTGAGTGATAGAGATTTGTAGTTTATTTCTTATTTGAATCCTGGTGGAGTTTGTTCTTTTCTTTGCTCCCATCAATATTTTGGAGATAGAGAGGAAGTTAGAATTGAATGATCCAAGCCTTATGCAATTAGCCATTTGGAAACTGCTATATAAACAGTAAAGAGGAGAATCAGCTGGCATGACTGCCAGTGAGCAGTTTTTTGGGAGAAGAATGGTCTTGATTGCCTTTCATTGGGCATACAGGAAAGCAGAGTTGGCTTTCACCTCTTCATTTGGCCCCCTAGGCAAGCTCCAAGCAGATCATGCAGAGGTATTGTATCTTGCTACACAAATCTTTTCCTTCTGAAAGGGTTTATCTGAATGCAAAAGGATTCCTGTTTCCTTGGCATGCTAAGGACTCCCTTGCTCCCCAAGGCCATGGAGAAAAGCAGAACGGAAAGTGGAGAGAAATAACAAATGTAATTATTCTGCAGCTTGTTCTGGGATAAATACTTGATGTTCTGACCTGTAAACGAAGCATGGGGACATTTCTAGTGTGCAGCATATGTTCCCTCTAGACCCCTGTGTCTTCCTAATTGAACTTCAGAGATTAATGCCACAAGAATTTGTCATGGAATGGCACAGCCTGCTTCTAAACAAACTGTCCCACTTCCAAGGCGTCGGTCCAAGAGAATGGCTTCCCACTAATTGCTCTTTGTGTATAAATTTCTACTGAATAATCTGGAGGTAAGTCAGAAATGGGCAGAATTTTAGCAGATCTACTGTGATGAAAATGAAGAGGAAATCACTGAGATTATGGGGGAGACGTGGAATTTCCATCTGCCAGGGATTTGCCTTGACCCAAAGCACAAGGGGCAATTGACCCCCCTGCTATGTTCTTGAGGGAATGTGGGTTTCCCTTTTGTGGAAGTTCAGATGATCAACAGTAGATTTTTCTCCTTTCCTCTTCTTCCTCTCTAACCTGACCGTCTCTGAATATACAGTCAGTACCCAAGTACTGGCCCCAGATTAAACCGTAAACTCGGAACCAGGCCTTGCACACAATAGACACCTGCTTGACCAACATCTGCTGAACTGAGCGGCAAGAATTCACAGTCACAATAGAAACCTTCTACTTGGAGTCAAGTAATCAGGGATTCCTCTCCAATTTGCTTGGTTTCAGCCTGCAGGGCTAGGTGAAAGTGTGTTGTTTACTTGCACTAGCTACAGGCGGTGTAGCCAGGGTGGGTAGGCAGAATTAGCTGTCAAACTTAAAGGGCAAGATGGAGAGAAAATAGGAGGATAAATGGGTATTCCTGTAGCTCAGTGTTTATGATGTAGGACAGAATCTTTGTACAGAATTGACTGGGGAGAGCAGCTCAGAACCCACCCTGTGATGGCTGAGTGCTGGCAGTCTTCTGGAGGGTGTGTGGGGCGGCTGACATGGTGGCCTGGGGGAGTGATGGAAGGCCCATCATCTATGTACTTTGACTTCTCATAAACTCCTGTGGCATGTTTTTAATAATTGATAGAATAAGTAAACAGAAAGTCAATAAGAATATAGAAGACCTGAACACTACTACTAGCCAACTTGACCTAAGTGACATTTGTAGAACACTGTATCCTCAAACAGCAGAATACACCAGAATATACATTCTTCTCAAGTGCATATGGGCCATCTACCAAGATAGATCATATTCTGGGCCATAAAATGAGCCCCAAGAAGTGTAAAACATTTTAGGTCACACAGAGTATGTTTTCTAACAATGGAATTAAATCAGAAATCAATAGGAAAATTCTTGAAAAATCCCCAAGTATTTGGAAACGAAATAATATACTTTTAAATAGCTTATCTGTCAAAGAAGATGAAAAGGGAGCTTAGAAAATATTTTGAGCTGGATGAAAAGGAAAATACAACATACCAAAATTTGTGGGATGCTGCAAAAAATAATACTTAGGAGGAAATTTATAGCACTAAGTGATTGTAATAGAAGAAAGATTTCAAATCAGTGACCTTAGTTCCCACCTTAGGAAATAAGAGCAATTAAACCCAAAGCAAACAGAAGAAAGGAAATCATATGTATGTGTTAAAATAAAACATTACATGCAGTAAAACTGAATTTTGGGGGGAAGTATACAGTTCTTTGAGGTGTTTGTTTGTTTGTTTGTTTGTTTTTGAGATGGAGTTTCACTCTTATTGCCCAGGCTGGTGTGCAGTGGCACGATCTCTGCTCACTGCAACCTCTGCCTCCCAGGTTCAAGCAATTCTCCTGCCTCAGCCTCCCGAGTAGCTGGGATTACAGGCATGCGCCACCACGCCTGGCTAATTTTTTTGTATTTTTAGTAGAGACGGGGTTTCACTATGGTGGTCAGGCTGGTTTCGAACTCCTGACCTTGTGATCCGCCCGCCTCGGCCTCCCAAAGTGTTGGGATTACAGGCTTTAGCCACTGCGCCCGGCCAGTTCTATGAGTTTTAAAACAAATGTAGACCACCACCCAATACATTGTAACCACCAGCACAATCAGGATACAAACATGTCCCACCACTTCCCACATTCCCTCAGGCTGTCCCTTCATAGTCCAACCGTCCCCTAACCCCAAGCCCTGGCAATCACTGATCTGTTCTCTCACACTATAGTTTTGCCTTTTCTGGAATGTCATAGAAATGGATTCATACAGTAAGTCTCCTTTAGAGTTGGCTTCTCTCACTTGCATAATGCCTTTTGGATTTATCCATATTGTTGAGTGCAGCGGCGTGATCTTGGCTCACTGAAGCCTTGACCTCCCAGGCTCAAGAAATCCTCCCATCTCAGCCTCCCATGTAGCTGGGAATATAAGCGGAGGCCGGGCGGGGGTCGCAGCGCCGCAGCCAGCGCAGCCAGCCCCAGGGGGCGCCATCTCCGCCGCTGCCGCCGCCGCCGCCGCCGCCGCGAGACCCCCGCCCCTGCCGCCGCCACCGCCATGGGCAACGCCCCCGCCAAGAAGGACACCGAGCAGGAGGAGAGCGTGAACGAGTTCCTAGCCAAAGCCAGAGGAGATTTCCTCTACAGATGGGGAAACCCCGCTCAAAACACCGCCAGCTCGGATCAGTTCGAACGGCTCAGGACGCTGGGCATGGGCTCCTTCGGGCGGGTGATGCTGGTGAGGCACCAGGAGACCGGCGGCCACTACGCCATGAAGATCCTCAACAAGCAGAAGGTGGTGAAGATGAAGCAGGTCGAGCACATACTGAACGAGAAGCGCATCCTGCAGGCGATCGACTTTCCGTTCCTCGTCAAGCTCCAGTTCTCCTTTAAGGACAACTCCTACCTGTACCTGGTGATGGAGTACGTGCCGGGTGGGGAGATGTTCTCCCGCCTACAGCGCGTCGGAAGGTTTAGCGAGCCCCATGCCTGTTTCTATGCCGCCCAGGTCGTCCTGGCCGTCCAGTACCTACACTCGCTCGACCTCATCCACCGCGACCTGAAGCCCGAGAATCTCCTCATCGACCAGCAGGGCTACCTGCAGGTGACGGACTTCGGTTTCGCCAAGCGCGTGAAGGGCCGCACTTGGACCTTGTGCGGGACCCCAGAGTACCTGGCCCCCGAGATCATCCTGAGCAAAGGCTACAACAAGGCCGTGGACTGGTGGGCCCTAGGGGTGCTCATCTATGAGATGGCCGTGGGCTTCCCACCCTTCTACGCCGACCAGCCCATCCAGATCTACGAGAAGATCGTCTCTGGGAGGGTGCGGTTTCCCTCCAAACTCAGCTCTGACCTCAAGCATCTGCTGCGGAGCCTGCTGCAGGTGGACCTCACCAAGCGCTTCGGAAACCTCAGGAACGGGGTTGGCGACATCAAGAACCACAAGTGGTTCGCCACAACCAGCTGGATCGCCATCTATGAGAAGAAGGTGGAAGCTCCCTTCATCCCGAAGTACACAGGCCCTGGGGATGCCAGTAACTTTGACGACTACGAGGAGGAAGAGCTCCGGATCTCCATCAATGAGAAGTGTGCCAAGGAGTTTTCTGAGTTTTAGGGGTGTGCTTGTGCCCCTGTGGGTTTTCTTTCCTTTTTGTTTTTGGTGGTTTGGGGGATGGGAGGGTTGGATTGAACAGCCAGAGGGCCCCAGAGTTCCTTGTATCTAATTTCATCCTCACCCCACCCTCCAGGGTTGGGGGAGCAGGAAGCCCAGATATTTGGAGGAACAGAAACACCAGCTGCTCCCTCACCCCCCCCCATGCCTTCCTGGTCCCTCTGTGCTTCTCTCTTTCTCCTCCCACAGGGTCCCCCTTGCCCCAGCCCCCTTCTGCCTGTTTTAAACGAGTTTCTCAGCTCTATTCAGGCCAGGTCTTGCTGTTGTATCAAGGGACACGGTGTGGAAAGAGGGGCTCAAACTTAACTCCAGCCCTGAACAGGCACCACTTACTAAGAGAGGATGAATGAAAAGCACACCTACCCTTTGGCGTAATCCTGCCTGGGAAGGAGAGAGGTTTAGTGCCATGTTCAGTGGGCTGTTTGCTAGAATAAAAAATTAAAACAAAAAACAATTAAAATCTTATTTAAGTTCCACCAGTGTCCCCTTTCCTCCTTCCTCTACTTCCACCCCTCCCACCCTTCCCACCTTACCGTGTCTCCCCATTCCATTTTAACAAATCCAGGAAGCCGACTGACTTTGGAAGGAGGCTCTGGGGTTTGAACTTCCCCCATGAACTGCTGATTTCCCCCTCCCCCCTCCCCAGGGGCATCCTCTATCACTCTTGCAAAGGTCTCAGTTCTTTTAGGAAGCTCCACTCTCTTCTTCCCCAGCAGACTTTTCTTCACCCTTGGGCTTTGGGAGCCAGAAAAGCAGCTGCCCTACTCCCTGCCAAAGAGGAGTTGTCCCCCAAAAAGACAGAGTGGGAGTTCCAAGCCCAAGTCTTTCTTCACAGCAGCATTTCCCCGAAACTCCTTAATTTTATTCTCAGCCAGATTGTGATGCCCAGCCTCTCCTTATGGGAAGGCAGTCCTGCAAAAGGACATGGAAGAGGCCCAGCCCCTCCACCCCCACCTCATCGCCCAGGGTTCAAGGCTAGGGTTGCTGGGGAGGGGCTGCCTGTTTTATTCACCCAGCAGCTTCTGCCTTCTCCCATCCTGGGTGCCCCTCTCCAGCTTAGCTGTCAGCCATCCTTCACCTCTTCTCCCCTGCCACCCCGTGCTGTTTTCAATTTTTTTTTTTTTTTGACATGAAGTCTCACTCTGTCACCCAGGCTGGAGTGCAGTGGTACAATCTCAGCTCACTGCAACCTCCGCCTCCCGGGTTCAAGCGACTCTCCTGCCTCAGCCTCCCGAGTAGCTGGGATTACAGGGGCCCACTACCATCCCCGGCTAATTATTGTATTTTTAGTAGAGACGAGGTTTTGCCACATTGGCCAGGCTGGCCTTGAACTCCTGACCTCAGGTGATCCAGCTGCCTTGGCCTCCCAAAGTGCTGGGATTATAGGAGTGAGCCACCGTCCCTGGTCTGTTTTCTTTCTTAATAGAAAAGTGAGGAGCTGCTGGCAAGCCACCTCATTCATCTTCATATTTCCCCCTCTCATCACTTCTCCCCATCCCAGGAGGAGCTCTCAGGCCTGGGGTGGGTCCCCAGGTGGGCTCAGGGTGATTCAACCTGCTTGCTGTGAAAAGATGAGATTTCCTCTTGAACAGTGTGCTGTTGTAAACATATGTCAAAACTATTACCAATAAGGCCGGGTGCTGTAATCCCAGCACTTTGGGAGGCCAAGGCAAGTGGATCACTTGATGTCAGGAGTTTGAGAACAGCCTGGCTAACATTGCAAAACCTCGTCTCTACTAAAAAATACAAAAATAGCTGGGCGTAGTGGCATGCACCTGTAATCCCAGCTACTTGGGAGACTGAGGCAGGAGAATCGCTTGAACCTGGGAGGCAGAGGTTGCAGTGAGCCGAGATCGCATCACTGCACTCCAGCCTGGGTGACAGAGTGAGACTCTGTCTCAATACAACAAAACAAAAAACCAACTATTACCAATAAAGTTTTGTTAAAAAAGAACTGGCAAAACTAATCTATGATGCTGGAAGTCATAATAGTGACCTTTGAGGATGGCATTGGTGGAGAGGGGACATGAAAGAGCCAGCAGGTGGCCAGGCACGGTGGCTCACGCCTGTAATCCCAGCACTTTGGGAGGCCAAGGCGGGCGGATTACGAGGTCAGGAGTTCAAGACCAGCCTGGCCAACATGGTGAAACCCTGTCTCTATTAAAAACACAAAAAATTAGCCAGGCATGGTGGCAGCTGCCTGTAATCCCAGCTACTCGGGAGGCTGAGGCAGGGGAATTGCTTAAACCCGGGATGCAGAGGTTGCAGTGAGCTGAGACTGCACCACCGCACTCCAGCCTGGGCGACAGAGCGAGACTCTGTCTCAAAAAAAAAAAAAAAAAAAAAGCCAGTAGGTTAGCTGCAAATGTTTTCTATGCGCTTTAGGTGCTGGGCACATGGGTCTACACATATGTAAAAATTCACTGGACTATACAATTCATAGCTGTGCACTCTAGCATATGTAAGTTATACCTCAGTCATTAAAAAACGGTTGAAAATGTTGAGGTTTTTTGAGACAGGTGAGACAACACAGGCAGGCCACGGGTGATTCAAGTGGGGATAGAGTTTTGAGGATCACAGCCTCATGGTATTGAAACGGCTTTTGAGTTAGGTCTTAAAATAAAGGTTCTTAACATTTCTTGGGTCCAGGTCACTGTGAATTTGATAAAAAGTATAGTCTTTCTCTTCATGAAAAAAAAAACACCCCATATACACAAAAGCATACCCAACTTGTGTATATGATTTCATGGCCCTATTAACATTTATCTATGACTCTTCTAGAAATCAGTGGGTCCTAGGCTAAGAACCCTGCTTAAATGGGTAGATTTACAAATGGGAGGGGGGAAGAGTGGGATTCACCTATGAAAACCCATGTAGTAAGGGAGAGTGGTAGCACATATGAATACTAGAGAGAGGCAGAGGATCCTCAATCATCCACTTCTGCAGAATTCCCTGTTGACATCCTAACCTAGGATGTAAGACATCCTAGCTTTCCAGCACTGACTCTGCAGGTGAAACTGCTACTTATGCTGAGTAACTATGGCTCTGGGCTACATTTACAAAAGTTTACAGCATGCTTGCTTACAAGAATCAGCTTGTTTTAACTCGAAGTATTTAACACTGAGCATCTTACTCATCAGGAATATCTTTCTGCAGCCTTGATCATTTTGCTTTCTAATGATTTTTCTCTCAACCTCTTATGTCTCTGTTGCTAGGGACACTTACCAGGTGGTGTAAACTGTATTAATTAATTAAAATATTCATTGCTGAGTCCATTCCCATGTGAGAAGTGTACATCCCACACCTTTGACTCCAGACCTGTCAATGTCACTCATGTTGGTGGATGGAATGCAAGTAGAAATGCTGTCAGCTGCACTGAGACAGAAGCTTTGTGAGCTCTCATTGGTTCCACCATTGCTCTTTTTCTCTGCCATGAAAGTTGCCTGTCCCACATAGGGGCTGCTCTGGACCCCAGAATGAAGAAGACTCTTGGAGCAGAGCTGCAGCTGGTCCCCACATGTGAGGGAGACGTAAAACTATGTTGGTGAAAGCTCCTATGATGTTGGGATTGTTTGTTACCATAGCATAACATAGTGAAAGCTGACTAATATACCAGGACATTTGGGAAAGTCTTTGGATGAGTTCAGCAGAAGCTGCTATTGAAGTTTTTCCCATTTTTATCCATCATGAAATTCAGTTTATTTAGGATTTCTGAATATCTCAAATGAGGAGTATTTGGGTTATTTTTAATAAAAGAAGAAATGGAAAGACCATAAATCACTGGAATCGATGTACCACCACAATTGAGAACAAAATATTTTATTTCTCTCACAAAACTATAGTTTACAGTAGTATTTACTAAATAAATTATATAATTTCTCTTTTACAAGCAATAAACTAGATCACAAATATTTCAAAGACAATGTATGTACACGACATAAGGCCTTTTATAAATAGCTTTGCTTTTCTCATTTCACTAGTAAACAGTGAAAAAATCTTTATAGAAGCTAGTTTTCTATAAAGTGAAGGCAGACCTAGTATATTGATCTTTAAATGAAACCAATTTAAACTTTCAATGACATGAACTATAATTTTGCAAAAGAATTTATACTTAATTTACCATGTGTGTGGATGGATTTTTAAAAATATATAAGCAGATTACATATGTTGCTTATGTATAATCACTGGATGCATGCACAATGAAATAATGCAAAAGTCCATAGGAAAATAGCACTTCCAACTCCAAAAAGGTGATTGGCAATGGTACAGAAAGCAGCTTAAATATAGTTCATGCAGTTCTTCACAGTTCAGCAAGCAACAGCAAATGATAGAATAGGGTAGTATTTTTCACATCCCATCTGCTGATCAGCCTGAAGTTGACATCTTGAAAACTCTTAAGTCAGGTTGATGATTTCTCTGTGTGTAGTGGGGCTCAGCCAAGTTGCTGTGGATAATTCTGGTGCGGAGAAACTTCTCTGCCATAACTGTGCTCACGTCTCATCCATGTGCTTAGGTGATCACCATTTTCACTTACTGGGGGGAGCAAAAAAGCAGGTGTGAGACTAGATTTTGGCATCAATTTGTAACCTCTCCCCATGAGTCGCAACATAAGTTCGTTATTTCTCCCAATCACTTGTGTCTGGAAAATGGGGTGCATTATGTTTGGGATTCTTCTGCAATGATCAGCATAGCATATACTTCTTTGGTGGACCTGAAACCTGTTAATTACACCAATGTTTATCAAGATTGAGTCCTGACTACATCACAGCACTGTGCTCGGGACTTGGAAGGAAGCAACACTGACTAAGACACCCTCCTGCCCTCCAAGTGCACAGGGATGAGGGGATGTGCTGTGGTATATTAGATCTGAAGCCAAAAAGAACAACTTGAACATGGCCTTGAACTTGTAAATGTTTTTTTCCAAACAATATCACTGTGGCTGGGTGGTAACAATATGTTCAGCAAATGGTAGCTATTTAAATGGTAGCTATTTAAAATCAGAGCCAGCTAACTCAACCTGTGACAGCAGCACTATGATATATGTGGGGAAAGCAATATTATATTCAGCCTTTAGAGACAGACACATTGGGTCAAATCATCTGATTTCCTATTTTTTTTTTTTTTAGATGGAGTCTCACTCTGTTGCCCAGGCTGGAGTGCAGTGGCAAGATCTCAGCTCACCGCAACCTCTGCCTCCCACGTACATGAGATTCTCCTGCCTCAGCCTCCCGAGTAGCTGGGACTACAGCTGCCTGCCATCACGCCTGGCTAATTTTTTGTATTTTTAGTAGAGATGGGGTTTCACTGTGTTAGCCAGGATGGTCTTGAACTCCTGACCTAGTGATCCGCCCACCTTGGCCTCCCAAAGTGCTGGGATTACAGGCGTGAGCCACCTCACCCGGCCTGATTTCCTAATTATTTCATCTGTAGAATATTATGCAACATCTTCTTGGAACCTTGTTGTTTCATCTATAAAGTGGAGGTAACAAACTCTACTTTATAGGGTGGTGGTGAGGGATAAATTTTTCCATGGGGAAAATGAAGTGTTTTACACACACACGATATACACAAATCATATATTTATAATTGAGTACTGTACCTGGCATGTGCTAGTACCCCCAAAATTGTAGTGAAGAAGGTTGGAGCTGGGGGTCACAGAGACTGGTGCAGCTCAGCACCTTTAATTGGAGGCTTGAAAAAACTTGAGTAAAAAGTTTGAAATAACTGAAAATTATTAGGAAAGAGAACATGTCACATACAGGGAATTCTGTTTAACAATTAATATTTTATCTGAGACTATTGTGCACTGTAATTTTTATGAACTTACTATTTTGTTTTATACGTTGGCCGCTCCCTCTCATTCACCTAAGCTAGAAAGGTTTGCTTGGCTAAATGCACAACATGGTCACGCTGTTACTCAAAAATAATCTGTAGGAAGAGGTGAGTGTAAGGTGCTATAAGCTATAGCAGTGGGCAAGTGGGACGTTGCCCACATTCCCAGGATAGCTGTCTTTAAGGTGGACTGGTGGATTTCATTCAGCCTCAGTCTGATAACTTTGATGTATGGTGCAGGTCTCTCACAAAACCAGTGACATACAAAACAACCCACATAAAATGATGAGGTCCTACTGATTAGATTTAGAAGTCCTGCGTTCTTAAAAAACAAAGCAGAATAAAAACAAAAAGAGGTGATAGTTTTGCTTTCCTCGTTCTATAGATCACACTGGAGTTCTGTGTCTCATTTCCAGTGCCAGACTCTGAGAGGGACAGTGAGTAACCTGAGTGATGCCTGAGGAGATCCACCAGTGAAGGGCCCTGGAGCCAGGACCCCAGGGGAATGGCTAAAGGCCTGGGCTTTTTGGTCTAGAAAATAGGAGAGGTAGAGACAGGGCATAATAGTTGTCTTTGAGTCTCTGAAGACTAGCCTCAGGGAAGAAAGGCTTAGGTATTAGTTTAGTCCCGGTATTGCTGAAAGATGTGACACTGTCACCAGCAATAGTGGCACAGATGCTGTGATCCTGGGGTCGGGAGGTGAGTGGAATCTCAGAATGTGTGAAGGGCGTAGAGTTGTAAAGCTGCACCCCCTCCACTCTTTCTTCATTAAGGATCCTGAAATTTATGTCCTCCCCCAGCACATGTCATGTGTACATGACGCAAGCCCTCCCTAGATACAAGGGCCCAGCATGCCATCTGCTGAGACTCAGTGGTTGAGAATGATCCCAGAAGCCAGAACCCAGGACAACTGCATGGAAGCCAGTTTTTTCTCAAGCTAGAAGTGCTTTTTAACCGGAGTAAAAAAAATGAGTGGGCTGGGTATGATGGGTCACGTCTATAATCCCAGCACTTTGTGGGGCTGAGCCCAGGAGTTCAAGAACAGCCTTGGCCACATAGTGAGACCCTGTCTCTACAAAAATAAAAAATAAAATAAAATAATTAGCTGGGTGTGGTGGCATGTGCCTGTGGTCCCAGCTACTCAGGAGGCTAAGGTGGGAGGATTGCTTAAGCCCAGGAGTTTGAGGCTATAGTGAGCTATGATCACACTGCTGCATTCCAGCCTGGGTGACGGAGAGAGACCCTGTCTCTAAAGAAAAAAAAAAAGAAAGAAATGAGTGGTCACTAAAGAAGGAGCAGTTGCTGTCACTTAGGGATCAGCCCCAGGAGAGCTGAGGCAGAAACTGTTTATCCTGACCCAGCACCCAGAAGGCACAGTAGAGAGGACTTGGGCACTTGTGGGTAGCTTGGGCCAGATGACTATGAAGTTCTGTTTCAACCACAAGATCCCATTAAAAATTGTCTGTAAAGTCCGGGTGTGGTGGCTCATGCCTGTAATCCCAGCACTTTGGGAGGCCGAGGCAGGCGGATCACCTGAGGTCGGGAGGAGTTCGAGACCAGCCTGACCAACATGGAGAAACCCCGTCTCTACTAAAAATACAAAATTAGCCGCGTGTGGTGGCGCATGCCTGTAATCCCAGCTACTTGGAGGAGTATTGCTTGAACCTGGGAGGCGGAGGTTGTGGTGAGCTGAGATCGCACCATTGAACTCCAGCCTGGGCAACAAGAGCAAAACTCCATATCAAAAATAAAATAAAATAAAATAAATTGCTGTAAATTTATACCACTGAATAACTCAGAATACTGTAAACAGTTGGTGACTTATGCAACGGGAACGATCTGAAAAGAATTTAATACCTTGATGTCTCTCATAAAATTGGTTAAATTTATAGTTTAATAAAAAAACACACAGGGTCTTATAATAATAAAAGATACTCTCCTCAGTATTAAAAATAAAGAATGATTTCCAGCTTTGGTCATAAAATGTCCTTTGCATGCACACAGGAAGTTTAGTTTAGTTTTTTTTTTTTAAACTAAGGATGTCATAGAAGTTTCTATAAGCTCCTATAAACACTCACTCTCACCCTCAGGGCTCAAGAATGTCAAAATTGGGTGAGCACTGCCAACTCTCCACCCATGTTGTAATGTAATTCTTGGATGACATGATCTGGATACATGAACGTGTCTGTTTTGCATTAATTTATAACCCTGTTAAAATGAGATGGAGAGGTATCTGTGGGATCTGAAAGCACAGCGTCTTCTTGCTTGTAAACATGGCCACAGTGAGAAGTATGCAGAAACCATTTTATTATTCCTTCCTTAGCATAAAAGGTGCCATAATTTTCCTTCCTTCAAATTCATAACTCAGGAGTCCTATATTAGCCATCACTGCAGAGACACAAACATCAGTTCTCTACCCTGGAAGGAAACTAACTCATAGCTTGAGCTCATTCTTCAAAGTGTGGTACACGCAGAAGTCCCTTCTGCTCCCCAGCACGCAGATGGACTCTTCAGGGCATTATTGCCCAAAAGATTAGCAGCTTCTCCTCAAGGTCAACCAAGATTCAGACCCATCCTGACCGAATGGGTGTAGAGACTGAAATAAGGTTTGACCGCTCAGGGATCAGAGACCTCACGGGACTTGTCAGTGTTGTTCATCTTGGCCAACCTAACTGTGGTGAAGTTCCTCCCTCTCAGTGCTGGTGCTTTGGCAGAGGAGCTCAGAGACTACAGACCCTGGAGTGACATTTCAGCTCTGTCCCCAGGTGAACCTCTGTACACACACACACACACACACACACACACACACAAAAACACACACACACACGCCCACAAAGGTGCAGCATTTTTGCCTATGCACTGAGATACTCTGAGAATTCATGAACTATTTAAAATTCTGATACCTGACAGTAAAAAGTGTCGTTAATAGTTGCCATAAAAAGTAAAAGTAGAGTATTTCAGCCTAAATCCCAGTGTTATTCATCCCACACATATGTTGGGGTATAAGAAAGAGAAAGGTGTATTTTTATTTCTACCTAAAATAAAATGCTTGATTCTATGATTGAAACTACACAATAGTATGTACACAAGGGGTCAGAGATTACAAAGCTTTTCAATATTACAATTAAATAATTTTCAACATTTATTTTAAAAAGTTATTTAAAATTAAATAATTAAACACTAATACAGAGCAATAAGGGAAAACAGCAAATCAAAAGCAATCTGTCCACTAATTAACCCAGAAGCCCTTTCTAGGGGGCTGACTGTACTGTGAAGTCGGATCCCCTGGAGGGGAGCCCAGGCAGGAAACACTCCCAGGAGGGCTTCCCAACTCAGATGGCCTCGGTTTACTTTTCAGAGCCACAGGAAGGGCATGAGAAGGTGAGGAGTTTCTTTTCCAAGAAACTTTTTTCCTAGACTCATTCCTTCCACTCCTGCTTGCCTTTCTCAAGCCTTCCCTTGACACCCTTGCCCCCATCAACCGACTGGCTTACAAACATATCGAGAATTTCTGAACATCTGGGATGTGGTGTGAGGGAGTTTTAGGGCAGTGCTGAGAGAGGCGGAACTTCACCACAGTTAGGTTGGCCAAGATGAACAGCACTGACAAGTCCTGTGAGGTCTCCATGATCCCTGAGCAGTCAACCCTTGGGGTGATATCCCCCCCCCTTTTTTTTTTTTAACTATAATTACCTCAGGTTTCAGTCCTGAGGCCTTATTAAAGCAAGAGCTTTCTCTGGTGTCCAGGAAATCCTCACTTTGGTTTCAAGTTGAAATTCTTTGTCCCAAATATCTTTGACGAAAGCATCAGCTTTTCTCTCGGCCATCGTAGGCTTAGTCCCGTGTTTCATTTTCCTACACACAGCTCCTGTTTCTGTCATCAATTCTGAATTCTCTTTTTTTCCAGGTCTGCTCTGTTTCCTTTCTATTTCTATTGTCCTGATTCTTTTGTCTGATGTTCCTCTCGTTGCCATGAGATCACATCAACTCATCCCGCCTCCCTCTGCCCACGTTAGTCAAAACTCACACATCACCACAAATCCATATTAAGGCTCAGGATATCTCACCCCAACATCATCTCCTTGGCTCCGGGGTCCCCTTCATCTCTGGGTTCACCCGATTTCTTTCCCAGAGATCCCTGAATTTTATTTTATTATTATTTTTTGAGACAGAGCTTCCCTTTGTCACCCAGGCTGGAGAGCAACAGCATGATCTTGGCTCACTGCAACCTCCGCCTCCTGCGTTCAAGTGATTCTCGTGCCTTAGCCTCCTAAGTAGCTGGGATTACAGGTATGCGCCTCCATGCCCAGCTAATTTTTGCATTTTTAGTAGAGATGGGGTTTCACCATGTTGCCCAGGCTGGTCTTGAACTCCTGGACTTAAGTGATGGGCCCCTCTCGGCCTCCTAAAGTGCTGGGATTACAGGCATGAGCCACCATGCCTGGTTGAGATCCCTAAGTTTTAAACACAAGGTATCACCTTTGGGTTCTGGGAAGTCCAGAGTCTCTCTCTCTCTCTTTTTTTTAAATAAAGCTCTATATTTTATTATATTCATATCTATCCTCTATTGGGAATTACTTCACAAGGCACAATCATTTGGGGATGTAGTGCAGTGGGGGATTTCTCGTTGTATTGGATTCCAGTAGTAGCAGGGACCCAAAAGCTCACCATTTTGTTAGGCATGGAAACAAATACACGTGCTAGTGCTGCAGAATCAGGACATAGCAGTGTGAACAGAAGAAAATCACAGTGCTATGGAACTGCATTGCCGAAAGGAAACTTAGGCACGCTCAGATCCAAATTTCCTACCTTTGTACTTAAAAAATATATTTGGACGCAGCATTAGAGGTGACGTTACTCTCTTCCAAGGACCAGGGACTACAAGGCTTCAACCGAGAAGCCTTGAGGCAGAAGGCAGGACTTTCGCCATCCTTGAAGGATGTGTACAATTGGGATGAAGACAGCTATTTTGTTCCAGATCTGGTAGACTGTTGGTTGAATTCTGGGGTGTTGGCAGCACATGGAGTGCCAGGCCTCCTGCCGGCCTCCAGATGCCTCATTAAAGCATCCCACACTAAGCAGCAGGTAGATGAGCCATAAGGTGAGAGCAGACCCAAGACGCAGCTGACACTCGTCTGTGCCGTCTCCTGGGATGGATTTAAGATTTGGCCTCTCATTTCAAAACTGTTAATGTGGTAACATTTTAACACAGCTCCCTGACTGATTAATTTGTTTCCTAAGGACCCAAGAGAAGCCTGAGAGCATCAGTGATTTATACTGGTGGACAGTTCTGCAGTGGACTTTTCAGCACTTGAGTGACTCCTGCTAATTGTAAATCTGGGTGGTTACCTCATGATATGGTTTGGCTCTGTGTCCCTACCCAAATCTCATGTCAAATTGTAATCCCCATGTGTTGGGGGAGTGGTCTGGTGGGAGGCGATTGATTCATGGGGGCAGACTTCCCCCTTGCTGTTGTCATGTCAGAGTTCTCATGAGATCTGGTTGTTTGAAAATGTCTGGTGATTGCCACTTCTGTCTCTCTCCTGCCACTAAGTAAGATGTGCCTGGCTTCCCCTTCACCTTCTGCCATGATTGTAAGTTTCCTGAGGCCTCCCCAGTCATGTGGAACTATGAGTTAATTAAACCGCTTTCCTTTATTAATTACCCAGTCTTGGGTAGTTGTTTATAGCAGTGTGAAAATGGACTGATACACCTTATCATCTAACACATCACATAGATCTGTTGCTGCAACACAATCCACTCTGACCCCTGCTTCAGCCACATTTGAAAAATGTGGGGGGAGGAATATGGTACTGGTTTCATTTGAAAAGGAGCACTGCCTGAGGACAACGCCACTGGCTTCTCTCTCACCCACAGGAAGGAATGCACCAGAGGCCCTCTGCCAAGACCCAGAGGGTGGAAATTAGAAGCTGCACACCCAGGCTGGGTGTGGTGGCTCACACCTGTAATCCTGGCACTTGGGGAGGCCGAGGCAGGTGGATCACCTGAGGTCAGGAGTTCGAGACCAGCCTGGCCCACATGCTGAAACCCTGTCATTACAAAAAAAAAATAAAAATAAAAATTAGCCGGGTGTGGTGGCGTGCGCCTATAATTCCCAGCTACTCAGCAGACTGAGGCACGAGAATCACTTTAACCTGGGAGGTGGAGGTTGCAGTGAGCCAGGATTGCGCCACTGCACTCCAGCCTGGGTGACAGAGGAAGATTCCATCAAAAAAAGAAAAAAAAAAAAAAAGTTGTGCTCCCATCAAGCCTTTTCCATCTCAGCACTTTCCTCGGCGGCATTTTCCTTTACAAAAACACCCAAGTAGCTGTTACGGGCTAAACTGTGTTCCCCTAAAATTTCTATGTTAAAAGTCCTAACTGTTGTCACCACAGAATGTGACCTTATTTGGAGGCAGGGTCTTTATAGAGGTAATCAGATTAAAACGAGGCCACAGGTTGGGCCCTAATTCAATATGGCTGATGTCCTTATGCAAAGGGGAATTTTGGATACAGACACGTACAGGGGGAAGATGTGATGTGAAGACATAGGGAGATGAAGGCCACCTACAAACCAGCGAAAGGCTAGAACAGATCCTTGCCTCACAGCCCTCAGAAGGAATCCACCCTGCCAACACCTTGATCTTGAACTTCTGGCCTCCAGAATGACAAGAAAAGAAATTTCTGTTCAAGACACCAAATCTGGGGTACTTTGTTACAGCAGCCCTAGAAAACTAATAAAATAGCAACCACTGGGATTTAGGAAGTCTTTAAAAAAACCCCACATATTTTTATCTTATTATATTTAATTCTGTTCTCTACTAAAGTTACTTCAAAAGCCACAATCACCTGGGAGTTCCATGGCTGTAGGCGAGGACCTGTGGAAGACCGAAGGTGAAGAATGGCTTTCTCCACCCCAGATTTGTTGATACTTTGTTAAAATTGCTGCCTAAACAGTAGAAAGAAGCATTTTCTGTGTTGAATCCCAATCTGCCAAGGGAGCCTTTCAAAAAGGCTCAAGCAGAACTGGCCTTGATGGATGAGGGGGGCACACTTGGACCTGAGGGAAGGTAACACCTTCATTTTTGCGCCACATTGTAATTGTAGCCTCCAGTCCAACTTGAAAGGTGGTGGAGCTGGGCCTGTCAGAGTAAGCTGCCTTTGACCTCTGAAGGACATACCCCCGCCGCCTGCTGACCTTGCACGTACAACACTGAAAGGCTACAATCAAGTACATGGAGTGGGAACTCCATTGAGACACACACTTGCTCTTCATTACGTTTCAACTCTAGGGGCTCCATCACTCCTTCCCCGCCTTGATTATCAGTAGGTGGCAGTAGAGGGCTTGCTGAAAGCAGGAACTCATTGGCAAGCCCAGATCATAAACTTGAGGGTGTAGGAGCTTCCTAGGCTTTGCTTCTACATTAGAGGCACGTGTAATGGGACAGCTATCTTGCCAGGGGAGTCACACGGTTCCCCCTTACATTAGCATACAAGAATTCCAGGATGCTCAGAGCTGAAGGACCCTGTTAATAAGCTCAGGGGATCTCAGCTCTGGTGTGTGTAGAGGTTTAAAAAATACCAATGCCTCAGTCCACCCCCAGGGATTTTACTTCGAACACAAATTATGTCCCCAACAGGTGACTGACTCTGTTCATATAGTCATTTACCTGATACCTCTTTGTGAGGAATACAAACTAATTTGGAAACATCTATCTAACGTCACAGTGACAACCAGGGAGAAGGGAAGTGAACAAGAAAACGAGGCTATGTGTGGTAAGGAGCAGTTAATTCACAGGTCCCTCGGTAAGGTAGAGGGGTGGGCTGAATTGTGTCCCCCCAATATTCTTATCCACTTGGAGCCTCAGACCGTAACCTTATTTGGAAATAGGGTCTTTGCAGATGTAATTAGTTAAGATGAGGTCATACTGGATTAGGGTGAACCCTAAATCAAATGAGTGACATCCTTATAAGAAGAGAGGCCACACAGAGGCACAGAACATCACAGGGAAGAAGGCCATATGAACATGGCAGCAGTGACGCAGATCAAAGGACCAAGGGACATGTGGAGCCACCAGAGGCTAAAAGAGGGAGGGAAGGATCCTCCCCTGGAGCCTTCAGAGGAAGTGTGGCACTACTGACACCTTGATTTCAGACATCCGGCCTCTAGAACTGTGAGACAATCCATTTCTGTCTGTGGTCATTTGTGATAGCAGGCCTTGGAAACCAGCAGAGGCAGAAGCAGACCACGGGAAGCCAGGCCCTCAGCTGCCTACTCCTACTCGTGCCATTCATCACACTTGGGGGGCTTTATTTTTTATAAACCGAATAGTCCTTAAGCATTTTCCCATTCCCCCTCAGAGCCCAGAAGGGGAAATGGCACGAATGAGAACAGTCCTGTTTACTAGGTCCATGGGTGTGATCTAAACTTGTTTTCCTAAAAGTTCTTGTTTGTTCTAATCTGGTTCTTTCTAAGTCTGCTGTTTGTTTTCTGCAGGCTCAGGGCCTCGCAGACCCCAAGTTCACACCATTACAGGCTGTTCTTCCTCAAACACTATTCCCAAGAGTTGGAAAGTTTCCAGAAAATGGCAAACACTGGCTTTCTCTGACAAGGAAGACAAAAATAGAAACCACAAAGAGAAGCAATAGGAAGAGTCTAGAGGGATAAGGGAAGGGAAGAGAGGCCAGTCTTAGGAGGAAAAGAATGAAAAATGAGGGGCAACCCGCGCCTGGATGTATAATAATAAAAGACCCAGGCAAACTGGAGCAGAACTAGCTTTTAAGAAAGTGGAAATCAGCCGGGTGCAGTGGCTCATGCCTGTAATCCCAATTTGGGAGGCCGAGGTGGGCGGATCGCTTGAGGTCGAATTCGAGGCCAGCCTGGCCAACATGGGGAAACCTCATCTCTATTCAGCTAGGCATGGTGGTGTGAGTCTGTAGTCCCAGCTACTTGGGAGGCTGAGGCAGGAGAGTCACTAGAATCTGGAAGGTGGAGGTTGCAGTGAGCCAAGATTGCACCACTGCACTTCTGCCTGGGCAACAGAGATATCCTGTCTGAAAAACAAAAAAAAAAAAGAAAAGAAAAAAGAAAAAAAGAAAAAAAGAAAGTAGAAATCAAGCTAGCCTGCAAGCCAAGATTCACTGTAAAGCTAGGACCTAACAGAAAAAAAAAAAGAAAAAAAGCTACTGCAGCCCTGCAAACTGTCATTCAATTGCTAACTCTGAGCCTAATTGAACTGGAAAGCCAGTGTGCCTTTATAACTCCAGCTGGAATTCCCTACGCTAATCCTTAAACAGCAGTTTAATGCTGTTTGTTTTTTAAAAAAATCCTATGGGTGACCTCCTAATCTAGACTGACAGGTTGCCTCATTAATTTGAAGCTTGCGTCACTTTTATTTCAAGAATGGGAATAACTTGTAGATGCTGTGAGACTCGGGCAATGGGAGGTCCATTTTCTCAGCTCTTCCACATGTCTTAGAAATATTATTTGTCAATAACTTAGGGGCCAAGCATTTCTGGAAACAAACAAGGGCCCTAATTTATCCTTTCCAAAATCTCTTCACTTCTCAACAATGTGATCACCTGGCAGAAGGAAAGGGGCTTCTGGTCAAATGCCTTCTACACCAAACGCAGTGTTTGTCTTTTCTCCTTCCTACTCTGCTCTCACTAAAATCTACCAAAAACCCGAGCAGCATCTTTGGTTGGTAGGGGATCGAGTTCTCTCCTGAGAAGGAATAAGAAATGCCACTGTTTCAAATAAACACCCCTTGAAGCAGCGGATACTGGCTCCAACAAGGAATGATTAAAGAGACCCAATATAAGTCATTAACCTCAACGCTGAGGGATTCAAATCCAGAAATGCAGTTTCTTTTGCCAAAAAAGTTCCACTGAATTTTCTAAGACCCCTGTGACCTAATTTAAAGTGTTTTTCTTCTCTTTCTCACGCTTTTTCCATACATAATAGTATGATAAGCTGTTAATTCAATCATTTTCACTTCTCTGCCACCCTTCTTCCCATGATCAAAGAGTATTATTAACTACCCTGAAAACACATTAAATAATCAAGCCGTCCAACAGCTGCCCATCAGAGCGCTAATCTCCAATACTGGCGTGGCTAAAAAACAGCTTAACTGTTTCTTCTCCTTTGCTCACAGCTATTTTTGTATTTCAAACAGCCATTTTGCAGAGAAGCAAAACTGGATGAAAGTACATATTATTGAGAGGATGTTAATATGGAAAGTGTAAGGGCATAACCTTGGGTATGAATAGTAGAAGCAAGGAAGTCACTGTTTTCTGGCAGCCATCTTTCAAACTTCTATATTATTAAAAAAGCAATCCCATTATCTCCCACTTACCCAGCCATTCCCAGCTAGTCATAAAAGGATATTCTCTCCCAATACACTTTTCAGCAGAAATGGCTTTTTGTTGGTTGTTCCTCTTTCCACGAAAACCAAATTGCATTCTACATCAGGCAAAGAAGCCGCCTTAGAAACGGAAATAACAGCCACTGTGACAGCATCCGGTGCCTTAGAATATCTGGGACTATTTACAAAGTAGAATCTTGCTCTATTATGAAGACTGCGTGATTGCCCATTTTAAATCAATACAGCCTGCTCATCTCTGTGTATTCTTTTAAATACCCTAATCTGTGTCATCAACTCAAAATTCAATGAAAAACACATCTTTGGTCACTGGATAAAAATCATCTTAGAAAACACTTCCCTTGATTTGAATATTTGAAAATGAGTCAAATAGCTTGGGACTCTACAGTGTGAAGGTGAATGGCCTTTAAAAAGCCATGCAGAATAACTAGATACATAAAATCTGAACTAAATGTCTCACTAAGGATGATGGAACAATTAGCTGCCTTTTCAACTCACCAATCCTTTTTAATTTCATGTTGAGTTACAGGAAAAAGCAGGAGAGCTAGCCTAATGCACACACACATAATGTGTGGATGGATCCTTAAAAGGATATTTCATATGTTATCTGGTGGGCATACGTCATTTGGGTTTAAACTTATGTATTTTTACACAAAGGTAAATGGTATTATACATTACTGTATAAATAAAAGCACTAGGGGATTAGGCTACAACTACTAATAGAGAAATGCTATCTTAAAGGAGAAGAAGCATTACAAGAGAAACCTGACCACGTTTGGTGACAACACTGTACAGGAAGTCACTAGAGAAGCTTCCAACTGCCCTTCAGATAAAGATGGCTGTGATTCAGAGCACTCAAATTATGTCAAAAGGAAAAAAGAGACAATGCAAAGGCAAGATTGGTTTTCCTTTCTTGTGCTTTTCTTTTCCATTTTCTTTCTTCCTTTTTTTTTTTTTTTTGAGACGGAGTTTTGCTCTTGTTGCCCAGGCTGGAGTGCAATGGCGCAATCTTGGCTCACCGCAACCTCTGCCTCCTGGGTTCAAGCCATTCTCCTGCCTCAGCCTCCTGAGTAGCTGGGATTACAGGCATGCACCACCACGCCTAGCTAATTTTGTAGTTTTAGTAGAGATAGGGTTTCTCCATGTTGGTCAGGCTGGTCTCGAATTCCCGACCTCAGGTGATCTGCCCGCCTCGGCCTCCCAAAGTGCTGGGATTACAGGCATGAGCCACTGTGCCCGGCCTCCATTTGCTTTTTCATATGGAGATGCAAATGAAAATACTGAAGGGAGGGCAATGAGCTGTACCCTTTCTGATCTAGAAGAGCACGCAAAACAAAAAATAAAATTTTCCAGCATGAAAACACATTCTGGAATTACAAGTTAATGGTGCAGGACTTTCTAGATGTACTGCCATAAAATTTAAGTTTAAAGAATGTGAAAGTTTATGGTACAGGAGGTGATTAAACAGCAAAATTTGGAGAAACAACGGTAGATACTTTGGAAACCTTCCTTTTCTCTTTCTTTCTCTCTTTCTTTCTCCCCTCCCCTCCCTTCCCTTCCCTTCCCTTCTTCCCTTCCTTCCTTCCTTTCCTTCTTTTCTTTCTTTTCTTTCAATTTCTTTAGAGACCATGTCTCACTCCATTGCCTAGGCTGGGGTGCAGTGACTAGATCATGGCTCACTGCAACCTCAGACTCCTGGGCCTGAGGGATCCTCCAGCCTCAGCCTCACAAGTAGCTGGGACTACAGGCATGCACCACCAAGCATGGCTAATTTTTTTTTTTTTTTAATTTTTGTAGAGATGAGGTATCACTGTGTTGCCTTGGCTGGTCTCGAACTCCTGGCCTCAAGCAATCTTCCCACCTTGGAAAATCTTATTTCTATATCTCTTTGTAATTTAGAATGAACCTGATTTAATAATTCATTTTATAGATGAGAAAACTGAGATCACTGAATTCAAGGGAAACGATTAATGAGAGGCAGAGACCAGCACAGACTCCAGGTGCCTATTTGTCTCTAATTAATTTATGCTTCACTTGGTTTTGCAACAGGTGAAGAGACTAAGTTAAAATATGAGAAAAACTCTGTAGGGATCATTTCTGGGGGTCCATGAGGTCAAACTATTTTCCTAATAATACAAAGATGTTGTTTGCCTTTTTATTCTCATTCCCTTTCATGGATGTACGATGGAGCTTTCTAGAAATGAAATGATGTGTTATATATATCAAGAAGACAGATACAGAAACAGATGTGAGAATCTTTTTTCTTCCATTAAGCCAGACATTAGGGATTTGCAGAAATATAAAAGAATGCCACCTTTCTCACAAAATTTATTTTTGTTTTGGAAAATATAATAATATTCATAAAAACATTATTTAACATATAATAGATTACTGTTTTAAATTAATGAATACTTAAACAATTTTGGCTAGGTGCAGTGGCTCACTCCTATAATCCCAGCACTTTGGGAGGCCGAGGCGGGCGGATCACCTGAGGTCAGGAGTTCAAAATCAGCCTGACCAACATGGCGAAACCCCGTCTCTAGTGAAAACACGAAAAATTAGCTGGGCGTGGTGGCAGGTCCCTGTAATCCCAGCTACTTAGGAGGCTGAGGCAGGAGAATCGCTTGAACCTGGGAGGTGGAGGTTGCAGTGAGTCGAGATCGCGCCACTGCACTCCAGCCTGGGCGACAAGAGTGAAATTCCATCTCAAAAAAAAAAAAAAAAAAAATTCAGGAAAAAACAGTGAAAGAATTTTACAAAAAATATTCTCAATAAAACCCCCTCATTCCTTCCTTTCTGTATCCTTCCCTCACTCTTGTAAGACACATGATTCCAATGAGATGGACGTGAGACTTATATTTATGGTCAATAACAACAACAGGGTGCTCCTGGGTTCAAGTTTAGGCAGGACCACACATGGAGCTGAATTTGAGTTTTGGCTCACTTAGGAATATTGCACCTCCGTGACTGGTGAAAATCTAGTTTTTGTAAAGACACATGAAAGTGGCATGAATCCTTAGCTCATGAAGATGAGATTTTACTTAGCTTCTTTCTGAAAGGCTTTCCTGATTTCTGGTTCCAGATGAATCCAACATGGGACCAAAAATGTATTTTTTTCCCTATTTAATTCCCCATTTTCTTGGTTGGGGGTGGACCAACTTTTCTGTAAGGATTTTGTGATCTGCTACAATCTTATTTTTTTTAAAGCGGGGGCAATGGTAGGGTGGAGCATTGCTCAGTGCAAAAAAATTTGTTTATGCAAAAACTAGGATATTCAGAGAAAAAATCTTTTTACAACGGTTGGTGGGGGACCTGCTGTTTTACGTAGGGGGCGGTCAAGAAAAGCCTATCTGAAAAAGAGGTACTTGGGCTGAGACCTGAAGGAAGTGAGGGAGCATGGGATAGGTGGAAAAGAATACACAGACAGGAATGGCAAACACAAAAGTCCCAAGGCAGAGATGTGCTTGGTCTGTGAGAGGAACACCAAGGAGGCCAGTGTGGCTAGAATAGCATCAGCAAGGAAGAGGGAGACCCAGGGAGGGGGCAGGTCGGAGATGCAGGGGAGACCAGACCATGCAGGGCCTGGAGGACTTTTTTTTTTTTGGAGACGGAGTCTGGCTCTGTCGCCCAGGCTGGAGTGCAGTGGCGTGATCTCGGCTCACCGCAAGCTCCGCCTCCCGGGTTCACGCCATTCTCCTGCCCCAGCCTTCCGAGTAGCTGGGACTACAGGCGCCTGCCACCACGCCCGGCTAATTTTTCCTCTGTATTTTTAGTACAGATGGGGTTTCACCGTGTTAGCCAGGATGGTCTCGAACTCCTGACCTCCTGATGCTCCTGCCTCGGCATCCCAAAGTGCTGGGATTACAGGCGTGAGCCACTGCGCCCAGCCAGGACTTTTTTTTTTTTTTTTTTTTTTTTTTTTTTTTGAGACAGGGTCATGCTCTGTTGCCTAGGTGGGAATGCAGTGGCATGATCTCGGCTCATTGCAACCTCCGCCTCCCAGGTGCAAGTGATTCTCCTACCTCAGCCTCCTAAGTAGCTGGGACTACAGACATGCACCACCATGCCTGCCTAATTTTCCTATTTTTAGTAGAGATGGGGTTTCACCATCCTGGTCAGGCTGGTCTCGAACTCCTGACCTCAAGTGATTTGCCTGCCTCAGACTCCCAAAGTGCTGGGATTAGAGGCATGAGCCACCATGCCTGGCCAGGACTTTGGATACTACTCCAGTATTGCTAGGAGTAGCATCTTAGGTGACTGATGCCCTGCAGAGCACTTGTGAGAAATTACAGTGCTAGGTCAGGGATATGGAAAAGCATAAAATGCAGGCTCAAGGAGGCTCAGGGAGCTGCTGTGAGACATGCATCACTCGGTGCTGATTCCTGAAGTTGCACTTGTACACCAGGAGCGACACAGAGTATTGGCTCAGGTTTAGCAAAACTTAAAAAAACCCAGAAAATTCCAAAAGAACACTTCCCCTGTTTTATGTAATTTTGTGCAGGTAGGCCGGGTGCAGTGGCTCATGCCTGTAATCCCAGCACTTTGGGAGGCCAAGGTGGGCAGATACCTGAGGTCGGGAGTTTGAGACCAGCCTGACCAACATGGAAACCCCGTCTCTACTAAAAATACAAAATTAGCCAGGCGTGGTGGCACATGCCTGTAATCCCAGCTACTAGGGAGGCTGAGGCAGGAGAATTGCTTGAACCTGGGAGGCGGAGGTTGCGGTGAGCCGAGATCGCACCATTGCACTCCAGCCTGGGCAACAAGAGCAAAACTCTGCCCCCCCCCAAAAAAAATTTTTTTTTGTGCAGGCATACAAAGACGTAGCATACATGCAAGATGCACTTGGCACAGAAAATACTCTTTTACAGTGTAGCCCATCAGGGTATCTTTCTAGGCATTATCTAACAGTTCGATTAAGCTGATACAGGTAATTTGACAGGCACTAAAGGGTCACTCATGATCCTCAAAGCAGCCTTGTAAGGTAGGCAGGGTGGGCATTATTTCCCTCCTTAGGCAGTCAGAAAGGTTCCTTCCCAAATCACACAGCTGGTTGGTGACAACTGAGGAGAGAATCAGCCAAGATTCTCCAGCACTGAATTTGGGTTCTTCCCATGACCCAGTTCTGCGCCTCTCGGCCTACTAACTTACCAAGGGAGCAACGCCAACACACAGAAGATTCAAACATCAGGGAGCACGGCTGAGTCAAAGGGAAACATTTCCTCGCTGGGAATAACACTAAGGAGCCCTACTTTGCCTCAACATTAGAGGATTCGTTCTCTTGTTATACGTGGTGATTTCGTATTGACCTAGATGTTCTTTTGTGTAATAAATTGTAGGAAAACATTGCTTGTGAAAAGAAGCACCATTTGCAGAAGTGAAAGGGCGCCATCATTTCTTTTAAAACCCAAGCATGCCTGGTTTTATTGAACTTGTTCTTGTGTAAGCCATGGCCTGGATCCATTTACAAACCAGAAGTGGAGGAGAGGAAACTAAAAAATTACTTACTAAATAGACGTCAAGCACAGAAGCATTGTCATCCTGCACTTCCAGAGTGTTGGGCTCAGCGGTCAAGTAGATGGTCCCCTCTTCCAAGGTAAATGTTGAACTGGAAGGTAACCCTTTGCTGGAAAAATAAAGATGAATGATGGGCATGAGGCCCCCAGAACAAAATCTAAAGACACCTCCAAAGTCCTAAAGAGGGTGAGGTGGGCAGCTTTTGGGGATAAACAATTTTGAGAATTTGAAGGAAATATGGTTATGCCTGGAGACATGGTCACTTGAGTTTAAAGAGTTTGGGTTTAGCCCAGGCGCGGTGGCTCATGCCTGTAATCCCAGGACTTTGGGAGGCTGAGGCCGGCGGATCACGAGGTCAAGAGATCAAGACCATCCTGGCCAACATGGTGAAACCCCGTCTCTACTAAAAATACAAAAATTAGCTGGGTGTGGTGGTGCACACCTGTAGTCCCAGCTACTCAGGAGGCTGAGGCAGAAGAATCACTGGAACTCAGGAGGTGGAGGTTGCAGTGAGCTGAGATCGCACCACTGCACTCTAGCCCGGCAACAAAGTGAGACTCTGTCTCAAAAAAAAAATATATAGTATTCAGTTTTACTAGAAGTGCATTTTCTCTCTCTACCAGCACACGAGATACCTCATTGCATTTGGGAGAGGGGATCTGTGGGTCCCATGCCTTGTGAGTGGTGGGAGGATGTGAATCTAGGGGCTCATTAGTTATCTTTGACTTTGAATGATTAGTTCTTGCTGCTTCAATTTACAGTATTTACACTACCCTAGTTTACAAAAGATAACCTTGTGCATCATTAGCACTGATGATTTTTCTTTTTTTCCCCTTTTTACTCTTTTTTTCTTCTTTTTCAATTACATCAGTGGTTCTCAAACTTACATGTGCCTCAGAATCCCCTGGTGGGCTGGTTAGAATGAAATTTCTTGGATCCCTCCCACAAAGCTTCTGAGCCAGAGTCTGGCATAGAGCCCATGGATTTGCATTTCTGACAAGTTCCCAGGTGATGCTAACGCTGCTGGTTCAAGGACCACACTTGGAGTAGCAGTGAACCACATAAACACAGAGCACTGTGTTATGTCCTCTGTGAGGATAGCTGGAGCACACCCTTAGTAACTACGACAATACCAAAAGCCAAAGGAATGCAGGTAGACAGTATATTGGAGAGTCATCTGAAGAGAAGCCACCATTGTTTTGTTGTGATATAACCAGTGTTAACTGTTGAAACTGTTGAAGTAACTGGTCCTCTTGTTTTTTTTTTTGAGACGGAGTCTTGCTCTCTTGCCCAGGCTGTGGAGTGCAGTGGCGTGATCTCAGCTCACTGCAATCTCCACCTCCTGGGTTCCAGTGATTCTCTTGCCTCAGCCTCCCGAGTAGCTGGGATCACAGGTGTGCACCACCATGCCTGGCTAATTTTTGTATTTTTCGTAGAGACGGGGTTTCACCATGTTGGCCAGGCTGGTCTTGAACTCCTGACCTCAGGTGATCTACCCACCACGGCCTCCCAAAGTGCCAGAAATACAGATGTGAGCCACTGTGCCCAGCTTGCTCCATTTTTATAGTGTTAAAATTGGGTATTAATTTAGGGGCTCATGGATATACAAAATTTTTCCCCATTAAAATCAAAGTTATGTTTTTAACCTGTGGAAATTTGCCATGGGAAGGTTTTGCTGGAACAAAATATTTGAAAAAAAAAAAGAAAATGGAGAAGAGTGTGATATTGGTGTTGGGAGAGTTGGCAGAAGGCTGGCCATTGGCCATGTGGAGGGAACCAACAGCAGCCTATGGTCTTCCCTGGGTGGTAGAGCTGAGGGCAGGGCTGGGGAAGGTGGGCTTCATCTCTCCTCTTCCTCTGCGACCCCTTCCAGGTTTAAATCAGAGCTCACCTCTTCTGAAAACTCCCCATCTAAAGGCATCCTCTGAGGTTCCTGTCTAAGCCTCCAAGCTGAACAGGAGGCCACTGAGGACATTATAATCTCTGTCTTTCCCGCGTCTGGGAACCTGGGAACTGCACATAATCCTGTCTTTGTACATATTTACCTATTAATTGAAGATATGTGAAATATTAAAAGCCCTGACCTTTTTAATATTAAAAAAAAAACTTGTTAAAAGAATTGTGTGGATTTTTTTTTTTTTTTTTTTTTTTTTTGAGACGGAGTCTTGCTCTGTCAGCCAGGCTGGAGTGCAATGGCACGGTCTTCGCTCACTGCAATCTCTGCCTCCTGGGCTCAAGCGATTCTCCTGCCTCAGCCTCTCGAGCAGCTGGGATTACAGGCGCCCGCCACCACGTCCCGCTAATTTTTGTATTTTTAGTAGAGGTGGGGTTTCACCATGTTGGCCAGGCTGGTCTCAAACTCCTGACCTCGTGATTCACCCACCTCGGCCTCCCAAAATGCTGGGACTACAGGCATGAGCCACCATGCGCAACAAATTGTGTAGATCTTAAGAAGTAAGGTTCACTTGTATTTTTCCTGATTACAAAAGTCATAAAGAGGCTGGGCGCGGTGGCTCACGCCTATAATCCCAGCACTTTGGGAGGCCAAGGCGGGCAGATCATCTGAGGTCAGAAGTTCGACAGCAGCCTGGCCAATATGGTGAAACCTTGTCACTACTAAAAATACAAAATATTAGCCGGGAATGGTGGCACATGCCTGTAATCCCAGCTACTCAGGAGGCTGAGGCAGGAGAATCATTTGAAGCCGGGAGGCAGAGGTTGCAGTGAGTCAAGATTGCACCACTGCACTCCAGACTGGGTGACAGAGTGAGACTTCATCTCAAAAAAAAAAAAAAAAAAAAAAACCCCAAAAAAACAACTAAGTTTTTCCATTCTTGAGTTTTTATTTATGATTTTTATTTCTTTCCTAATATTAAGTGTATCAAATATATTAATATATATCAAATATATAAAAGAATATTCTGGAAGCTCTTATATATAAAAGAATATTCCGGAAGTGTCTTTCTTTTAAATTTTTTTTTAAACTTTAATTTTGAAATAACTTTAAACTCACAGAAAAAGGGAAGGAATGCTAAAAAGTCCAGGATACCCTTCCTATCATTTGACCATATTTGCTTTGTAATTATTTATTTATAAATACCCATAAGCATTTTTTCCCTGAACTGTTTGGGAAGACTAAATTGCATACAAGTCATTCCTTTACCCATAAGCCCATCAGTGTGAATTTCCTAAAAACAAGGACATCCTTTTATATAATACAGTACAATTATCGAAATCAGGAAATGTAAAATGATATAATACCATGATCTAATCTATAGTTGATATGGTTTGGGTCTGTGTCCCCCCATCCAAATCTCATCTTGAATTGTAATCTCATAATTCCCATGTGTTGGGAGAAGGACCTGGTGGGAGATAATTAAATCATGGAGGTGGTTTCCCCCGTGCTGTTCTCATGGTAGTGAATAAGTCTCATGAGTTATGATGTTTTATAAGGGGTTTCTGCTTTTGCTCCTCTCTCATTCTCCCTCGCCACTGCCATGTAAGAAGTGCCTTTAGCCTTCCACCATGATTGTGAGGCCTCCCCAGCCACATGGAACTATGAGTCCATAAAACCTATTTTTCTTCCCAGTCTCGGGTATGTCTTTATCAGCAGTGTGAAAATGGACTAATACAATAGTCCACATTTAAATTTTGCTGAAAATTTATGTTTTATTATTTATTTATTTTGAGATGGAGTCTCGCTCTGTTGCCCAGGCTAGAGTGCAATGGCATGATCTTGGCTCACTGCAACCTCCGCCTCCCAGGTTCAAGTGATTCTCCTGCCTCAGGCTCCCGAGTAGCAGGGATTATAGGCACTTGCCACCACGCCCTGCTAATTTTTGTATTTTTAGTAGAGACAGAGTTTCACTGTTGGCCAGGCTGGTCTTGAACTGCTGGCCTCAAATGATCTGCTCACCTCGGCCTCCCAAAGTGCTGGGATTATAGGCATAAGCCGCCACGCCTGGCCCCAACATTAATTAATTAATTAATTATTTTGAGACAGAGTTTCACTCTTGTCACCCAGGCTGGAGTGCAATGGTGAGATCTCAGTTCACTGCAACCTCCGCCTCCTGGGTTCAAGTGATTCTCCTCTCTTAGCCTCCTGAGTAAATGAGATTACAGGCGTATGCCACCCCACCCAGCTAATTTTCATATTTTAGTAGAGACGGGGTTTTGCCATATTGGCCAGGCTGGTCTTGAACTCCTGACCTCAGGTGATCCACCCGCCTCAGCCTCCCAAAGTGCTGCAATTACAGGCATGAGCCACAGTGCCCAGCCTCCAAAATTTATTTTTTTTTAAATGACGCTACATGCATATAAGTGTAAAATACAGCAGAAAGTAATTCTCTTTCTCCTGCCCTCTTGTGATCCAGCATTCTCCTCCCTAGAGGCAAACCCACCCACTTTGAAAGTATTTTTCAATCTAAGAGTTACCTTTTATTTTTGGAAGCTATGAGTAAGCCACTGGCATGGTTAAGACAAAATTAACATACAAAAATTAATTAGAATATTATTTGAGACTTGACAGGTATATTTATCAATTATTTCAGCTAAAATATAGTATGATTACAGAAAAAAGAAATATCAGATTTACTTAGTAGTATCATAAGGTCAAAATTTGATAAAATCAAATGGGCATCTTTCTTTTTTTTAAAACGTTGTTATTTATACTGTTTTTCAAACAGAATAGTTTCCTATCTTAGTAAGTAGAATATTTTGAATATCATTAAATTTGGGTGACAAAAATGAGGCTCATCGAGACATGTATCCAGATTATATAAAGAACTCTTATAACTTAGCAATAAAAAGGCAAATAACCAAATTTAAAAATGAGCAAAGAATCTGGAGAGTTCTCCAAAGAAGACATGAATGGTCAATAAGCATATAAAAAGATGCTTAATGTCCTTAGTCATAAGGAAAATGCAAATCAAAACTATAGTGAGATACCACTTTCACAACTACTGGGATAGTTATCATAGAAAATCAGAAAAATTAAACTTGTTGGAGAGGAGGTAGAGCAACTGAAGCCCTCATACACTGCTGATGGGAATGTATTTGATAAAACGGTACAGCTACTTCAGAAAACTGTTTGGTCTGTCCTCAAAGCAATATGATACACCAATTCCACTCCCACATACATATCCAAGAAAAATGAAAACTTGTCCACACACAAACTTGTATATGAATGTTTGCAGTAGCATTATTCATAGTAGCCAGAAAGTGGAAACAACTCAAACGTCCACCAACTGATGAATGGACAAATAATTCATAAAATGGAATATTATGCAGTAATAAAAAGAATAAAGCTCTGATATATGCAACAACATGAGGAAACCTTGAAAACATTATGCCAAGTGAAAGACGCCAGTCATAGAGGACCACATATTACATAATTTCATTTATGCAAAATGTCTAAGAACAGACAAATCTAAGGAGACAGAAAAGCAGACTCATGTCTCTGGCTTGATGACATGAGAGAGTTGGGTTCTGAGATTTCGAGCTCTCTGGTGAAGAGACTGTGAGTGCAGGCCCGTGGAGGCCTGGGGAGCCATCTGCAATGTCCCAGGGCACATGCTGGTATAGTGCAGGCATGGGCCAGAGCACCTCCATCCTGGGGATGTCCTGCCCAGAGGTTACACACTGCTGTCCCACAAACCCAGTCTGGCTGGAAGAACTGTTTTGAAGAAGAGATCTGTTGGCCAGGTGTGGTGGCTCATGCCTGTAATCCCAGCACTTTGGGAGGCCGAGGCAGGTGGATCGCCTGAGGTCAGGAGTTCAAGACCATCCTGGCCAACATGGCAAAATCCTGTCTCTACTAAAAATACAAAAATTAGCCAGGCGTGGTGGTGGGAGCCTGTAATCCCAGTTACTTGGGAGGCTGAGGCAGGAGAATTGCTTGAATCCGGAAGACGGAGGTGGCAGTGAGCCGAGATCGCACCATTGCACTCCAGCCTGGGCGACAGAGTGAGACTCTGTCTCAAAAAAAAAAAAAAAGAAGAAGAGATTTTAGTTTGAATTATTGCCAAATTGAGGAAAAGGAAATTCCCACAAAAACCCAGTTTCTTTTGAGACATGAGAAGAGTGGCCAACTGTAAGCCTACATTTCTGAGTAGCAGTGAGATTGCAGCTGCCTTCCTTAGACCGAGCATGTCCTCTGCATTGCTGCAGGGTCCCCACCTCACTCGAGCATCCCACCCAGCCTGTTACACTCATACACGCAATCCCTCCCCATGTGTCTGCCCAACATCTCTACTTCCAGGATGAGGCCCAGGGAGGTGCAGCGGCTTGCCTGGGTTACATGGTCCCTAAACAGAGTTAGGATCTGAACTCTTTTCCAATTAACTACCCTTTTTTACAGTCATTGCTGCTAACATTTTAGAAATTTGTCATTGCAGAAACAAAAGTAGTGTACGCAAATGTGCCTAGGAGCTTGAAAATAATTACAGAATACCCACAAAAACAAATATGGTATATGATGTTTGGTGTTAGCTGTGGAGATCTTTGTTCTTTTGGGAAGAGTAACAATGAACAGAAAGTTTTGAGGAAAAGTAAGCAAAATATGCTTTCTAAAACAACATATTTAAAACAATGGATATTAAGATTGAACAATGAAAATAATGCTACTTAAGCTTCCAACAATTTAATATTTAAACCAAATTATACATATAAAAGAATTTGGGAGAATATACAGCCCTAAATGAATAATCAGGCATTTATACAGTAAAGTACCATTAAATGTATTCTGAATAATCTGAAATTATTATTGTCTTGGTATTGAGTGTAAGCTACATAACCAATTAATTAATCTTTCTATTTGTTATCCTCATTATGCAGGATCTACCAAGTGAGACCACAGCACAGAATGGCATGTTACTTGCCTAAAAATCTTAGATTAGATACTACCTAGCACCCAAAAAAGGATGAGAATACATTTTCAGGAAACAGGCACCTGAGCTGAGAAAGCATTAACAGGCAGAGCATAAGCTTTGGAATCAGATGAATCTGACTTTCAATTCTGGCTCTTGGACTTAGTTGTATGTGATACTGGGTAAGTTTCTTAACCCTTCTGAGTAAGAGCTCCAGTTTCCCATATGTAAAATGAGAATAATAATACAGAACGAGTAGGGTTGTTGGAGTGATTTGTGGTAATGAATGTAGGATGCAAATATTTAGTTATTTAATTTGTATTTTTTAGAGACAGGGTATTGCTCTGTCATCCAGGCTGGAGTGCAGTGTTGCAATCTTGGCTTGCTGCAGCCTTGGACTCCTGAGCTCAAATGATCCTCCTGCCTCAGCCCCCAAGTAGCTGGGACTAAAGGCATGTGCCACCATGCCTGGTGTTTCTTTTTAAAATTTTTTTGGTAGAGATGAGGTCTCCCTATATTGCCAAGGCTGGTGTCAAACTCCTGGGCTCAAGTTATCATCCCAAAGGCCAAGAGTTTAAGAGTCTGGCTGCCTGCCGATGTGCTGCACCATTAAGTTTTGCCACAGTTCTCTCGATTCAGACTGTCTGAGGGCTAATTGCACACAATTTGCAACAAGCCACACAGGCCTGTAATGCACTGCCATTACAGGCATGAGCTACTACTGCTCCCAGCTGCAAATAGTTATTGAGTATCCATGTATGCACACTGCACCTAGAATGGATTCTAGCACCTAGAATACAGAGATCAAATTTTAAAAGTCTGTGCCTGATGGAACTTACATAGTATTAAAGAAGACAGACAATGAGATAAGTATTTAAAATATGTATTATGTTGGTCAAAAGTGCTAAGGAGAAAAAAAAAACACACACACAGAAAAAAGATAGGAAGTGAGTAGCAGAAGCCAACTCCAAACAGCAAACTCTCCTTGCTCTGCCATCATAGGATCTCAGGCATGAGCCACATCCTCCACAGGACACTTATCAAGCCCTCCCAAGTGTCCCTGGGTGGGGACAGACACCTCTGATCAACAGTTCTCTCTAAAGATCACATTCTAACTGCCACTCTTTTCTTGGCCTCAATAACCTCTTTTAAAGGCTGGAGGTGGGTAGTCAGCTGAGGGCTGTAGAGCTGATTTTCTGCCATTCAAAAACCAGTTTTGACCTTTGCAAGTGCTATAGTCTCACATTTACTTTTGTTTTGGGCCTCAGCCAAAACAGATACTAAAAATATTTCAGTTTAACACTGTCACATTATTTTTAGCAAAGAGAGATTAGTAAAGGTTATATGCACTACTGAAGAGAAAGGTGTAACTTTCCTAATCAAGAAATGTTTCACATAGGACATAAAGTCTTACCTAGGCTCAAGAACCTATAAACTGTATGCAGGAGTATGTATGTGCATGTCCATTGTGGCTTAAAAAATAATGAAATGTAATTATCAAAAGAGTAAGGAGATAACGCAAGAATAAGTCATCTAATTCAAATAAATGCATCCATAGTCTACAGCAAAGTCTTCTCTTGAAGATGCCCCAAGCAGTAAAGGTAATATAATTTTTTTTTTTTTGAGATGGAGTCTCGCTGTCACCCAGGCTTGAGTGCAGTGGTGCAATCTTGGCTCACTGCAACCTCCACCTCCCGGGCTTAAGCGATTCTCCTGCTTCAGCCTCTCAAGTAGCTGGGACTACAGGTGCGCACCACCATGCCCAACTACTTTTTTTTTTGTATTTTTAGTAGAGATGGGGTTTCACCATGTTGGCCAGGCTGGTCTTGAACTCCTGGCCTTGGGCGATCCACCCACCTCAGCCTCCCAGAGTGCTGGGATTACAGGCGTGAGCCACCGTGCCTGGCCAGTAATATACATTTAAAAAAAGGATTTTCATTTAAATGTCTATGCCATTGATCAATTTAATATTCATTGCTCCTCAGTTCTGACTTTGGGAAGTATTCTTGCTTTTGTCCTGATATTTTTACTGCATTGTTGATTTCCTGGGCACAAGCCTATTTAGAATCAATTTCTAATTTATCTGGCTGAGAGTTTCCTAGGTTCTGTTTTAGGGGTCACTTAGAAGCAAGGATACCTCTCTTAGGAGGAATATCCTGAAAATCTAGTGGTCAGGTCAGAGTGCCCACCATTTCTCAGACTTGTGGCTTGGGAAGATCCAGTTACAGCAGCAAATTTACGTGACTGGGTTTAGGAGTCTGGCTGCCTGCCTAGGTTCTGCACCATCAAGTTTTGCCACAATTCTCTCGATTCAGGCTGTCTGAGGGCTAATTGCATGTAATTTGCAACAAGCCACACAGGAAACTGTTAATCTACTCAGCTATGTTCTTCCCTTGTAAAAACACAGAAACTGCCAGTACTCTTCCCGGGCTCTGTGCTCTGCTCTCCGAACAAGTCATAAACTTCTCACAGGTGAGAGCAGTACAGGAGGAGCGATTTTTCTTCCTGGCTGTCTCTCTAGGAGAAAACGTTAATGGCACCCTGATGCCACACAGGCCTCTGTCATTTACAGAAAAAAAAAAAAAGATTCTTTTGGTTATCAGCAACATTAGTTTGGCTTCATTGGAGAGCATTAGCCTGGCTGGACTGCTGAAAACAGTCATTGATAATTTTATAGCCTGGAACACTCTGATTTCTGTTTGCAGACCTAATGAGTGTTTTATAGCTAATTCTCATGAGAGCATTTGTTGAGGGAACATATGGTACTATCCACAGTTTTTGTCTTTTAAAAGTCATTCTCTCACTGCCTCAATTTGTTTTAATCGAAGTAATAAACATCATAATAAAGCACACAACACAGATGACTTCTGATGAAAAGCAACAACCTCCTGCCCTCCCCACCCCCACCCTCCGCCATTCCCTAGGGGCAGCAGCCCTTTTTGGGATTTCTCTTTTAATATTTTCTGGCGATTCCCTTCATGTCTTTTGATGAATCAGGGGTTAAAAGATTCTTAACCTAAGGTAGCATCCATTGATTCACTATGAGGGACATTTACCCTCTTCTACCCTGTGTCTTCTTCCAACATTTGCTATTTATATTTTATTTTGTAACTGTAAATAACATACCTAGTGAGCTTTTTTATTCCATCAACCACACACCGTATCCTTTAACTCCCCACATTATTTCATCTTTGTCCCTGCTTTCCCCTCTCACTTTATATTAGACACACTTAAAAAACACCGAACAACTTTTATCTCTACTTTGTCAGGGCTGTTCATATTTATATCCTATCTTGCAGCTATAACAAAATTGCTCCCTCTTTGTCCACAGATTGGCTCTAAAATTAGAAAATTGACACATAGAGTTTATAGTATTGTGACTATATAAATATTGTATACTGCCTGGCCAACAGTGAGTTAGGGTTATATTTCCCTCTCTGGGTTCAGAGTCATAATTGCTGGGTCATGCAAAGAAAAATGTTTCCCAAATCAAAGTTAAATGGAGTCTTTTTTTTGCCCCCTAAGTTTGCTTAAATTCATGCCACATTTTAGGCTGCTTCATGTTAGGAGGTTTTTGCCCTTCAGAAACTGTCATGTGGGGAAGAAACCTCAGAGAATATCCAGGCGAAGGGCAGAGGCCTTGATACAAGCTCTGCGTCTCTGATTACTGGTTACAATGCTGGGCAAGTTATGACACTGAGCTCCTGGTTCCTCATCTGTGGGTGGGAAAGATGCCCAGCCCATCTCACAAGGCCAGCAAGAGGATCAGTTTGGATAGTACAAGAGAAAGAAAGGCCAAGAGAGGGTAAAGCTCTTTGGGATAAGCAAACAGGAGTATCAACAGGACTCTTACCTCTGAGACTCTGCCTGTTTTCATGGGGCTTTGATGAGGTCTGCTTGCATAGACAGATTTATCGTAAGACCTTGGAAAGAATTCCTTTTCTGCTCTTAGTTTAGCTACCAGAACATTAACTGATAACAAATGTAGACAGGAAAGCTCTACCTGCAGAGAACACCCACAAATACAGCCTGGTCTCACTTAATGGCTGCAAAGACTTGTTTAGTACCAGAGCCACACTCTGCTTAAGGGCAAGCCCATTCCAGCGTGACCCAGGCGCTTCTGAAGTGATGGTCAAACCAACACCTTGTGCCCCACTGGGAAAAAGCTCACCTTTGGTTGGGGCAGGGAGTGGGTGAGGATACTACAGGGTGTGGAAATTCTCAAGCACTAGCACTAGCGCTCCTGCTGCAGCCTGGACAGTATCAGCGTGTGGCACATCTCATGCTCCTGCCAGGACAGAGCGGCTCCTTCATGCTCAGCCCTTGGCTGAGTGTGTGGACACATCTACAAAACCCCCCAACACGGACCCAGGGAAGTAGAAAAGCTTTGACCACAGTCACTGCACCCAGAATGCTTAGCCGCCTGCCACCATACAGGAGGCTTTCAGAGATCTGCTTGTTTCTGCCTTTCTCACTTTCAGCCCTGAGCATGGCTGCTGCTCTTCCCCACTCTCCCACTTTTGCTATTTTTAGACAAGGAGACTGCCTGTTTCTAATGAAGGCAGCAGAGCAGCAGGCTCTCTCCTGGTATCAACCGATGGCTCCCCTCCCCGCAGTGAGCACCAGAAGCAGGAAGCCTGCTGCAGGCACAGCTCAGACAGCAGCACTTAGAACCCATAGGCAGGAAGAGACTCAAACAGTGTGTTTCCAGGTTTATTCATTGTGAGGACAGAAGCCACAATGGCTCAGAGAACTGGCAGTGACTGAGCTCCTGCCATGAGCAGCCTCAGAGGTGAGAAGAGGGCCTCCTCTCCCTTTGAGGGGAGTGACTCTGTGTGTGATAGGATATAAATATAAAAAGGGTTCCTCCTTTTTAAAGAGGAACCCTCATCCAAGTTCAGGGACCTTTTTCACCGTATATCGCTATGAGATTTGTTTTTCTTTCCAATATCATACCCCAACATGTACACACACAAGCACAGGTGTAAAGCTAGCAGGCATCGTTGACTGTGATGTTTATACTGTGATGACTGTATTACACATGTTATTTCATTTACTCATTAAAAAGAACCCTGTTAGGTGAGGTCTCTGGCTATTTATTTTGTACATTTGAGTATTAAGACTATCTTGTCTCACCTCTGGTGGCATTTGGATTTGAACGTAGGTCTGACTGGAGTAACCTGTCCTACACATATTGCCTTGAGCCATCCAATCACTGCAGAAAATTAGCCCTTTCCTGTGTTTCTAAGTTATCCCCAGCAACCATGGTTCAATTATAAAAGAGAAAAAGAGATACAGAGATCCATTTCCCAATGACAAATCTATTTCTATATACAAGTCTTGATTATTTGATTTCATCAAAGGAACAAGGAATAGTTGTTAAAGCACAACAACAGAAACCTTCGACACCCCTACTCATATCATATACAGAAATTAATTTGAGATGGATCACCGACAAAATGTGAAAGTTAAACGTAGAAAGCTTCCAGGAAAAAACGAAGGAGAAAAGCCCTTCGGGTCACGTCTAAGAAGGGGCAGAAGGGAACTTGCTGGTGGGATGGGGGAATGTTCTTTATCTTGATCTGGGTGATGGTAACTTGGGTACATATTTTTCAAAATTTATGGAACTACAAAGATTTCTGCATTTTTACTATATATAAATTTTACTTTAATAATGAACTGTCAGCATAATAAACAGTATCTGCTTTTCTCCCTACAAAACTACCAATCATCCATTCAAATGTATACTGAGTGCCTACTTCATTCCAAGTGCTGGGCTTAAACCAAAAAGTAAGCAGACATGGTCAGAACACCAACTTAGGGAGCTTCCCAAAAAGTTGGGGCAACAACCTAAGTGTGCCTTATCTGATGAATGGTTAAAGCAAATGTGGTATACATATACAAAGGAAGAGTATTCATCCTTAAAAAAGAAGGAAATTCTGCCATTTGCAATAACATGGATGAACCTGGAGGACATTATGCTAAATGAAATACGCCAGACGCAAAAAGCCAAACACTGCATGAACTCATTTGTAAAATCTAAGAAAGCTGAACTCATAAAAGCAGAGACTAGAATGATAGTTACTGGTGGAAAGAAGAGGAAGTGAGGAGGTGTTGGCCAAAATGTATGCCAGATGAGGAAGTTCTGGAGATCTGAGGCACAGTGTGGTGACCATAGTTAATAATCACGTATTGTGTACTTGAGATTTGCTAGAAGAGTTGATCTTAAGGGTTCTCACCACACAAAAGATATAACCACGTGAGGTGATAGATATGTTAATTGGCTTGATGTGGTAATCATTTTACAATGTATCACCTTAAATATATATAATTTTTATTTGTTAAGTATACCTCAATAAAGCTGGGGAAAAACCCTAAAAACCCCCAAAAGTTGAGGAGATATATATTAATAATAAATGTTAAAAAGAAGCCAATAGGCCAGGCGCGGTGGCTCACGCCTGTAATCCCAGCACTTTGGGAGGCCAAGGTGGGTGGATCACAAGGTCAGGAGTTCGAGACCAGCCTGGGGTGAAACCACATCTCTACTAAAAATACAAAAAATTAGCTGGGTGTGGTGGTACACACCTGTAATCCCAGCTACTCGGGAGGCTGAGGCAGGAGAATCGCTTCAACCTGGGAGGCAGAGGTTCCAGTGAGCCGAGACCATGCCACTGTACCCCAGCCTGGACAACAGAGCGAGACTCCGTCTCGAAAAAAAAAAAAAAAAGAAGCCAATAATTATATGATTATGAAATATATAAATGCAAAAAAATACGCCACCAAAATAACATCCAAGACAACAACAACAGCAAACCAAAATAAAAACCTTCACCATCAAAGTAATTTCTCTTTCTTTTTTTGAGACAAAGTCTTGCTCTATCACCCAGGCTGGAGTGCAGTAGCCCAATCTCAGCTCACTGCAACCTCTGCCTCCCGGGTTCAAGCGATGTTTGTGCCTCAGCCTCCCAGGTAGCTGGGATTACAGGCAAGCACCACCACACCTGGCTAATTTTTTATATTTTTAGTAGAGATGGGATTTCCCCAGGTTGGCCAGGCTAGTCTCCAACTCCCAACCTCAGGTGATCTGCTCGCCTTGGCCTCCCAAAGTGCTGGGATTACAGCCGT
Source organism: Homo sapiens (assembly GCF_000001405.40). Taxonomy (NCBI): domain Eukaryota; kingdom Metazoa; phylum Chordata; class Mammalia; order Primates; family Hominidae; genus Homo; species Homo sapiens. Next base: position 68,977,257 of record NC_000009.12, on the reverse strand, counting down.
GAGCCACCATGCTAGGCCCATCAAAGTAATTTCTATTAAGCTTCACAATACTGGATGGCTTCTGCTCTCTAGGACAATGTGTTTTACTGTTCATATGTGGCAGAGTCTAACATTATAATTAGTTCCCTTCCTAGAGCTCATATCCATGGAATTAAGAGAGAATATATTTAGGTAGATCCCAGAGGTGAGGCTTAGGTAGATTTAAAAAATGGCAGTATGGGCCATCCATGAAACATTCCCAGGTAGACAGCACACATTGAAAACAGGGTTGACTGTGTTCTCTAGCTAGAGAAAAGCACCATGAAGGCAACAGGAATTGGGACCTTTTGAATCATAGGGCAGGGGTCCCCAACCCCCAGGCCATAGACTGTTACTGGTCTGTGGCCCGCTAGGAACCAGGCCGCACAGCAGGAGGTGAGTGGTGGGTGAGTGAGCATTACTGCCTAAGCTCTGCCTTAGGCAGTAATCAGTGGTGGCATTAGATTCTCAAAGGAGCATGAACTCCATTGTGAACTGCTCATGAGAGGGATCTAGGTTTTGTGTTTCTCATGAGAATCTAATGCCTGATGATCTGAGGCAGAACAGTTTCATTCTGAAACCATCCCTACTCTGCCGTCCAATCCATGGAAAAATTGTCTTCCACAAAACTGGTCCCTGGTGCCAAAAGGGTTGGGGACCACTGTCATAGGGCACCGATGGCCCCTGTGGCTCAGAGGAGCAGTACAATATGTGAAAGAAGGAGCTACAGCAAGAGGCAGGGTAGTGGGGTTGTGGTAGCAACATGGCACTAAGTAGCTGTGAGTACTGTATTTGGGTAAGACATTGAATTTTCCTGTACTCCACAGTTCCCTTCTCTGTAAAAATCAGGAGTTTGGATTTGATCAGGTCTTGCTAGCTTCCAAAAGTTTTGATTCTTAGCCTTAGTTGGTCTTCTCTAACTAAAGTTTGAGATCAGAGTGGCATACTGGAAATAAAATATGCTGAATTGGAAATGCCTTTTGCTGTGTAAGCTAATGGAACCAATAAAGGTTTAAGACACAGTGAACAGGAAACAATTCCTGGCCTAAGCACTATTATTTCTCTGTACTACACCTCAATGGCATAATTCCCATGGATAGTGGTTTGCTGCCAGATACTCTGCAATCTCTATACTTGCTGCTGTCAGATTCAAACAAACAAAAATTACTCAGAAAAACAAAGCTTTATTCAGAGCCATGTTGTTATGGGTTGAATTGCATCTCCCTAAAATTCATATGTTTAAGTCCTAGCCCCCAGTACCTCAGAATGTGACCCTATTTGGGAATGAGTTTGTTGCAGACATAATTAGTTAAGATGAGGTCATAGTGGAATAGGGTGTGTCCTACTTCGGTATGACTGGTGTTCTTATAAAAAGGGGAAGTTTGGACATAGAGACACAAATACACAAGGAAAGCTCCATGGAAGATAAAGGCAGAGATTTACAAGCCAAGGAATGTCAAAGACGGCCAGCACACCACCAGAAGCTAGCAGAGAGGTATGGAACAGATTCTTCTTCACAACCTCAGAGGGAAAACCCTGCTGATACCTGGATTTCAAACTCCTGGCCTCCAGAACGGTGAGACAAATTTCTGTTGTTTAAGCCATCCAGTTCATGGTACTTTGTAAGGGCAGCTTAGCAAACTAATACTGGTGGTATAAATGCCTGAAGGACAAGCTGGCCTCGGCAAATAGGCTGACTCACTGACTTTCCCTCCATAACACCACCTTGGGAAAAAAGAACTTCTCACTGACATGCATTCATAAATAAACACCTTAACTTTTAGGAAGTTTATATTTTAGGCAACTGAAAAAAAGTACAATTCATATTTCTTGCTAAACACTACATTTTCTGTCTTTAAAAAGTAAGACGTGGCTGGGTGCAGTGGCTCATGCCTGTAATCCCAGCACTTTGGGAGGCTAAGGCAGGTAGATTATTTGAGTCCAGGAGTTTGAGACCAGCCTGGGGAAAATGGCGAAACCCTGTCTCTACAAAAAATATAAACATTAGCTGGGCATGCTGGCACACACCTATAGTCCCAGCCACTTGGGAGGCTGGGGTGGGAGGGCTGCTTGAGTTCACAAGGCTGAGGCTGCAGCGAGCTGTGATCGTGCCACTGCACTCCAGCCTGGGTGACACAGCAAAACTGTCTCAAAACCAGCCAACCTAACAAACAAAAACCCAGAACAAAAAGCAAGGCCCTTCTTCAGTAAAATCCAACAAACATTTTTTAAACCTTTATTAGTGACCAGGAATTGCTAGATAGTGTTTGTGCCTTAGCTTTCAGACTCTACTCAGGTTGTCACCATGTCAATGTGCTAAAAACACACAGGGTTGAAATGAGCACCCTCAGCATGTAAGTGGTATCCTTCAGTCAAAACCCAAATTACTATTAGGTCTGCAGAAGCTGCTGAAAAAATAATATGAAAACAGATTAGAAAAGCAGCTTCGCTCTCACAGATGTACACTGTAATTATAACTGTTCAGAGCTATTGGAAAATCATAAGCAGAATTGACTTTCTGTCCTTGCTAGCTTCAAAGAGGTGCAGAATGACAGGAAAGTTCTCTCATTCGTGGCTAGGCTGACACCAAACGAATTACAAGTTCTGATCTGACTAATCAGAAAATGTCACAGAAGCTACTGGTCTCTGCTATACAGGTCGACACCTGTCCTGAGTCACTAGGAACGTAAGCAGTTTAGGGATAGACATACTTGTTCTGGTTTCTAAATCATGGTACAGCTTTAGTAATCTCTGGCAGTGGTTCTTTTATATACCCAAACCCTTCCTATAAGTTAAGGATCAAGGCTAGGCGTGTTAGAATCTGACATTAGTAACACTCCAATTGCTTAAATAGTGGTTCTCAAGCTTTAATGTGCATTAGAATTGACAACAGGAAGCTGCATTTTAAACAACTTGTTTCTGAAGCAGGTGATTCTAGAGCCTATACTTTAAGAAATGCTGGCTTAGAGAAATGGTAAAGCAGTGAGATGTGCAGTCTAGAAATGGCATAGTATGCTTCTAAGAATGACTGAGGACCAGAATGATCCATCTTAGCAAGAATGAAGAGGAAGGCTGGGTGTGGTGACTCACACCTGTAATCCCAGCACTTTGGGAGGCCGAGATGGGAGGATTTCTTGAGTCCAGGAGTTTGAAACCAGCCTGGGCAACAGGGTGGAACCCCATTTCTACAAAAAATTAGCCAGGCATGGTGGCACACGCCTGTAGTTCCAGCTACTTGGGAAGCTGAGGTGGGAGGATCGCTTGAGCCCGGGAGGTGAAGGTTGCAGTGAGCCAAGATCAGGCCACTGTGCTCCAGCTTGGGTGACAGTGTGAGACCCTGTCTCCCCTACCCCGAAAAAAATTGTTGAGTAACATATGGGTCAAAGGGCACTGCTGAAGGCCCTGCCTGTGCCTCCTGGCTTGGTGCTAGTGTTTAGACTGTCTGTAGGGGTTAGCATTCTGGCTTAGGAGGCTGGGGCCTGGCTGGTGTTCAGGAGCTCTGAATTCCACCCTTAGGTCAGATATGTAACCATTTACCACATCACACTGAATAAATCCTACCTTCCAGAAAGCACATATATGTAAACTAATAAATGATTAGGCCCTTGGTTAAGAACCACAAATACGCTCCCCATAATTTTACACTGTTTATAGACCTGACTTCTTGTTATGTATTAATGTGCTTAGCCATTTGTAAATACAAATATTAATGTTTACAAGCTGTCACTGAAACTATATACCCTTTTCCTATGTTTTTGACCTCCTCTTAAAAAGTCTAAATTATCCATTTTCAGAGTCCCATTTAAGCTTTAGTTATTTTGGATAATGTCTATCTTTCATAGGTATATCTAAATCCTATTTACATAAAATTTCTTAATGGCTATTACTAAAAATGCTCTCAAAATATTTATCATTGATGTATCTACATATCTACAGCCTCTCCTTAGATTTTTTTTTCTTGTTAATGTGTTTGTTTTATTTTATTTTATTATTTTGAGATGGAGTCTCGCTCTGTCGCCCAGGCTGGAGTTCACTGCAACAGATGAGGTTGTTGTATTACGTCTGAGCTGTTGCGGGAGCAGGCACTGGAAGGCTTTAGTTCTTGCCTTGTGGTCTCCCCTTCTAACCAGCATTACTTAGCTGGGGCTTGCTTGGGCAGTCACTTTATCTTTCTGAGCTTGTTCTTTATCCCTATCACAGTGATAAAAATCACTCTCGTTATTTACAACAGGGTTGATGTAAATAATAACATGTGCAAGTGTCTACCATCTGCTTGCCTTCGGAAGGCACCTATTAGATGTCCTTGCTCATGCTGGAGGTGCCTGAATTTACCCTCCTCATTGTCTCCTGGTCCCTGGAGCATTTGGGAGAATTCAGTGAGGCTGACTGTTATAAAATCTGTCCCTTGTGTTCAATACATTTTAGTTATTAGTATTATTGTTGAAGATAATTATATAAAGAAACACATGTTATAGACTTGACTGGCTCAGAAGGAGTTGTGTACAAGTAAAGGCTTAACAACCAGCATTTAGGAAAAAAACCCATGTGCACATATGTATGTACATAAAGTTTTTATACTTATATTTTTATTTTTTCAGACAAAGTCTTGCTTGCTCTGTCGCTCAGGATGGAGTGTAGTGGTATGATCTTAGCTCACTACAACCTCTGCCTCCCAGGTTCAAGTGATTCTCCTGCCTTACGCTCCCAAGTAACTGGGACTACAGGCACACACCACCACACCCAGCTAATTTTTGTATTTTTTGTAGAGACGGGGTTTTACCACGTTAGCCGGGCTGGTCTTGAACTCCTGACCTCAGGTGATCCACCCGCCTCGATCGCCCATTATTAACAATCAAATGGCTGTTCTTCATGGTACTGGTACAAAAACAGATATATACACCAATGGAACAGAACAGAGGCCTCAGAAACAACACCACACATCTACAACCATCTGATCTTTGACAAACCTGACAAAAACAAGCAATGAAGAAAGGATTCCCTATTTAATAAATGGTGTTGGGAAAACTGGCTAGCCATATGCAGAAAACTGAAACTGGACCCCTTCCTTACACCTTATACAAAAATTAACTCAAGATGGACTAAAGATTTAAACATAAGACCTAAAACAATAAAAACCCTAGAAGAAAACCTAGGCATTACCATTCAGGACATAGACATGGGCAAAGACTTAATGACTAAAACACCAAAAGCAATGGCAACAAAAGCCAAAACTGACAAATGAGATCTAATTAAACTAAAGAGCTCCTGCATAGCAAAAGAAACTATCATCAGAGTGAACAGGCAACCTACAGAATGGAAGAAAATTTTTGCAATCTATCCATCTAACAAAGGGCTAATATCCAGAATCTACAAGGAACTTAAACAAATTTACAAGAAAAAACAACCCCATCAAAAAGTGGGCAAAGGATATGAACAGACACTTTTCAAAAGAAGACATTTATGCAGCCAACAAACATGAAAAAAAGCTCATCATCACGTCATTAGAGAAATGCAAATCAAAACCACAATGAGATACCATCTCACGCCAGTTAGAATGGCGATCATTAAAATGTCAGGAAACAACAGATGCTGGAGAGGATGTGGAGAAATAGGAATGCTTTTACACTGCTGGTGGGACTGTAAACTAGTTCAACCATTGTGGAAGAGAGTGTGGCAGTTCCTCAAGGATCTAGAACTAGAAATACCATTTGACCCAGAAATCCCATTACTGGGTATATACCATAAGGATTATAAACGATTCTACTATAAAGACACACGCACAAGTATGTTTATTGCAGCACTATTCACAATAGCAAATAATTGGAACCAACCGAAATGCCCATCAATGATAGACTAGATAAAGAAAATGTGGTACATATACACCATGGAATACTATGTAGCCACAAAAAAGAGTGAGTTTATGTCCTTTGCAGGGACATTGATGAAGCTGGAAGCCATCATTCTCAGCAAACTAACACAAGAACAGAAAACCAAACACTGCATGTTCTCACTCGTAAGTGGGAATTGAATAATGAGAACATATGGGCACAGGGAAGGGAACATCATACACTGGGGCCTGTCGGGGAGTGGGGGGCACTCTATCATTAGGAGAATTACCTAATGGAGATGACGGGTTGAGGGGTGCAGCAAACCACCATGGCACATGTATACCTATGTAACAAACCTGCACGTTCTGCATACGTATCCCAGAACTTAAAGTATAATAAAATAAATAAATCAATAAATAAATACATAAATAATAAAAATCGCTGTTCTTAACAACTGGCTTGCAAAATTTGACTCTAGCAAGCAAGAAGATGTGGGCTCTGGCATGCTACTGCATGAAGGCAAGAGGAAAACATTAGGAGCCAATTTTAGCATAATATTTTGAAGTTGCTGCTTCCATTGGAGTCACTGTGGCTGCTGGCAACATGCTGGAGAGGTGGATATCAGTTAGGCAGCCACAGATCCTGGTGGGACCCCAGAAAAATCGCAGGGGGTGCTCAAATCCATATGTTTATATGTGATTTCTTAACAGAGAGTAAAAACACAATTTAAATGAACATGATTTTTGAAAGCAACAGCCCATTTTCTTCAATTCTAAAAATGGAAACCTGAAAAAGGGTACACACCATCGTGTATGGAATACGATATATAGTGAGGGAATAAAGTTCACAGTTGGGTGAACAAAAGTTCCATCCATCTTGGTATTCACAACCTACTCTGCCTTACCAACACTTTTCCACATATTGTGGGAAAGATTATCTCAGATGACTGCATGCATATTGCTTGGGTAGGACAATTTCCTACTAATTGCCAGGAACAACCAAACCCTAGTGGTAATCATCAAAGCTTAGGCCAATCCTGTTACAAGTACACAATGAATACGCATCTAAAAGACTTGGCGTAGTGCCTGGTCTTGACAACATGTAATTAACCCTAGCTATAATTCTGGATGGCACAGAGTTTCAGTGAGAAGCAATTTAAGGAAAAACACATGCTCCTTTAAACAATTTTAGATTTTATCAGTCAATGATTTTAGAAAGTTACCATCATCCTTTATAACATTTAAGAACATGTCAATGGAAAAGTCACTGGATTCAGAGTTGAGGAACTAGATTCTGGTCTTGATTCTGCTACTACCTATCTGTGTGATGTTAAGTAAGTAATGTCACTTCTATGCACCCTGGTTTTCCAATTTCTAAAGTAAGGGTGTTGGGGTAAGTAAGGGCTATTTTTTTAATGAAAAAATCCAACCTCCACAACTAAAAAAATTTCATGTCCTATGAATTAGAAATTCAACAAATATGTCCTCAATGTTACTCACTTGAACAGCCATTAAGACCCTTTTACGGATTTTCTAAAGTCACATTCTCTTTTGTTCTTCTGAACAAACACTGATTCCCCTTGTTTCCAAATGTATATTTGACCTTTCTTCAATGTTTATTATCAGTCTTCCCCACTGAAGTTTGTTTACTTATGAGAACAGGGCTCTCTTTCCGGTAGATCATAAAGCAATTCCCGGAAGGGCCTCGGGTGGGAGGATGTGCTCAGGTACAGAAGATATCTCACAATGTTGACCTATTAAGAAAATGGGTGGTCCTAGACTCTGGGCTGGTGAGCATTTTTCTTCTGCCTTCTAGCAATTTCTTATAAATGGCAAAGTCTTGTTTTAAAAATCTGAGTCTGTGTTTTTTTTTCTTCCCCTAGTACTGTTGAATAAAAAATTCTACATTTCCAAGCATACTGTGCCTGCGATCAAATGATGACACAATCAGCACCCCTAATAATAGTAATAGCTTCCCTTGATTGAGGCTCTGAGCCTGCCACATACATTATCTCATTTACAGTTTTTTTTTTTTTTTTTTTTTTGAGGTGGAGTCTCGCTCTGTTGCCCAGGCTGGAGTGCAGTGGCGTGATCTCGGCTCACTGCAAGCCCCGGCTCCTGGGTTCACGCCATTCTCCTGCCTCAGCCTCCCGAGTAGCCGGGACTACAGGTGCCCGCCACCATGCCCGGCTAATTTTTTGTGTTTTTAGTAGAGACGGGGTTTCACTGTGTTAGCCAGGATGGTCTCGATCTCCTGGCCTCGTGATCTGCCCTCCTCGGCCTCCCAAAGTGCTGGGATTACAGGCATGAGCCACCGCGCCCGGCCTCATTTACAGTTTTAACAACCCATCAGGGTAGGTATTAACATCCCAGTTGCACACATGAAGCACATGAGGCCCTCAGAAGCTACGCACTGTGCCCAAAGACACAGGTTTCCAACCCAGGTTTGTCTGGATAGTAAATATATAACCTCCCTTACAATGCCTCCCTCTACAAATAAAACCCCCAGCATGACACAGGCAAGACAGGCAGAGTGAAATCCAGTAGAGAATCTTGGAGAGGTTCAGTGCTTGGAGATTTCACTCTTAAAGTCTTTCATGAGACATAACTGGGAGCTGAGATAGGATGCCTCTTTTGAAGTGGCTGATGTGACATTTACTAAGCAAAACTTTATAGTCAACACATGCAAAAAAAAAATATATATATATATATATAAACAAGGATCCTAACACACTGTCCACCCTACAAGTATTTTCATGCTAAGATAAAAAAAAGAGCAGAATGTATTGAAATATCATGTGCTAGAAATGCATGGAAAATAATCTGTAGATACTATGTTTCACAACTGTGTGAAAATACAACTAATTTTTATTAAGCAGTTATTAGAACAGGTTTTTTTTTTTTTTTTTGAGACAGAGTCTTGCTCTCTCACTCAGGCTGATTACGGTTCACTGCAACCTCTGCCTCCAGATTGAAACGATTCTCCTGCCTCAGCCTCCCGAGTAGCTGGGATTACAGGCATGCACCACCACACCTGGCTAATTTTTGTATTTTTAGTAGAGACAGGGTTTTGCCATGTTGGCAAGGTTGGTCTCGAACTCCTGACCTCAAGTGATCCACCTGCCTCGGCCTCCCAAAATGCGGGGATTACAGGTGTGAGCCACCATGCCTGGCCCCAGAACAGGTCCTTAAATAGCTAGTTTGATCCTTGATTTAAACATCAAAACGATTCTATGGTATGGGGATTATGATTCCACTTTATATAGATGAGGAAAGGGACTTTTAGAGAAATTGTGGAAGCATGCCCAAGGTTATACTAACATAAATAGCTTTAATCAGAATTCTGAGCCAGATCTGAGTCTTCTCTTTTCTTTCTTCACACTATTAATACAAATTATAGTGAACTTTTTGCCCACTCAGCACTCCTTTCTTCTGTTGGTAAGAGCAGCTCACTGGGTTTTGGGGAGCAATCCTTCTGGTATTCTGTGTAGTCCTGTTGGGAATGCACATCAGAGCACCTCACCCCCATGGGGGTGAGCCTTTGACTCATCAATGTAGGCTCATCATACTCTCAGAGAAATCTGAACCTTGGGCAGTGTGATGAAGAATGTCAAGTGGTAGGAGCTAAGTAATAACACCAGTATGTCCATGAGTCTCAGGCTTCCCAGAGGAAGAGAATGTCTTCTAGAAGATGCTGTCCCTGAGTCTGAGATTGTCTAGAAGCAAGCTTGATGAAAGCATGGCGTGACAGATTCCCTGAACTGCTGGATTCTCACCCTGTAGCAGTGTCTGGGAGAGGGTAGAGGCTCGATAAATATTACTCAATGAATGGTTGAATCCTCTGAGCTGCTGTATTTCATATTCTTCCCTTGGCTTGGTAGTTGAGGTTTTTCTTTAGATTATGTGAACTAATTCTTAGCTTCCTCATGATTTCCTTTGCTACTTCAGTTTCTCTTGCTTGTAAGCAGAGAACTCTATCTGATACCTATTATTTCCACAGAGTTGTTACATATGCCAAAATATTTGAGGACCCAGCCTGATGGAGTTCTGTTTGTCTATAGCAATGACCTTCACCTACTATTCTCACCCAAGGAAGGAAGCTCTAGAAAACTCCTCAGTTGGAGCATCAAGGAACTACAATCTGTTATGAGAGATCATTTATTAGGTTGCATAAAGGTCCCCACAAAAAAGTCCAGCTACAATATGTGGGGAAGTAGTTTATTCCCACAGTGCCCTTGATTCATTCATAGGTTGAAACAACTACCACAGGTATCCAAAAATGGCACATATGCATGAAAAACAACTTTTACCCAACCCCAAATTCTGGAAACTGGGACATTTGAACTATAAAATTCAAAATTGTACATATTCAACCTTATATGGATTGGGATTCTATGGCAGGTGAAAATGTGATCTGCATAATAAATCAATCATAGTTAAACCCAGCTGCAAAAAGACCCATGGTATTAATATTTGACAGATTACTTATTCATCTTCTCTGCATACAGCTGTATACTGAGTTTCCCATCATTTCAAGTAAAGCCTCAAGAGACAGTTTTAGAACACAATCCCCCAACATTTACATTATAACAAAGTGTTACTATAATGCATGATTGTGGTACAGGTTTCTGTAATGTCATTTTGAAAGAGGAAGCACCCATGCCTTTTTGTTTATAACTAACCTCCATACTATATCCAGATTTTGTTCATTTTCCTTAATGCCTTTTTCCGTTCCAGAGTCCCACTCTGGATACCATGTGACATTTAGGTGTCACATCTCCTTAGGCTCTCATAGACTGTGATGGTTTTTTAGACTTCTTGTTTTTGATGACCTTGACAGTTCTGAAGAGTACTCATCAGGTATACTGCAGAATGTCCCACATGATTTGGGTTGCTTGATGTTTTTCTCATGGTTAGACACGGTATTTGTAAGTTTTTGGAAGGAAGATCACAGAGGTCAAGTACCATATTAAGTCAAGGTTATGCACTATTAACATGACTTATCATTGATAATGTTTACCTTGATTACCTGGCTGAGGTAGTGTTTACCAGGCTTCTCTACTGCAAAGGTACCCCCACCTCCCTTTCCATGCTGTACTTTTTGGAAGCAAGCCACTAAGTGTGGCCAACGCTTAAGGGATGGGGTGTTGTGTTCCACTTCCTTCAGGGTGGAGTAGCTACATACAGTATTTGGAATTCTTCTGTATGGGAATTTTGTCTCCTCTCCTCCATTTATTTATTTATTCAATCATATATTAATATTAGTATGGCCTCTTGGATATTTATTCTTTGGGTTATAACTCAAAACTGTGTTATTTTATTGCTCAAATTGTTCCAATTTTAGCTATTGAGAGCTCTTTCAGTCAGCTCCTGTGCCCTCTGACACACCCCCACTGTTTTGTTTTTTGAATACAAATAGCTTTTTTTTTTTTTTTTTTTGAGATGGAGTCTCACTCTGTCACCCAGGTTGGAGTGCAGTGGCACAATCTCAGCTCACTACAACTTCCGCCTCCTGGGTTCAAGCGATTCTCCTGCTTCAGCCTCCTGAATAGCTGGTATTACAGGTATGTGCCAGGTATGCATCATGCCTGGCGAATTTTTGTATTTTTAGTAGACACGGAGTTTCATCATGTTGGCCAGGCTGGTCTCGAACCCCTGACCTCAGGTGATCCACCTGCCTTGGCCTCCCAAAGCGCTGGGATTGCAGGTGTGAACCGCTGCGCCCCGCTGCCTTTTCTTCTTTTCAATAGATAAGGATACATACCTGTATTTTTGGATGGTTTAAGTATGGAACCACTGAAGAACTAGGCTGAACCTTCTCATCCTTAAACACAAAGCTCTTGTATCACTTTACAGTTAATTCAGAAGTTTAAGATTGACTACATTTATATCATTGTTCATTTGTGGGACAAAATCTGTATGACAGCTGTGTGTTAGCGTTTGGAACTGGCTTCGTTTCCTTAAGTCATTCCCAGCCTGTGATTGAGGTACTAGAGTTCAGGCAGAAAGGCTTGGTCTTGCAGAACTAGACTATCCATCAGAAGTGGCAATGGTGAGTTAAACTCTATTAGAACGTTAGCCTTTCCAGGGACACCCTCTGCCCCCATCTTCACCTTAGACTTTCAAATTAAATCACAGAACTAATTGAGTCATAGAATATGTATCTTATATATATTCTATTCATTGTACTAGTCATATATATTTTCTTATCTCATCCTCACAATAATCTTGTGAAGTCGATATTATTTGTAGATGAGGTGATTAAGGTGCAGGGAGGTAAAGTAGTGTAGCTGGTCAACAGCAGAGTGGCATTCTAATTCGAAAGCTTCTATGCTAGGTTACCTGTCCAAGCTGAAAACCATGGCCATATAACCTTACAATTTCCTCAAAGGATGCACATCCTGCCAAATGGTGGCAGCTTAAGGCTCAGGCCTACATAAGGCCACATGCCTGCAGGTCTGGTTTCACTTTGCTCATAAGGAAAGGGAGAGAAGGTTTGTACACATATAACAGGCTTATTTTTCCGTCTATCAGGCTCTGTATTTATTGTGATCAATCAACCTCCTCTTGGGAGCTAAGAGAATTCCAGAATTGCAGCGTTTACAAGGAAACCTACAGGCATTCTAGTTTAAAAAGCTCTGTGCTATTTCTCTCCCCTCTACGGTAGTCTTCCCAGATGGCTGCTCAGCTACAGTGAGAGGCTTAGCATTTTCAGGGTAGCCTATTTCTTCTTTAACCACATTATTAAACTCTTCCTTATATAGAACAATCCTTTCTTTGTAACTTCCATGCATGGGTTTTGATTCTGCTTTCTTGGGGAGAAGAATTCTCAGCCTGAGCTGACATGCCAGGCTCATCAGCTTCCTGGGCTATATGGGGAGTCAGGTCAGCCTGGGTCGGATTCTGCTTATTTTGTGGCAGACCCAGGAGAGTACCCTTCACAGCAAGGCAACCACAGAAGTGAGATGCCAATTTATTCAAAGTTCAATGTATTAATACATGTCCTGTTCTGAGATAGCTAAGATCGGATGTTTACTCATGATGAATAAATATTAGCTCTTTACTTCCCTTAGGGGCCTTTACTTCTCTTAATGGCATCATAATCATCCTTTTATAAACCCTTAAGAAACATTTCAGTCCACTGTGATAGTATAACATGCTCTATGGGTGAGGGTGGAACCACGTGAATTTCTAAGTGTCTATCAGGTTCAAAGTTCAAAACAAATAAGGAAATCTTGGACATGCCTGGATACAACAGCAGTCTTAAAGAAGAATGATGACTTACTGGCAAAAGAGAAGGAAGTTTAAAGACTGCCACTGGGGAAGAAAATGCTATTGATTTCATTTCCTTCTGATATGAATAACAGGTGCTCAGATGGATTGAGCTGAAAAACAAGTGAGATGGGGGAAAATTAAGTAGCTTTACAAAACGTCGGGAGCTTAGAAATAGGAGATATATATTTATTCAAGTTCTTTTTCTCTGTGGATCAGAACTCAAGCTTTCATTTAATTTGGCTTGAAGAATTTGACCCATTGAAAGCTACTGTCAGAGCAGGAAGAAAGCACCTGAAGTCACCACCACCCAATACTGACCACCCACGGTTGAAGGATCTATTGTCTAAAGTGTAATAGCTGTGTGATTTAACTCAGGATATACCTGAAATGTGGAATTTCAGGCAATGACTGTATAATGAATGCCCCCACTACCATTGTAAAGGTCCCTGATCTGGGGAAGTGTTAGTCACCGTAACAGCTGAACCAAAGCAAATTATCATTGGCAGGGACATCAAACGTGTCTTCCTTCTACAGATAATTTCAGGGCTGACTACAGGGTCATGTGACCTATGCAACTGCATGGATTCCTGGGCTTAGAATGGTTCCTTTCTTAGGTTTTGTTTTTTTTTTTTTCTGAGACAGAGTCTTGCTCTGTCACCCAGGATGGAGTGCAATGGCATAATCTCAGCTCACTGCAACCTCCACCTCCTGGGTTCAAGTGATTCTCCTGCCTCAGCCTCTCGAGTAGCTGGGGTTACAGGCATGCACCACCACGCCCAGCTAATGTTTGTATTTTTAGTAGAGATGGGGTTTCACCATATTGCCCAGGCTGGTCTTGAACTTCCGGACTCAAGAGATCAGTCTGCCTCGGCCTCGCAAAGTGCTGGGATTACAGGTGTGAGCCACACACAGGACTGCTTGCTTAGTTTAATGCTCTGATGTTGCCATCTTGAACCTGTTAATAATTTTTGCACATTAGTCCTCACAATTTTATTTGAGATGCTGCAAATGTAGCTTGTTCTGAATGGCTGTGATGCTTTGGAAAGGTCAAGTTATTATGAGTAATAATCTAAATCAAATATAAGTTTCTTTCATCGATGCAATGAGATAAAGGTTCTTTTCAAAAGTAAAAGAAGGGTGGCATTTTAAGTTGAGAAAGAAACAGAATCATAAGGTTTTAGAGACTGGAGATCTTAGAAATCATGGTAATTAACAAGCAGAATTTGGATCAAGGTTTTTGTCATATTGAAATGTTTTCATTAGAGAAGGAGACAATTTAGAATTGCCTTGAAGTTGTCAATATATATGACAATTGTGCTGTTAACTATGAATGGTTCTCTCTCTTATTTACCTGATAAACCTTTAAGAAATATGAAATGAATATCGGTGCAGCTCTAGGGACCAGAAATGAAAACAGGAATTAAGTCAGCTGCAAGATCAAGTATCATAAAGAATAGTAAGCTTGGCCACTGTCCCCCTGCCCATAATTTTAATTCTCTGAGTTCCAAATTCAGTCTAGATGGACTGAATGACTCCCTTAAAATCAAAGAACCATGTGAGAAGAGTAGGTAAAGCAATTAGTAAACCTCTAATTTTTCTACAGCAAGTAACAACAATAAAATCTATCTGTTCTTTATGAGGCAGTCAGAATTTGAGGACTTTAAATCATTTGCAAAGGGAAAGAAATGCTTCATGACTTGGCCAGAAGCTTACTTTACCTATTCATCTTAAAACAGCTAATCATAAGTCTTATGATTTTGAATGCATTTAACCAGTTCTCTGAATTCAGAGAGGATTGATTTTTCTACTTGCATATGAAAAATAACATTTCTGCCTTTAGTTAGGGGATAAATGTGCTCAAATCTTTTGATTTTACACAAAACAGGAGTATTCTGTGTACAAGGAAATGTTTATTTAATGTCTTTTTTTTCCCAAATCAGTATTTTAAATTAAAAAAATGATCTTGATAGTTCATACTGTAATGACCTTGAATAATTGGAGAGAGCAAAATATGTATTTCTGTTCAGGTAAAAATGGTGTGAACACATGCTTCCCACTTTGCTTCTTTTCTAAAAACTCATAAAAATGAGGGAAAAGCCTAGAACACACTTGATTCACAAAACTCTCAAAAGGCTGAAGAATTAGAAGCATTGGGAATCCATGAAATAGCATGTGTCGGGGTAAGAGGAGGCAGCTAAGTTAAGTATCTGTGGTTGAAAGTCTGGTTAAGCAGCAGGTAAATCATCTCCCAAAACTTCTACCAACATGCAACTGCCTTTTCTCAACCCTATTTTAAGAATGGAGGTTTATTCTCCGGAGTGGGTGGAACAGAAGGTCTCTAGATTGGGGATCATTAGTCACAGCACAAGGATAAGGGACCAACTGAAAATAAGGAGATAAGGAGGGTACTAGCCTGCCAGATTCAGAGACGGTCTCTTCCCCAACTCGGCTTCCATCAAGCTGACAGCCAGCCTTTATCATCCAGGCTGGAAAGATTGGTAGAGCCTTTTCTGGGGATCTAATCAACCCAAGAAGAAAGACAAATACCAGGTTTCCCCAACTACACAGCCCAGCCAAATCGCCCTACAGTGAAACCCACAGATGACAAGCCCCAGCCACGCACTTTGAACTTTTAATCATTTTGTTAGTGCCCCACTTCTTGTTTGAAATAGTTTTATTGATATATCATATGTATACCATATAATTAGTTGCTTTAAAGTATATTATTCAATGGCTTTTGGTATATTCAGAGTTGTGCAACTATCACCATAACCAATTTTAGAATATTTTCATCACCTCGAGAAGAAAATTGTGCTCATTAATAGTTACTCCATTTCCCCAAAATCCCCAGCACTAGGTAACTGCTAACTTACTTTCTGTCTTGATAGATTTGTGGTGACACGCTTTTTTTTTTTTTTTTTGAGACGGAGTCTCGCTCTGTCGCCCAGGCCGGACTGCGGACTGCAGTGGCGCAATCTCGGCTCACTGCAAGCTCCGCTTCCCGGGTTCACGCCATTCTCCTGCCTCAGCCTCCCGAGTAGCTGGGACTACAGGCGCCCGCCACCGCGCCCGGCTAATATTTTGTATTTTTAGTAGAGACGGGGTTTCACCTTGTTAGCCAGGATGGTCTCGATCTCCTGACCTCATGATCCACCCGCCTCGGCCTCCCAAAGTGCTGGGATTACAGGCGTGAGCCACCGCGCCCGGCCGGTGACACGCTTTTAAGTACGAACAGACAACCAACGATTATGAGAAATCTGAGAGAAGCTACTATTGTAAAAGAGATCGAAAATATCGAAAAAAGCTAACTAGAATAACCTAAGATTATGCAGGGATTAGAAAATGCCAAAAAACCCTTAGACCCCAACTATTATTTACTTCCTCAGATAAGTTACAGCAACTATGAAATAAAAGAACGGGATACTAAAGGAAGAAATTATCAGGACAAGAAGAGGTCCTGGAAAGTAAAAACGTAACAGTAGAATTGATTGAATTAGAGGGCTGTATGAAAATTTGAGGAAATCCCACAAAAAATAGAGTAAAAAGACAAACAGATGGGAGACAGAGAAAAAACAACAGAAACGTAGAAGACTAGTCTAGCGGCTTCAATTTTCAAATGAGGAGATACACAGAGAAAAGAAAAAACAGAGGCAATGAAATCATCAAGAAAATTTCCTAGACCTAAGAAAAAAAGACCAAAAAGGAAAAAAGAAAATTTTCTAGACCTGAAAGACTTGAGTATGCAGATTGAAAAGGTCCACTGAATACAATGCTTTACTACAGATGAAAATAAGACCAACTCCAAGACAATTAAGAAAAAGACATCTTTAAACTTTCAGAGATGGGGAGAAAATAGATAACATGCAGATGATCAGGAAACGGATAAATCTGAACTTCTGAACAGCAACTTAGGGAGCCTGAAGACAATGGAATAATGCCTTTGAAAACCACTTCTGAAATAAAATTCTATACTTTGCTAAACTATTTCTTATGAGTGACGTTAGCATAAAGACATTTTCAGACTTGCAAGATCTCAAAAAATTAACTTCCCATGAGTCCTTTTCTCAAAAAGATACTGGGGGATGTGCTCTGCAGAAACAAAGGACTAAACCAAGAAGAGGGAAATATAAACACTATGAAGCAGTGGAGCCAACTTTAGAGACAAAGTGAATTCCCAGAACAAAGGTGAAAGAAGTTCCCAGGATAACATCTGTGCACCAAACTTAGCAGACTAGACAAGGTCAGAAGACTCTGGGGAGAGATTATTCAGTTGAGTAACTCTGCTGAAATATCCGACGCGTCTGAACCAATTAGACATTTTAAAGAGTTTGAGATTCAATTATTAATAAATATGTAGACAACTAAAGAAAACAGAATGGAACATCATTTTGGGGAAAAGTATAAGGAAATATAATGAAACTTTACAACAGGGCACAGTTGCGAATATGTTTATGACATAAGGTAAATTACAATCTAATAGGAATTATGATGCAACTCTACTTGGAGAATAGAGAGGATGAGAAGGGTTACTGTGAAGGTGGGGTGATAAAAGGGAGCTATATCATCCTCTTCCAAAGTGAGAACAAAAAAACTGGAAATAGCAACTCAAGTATTTTGTTGAGAGAAATAACTAAAAAAATCAGATGAAAAAGGTGGTTGCCTTTGGTGAGGAGGAAATAGGGGTGGGGAATGGAATGGGGTTGGTGGTTTTAATAATAGTCCTGGAAGAACTATTTGACTTTCATAAAAATAAAACCTAGAAAAATATGAAAAGAAATATGAAGAGAATATAGTATTTTGTTCCATAGAAATATGTATAATGTAAAATGGCAATCACACTGTGATTACAATCATATAATGAATGACACACATCTGAAAATGTCTGATGGGGTTTACAGAGGCATTAATGATTGTATTAAGGTAGTGGAATTAAGAATAACCATTGTCTTTTCCAAATTTCCTCTATCATAAAGTTCCTGTATAATTTTCATAATCAGAAAATGAATTCACAAAGCAGAAAAAGTTTATTCCTCATTATAGACTGGAACTTGGTTCACAATTATTTCTGTCATTCAAATCTATGATTTTTCAAGTTATCAAGGAAATGGTGGTTTCTTTCTTTCTTATTCTTTCTTTCCTACACGTCAATATTGGGAGTACTATGAACCAACTTTCTAAAAATTATAAATTGATCAAAGGTGACGATTATACTTAGTTTCTCCTCTCAGTGCCATACATTTCTGATATAATATTTGCAATACCATAAAATACTTTTCTCTGTCACCAATTCTGAGGAAATGTGAAAAAAATCCTTCTAAATATCCAAAGTTAATACTGCTTGAACCAAAAAAAATTAACCTTTTAAAATTTGTGGTGTGAGACGTTTGCATTATGATAACTTTCCAACACTGTGGCCTGATTCTTGAGGCATCTCATGCAACATTCCACAGAGCCCATCTAATTTAAAAAATAATTAAAAATATTAATGTCTAAGTATGCGATTGAATAGGAGAAAAAAAGCAAAGAATTATATCTAGTTTATAACTCAAGAGCTACAAAATCATGAATGCTGCTTGGATGTCTCAATAAAAATGAATACTGAGAAAAATTTCTCTAAGATTTGCACAAACCGCTCTCTTGTCCGTAGGATGCTCTGTTTCAAATCCATTTCCAGAACAGGCTTTTAGTTTGAGGGGTAAATGATCTGGTGGGTGGTATTTTAAAGAGTCTAAACAATTACTTAAGAAGCAGAAAATATGTTTCATTAAAAAAAATCATTCTGGCTTTTCCCTTACAGTCTGTGTTTGGCACAATCACTGGTGCCTGTACAAAAGCCATAGTGTCCTGTCTTTGCTAACAGAACCCTAGGTTTTGATTTTAGGTAGTAGGTGGAGATCTGTAGTGATGGGATTCAGGATATTCTACCCATTATATGGCAACTTAGCATTTGAGAAAACAGCTCCTTGGCCAGTTGTGATGGCTCGTGCCTGTAATCCCAGCACTTTGGGAGGCCAAGGCGGGTGGATCGCTTGAACTCATGAGTTCAAGACCAGCCTGGGCAACATGGTGAGATCCAGTCTCTACAAAAAACACAAAAATTAGCCGGGCATGGTGGTGCATGCCTGTAGTCCCAGCTACTCAGGAGGCTGAGGTGGGAGAATCGCTTGAGCCAGGAGGCAGAGGATGCAGTGAGCTGAGATTGCACCACTGCACTCCAGCCTGGGCAACAGAGCCAGACCTTGTCTAAAGAGAAAAAAAAAAAAGAAAAGAAAACAGGTAATAAACCTAGGAAGGTCACTCTCTGACCTTCTCTCACCCTTCTTCCCTGAAGCAGGCAATAAAAGAATCCTCTGGCCTGCCTCTGTAGTAGGCTGTAAGACCCCACTTAAGAGGTGCCCTCCCTATAACTGGAGGAAGGAAATATACTTATCTCTGAAGACACAGGGACATGGTGACCAATCTAAACAAAGAAGCCTTGCTAAGTTTCACCAGTCTTTTACCATTAGATCATACCCCCTTCAGCCAATCTTACTTTCCACTTCTTCATCAACTCTAGCATAAAACTACACAGGTTTGCCTGTTTTTTTGGGTCTTCATTTCTGAAAGCTCCTCTGTCGTATAAAACATTAAATGCATTTGTATGCCTTTCTCTTGTTAATATGTCTTCTTTTATAAGGGTTATAGGCATGAACCTAGTGATGGGTGAAAAAAAGATATCTTTCTCTCCTCTGAAGTAGTCTCAGGGGAGGTAGGCCTCTTCCCAGCCTCCTTTGCAGCTAGAGTCATGCGATCCACTTCTGGCCATGAGCTGCTGAGAGGATGCTGCTGGGGGCACAACTGGGCAACCTCCCCCATAAAAAGCCTTGCAATGAGGAATTTCTCCCTCCCCACCTTTTTTTTTTTCTTTTTCTATTTCCTTCCTGCAGAAGTCCCTGGAGAGAGGACGTGATGTCTGAAGCTATGGCAGCCATCTTGTAACTATGAGGCCACAAACAAGAAAAGCAAAAACCAGAGTGAAGCATGGCAGAGCAGAAAGATGGAAAGAACCTGGATACATAAGAGTGTCACTGTGCAGCTGTACCCACCCTAGACTGCATATACCTGGACTTTAAGTAAATGACAAATATCCTTTATTCTATCTCAAGCCATTGCTTCTTCATCTTTTTTGTGTCATGACAATCACAGTGGGCGGTAATATTTGTACTGCCCTCTGGGGAACACAGAGGAGACTGCTGGCACCTGAGGTGAACTATGCTGGGGGCTTCAGCTGCCCCAGGACTCCTCCCTACCTTGAAGCCTGAGGGGATACATATCTCTCTGCACATCTCTTTGTGGCTCATCAATGGGCCTCACCATACACGTTGAAAAGTTCTAGTTTAAGCCATACTTACCTGTTACTTGGCTGAATGCACTTCTAAGTAAAACTTGGACTCAATGCTGCTTGTCAATGGAAAGTGATGAGATTTATAAGATATCATACATTCTCTAGCAACATATGAATATGCAAAAAATACTGATCTTAGCCCAAATCACATCATATGATTCTACTGACAGAACTATTTGCTATTTAACTCGTGTTCTTTCTTGTCAGTAATGGGGCCACTTCCTGATTAACTACAGGCACATTTCATGAGATCCAAACATAGAAATTTTTCTTTCTTTTTTTTTCTGAGACAGAGTCTCCTCAGTCGCCCAGGCTGGAGTGCAGTGGCACGATTTTGGCTGATGCAACCTCTGCCTCCGGGGTTCAAGTGATTCTCCTGCCTCAGCTTCCTGAGTAGCTGGGAATACAGGCACTTGCCATCATGCCCAGCCAATTTTTGTATTTTTCTAGAGATGGGGTTTTCCCATGTTGACTAGACTGGTCTTGAACTCCTGGGCTCAAGTGATCCTCCTGCCTCAGCCTTCCAAAATGCTGGGATTACAGGCATGAGCCACCTTGCCCGGCCTATAGGAATGTTTCAAACGATGCATTTGAGAGTACATTCATAATGGTTGAAGAATTATAGATTTTAGGGAAAAAAGTTTCATTTTATCTAGAAGTTCATCTTATGGGTCAAGTTATTATGTTTTTTATATGGTCTTAGGTTTGGGTACACAATGACCTTGGCAATAATTGATTTTT
This sequence comes from Homo sapiens, assembly GCF_000001405.40. Lineage (NCBI taxonomy): Eukaryota > Metazoa > Chordata > Mammalia > Primates > Hominidae > Homo > Homo sapiens. Next base: position 68,956,012 of record NC_000009.12, on the reverse strand, counting down.
CTATGAGCCTGACATTAATGTTTCTAAGCAAGTCCCTTTTGTCAGCTCCACTGGTGCTTACCGTAGAGGGTTGATGGGTGCATTAAATAAAATAATATCTGTAAAGCTCTTGGCTGACTACATTGCATACAGTACACATCAAAGACATAGTTCTTAGGATTATTATAAACAAAAATGTAAAAAGAATGTGCATGAATTAATGGTAGTCATAACTCATTGGATACAAAATATCTTCCATATGGATACAGTAAAATACTACATAAATATTACTATAAAAGTGCTATAAAAATATGAAGCTCTCACCACTCCCCAGAACTCATGTAATTATTTTAACCCGAGGCCAGCTCTCAGGTGACCCACCTTCCTGTTTTGGCAAAGAAGTGCCATGCTCTGGTTACATCTGAGAGCTGTGTATTCTTAAACAAAAATATCCAGTTCCCCACTTTTCCAGAGATCGCACTGAGAGGGCTTTATGTGGGAGTCCCTTGTTTATTAAGAACTGTTTCTATGTCACGGGAGGCCAGGAAATGAATTTTAAATCTGTCTTAACCACAGAATGACACACGGGACAAATGACAAGAGCAAACTGGGGAGCTCTGCTCTCTCTCACAGTGCCTGGGCTGATGAGTTCAACACATCTGTTTGCACTTGAAAAGTCAGATGTACTAATTATTGTTACAAACACAAATAAAAGTGATCAATGTACATCTTCCTGAAATTAAACCCTTTATGAAGCAACATTGTCACTTTTGGAATGCCTTCTTGGTTCAGTCAAGCATGGGCATCTCAAATGTTGCATGTGGATAATTATGAAACATTTTCTGAGCACTTATGCCAAGGACAATGAGCAATATGATCAGGGATGTGCAGTTTTCACCCTGTAGCACTCTTCCTTTACTGCAGGCATCATACACAGCTCCAGGCAAGTCATTTTTCCTAACTCTGTCTGCCTAACTCACTTTGTGTAGATTTTTCATTGAATACCATTTGCTTTCTATTGTGACTATTTATACAAATATTATAGTCTCTCAAGGGCAATGATTTTCCATCTTTTCCATCCTTTCTAGCATCTTGTTTGGACTTGTTTGTGAGCACCAAGGAGACACCTCTGGGGACTTACAGATCTACTTGGACAGCACTTGACCATGGACCTGCCCCCCAGCAGATGGGGCAAGAGCCAGTGAAATTTGGGTATTTGACTGCAACCCTGTTTGTTCCCACATGTAGAGGAGATCTGGTGCAACTCCAGTTACTTGGAGCAGTATAACAGCACAGCCACTGCTGTCGTATCAACATTTTTCGCTAGTCCTCTCTCATGTGGGGCTTGTCTATGGGGCATGTTGGCATTGGGAAGTCCTCATTTCCTGATTTACTGTCTCATGATGAGATACCAATCAAAGCTAAGATACAAAGAACTCTTTGAAAAATAGCCTTTTCAACTTGTCCACACACAATCAGAAACATACTGATTTTGGATTAACTCATTATTAATGATTTTGTCTATTTTGAAAGAGGCTGCCCTGAACAAGGAGTCAGGAATTGTAGGTCTTAGCTCCACTTTTGCTATTAAGTTATGCTGCAAACCTTAGAATCTTCGCTGAGCAGTTCTCTGGGCCTCTCTTAATCTGTAGACGAAGAAACAGAGGCAGATGAAACACATCTCATCTAATTTTGCAGACACGCTCAACCCTCTACACTACAATAAAGGGTTAAAAAAGGACATAAACCTATAAAGAGGGGAGAAGATTGGAAGAAGCTAAGAGAGACAAAATTTAGGAGTCTGAAAGGCATATGAACAGGTAGTAATCAATTTAGCAAACTTGAGAGGAAAATCCTGAGCTACCACTGGGAAAAGCAAAGAAATATATAGCCAGGCAAAAACCTCTCCCCATTCCAACAGAAGACTGGAGGATTTTATTTTTTTTCTCCCTGCGGAAAACACAGAACAGGATGTGTGGACCCAGGGACACCAGAAGCAATTGAGGTAAAAGAAAGAGAGGAAGTAAATATGTATATACTAGATGCTAAGACACCTGTTCCTGCCAGATGTCCCAGAAGGCTGACAGCCAGGCCTTTCTCCTCCAAGCAAGAAACTGGAAGCATCTCCTATAGGGAGTCTGACCAGCTCAATAGCTTGCTGGTCAACAAGCTCTGCTCAAGTGCTTAAGTTTCCAGTCAGGGATTTTTTTTTTTTTTTTTTTTTTTTTAAGACAGAGTCTTGCTCTGTTGCCCAGGCTGGAGTACAATGGTGCAATAACAGCTCACTGCAGCCTCAACCACCCAGGCTCAAGCCATCTGAGCCTCTGAGTAGCTGGGACTACAGGTGTGTCACTGCACTTGGCTAATTTTAATTTTTTTTGTAGGGATGGGGTCTCACTAGTATTGCCCAGGCTGGTCTCGAACTCCTGGGCTCCAACAGTCCTCCTACCTCGGCCTCCAAATATGCTGGGATTATAGGTGTGAACCACCACACCTGGCCTCTAATCAGTTTTCTAGTCTCCCACTCAAGCCTTAGTTGAGCAGACAAATGAAGATTTCCAAAAATCTGAGGAAAACCTCCAGTATAGAACATGTAGACTACAAAGAGAAAAAGGCAGCCTGGATGAAAACCGAGACTAAAAAGGGAGAAGAAACAAAATTCAGGGCAAAACAAAAAACATAATCCTAATATCTTCAGGAAAAAAGAGAAATTACAATCATGAAAAAAGGAAAGATTGCTAAAAAATAAAATCTCAGCGAACAAAAAAAGAATTCTTATAAAACATGGTAATGGAAATTAAAAACTCAGTGGAAGGATTAGGAGATGAAGTTGAGGAAATCTCTCAGAAACTAGGACAGAAACATAAATAGATGGGACTGAAGACAGAAAAGTAGAGAAAATTGGAAGACAAATCCAGGATATTCTGTATGCATAAAAGGAATTACAAAAAGGAAAAAGAAAATAGAGAGGAGGAAATAAGAAAATAGTTTAGAAAATTTCCCCAAACTCAAAACATGAGTTTGCAGGTTGAAAAGGTCCCCTGAGTGCTTAGCATGCTGGCTGAAAATAGACCTGCACCAAGGCCTAGCATCATGAAATACTGAGACTCTGAGAGAAAATCAAAGAGTTTACAGGTTTCTGCAATAATAATAATAATAATAGGAAGAAAGAAAGAAAGGAAGGAAGAAAGGAAGGAAGGAAGGAAGGCAGGCAGGCAGGCAGGCAGACAGGCAGACAGGCAGGCAAAGAAAGCAAGCCATTTACAGAAGATCAGAAATCAGAACAGCACTGGATTTCTCAATGGTAATTGGAAACTAGAAGACAATGGAGCCAAGCCTTCACCATGTTGAAAAAAAAAATCCAAAATATTTGCAATCTAGAATTCTATACTAGTTAATCTATCAATCAAGTGTTAGGGTTAGAATAAAGACTTAAGACATGCAAGATCTCAAATATTTTGCCTGCAATGAATATTTTTCATACTGGAGGATTTTCTTCTGGAAAATGTGTTCCACCAAAATGAGGGAGTAAACCAAGAAAGAGGAAGAAGCAAAGAGGAAGATGTAGGAGATGACAAACAACGGAACTGATACAGACAAGAGGTTACTAGAATCCCCAGAATGATGGAGCAGAGAGGCCCCAAAGTAACATTTGTACATCAGGTCCTAGAGGGCAACCAGTTCAGTCCAGGCTGGTCAGAAGTGTCTGGCGGAAACTTCTGCAAGACAATAAAAGGAACAGAACCTCATGCACTTAAATGGTTTGAGAAGAAATGAAGACACTGGTGGAAAGCTTAGGGTTCTATTAAGGAAAAATACACAGAAAACTAAGCAAACCGAAGAACAAGGCAGTCATTTATTACAATAAAAACAAAAAGTCACACAGGAAAGGAAACTGAAACATAGTATATGACACTATTCACAAAGCCATAATAAAACACTCAATATCGATCGGACTACAGTCAAGATGTAACTATACAGGGAAACTGGAAGGGTGTAGGAGGAGGGGGTGGGAACAGTACACATACGTGGTATGTGTCGGGTGGAGAAAAGACAGCTAAATCTTCGTCTTCTATAGTGGGCAGTTATTAGCTAATGCCTACACCCAATAGATCAAGCAATAACAATATAAGCATGTTATTTAGAAAAACCAAAGTAATTGCCAAAGGAATCAGCTCAAAGAGTTGAAGGTGATTGCACATGAAGACGTAGGGGGAGGTGGACTACGGCTTGCTCTTTTTCTTAACACATGTTACACGACTATTTGTTAAACTCTGGGCATAGAGTTTTGTTACAAAAATAATTTATAAATTTTAAAATCAATCAATACCTTTTTTAATAAATAAAAGGGCTGGATGACATGATGGCCAAAGTTCCCTCTCATCTCCAAAGCTCCGTGATTCTTTCAGGATGAGTTTTACCACTTAGGTTGGAAAGGCAGGAGGGTGAACAGGGAAAAGGCGAAGGCTCGACCGGTTCCCTAAATGAGCTTTGACCTGGCCTTCGAATACCTGGCCTCTCTCCTGTCACAACTCAGTGACCACACAGAAAGCAGCAGGTGAGGGTGGTTGGAATTAGGAGGACACCAACTGAAATGCACTCATACATAAATAAAAGACAAAAAATCTTCTCCCAGACAAAGTGCTTAGTCTGAACCATTCTTCCAGTGTGATGAGAAGCAATGAAAGAAAAGACAGAGAAACTCTACCATTATTTTTTTCCCCATGTAGCCTTCAGGATGAAATTTGCATTATAGCCAAATCCTTCATTTTGAAAACAAATCTGGTCATTTTTAAGTTATTTGTGACCTTCCACACACTAATTTTTAATAGGGCTGGCTGGAAAAATAATGAGCTCCATTACTTCATTACACATGTCACCTTTATTACTTTATCCTTGAAAACAGGTTATTAAATGATTCCATTTTAGATTAATATTATTCTGAATGGAGAGTTTAACATTGTCTCCTAGTTCCCTCCTTACACTTACCTAATTCTCCTGCACCCATAACTATCATGAACTAAATGCAAAGGCAGGTTGTGGTAGAGGCGTTTGGTCTGTCTGTGGGGAGGCTGGGCCAGCTTGGTGCTGTGAAGTGAATGAGTCCTCAGCAGCAGGTTTATGTTAGTGGACTTCCCCAGTGAAATTCCTTCCCTCCCAAATCAACAAGTCATTTAAATTACAGGAGATAAGGCTCACTACTGTGGTGATGACTCCACAGGTAACAGAAGGATTAAACAGAGGATGTCGGGACCAACTTTCTACTTGCCTTGGAAGAAATTGTTTGTTACTCTTCCTGTATGTTTGAAGCATATCAGAGAAACAAAAATGAATCTTGGGATTCTTGCAGACCCCCCAGCTAGAGGACCTCTGGGTGGAGGAGACATGGCCAGAACTGGTAACATGAACCTGGAAGTTCACCTGTTACAGATCCCAGGCCCACACAGGGAACACTACTTTGTACACAACACAAGAGCTAGGCTCAGAAGGCAAATGGAAATACAGTGGTTGGGCCAAAGGGAAACGTCTCGAAGAGAGGCCATGGCAGGGAAGGCAGCTGAATGGGTATGGACAAGCTCCTGGGAAGGGTGCTGCCCTGTGTGAGGCTGCTGGCCAGGGGCTCTCTAGGGTGAGACGAAATTTGCATAAGGCCAGCTTCACCCAAGAGTGCAACTGTCACGTGGACAAAGCAAACAGCAGAGTGAAATGGTCAGGGTGGAGAGGGGGACTCTCAAGGCTCAGAAGGACCAAACTGACCTTTAAGCAAAGAGGGGGAGTCAGTGGAGGCCAAGGAATCTGAAAGAGAATTACCCTGCTTGACTACAGAACCAAGGATCTCTGTAGACTCAGGGAGGTCACGAATAGCTGCTGGGCAGAAATGTATGTTGGCTTCAGGTCAGAGGAACCACACTGGGAAGCAGGTTTGGGGCTGGCTGAAGCATTTCCCAGAGGTGTTGCTAACCTAAAATACCTTTGTTAAATGAAGTTTAGCCTAAAGCTGCCTCCTTACATATTTAAGTTTGGCCTAAAGGTTTTTCTGTACATCGATAACTATACAACAAGCGGAAGTGTAAACCAACCATAGTTTACATTTGTGCCAACCACTGAGTCTTGGCCAATCAGATGTAGCCAACTGTTCGGACCGTGTTCAAATAAGGCAAACGCCGAGCTCTGACCAAGCCAGTAGTTTCTGTGCCTCACTTCGGTTTTCTGCACGCCACTTTCCTTTTGCCGTCCATAAATCTTCTTCCACCACGTGTCGGCGCTGGAGTCTCTCTGAATCTGCTATATGATTCTGGGGGCTGCCCGATTCACATATTGTTCACTGCTCAAGTAAACTCCTTTCAATTTAATTCAGCTGAACTTTTTCTTTTAACACCTTTAAGGCAAAAAGTCACTTTTGCTTAGGGCCTGTCCAGGCATGTCTGAAGTATGAGAAAGGAACTGAGGTCCTGTTCTCCTTACTAGAATCTGAAAACATATCCACTTTGCTATGGTTTTATATTTCTGGCATTACATGTTATGTCCTCTTAATTTCTTCAGAGAGTCCAGCTGTGTCTCAGCTGAACCACAGACAGGTGCTGTTTCACTACTCAGAAAGAACAGAGAGGGGAGAAGAGTTTATTTCCAAAGAACTTTTATATCCTAGTGTGGGTAAGAATTTCTTAAGGAGCTTGCCAAAATGCAGACTTCAGGGCTCCATTTCTAGAGGTAGGTACCCTGATGTAGGAGCTAGTCACACTGAGAAGCATTTCTCTAGAGGCTCCACGAAGGAGGGCAGAGAATTGAAGAGTGTCTACAAAGGTACATCCACTACCAGCAAACCATTCTTCCAGAGACATAGCACTAGTGTTTTAAGTCAAGGGAAATAAAGATGTAGTGTTTTAGTTCCAGAATTAAGAGGCAAAGAATGGATAAAGAAGTCTTTTTTTTTTTGTCAGTTAAAATATTCAAAAATTGGCCAACAGTTTTCCCACTTTTTTTGGCAATATGATTTATCCATAAACTAAATCGATTTAAAAATCTTAGTAACACACAAAAAGTACCCAGAAATATTATCTCACATGAATTCCTCAAAAAATGTGAATGTTCTTTGAATTAATGCTGAATCCTAAATTATTCTTCATATAATGTCAGATATCTGAAAAATTCACTTCAATTTCCTGCCCTGGCAGAAATATATGAGGGATCATTTGAAAAGCTAATCACTTCAGAAGTAATTCTATAATTTGTCAAAAAGGAAAAAAGACATCTGGCAAAATCCAGGTGCAGACTAATGTGATGTAAATCCATGTTTTTTCTTCTATTTTTTTTTTTTCTGGGGGTGGGGAGGAAAAACTAAACTAACAGGCATATTATAAAACTTCTGCAGGTTCCTTTTTTTTTTTGAGGCAAGGTCTCGCCTCTGTTGCCCAGGCTGGAGTGCAGTGGCATGATCACAGCTCACTGAAACCTGGAACTCCTGGATTCAAGCAATCCTCCCATCTTAGCCTCCCAAGTAGCTGGGACTACAGGCACGTGCCACCATGCTCAGATGTGTTTTTTGTTGTTGTTGCTGTTGTTGTTGTAGAAATGAGGTCTTGCTAAGCTGCCCAGGTTGGTCTCGAACTCCTGGGCTCAAGAGATCTTCCTGCCTCACCTCCCACAGTGCTGGGATTAGAGGCATGAGCCATCACTCGCAGCCAGGTTCCAACTTTTTCAGCATGTGCCTCAGCCACAACTGGAGAGAGATGTGACACCACTCAGGTTCACTGGTAATGCTATAATGGTTTTGATTTTTAAAATGGAATATCCTTCTTTCAAGAGACTGAAGAATAAGGAAGGTTTTTGCTTCTCTAAACATGTGGTATCATTTGCTTGATGACTTCATTTCTTGACACTTGGGAAAAGGTGACTAAATCCTTTCTTTACTAAGAATGAAAGAATGTGACCACATTTTCCCCTCATTCTGTGTTTGCTCCAGACTAAGAAAGATTCAGATAAGATGTTGCAGGGGTGGTGGGTTCACAAATGATGTATTGGTAATAAAGCAGAAATGTTTTGTAAGGGCATGGGTGATGGCTATCTGCTCCCAAACTGTGTCACCTGCCTTATCAGAGGGAGTCTCACTTGGGTTCCTCAAGCTTACAAGCCTCTTTGAGGAATTCTCAAACTAAAGATCTATCCCATGTGTCTAGAATTAGCTAAGACATTTCTATGAGTATTTACAACCAGCACAGTACCAGGGAATGCATTACTGATTGTCAGACAGACTTATTGGTAAATACTGGAGTCTCTAATTGCACAGATCATTAAAAAATTTATGGCTACTTTACATAGTACTATTACAATGGCATGAGAATAAATTGGTTCCATGATTACTTCTATAAAAGCCTAAATTGATTCCTGTTCTTGCACTCACACTACCTTTGTAAAGCTTTGACCCTTTCCTCTCTCTCTCTTTTAAAAAAGATCCTGTGTCTATCTAGCTTTTGCTCCATGTGTTGTGGTTGTTTTTATCCTATCTCAACTCTACTTTGCAATGCTGGGGCCCAGAGTTGCAAACGATATCCCATAGGCCTCTTGACTAGGTCCTGTCAGTCAAGGCATTGCAGGAGTTGGATGAGAAGGTGGCAGGAGGACAGAAGCTGCTGGCTTTCTGCTCTCATTTATCTTTCTTCCATTTCAGGGCAGTGTCTCTGGAGGTGGCTATGTTCTTGCACTATCCCAGCTCTTCAGGTAGCATCCTCCGCCACTGTCCCTTCTCCAAGGCGGCAGCAGGTATCGTGGCAGAGCTCATGGTGGGAGCTGCCTCCTGCAGTTATTTACCTGAGTTTCTGGAATTTCCCCCTTCAGTCTTCCAGCCTCCCCACATTCTGTAACCAATTCCCTTTGAAATTCCAAGTGTGTTTTCCATTTCCTGAAAGGACTCTAACAAAGCACTCCATGATGGCTTTTTGTCAAAAACATCATGCCCTTTACAGTGAGACTTATGCGGCAGCTGCAAGGTATTAGTGTCTCAAATCACTTGGTTATTTTATTTCAACAAATGTTTTATGGGGCTTACTATGTGCCACAAGGTATAAATGCTTTCTAATTGTTATTTCATTTAATCTTTATAACAACTCTGGGGGCAGTAGTATAGTAATTCACACTTTACAAATGAGGAAACTGAGGCACATGACGAGCAAGTAACTTGCCCAATGTTAGATCACTAGAAGTGGCAGTTTGAGAGCTAATGTCCTAAGGGATGATTTAGCAAGACGCATGAGCATCTTTACCCACCACCATCTGAGGTGGTGGGGGTAGGAAGGTCTGTTTGCAAGGCAGGAGTCAGCAGATTAAGAAACATAAAAGAACAGGCTGGGCGTGGTGGCTCATGCCTGTAATCCCAGCACTTTTGGAGGCTGAGGCGGGCAGACCAAGAGGTCAGGAGATCGAGACCATCCTGGCTAACACGTTGAAACCCCAAACCCCGTCTCTACTAAAAAAAAATTAGCCGGGCGTGGTGGCACGCACCTGTAGTCCCAGCTACTCGGGAGGCTGAGGTAGGGGAATTGCTTGAACCCGGGAGGTGGAGGTTGCAGTGAACTGAGATCACGCCACTGTACTCCAGCCTGGGTGACAGAGACTCTGTCTCAAAAAAAAAACAAAAAACAAAAAACCATAAAAGAACAAAGAGTCTGGAGAGGTCGTCTTCAATGTTTAGCATCAACGAGTGCATCATCCTACTAGGGGCTGTGTAGCCCTAGACTGGTGTCTAGGTATGGCAGGTAGCTGCAAAGTTCACAGCAGGTAACACAGTTGTGCTGTCTTTCCCTTGAGATTAGGGTTAGGGGAATGGAATCACTAGGAAGTTTTTGCAACTAGCTGTTCTCCTTTCATTTTGTAAATATTAAAGATTCCTGCTGACCTTGCTGTATCAACAGAAGATATAGGATTTTCTAAACCCAGCAGGAACATATCTAATAAAAGTCTTTTCTCGATGATTACGTAGTGATTTGGAGTCCACCTGGAGAGTTGGAAATAACAACTTGAGGAAATAGCTATTTTAGGTTTCTTATAAATTTAAATTAATGTTAAATTTTTAAAGTGTTTGAACATTCTGTCTCTAACATCTTTGAAGATGAAAATCCTCACTCAAAATCCCATGGAAAAAGAAAAGGCAAAAAGATGAAGACGAGAACTTGTATGGATGTCACCAAATTTCCATTAAAAGCATCATCTAAAACTTATCATCTGAAACTGTATATTCTATATCAGTGCTGTAGCTGGAAGTCATGCCTCCACTTTTTAGCCATGTGGTCTTGAGAAAGTTACCTCATGTTGCTAAGCATCAATTTCCTCATGTGTAAGATGGAGACCGTAAATATAATAACTTTACAGAATTGCTGTGAGAATTAAATCACTTGATATGTATAAAGGGCTTAACATGGCCCTTAATAAGGTCCAATAATTAGCTGCTATTGTATTCGATTATTATTGGTGGTTTGAAGTAGGACTAATATTATGATAGAAAAGTTGCCTTTGCAATGCTGTTTTTAATAAGCAAAATTCACCAATAGCTGGTAGAACAAATACTATAGGTAGACATTAACGTAAGCCCATTGGCTGGGTGCGGTGGCTCACACCTGTAATCCCTGCACTTTGGGAGGCTGAGCAGGGTGGATCACTTGAGGTCAGGAGTTCGAGACCAGCCTGGCCAACATGGTGAAACTCCGCCTCTACTAAAAATACAATAACTAGCCAGGAGTGGTGGCGGGTGCCTGTAATCCCAGCTACTCAGGAGGCTGTGGCAGGGGAATCACTTGTACCCTGGAGGCGGAGCTTACAGTGAGCTGAGATGGCACCACTGCACTCCAGCCTGGGCCACAGCGCGAGACTCTCTCAAAAAAACCCAAAAAACCAAAACCCAAAAACCAAAACATAAGCCCACAACTTTGCCTGCTAGAAATATTTTAGTTATTAAGCAGCAAAAAAAAAAAAAAGGTCTCAAACACAGGACCAGAACTCATGTTAGGAAAAAAACCAACCAACCAACCTTGTATGTTTTTGGAGGCTATGATGCAGGAGTGGTACAGTGGAAAAGACAAGAGGCTTAGACCCTAGAGACCTGTGTTCAACTGAAGTCCTACTAACACGCTCGGATATACCATGTAAGGTTTCTGCATTTCCATTTTCTGATATTTTAGACAAATCTAAAGAAAGATCTCTAACCACTGGGATGGCTCTACTTGCATGTCTATAAACCTTAGTGGTAAGCAATTTGTGGGGAAGGGCTTCTGGTTAGAGTGTTTCCACCCCTGTTCTAGGTTTATGACACTGTAATGGCAGGAAGAAGAGGGCACAAGACTGTTAGATCTGATGGATTAGCCTCTGAGATCTAGAATGTTGGACTCATCATTTAGGGAGCCTTTGCCAATTTTCCCTCTACGTGTAAATGACCAGTGGCTTTTTCTCTGACATTTTTGCCCTTCTCACAATACTGCAAATGTCTGCAGGGTGAGCCCAACTGTTAGAAATAGCCACCAACCAAACCTGAGACTGGATAGAGTGGTGACACTGGTAAGACATCTTTGATGGGGAAAGCATAGGTGCACTGGAATGAAGTGTGACTTTCAATTCCTTATGCATAACCAGAGCTTTGGCTTTGCTACCAACTACGCAGGAAATCATGAAAATATTCATAAGTGTAACCTATTTCTACAACATTAAATGAAATTGTTCTTAACTTTGAGGTAAAACACATTTGCCTCTATATTTCTTAGTGCTCAATTTATACCTCTTTTTAAAAGAACAGACTTCTTACTAGTAAATAAAAATGCAAGTATCAAAAATTCAGAACTTAAATGTTGCTAGTTAACTAGGAAGCAATGCCCATGACAGTTTCTCTTTATTCCTATGATCTGCATGCTCTAACACAAGACTGCACAGTGCAACTTGTGAAAATATGTACTCCCAATCAGTAGGTTAGATACATACTTTTAAGATGATACTATTTTTTTTTCTTTCCTTCCTAGCCAATTTTTGGAGTACATTAAAAAAAGAATGGGTTGCTATCAGAGTTTTTGAAGTTACAAAGAATAATCCTTTAAAAAAAGGAATAATTCTAAGAGACAGCAGTTTCCCACTGCAGTATATAATTTAGGTGTGGAGGCATCCAGGCACTAATCAATACCTTGCCAACTTAAGGATTCTAAAAAGACTGACAGAATGACAACTGCTAGTTGAAGTATTTGCAGCTTATTTTAGCACAGATACATATAACATAATGTCAAAATCGGAAAACAGACCACTTTGCCTGAACAGAAAAATGATTCATAAAGAGAAAAATCTCACATGTAAATTATAACATCAATATTCAACATATTTTCTTTTTCTTTCTTTTTTTTTTCTTTTCAATGCATTTTCTTTCCAGGCTCTCTGGATTAGGTTTTGAAACTCAGTTGGCCAGATGAGATTTAGAGTAGTGTCTATTTATTGCCACATAGGACTAGGTGGGCTCTAAAGGAAAAAATGATAGAAACAAAAATATGACAATTTTTTCTTTTGTTTTGGTTTGTTGGTGAAGTTTGCCAGTTGAATAATGAGGGTTGGGCACAGTGGGTCAGGGAAATAGGGATATTGACTCCTGGGAGTTCTCAAACTGTTGTCTTTAAGATTTTTTTAGCACCTTCATGCCTCTTTTCCTTATGATTTCCCTAAGTCTGTGATTAAGACCCGAGGCCCTTCTGTCAGCTTCTTGTACACATCAAGGCTAAAAGCAGACATACCTACAGGAGCAGGCAGGTGACAGCACAGATGAATGAGGAAGAGGGTGGTCACCTGGGGTGGTCTCAGGTTTTCCCCTCCAGCTGATAAATGCCAGGAGGAAACAGAGCCAAAATTATATGGTGACGAAGACACTGATATTGCAAAAGAATCTGGGTATTTTAGCGAAGTTGTTTGGTTTTTAAAGGGTGGCTCATTGAAACAACATTCTAGGCTCACTGAAATGCGTTTGTCTGGGTTGCATCTCATTGGCAGGCACCAACTTGACTGTGGGTCCTGCTACAGTGCTGCTGGTGGCTCAGTTTGGTGGCATGTTCCAGGATGGATTTCCTGGTGCCAGCCTGGAGCCCATGCCCACTGCCTTTCCACAGACTTTGTAGGCACCCAATTCCCTAGATTAAATTCCTTTCTGGTTAAGATTAAGTGGTTTCTTGTTCTTGCAAGTGAACCTTGATTGATAGTGAAATATAAGATATCAAATTGCATTTTGGAGATACAGTGCCAAAGAAGATTAAAACAATGCACTTGTTTTAAATAAATATTTAAAAGAAAGGAAAAATATCATAGATAACTTTTTATTTTCCCCCTCCAAATCTATATGCTAGTCAGTATCGGTGTAAATAAAAGCATCAAGAATGACAGCACAGCTCTGGGAGCATGCGGAGGTGGAACATGCAGAGGTAGCTTCCAGGATGGCCAGGAACGATTGGGAGTCAGGAGGAGGCCCTGCCAGGCCCCGGGAAAACCTTATGAATACCCAAGAGTCTAACACCCCTGGTCAAGAGACTGGATACTTACCACCACCACCACCACCACCACCACTGCTACCAAAACACAAAACAAAACAAAACCCTTTTATTGTTGGCTGAAAATCTCACGAAATGATTGAAGAGCACATCCGATTATATGCCCCAATAATTATCATGACAGCAAACGGTAAGAAATCACCATGGCTTCACATGAGAATTGTTTTTGACCTTGCTAAGAACTTCCTGCAACCTTCCAGCTATCTTTTGAGCTGCTATTTATATTTGAGAGCAAAAGAACTTTATATAGACCCATGTGTTCAGCTGCACCAAACAGACAGGAAAGGCCGTTGCTTGACTAATTTACATACCAGGTTTAAACATTTGACATTACTACTAAGTATTACACATTAATTTAAGTCATTTTAAATTTCTCCAATCCAAGGAAACTGACCAAATCAAATAACTTTGTATAGTTTAGATGAGTTAAATAATTTTTAATAGAGCCTTATTTGTTGGCCCTTAGAGCAGAACAGTGCAAACTCAGGCCCAGCTAAGATTTGCGGCTCACCTTGCTACCCACTTGATCTACTTTTCTGGACCTAGACTGGCCGCCTAACCTCCTGCCTACCTAATCTTGTATCTAGCTGAGGGAGGAGGAAACAGCAACAAAAAAGAATTCCTATAGCAGGTCCGACTAGCAAACTTTAACTTACCAAAAGACTAAGCTAGACTCTATGGATATCCATATATTAAAAATAAATCTACCTTATTGATTCCTCTTCCTGGAAATCAACTGAACTGCTAGCCTGGAGATGGAAAATGACTTAAAGCGTAAGGAATTCTTCACCTGCATAAATCTGATCTTGATTATTGAGAGCTAGGTTTCAACAAGAACTAGTCTAACATTTAACAGATAATTGTTATTTTACTTATTTTTTAAAATTTGTTTCTATTTTTATAACACTTCATAGAACTTATAAAACAGTGCTTATATAAAAATTCACACAAAGTTGCTAGAGAGCATACAATTTCCAAAAATCTTATAGGTTACATGAGATATTTTGATTACAGGCATGCAATGAATAATAATCATATCAGGGCAAATGGAGTATCCTGCCTTCTGCTTCTGATGTTGTGTCTCCTTCTCTGATTCTCACCTTTCTTCTGTCTTCCCCTTACAAGAACCCTGTGATTATATTGGGCCTATCTGGATAATTCAGGATAATCATCCCATTTCAGGATCTTTAATTTAATCCCATTTGTAAAGTCCCTTTTGCCATATAAGGTAACATATTCACAGGTTACAGGAATTAGGATGTGGATAGCTTTGGGGGAGCAATTATTCTGTTTACCATAGTCACTAAGATCACACATACCAAAAGAGAATATTACAATATCTTTGCAGCTACCTGTGTAATATTAACTAAGAGTGCTCACTCTGAAGAAACCCATTCCTAAAAAATTTACTAAAATAAAAATGATGAAAGATTTGTCTTCTTCCATTGAGCCAAGTATATAATTTCTACATGACATAATGATCAACTGTAAAGAAAAATCATGAGGGTTTTCCCTCCAATGTTCTTTTGCCACAGTAAAAATCAAGCATGTTCTCTCTCCGACCTATGAGGCAGATGACAGGCACATCCTGGTTGTTAGAGACGTGTCCTCATTCAGAGATACTGGTTCAGGCCTGATGTTGATGTGGTAACAGCCTGATGGGTTATTTGACTGCACTAAGTATTACCTGTTTGAATAGAGTGTAGGCCTGTCGTGTGGATAGTGCTCATTGACGTATAAGGAAGAAGATGAAATTGTGGTTGCCAAGGAAGCAGCTTCAAACAGTGATGGAGTGCTAGGGACCAGGTCTGGCCTGTGTCGGGATCCCAGGGCTAGGAACGAAAGCAACACACACATTCATGAATCTCAAGGATAAATGCAGCTTTAGTATCTATAATAATTGAAATGAGTCAAAAGCATTCATTTTACCTATCAGGCTGCAAATTCAATTATGAATTAACTGCACTTTTTTTTTCTGAATTACAGCAGAAATGTAAAATAGCTTCTTGCAAACAGGTTAAACAGGAAGGAAATTGCATTAATTTACAAAATGGCTCATGGAAATGACATTATGAATGTTCTTTTAAAAACCTAATAAAGTGATTTACTATTTCAAAAAGATGGCATAAAAAAACTCATAGGAGTTAAAGCAGACAATTTGGCAGAGATTAAAAGGATGACTGGCAAGTGTATAAACAGACAGTGAACCTTTTTGCCCTCCCTGTGATATGCACATATCTATGATTCTCAGGTTGGATCTAAGAACCCAGGCTTTTCAAGAGCTGGGAAACAAATACTTCAACAGACTAACAGTCAGCTCTACCTTAACCCCATCTGAGCCCATAAATACTTTTAAACATTATCCAGGACTCTTATTGACATATTTTAACAGCAAAGCTGCCTTTTTTAAAAATGAGAAAACACTTATTTTTTCTTTAAAACTTAGGGGCCCATGAAATTACTTATGCGAGAGCCCATCCTTGTGAGGAAAGAGGAATGTTCAAGGCTGGGCAGTAACCCCTGCCCATCTCTCTGGAGTCTATGTGGATTCTTTCCATCACTCCCCCAAGACTGACCTAAAATAGATGCTAATAAATACAATTATAACTTTAAGGTATTCCTGGTATTCCTTTATAGGCACAACAAATTCAAAATTAGAGATTTTTAGTGTGTAAATATAAACCGACCCTAACAGGGATTCTCGTATGAGTGTGAGGTTTTGGATTTTGGATGTGAAGGGTATAGATGGTGGGGTAGGAAGCAACATGGAGGGAAGCCAGGCAAGCACAGGAAAGGCTGGACTCTAGTCTGGGAAATCAGACGACACACTGGGGTGGTGGAGCTCTGCCTCCAATTCAAGTCAAAATAGAAAACTGCAGCGATGGATAAAAGATGATCGTCATATAAAACCATGAATAACCAAAGTGCTCAACCTTCAAAAATTAGAAAGGCTTCAACTTTAATGTGACACCTGGCTTGCAATCTTCAATATTCTTGATCCCAACTTCTCATTAAATGGAAAGAAAAACATGAAAACTCTCCATAACATTGAAAACTGGGTGTCAAAAATAACCTGATATCAGATTCCAATGAATTGCCACTCCTTATAAGGTAGGTGGAGCTGGTCTTCGACCTAGGTTTTGGGCATACCAGCTTTACTTCACAAAGTAGACATGGCCTGAGTGACAGAGCAAAACACATCTGTCCAGTGACTCAGTCTCAGGTCACACATCATTGGGAAGGTGACCCCTCAACCCATGAGGAGCAGTTCTTTGAGGGAGAGAAGTGTTTCCTCATGCTCCCATATGCTTTTTTCTAAAGCCAGTGTCGTAGGTAGAACTCTAAGATGACCCGTAATGACCCACACTCTTGTAAATTCTCCCTTTGTTGTGGGGCCTGCAGACATGATGAGCTGTTATTCCTGTGGCTATGTGATGTGACCTAGCAAAAGGGATTTTGCAGATGTAACTCAGGTTGCCCTGAGTTGGCTAACACTGAGTTAGTCAAAGGGAAGATTATTCAGGGGAGCCTCACCTAATTGTACGAGCCCTTTAAATCTGGGTCTAGAGGTCAGAGACAAGAAGTCAGAGAGACAAAGTGTTTGGGGCTGACTTGTAGGACATTCTGTGTTTGAAGACAGAGGGGCAGCATGGTAGGGAATGTGGATGGACCCCAGGGCTAAACATGGCTCTTGGCTGTCAGACAGCAAAGAAGCAGGGATCTCCACCCAACAGCTACAAGGAGCTGAATTCTGCCGACAACATGAATGAGCTTGGAAGAGGATTCGTCTTCAGCACTTCCTGATAAGAACTCAGCCCAGCTCAAAACAACCAGCTAGCATCATAATGACGGGATGAAATTCACACATAACAATATTAACCTTAAATATAAATGGGCTAAATGCCCCAATTAAAAGACAGACTGGCAAATTGGATAGAGTCAAGATCCATCAATGTGCTGTATTCAGGAGACCCATCTCATGTGCAGACTCACATAGGCTCAAAATAAAGGGATGGAGGAATATTTACCAAGCAAATGGAAAAAAAAAATGGCAGGAGTTGCAATCCTAATCTCTGATAAAACAGACTTTAAACCAACAAAGATCAAAAGAGACAAATAAGGCCATTACATAGTGGTAAAGGGATCAATGCAGCAAGAAGAGCTAACTATTCTAAATATACATGCACCCAATACAGGAGAACCCAGATTCATAAAGCAAGTTCTGAGAGACCTACAAAGAGACTTAGACTCCCACACAATAATAGCAGGAGACTTTAGCACCCCACTGTCAATATTAGACAGATCAACGAGACAGAAAATTAACAAGGATATTCAGGACTTGAACTCAGCTCTGGACCAAGCGGACCTAATAGACAGCTACAGTACTCTCTACCCCAAATCAACAGAATATACATTCTTCTCAGCACCTCATTGCACTTATTCTAAAATTGATCACATAATTGGAAGTAAAACACTCCTCAGCAAATGCAAAAGACCGGAAATCATAACAGTCTCTCAGACTACAGTGCAATCAAATTAGAACTCAGGATTAAGAAACTCACTCAAAACTGCACAACTACATGGAAACTGAACAACCTGCTCCTGAATGACTACCGGGTAAATAACAAAATGAAGGCAGAAATAAAGATGTTCTTTGAAACCATGAGAATGAAGACAACGTACCAGAGTCTCTGGGACACATGTAAAGCAGTGTGTAGAGGGAAATTTATAGCACTAAATGCCCACAAGAGAAAGCAGGAAAGACCTGAAATTGACACCATAACATCAAAATTACAAGAACTAGAGAAGCAACAGCAAACAAATTCAAAATCTAGCGGAAGACAAGAAATAACTAAGATCAGAGCAGAACTGAAGGAGATAGATACACAAAAAACCCTTCAAAAAAATCAATGCATCCAGGAGCTGGTTTTTTGAAAAGATCAACAAAATAGATAGACCTCTAGCCAGACTAATAAAGAAGAAAAGAGAGAAGAATCAAATGGATGCAATAAAAAATGATATAGGGGATATCACCACTGATCCCACAGAAATACAAACTACCATCAGAGAATACTATGAACATTTCTGTGCAAATACACTAGAAAATCTAGAAGGAAGGGATAAATTCTTTGGACCCTCCCAAGTCTAAACCAGGAAGAAGTCGAATCCCTGAATAAACCAACAACAAGTTCTGAAATTGAGGCAGTAATTAATAGGCTACCAACCAGAAAAAGTCCAGGACCAGACAGATTCACAGCTGAATTCTACCAGAGGTACAAAGAAGAGCTGATACCATTTCTTCTGAAACTATTCCAAACAATAGAAAAAGGGGGAATCCTCCCTAACTCATTTTATGAGGCCAGCATCACCCTGATACCAAAATCTGGCAGAGACACAGCAAAAAAAGAAAATTTCAGGCCAATATCTCTGATGAACATTGATGCCAAAATCCTCAATGAAATACTGGCAAACCGAATCTAGCGGCACATCAAAAAGCTTATCCACCATGATCAAGTCGGCTTCATCCCTGGGATGCAAGGCTGGTTCAACATATGCAAATCAATAAACTAATATAATTTTAAAATAAGTTTATCCTATTTCCCAGACTACAGGCACCTGCAGTTTTGCATGTGCTATCAGAAAATCAGGTAGTATAGTGTGGGAGATGCCAGTGCAGGGGAGCTTAGGAGAAAGGGATGAATGTCTGCTAGGAATTGGAGACACCAATTCGGAGAGGATCAAGGGCACCTCTGTAACTCTCTTGCTGAAATCATTAACTCCAGGTAAAAGTTGGTTTATGGGAAGATGAGAAAGAAAGAAACCAAACAGCACATATGGATAAGTGCTGCTGAAGAAGGAATAGAAATAACACCACATCTTAAAGACTCTGAGGAAAAGAAAACCCCTAGAAGAGGTCTTAACTTCTGTAGAAAGTAGAAGACATTTTCAGGAAATGCTGAGATTCTCCAAAGAATATACTAATAGAAAAATCTAAAATGTCATTCTCCCATATTTGATTAGAAGGGAAAAAACAAATGATTAACTTGGCAGATAAAGTATTTGATAAAATTCAGTACTCCTTCCTGATTAATTAAAAAAAAAACTTTTAGCAAAGTAGGAATAAAAAAAGGAACTTCCTTGACTTGATTATGGGTATCAAATACAGCAAACTTCTTTTTCAACAGTGAAACATTAGAAGTACTCCCTTTAAAATCAGGACAAAGCAAGGCTGTCTACAATCACCACTTCTATTTATCATTGTACAAGAAGTCCTAACCAGCAAGTTAAGAAAGAAAAAAAGACAAAAAGGGTGTGAAGTCTATGCAATAGCAACAAATGGCCAGAAAACTCAATTCTTAAAAAAGATACTGTTTTTAAAAATCCAGAAAAAAATCTATATCAATATCTCTGCATTTATCCAAGAAATAAATCTAACAAAAGGTATATGTACAAGCCACACAAGAAAAATATTATAAAACTTTATTGAAATTCATTAAAGCGCTCACTTTGGCAGCACATATACTAAAATTGGAACGATACAGAGAAGATTAGCATGGCCCCTGTGCAAGGATGACATGCAAATTTGTGAAACGTTCCATATTTTTCCTTTCTGCCTCTTTTCTTTCCTTCTCTTGGTACCTGCTCATGGTTATGAAGCTTTCAAAGTAAAGAACGTGTAGTACCTCCTGAGTATTACCAGTGGGTACCAAAAAATAAATCATTAAAGAAGACCTAAATGAAGAGACAACTTATTGTTACATTGAGTGTATGTGTGTGTATGTGTACTCGTGCATATGTGTATGTGTACATGTACAGAATAAGGTCTAGAAGTAAAAGCAACAAAATGTTAGTATTTGTTACCATCAGGTAGTGGAAGCAGACATTTTTCTTTTTGAATTAGTATTGTCTAATTTTTATCGTAAACCATAAATTGTATTTTTTATGTGGTAGTTAAAATGTGCATGAACTGCATCTTACTGTAGCTATCCTATTTATTTATTTATTTATTTGGGACAGAGTCTTGCTCTGTTGCCCAGGCTGGAATGCAATGGTGCAATCTCAGCTCATTGCAGCCTCCGCCTCCTGGGTTCAAGTGATTCTCATGCCTCAGCTTCCCAAGTAGCTGGGATTACAGGCGCCCGCTATCACGCCTGACTAATTTTTTGTATTTTCAGTAGAGACAGGGTTTCGCCATGTTGGCCAGGCTGGTTTCGAACTCCTGACCTCAAGTGATCCACCCACCTAGGCCTCCCAAAGTGTAAGGATTACAGGCATGAGCCACTGCGCCCGGCCACTGCAGCTATCCTTTAAAAACTTAATTAATATATTTTATTTCTTAGAGCAGGTATTTTTAAATTTTTCTTCTGCAAATTTACTTGTATAAATAAATCACAAGAACGTTTGTCTTTTTAAAAAAGTTACATATCTTTACCTTCTTCATCAAGGCTGCTAAAACTTTGTCCTTCAGTCAGCAAATCCCGCTTCTCATCCTTCCATTCCTGGCTAATTGAGGACACAATCTCCTGTGAAGTGGCCTTTAGGGCGGCGATTGAATTGCACCGTTTCTTAGACGGTGAAGCCTTCAAAGCTAGACAGAAAGGAAAAGGACAAATACAGATATTTACTGTAAAATCACATTACTATTTTATTTAAAAGTGAATATTTTATTATTTATTAACATTTTAGTTATTATTTGAATAGAAGACAAGACGCTTATTTTATATATATGGAAAGGGAGATGAACTTGTTTCATCTGATGAATACGATGAATTGGCTATATTATTTGTCCAAAATGACTTGACTTAAATCAGAATTTCCTAGAGCAAATTAAAAGTTAAAATTTCTCTCCAGATTTTGCAATAAAGTCTTACTTGAGGTAAAATTCAAATGTTTTATTGCTAAAGAATCATTCCCCCCTCTCCAAACAATGTTTTTCTAGTGCTGGGAGGAGGATGGGTGAGTTGATAAGCACAGATGGTAAAGTATAGAGAATTCTCACGACCCTGGTTTTATTAACTTGGGACTGGGAATTTCTAAACATGCCAATGTTTAATCTTCTACTCATGTTGCCCAATTTAGCCAAGTTACTTCTGGTTGCTTTTTTCTTTCTGTGACTTTCCACTGACATTTCCTACCCTTTAGCTCTTTTCTAGGTCATGGTTTTATGTCAGACGTATAATTCACTTCCAATCTTTGTCTAAACAGCAGTCTACAACTTCAGAAGTGTGTTGGGAACCTGAACTAATGAAAATGTACTTCACCATCAATCATGCTTGCTGAAGCCTGGGACTTCATGGAGGACACGTCCATGGAAGCTGCTTAAGCGGCAGCAAGGCCATCCTTATTTACATTCACTATTTGCTGCAATAATTCTTCTTGGCTTAATATTGCTTGAGAATTTCCTTGGAGGGAGGGGGAGAGGGAAGTTGAGGCCTCTTTATGTTTTCCCCTGAATATGTTTTTGGCAGTGTCTCTCTTCCTTTAGAAGTTTGCATAAAGGGGTAGCCTGATAGTAAGTGTATTAGAGTAATTGTGTTTAGCCTTGGGAATCTCAGAGCTTAGATTACACAGCTCATCTGGGGCCTTCCCAGAGGCTGCTTGCAAGAACTTAATTGGAGAAGGACTTTGGGACACACAAATGAGAGAAGAATGGAGGACAATCTCTCCACTTAAAGAGAAGGGAAGGTTTATTTGTCCCTCGAGCAGTCTTAGAATCATAATAATATCATCATCCTAATAAATAACATTTGTGGAGGGCTTTAGAGTCTGGAATCCAACATTCACATTGCATATCTCAAACCATCCACATGTATGAGGAAGAGGAAGGCCCTTTTTTAGGCCCAGAAACTGAGAATAGAAAGATTGTGGCTTGCTCAGGGTCACAGAACTAGCAAGCATGAATTTCAGGTGTCTTTCTTTTCTTAAGTTGCTTTCTAGGTGGTTCATTTTCTAGTTCTTTAGCATTCTGTTTTCTGGTTAAACTGAGGGGAGAAAAAGATAAACCTTGAATTTGTTTTTCTTTGAGGGGAAGAAATTTTTGAATGTTTAAAAAATAAGTTATGTTTACCTTAATTCTCCACTCTCTCAAACAGTGGTTACACTTGTTTTACAAGGAAGAAGCCATTATTGTCACACTGGCCTCTGCCTTAACATTCTATCTGCTAACTTTTATTTATTTTATTTTATTTTATTTTTCTTTAAGTTCTGGGATACATGTGCTGAACATGCAGGTTTGTTACATAGGTATACATGTGCCAAGGTGGTTTGCTACACCTATCAACCTATCATCTCTATCTGCTAACTTTTATAGACCTTCAATAAACTCCTGTCTTTCAATATAGTATTTTAAAACTGCTTCTTCTTCTTTTTTTTTTTTTTGAGACGGAGTTTTGCTCTTGTTGCCCAGGCTGGAGAGAATGGCGCAATCTCGGCTCACTGCAACCTCCGCCTCCCAGGTTCAAGCAATTCTCCTGCCTCAGCTTCCTGAGTAGCTGGGATTACAGGCATGCGCCACCATGCCTGGCTAATTTTGTATTTTTAGTAGAGACGGGGTTTCTCCATGTTGGTCAGGCTGGTTTCGAACTCCTGACCTCAGGTGATCTGCCTGCCTTGGCCTCCCAAAGTGCTAGGATTACAGGCATGAGCCACTGTGCCCAGCTGTATTTTAAAACTTCTAAATCAGAGGATCTCAGATGTGGGGTGGAAACTAAGGGGTCTCTGAGACCCTTTCAGAAGATCTGTGATGTTAAAATTATTTTCATCATCATCATAAGACATTATTTGCCTTTTTCACTTTCATTCTCTCATATGTGTAGAGTTTTCTAGATGTTACATGACCTGTGATGTCACCACATATTGAATTCAGAAGCAGATGTGAGACTCCAACTTATCTTCTATTAAGCCAGACGTTAAGGATTTCAAACAAAAAGGTAAAACAATTCCACTTTTCTCACTAAATTATTTGTGGAAAATATAATTATATTTTGTAATTATTTATGTTAAAAATTGACTGATGTTAACACGCAATTTTTTTTGTTAACTGGTAAGAATTAATAAATATTTTTAAATTTTTCTCAATTTTAATTTCTAATATGTGAAATATAGATAGCTATCACCCACATAAATAAAAGCTCTTTGGTGTCCTCAATAATTTTTAAGGGTGTAATGTGGCCCTGAGACCAAAAGGTTTGAGAACTGCTTTTCTACATCATAGTTCTTAGGTCAATGTTATTTCTCTAAACGAAGAAACAGCAATGATCAAAAGGTTTTCGGCAGTACCAAGGAAATGCGATCAGGGTGAGAGCCGTGTAATGAGGAAAAGATACTCAGGAGACCTATACTCATGGCATTTCATGGAGTGAGGGCCAAAAGACTGGAAAAAGAAGTAACTCTTTGTTCTTTATCAGCATCACGTATAATGAGGAGCAGAGAAGACCGGAAAACAAACCTCTGCCAAGACCACATAGCACCACAACAAAGAGTTCACTTTTGTCTCAAGTGGTGAGTTTCTTCCTTAAAGGAATGATCTCACTCAGCAGATAAGAGCTTGGATTTTGCAGAAATTTAATTCTCAGGATCTCTTTTGACTGGGTAACATTGAGAGCTGGTTTGGGTGGCTGGTTGCTTCCTTTTGTGTGGCAGAAACGCCTAGATTTGTCTTTGGCTCAACCATGGCTGGCAGTAGGTATCCTGTGTCCATTTCTAGCCTTGCATTCTGCCACTCGACTGCCTCCATGTTCACTTTTCAGCTCACCCTTCTGCCATATTGGAACCTACCATGTTCATTCTGCCCTTAGGCCTTTGCACATGCTGTTCTTTCTCCTTGAGATGCCCTTCCTGTCTCTCTTCTTAATGAACTCTGGGTTACATTTTCAGGATTTAGTTGAAATATCTTTTTCTCTGTGAGCTCTCTTTTGGAAGAATTGGTCTTTTTTTCTCTTATTTCTCTCCGCGTACCCATAGTAGCATATGCAGAAATATTAGCAATTGTTTCATTACAGATCTGTCACATGTTTCAATCTCCGGCTCAAAAGAGACTATTAAATTATTGAGGGAGGAACTAATCAATATTTAAAAAGCTTTCTATATCATCAGTGCTTAGTGTAGTGCTAGATACATAATAGGTGCACGAGTGTTTGTTCATGAATGCATTATTGTTCTGAAGTTTTAGAACAGTTAATTTTCTCTAACAAATTAATTTAACTCTTATATTCTATTCAGGAAACTAAGCTTTAGTACTTTAGACAAATTATTCGTATGGAGAATTTCAGTGAAGTTTCAACATAATGGTGGCTAATATTTCCAGGAAATATTATAGGATTTTGTAGACATTATTACACCGGCAGCATGACTCACTTGTGGGTGGGATGAAGGGATTTAAAAAGGTTAAAAAACACTGACTTCAAAAAAGAAACTTGAAGACCAGGTACTATTTTCTTGGTGGGAGGGGAGTATGCCTTTAGGCATTAAGGGCTTTAAATTAACCATGGTTGATGGAACATCTTAAAGTTAACTCAAGTGTCTACTTTTCTAATAATTTAATTACCCTTTGAAATGGTGGTGTTAGATAAAAATTCCATTCATTCATTGCATTATTCATCAAATAACCATTGAGTGTCTACTGTGTGCCAGGAAATGTGTTAAGTGAAAGTTAAGGACTTTGGGCACCAGGGAATCCATGGACGTTTATTTCCTTTAGCATTATTATTATTATTATTATTAGCATGGAAGGGTTTTAACAGAAATCAGCAAGAGCAGATTTATATTTTAAACTGATTCCTCTAGCTGCAGTGTGTGTGTGTGGAAATTGGATTGAATGGGTACATGATGGGAGGCAAAGAGACCTGTTTGGGGCCACAACTTTATGCAAAAAAAAAAATAATAATAAAACCTGCAAACCAAAAAACACAGTGGCTGAATCAGGAGAGGTACTGTGAGAGAAGGGGCTGCAATCCTGATACTGCAGAGTGAGGACTGATAGGTGTTGCTGAGTAACTGCACGTGGGTGGTAAGCAGAAGGAAGGGGTCAAGGGATGATGGCAGCATTCTGGCTGGGTAATTGGGTGGATTGTGGTGGTCTTCCATAAGACGTGGACCCAGGTAGAGAGGCAGACTCTGGGGTGGTAAGTGGCTAAATTCAATTTTGGGCATGCTGAGCTTGTGGAATCTAGTGGATGCTTAAGTTTGGGGAGTGGACAGGCAAGGGGAATTGCTAGAAGTGTGGGGAGTAAGTTGCAAGTACACAGATGGTAACTGAACCCTTGGGAGAACAGGGAATTACCCAGAGTGCTGTATAAGAAGAGACCGAGTCAGAGCCTGGACCCTGAGGAGCAACCACAATAAGAGTAAGCAGGGATGAAAAGCTTCCAAAGGATACCAAGGAGGAGAAGAGAGGCTGGAAGGCAACCAGGGAAGTCCTGAGTTACGAAAGACAAGCGAAGAGCGTTATTTCACAGAGAACTGCTATCAGTGGTCTCACATGCTGGAGAGTTTTAAGAAGACTGAAAGAGGCTGGGTGCGGTGGCTCACACCTGTAATCCCAGCACTTTGGGAGGCCAAGGTGGGTGGATCACTTGAGGTCAGGAGTTCAAGACCAGCCTGGCCAACATGGCAAAACCCTGTCTCTACTAAAAATACAAACATTAGCTGGGTGTGGTGGCGCATGCCTGTGGTCCCAGTTACTCTGGAGGCTGAGGCAGGAGAATCACTTGAACCTGGGAGGCAGAGGTTGCAGTGAGCTGAGATAGTGCCACTGTACTCCAGCCTGGGCAACAGAGTGAGACTCCATCTCAAAAAAACAAAAACAAAAACAAAAACAAAAAAAACTGAAAGTTGTTCAATGGCTTGAGCAATGATTGTTGATTACTTCAAAAAGAACATTTTGGTAGAGTGGTGGGATCAAAAGCCACTGGAGAACACTGAATAGTGACAAGAAATAAAAAAAGTGAGACAGCAAGTACATCCAACTCTCATCTCCAATAGGGTGACAGTGAAGGAGGAAAAAGATACACCAGGAACTGAAGAGAGACAGATCGTTGAGGAGGTTTGTTTCTATGATATATGAGAATGAGCAGATAGAAGGATGAGGTGTGGAGCCAGAAGAGGGAGTGAATGGTTAAAATTACCCTGTAGTGGAGATAATCTCTACAGGGATCTGTCCTGGACCTTAAGGAGAAGATCGGACCCAGTATACATGGTATATTCATCCATTCAACAAATAAAAATTACAATATGTGCACCCTCCAAACCCACATGGCTTCATTAAGTGCTGGGGATACAGCAGTCACCTTACTTTTTTTTTTTTTTTTTTTTTTTAGATAGAGTCTTGCTCTGTCACCCAGGCTGGAGTGTAGTGGGGCATAATCTTGGCTCACTGCAACCTCTGCCTCCCAGGTTCAAGTGATTCTCCTGCCTCAGCCTCCCAAGTAGCTGGGATTACAGGCATGTGCCAGCACGTCTGGCTAATTTTTGTATTTTTAGTAGAGAAGGGGTTTCACCACGTTGGTCAGGCTGGTCTCGAACTCCTGACCTCGTGATCCGCCCACCCCGGCCTCCCAAAGTCTTGGGATTATAGGCGTGAGCCACCGTGCCCAGCTAGCTTACATTTAAATAAAGGGGACAGGCATTAAGTAAGTAAAACCTATAGCATAGGACCTAAAGTATAGGTCATTATAGGTCATGATAAATGTTAGAAAACATAAAGCAAGAAAAGTAGATAGGAATCACCTTTCCCACTGTAGCAGGACTATTTTCCACTGTAGCAGCACTATAAACATTATCACTACTACCTACGCAATAAACAAAAGTGATAAAGTACTTGACTGTGCTTTGAAGTGAAATATCTTATTCAATAAGTGGTATTAGGACAATAGTTAACTACCTGTGAAAAAACAAGGTTAGATCTCCCTCACTTCATACACCAAAATGAATACAACATAGATTAAAGAAAAGAAAACATAAACAACAATCTATAAAAGGTAAAAGAAAAATATGGGTGAACATTTATCTGATTATTCAATGGTGAAGTCCTTTGTAAGCATAAGGCTTAACTAAAAAGAATCCCACATTTATGGGATGTAAGATATAAGATGGCAACACTCCCCAAATTCAACACTATCTTTATCAAACTACCAGCTACCCTTTTTCCCCCAGAAATTAACAAACTGATTATAAAATTCATAGGGACATACAAGGAACCCAGAATAGCCAAAACAGTATGAAAAAGAGTAGCTGAAAGACTCACACTTCTTGATTATGAAACTTAACAATACAAACCAGAAGTAATGAGGATAGTATGGTACTGCTATGAGGGTAGGCATATTGATCAATAGAACAGATGTGAGAGTCAAGAAGTAAATCCTTATTATAATTGTGGTCAATCGACTTTCTTTTCCTTTTTTTTTTGTCTGGTTTATGTTCTCTCATGATTTTCAATAAGAGTGCCAAGATAATTCAATAAGGGGAAAGAATAGGCTTTTCAACAAATGGTGGTGAAACAACCGGCTATCCCACATGCAAAAGAATGAAGATAGACTCTACCTCATATCATATACAAAAAAATTAAATCAGAATGAATCACAAACCTAAATGTAAGAGCTAAGACTATAAAACTCTTCAAAGAAAACATGAAAGTAAATCTTCATGACCTTGGGTTAGGCAATGCTTTCTTAGATCACACCAAAGACACCAGCAACAAAAGGAAAAAAATTGGACATCAAAATTAAAAAATTTTGTGCTTCAAAAGACACTATCAAAAAAGTAAAAAGACAACCCACAGAATGGAAGAAAATATTTGCAAATCATATATCTGATAACGGACTTGTGTCCAGAATATACAAAGAACTCTTACAACTCAATAATAAAAAGACAACTAAAAATGGGCAAAGGGTTTGAGTGAGCATTTCTCCAAAGAAGATATAAATTGCTAATAAGCACATACAAGATGTTTAATACCATTAGTCATTAGAGAAATGCAAATCAAAACTACAGTGAGATACTACTTCATACCTACCAGGATAGCCAAAAGAAAAAAAGACAGGCAATAACATATGTCAGTGAGGATGTAGAGAAACTGGAACTCGTATATGTTGCTGGTGGGATTGTAAAATGACACAGCTGCTTTGGAAAGGAGTTTGACAGTTCCTCAAAATGTTATCAGAGAGTTACCATCTGACCCAGCAATTCCACTTCTAGGTACATATTCAGAAGAAATGAAAATACATGCCCATACAAAACCTTGTCCATGAATGTTCGTAACAGCATTATTCATAATGGCCAAAATGGAAACATCCCAAATATCCATCAACTGATGAATAAACAAACTATGGTATATCAATATAATGGAATATTCTGCAATAAAAAGAATAAATTACTGGTACATGCTACGAGGCTACAGATAAACCTCAAAAATATTCTGTTAAGTGCAAAAAGCCAAACAGAAAAGTTCACATTATATGATTTATATGAAATGCCAGAATAGGCAAAACCATAGAGACAGAAAGTAAATCAGTAGTTGCCAGGGGCTGGGAAGAGGACGGAATGGGGAGTGACTGCTAATGGGTATGGGGTTTCTTTTTGGGGTAATGAAAATGTTCTAAAATTAGAAAATCGCTGGGCATGGTGGCTCATGCCTGTATCTGAGCACTTTGGGAGGCTGAGGCGGGTAGATCACCTGAGGTCAGCAGTTCAAGACCAGCCTGGCCAACATGGTGATACCCCATCTCTACTAAAAATACAAAAATTAGCTGGGTGTGGTGGCTCATGCCTGTAATCCCAGCTATTTGGGAGGCTAAGAAAGGAGAATCACTTGAACCCAGGAGGCAGAGGTTGCAGTAAGCCAAGATTGCGCCATTGCACTCCAACCTGGGCGACAGAGTGAGGCACCATCTCAAAATAAATAAATAAATAAATTTAAAAAATTAGAAAATGGTGATGATTGCATAACTGTGAATAAATCAAGAATCATAGGCCTGTACACTTTAAAAGGGTGAAGCATACACATCTTAATTATATCTCAATAAAGCTATTATTAAAAAATAGATAATAAAATCAAAATGAGAAAATGTCAATAGATTTGATTACCCGTGAGTTAAACAACTTGTTCCATTAAAAACCTGAAAAATTATCCAAACCGGAAAAATCTGCGACACATGCCATATTTTATGAAACTGAAGATGCCATTGATTGTACCATTAATTTATATGCCCCTAAGAAAGAAAAACCTCCCAAGATGGGGAGTCTCCTAAGGGAGGCTCACCAAAGCTAGAACATTAAAGGGCTAGATCCTCCAAAACGCACCAGGGGCTGCAGTGAAACCCATGTTTTTCCAACCTTGGCACAGGGCTAAGAAAAGTGAAAAAAATCTTTCTTAAAAATTGGAAACACAGCAGGGCGCGGTGGCTTAAGCCTGTAATCCCAGCACTTTGGGAGGCTGAGGTGGGTGGGTCGCTTGAGGCTGGGAGTTCAAGACAGCCTGGCCAACACGACGAAACCCCATCTTTACTAAAAGCAAAAACCAGCTGGGTGTGGTGATGCATGCTTGTAATCCCAGCTACTCAGGAGGCTGAGGCAGAAGAATCGCTTAAACCCAGGAGACAGAGGTTGCAGTGAGCTGAAATCACGCCACTGCACTGCAGCCTGAGTGGTAGAGTGAGACCCTGTCTCAAAAAAAAAAAAAAAAAAAATTGGAACCACAAGCTGGTATTCATGTAGGCTTGCAGTCTCAATAAACACTATCTTATAGTCTATTTTAGGCCAAAGAAACCTTGGGCAAATAATTTACGGTGATGTCAATTTGACAGCAATTTTAAGATACCACTGAGAGAGTCAAATGTGGAAGAAAGTTTCCCTTAGAGTGAAATAAGGTTTAAAAAGGGGTTAATATCTTTAATACATGGAATTGATATTAATAATTCGGAAAAATAACAAACACCCAATATAAATGGTCAAATGTTACAAAGCTCAATTCTCAAAGGAACTACAAATGGCTAATAAACATGAATAAGGGTTGAACCTTACCAGTACTTACATGCAAAATAAAACAATCAGATAACATTTTTTACTTATCAGAGTGGCATAATTTAAAAACCACAATGCTGGCTAAGGGCTGGCAGAATACGGGCTCTCATGGCCTCGTGGGAACCTTCTGTGGCACAATCTATCTGCGCAGTTACGTGCATTTTATTACCCTAGTACCCCTTTCTTGGAATCCATTCTAAAGAAATAATCCTAAATTTGGACACAACGTTTATCTGAAATTATGTTCATAAACTATTAAGAAATAGAAAAAGGAGAAACAATGTAAATGCCCAATACTGAAAGAATGGTTAAATAGATTCTGGCAAAAAAAAAAATTAGATTACGTCACACTCATACAATTTTAATGTGTTGCAACTTCAAATGGTGCCTTGTAGAATATACAATGATATGAAAAATATAACATTATAAACTATTCATGTTATAATGTTATGTGAAAAAAGAGGACTATACCTAAAATTGTGTACCATTATGCTATCATTTTAACGTAAATACATAAAGTATAGAAATAAAGATTGGTAGAAAGTACATCAAAGTATTAGCAGTGGATATCTCTGGGTTGTGGCATTTCAAGAATTTTCATTTTTTTTTCATCTTCTTGTATTTTCCAAAATGTTTACATTGCAAGTGTTTGACTTTCATTAATTAAAAAATCTCCAATAAATATTACCAGGAAAATTTGTCTTATTTAAATATAAAACATGAACATTCTACTTTTTCAGTTGTGTATGGCTAAATTATCATGTTTTAGTTTATGAAATTGGACCACAGAATAGCAAAATGATAAAATAACTATATATAGGATTATTTTCTCCTTTCA
Organism: Homo sapiens; assembly: GCF_000001405.40. NCBI lineage: Eukaryota > Metazoa > Chordata > Mammalia > Primates > Hominidae > Homo > Homo sapiens. The sequence goes on along the minus strand of NC_000009.12, from coordinate 68,924,623 downwards.
CATATCTTAAAAACTTCCCACAGATACAACATATTCATTGTAGAAAATTTAATAAATATCAATATAAAGGAAAATAAGAGCCCACATACTCCCTTGATCTGGAATAAGCACTGTTAGCTTTGGGTTTAGTTTGCTCTTCTGTTTCTAGTTATTCAAGGTTTAAAGTTAGGGTATAGATTTGAGATTTTTCTTTTTTCATTTTTTTTTTTTTTTTTTTTTTTTGAGGCGCAGTGTCACTCTGTTGCCCAGGCTGCAGTACAGTGGCATGATCTCGGCTCACTGCAACCTCCGCCTCCTGGGTTCAAGCGATTCTCCTGCCTCAGCCTCCTAAGTAGTTAGGATTACAGGTGCATACCACGACGTCTGGCTAATTTTTGTATTTTTAGTAGAGATGGGGTTTCACCATATTGGCCAAGTTGGTCTTGAACGCCTGACTTCAAGTGATCTGCCCGCCTCAGCCTCCCAAAGTGCTAGGATTACCGCGCCCGGCCTCCTTTTTTTTTTTTTTTTTTTAAAGGTAAGAGTTTATAGCTATAAATTTTCCTCAGAGCACTGCCTTCACAGCATCCCATAAATTTTTGGTATGTTTGTTTTCCTTTTCATTCATCTTGAGGTTTTTCTAATTTCCTTGTAATTTCTTCTTTAACTCATTGCTAGTTTAAGAGTGTGTGGTTTAATTTTCAAATACTTGAGAAGTTTTCAGTTTTCACTGTTTATTGATTCATTCCATTGTGATCAGAAAAGATACTTTGTATGATTTCAGTCATTTAAAATGTACTGAGACTTGTTTTGTGGCCTAACATATGATCCATCCTAGAGAATGTCCTATGAGAATAACTGCTGTTTTGTATATTCCCTTAGAATTCTGCTGTGCATTTAAGGTATACAGACTGATAACTACATAAAAGGTAAATACATCTATATTTAGCAAACTAAATGTGCTAACACATCATTTTTATTGGGTGCATACTATTCCATTATTTGACTGTATCATAATATATTTAACCAATATATTATATGGTTGGACATTTAGATACCTTCTAAATTTTTTCACCACTAAGCAGGACTCTAATGATTATGGCATCAATAAACACCTGACTGGGTTACTTAACCATAATTACTAAGTGATTACTGCTGCAGGGAGAGAAATGTGTTAGTTCTTCCAATAAAAATCTTGCAAAGATACATAATGAAATTAGCTGCTAAAAGTAAAAAAAAAAATTCATAAGAATCTTACCTTGAATTTTCTTGAAAACTCTGGAATTCATGAACTTAAGAAATCTGTCTGCATAAAAGCTTGGTCTATGAACAGAAACAGTGTCCTGAAAAGACAAAAACCCAGGATCACAGGGTCACCTCTTAATGTTCATCTCAAGTCAGAAGAGAGATCTATGCAATTGGTTCTCTGTTAGCCAACATTCTTAACCAAAGGTGGCCCAGAGATAGAAAACAGGAATGTCCTGTAGCCCGTGGGGCCCAGGAGTCTGGGGCTGAGGGAGGAGGGCACAGACTCAATCGGAACAAAGATTCTAGACACTCAAGACCAAACTGAGCAGAGGAGAGTCAGCAAAAAAAACTGTGCTACATAAATCAAAACAGCTGCCCTTATTCATAACATTGTGTCCCAGGAGGAGTTTTTAAGTTCTTTTTTTACATACAGGCAACCAGTGCATCAAATGTCATCTGGAATGAAGGGTAACTCCCTTAATCATGAACAAAAATTGGAGACATAAACAAAACTATCCTAATGTAAGAGTGACATTGACGTTTAAGTTAAAAAAAGTTCTGGTTTCATCTCCCAATAGCAAGGTGAGGAGATGCTAGGAGGATTCCTAGGAGACAAGGCTAACAGATGACTCCTTTGCATTGAATTATCTGCTGATTGCATAGAGTTGAATTGAATTAAACTGTTAACTCCATTCTTCTCTCATGCTTGGCAGGAGTCTTTAGGGCTGAAGGGTCATTTGATTACAAATCCAGGAAAGGGGATAGATGAAGGGAAAGGAGGTGGATGAAGGAGCTACTTTTCTATGTTTATTTAGTAATCATTTATCCAAATCATGTATCCAAGCTGTACACTTGTAGACATAGTAAATTTGCTTCTATAATGCTTCATTTTGAATTCAGGCTTATGGATTCCAATAGAGAAATTTCTTTTTTTTTGAGACAGAGTCTTGCTCTGTCGCCAGGCTGGAGTGCAGTGGCGGATCTCGGCTCACTGCAACCTCCGCCTCCCGGATTCAAGTGATTCTCCTGCATCGGCATCATCAGTAGCTGCGATTACAGGCACCCACCACCACACTTGGCTAATTTTTGTATTTTTAGTAGAGGGGTTTTGACCATGTTGGCCAGGCTGGTCTCGAACTCCTGACCTCAAGTGATCTGCCCTCCTCGGCCTCCCAAAATGCTGGGATTATAGGCATGAGCCACTGCACCTGGCCCTGCTACATCTTTTAAAATGTACTCTTTCTGGTATCCTGGCAGTATCTGCCTGAAGTGGACACATTCTTCCAACAAGGCAGTAATTTAGAAATATCAGCAGAAGGCAAGAGCCTGAGGGGTATCCATAGAGGATTAAAGTTCAGCCGTTGCCTATAAAGAGAAGTTACATTGTTGTTCGCTTTGGCATGAATAAACATTGTTTAAGTAAGAGCCATGTCTGAAAACAAACAAAAATAGGTTCATGATATATAACCAGCACAGAAATTTTCATTAAAAAGAAAAGAAAAGCAGATGATAGGTATATTTTTTAATTTATTTATTATTTATTTATGACATGGAGTCTCGCTCTGTCGCCCAGGCTGGAGTGCAGTAGCACGATCTTGGCTCACTGCAACGTCTGCCTCCTGGGTTCAAGCGATTCTCCTGCCTCAGCCTCCCGAATAGCTGGGATTACAGGCATGTGCCACCACGTCTGGCTAATTTTTGTATTTTTAGTAGAGACAGGGTTTCACCATGTTAGCCAGGCTGGTCTCGAACTCCTGACCTCAAGTGATCCGCCCGCTTTGGTCTCCCCCCAAAGTGTTGGGTTTTAAATAGAGAAAGGTGGGGGGCCCTTAGATGCACCTGGTTGGTACAAGACTAGACGATTCAGATCCATCTGGTAACAGGAAATTGAAATGGTCTCAGAAAACAGGAGGGGAATGGAATGAGGGTATTCACTCTCTCCCCTTCAATGTTCGAGGTACTATGTATGCAGTCCCTTCCTTTCTCAGCTGGAAGGAAACATTAAATTAACCTACCATATTGACCTTCTTTCATAGGAGGAATTTTTGATCTCAGTAAGATTGAGGTTAATTCTTTTTTTTTTTAATTAAAAAATTTTCTTTTAGAGACAGGGTCTTGCTATATTCAAGACTGGACTTGAACTCCTGGGCTCAAGTGATCATCCTGCCCCAGTCTCTTGAGTAGCCAGGACTACCAGCACATGCCCCTACACCCAGCTTAGAGGTTAATTCTTGGAAATAAATGTGTGAACCTGTTGTTTAAAAGTGCATTATGACTGAAGTCAGTCCTTAGCGGTGGACAAAATGTAGATCTTTCATGCTGAAAGGTTATTAACAGTCTTCCACAGAACTGAGAAATTATGGGCTCCTTTCCAAGAAAGAAGAAGAAGATCATCTATAATTTATTCTCTTTCAAAAGAAAGTATCTGCTAACATCTTAAAAGGAAATGTGTGACCAAATCCTTGACCAAAATATTCTTTGGAATTGCTACTTCAAGTTATTAACTTAGGCCAATAAATGTTGTTAGTAGCAGGAAGTAGAAATCTAATGTCTAGATGGGACTGCGTGTGTGTGTGTGTGTGTGTGTGTGTGTATGTGTGTGTATGTGTGTGAGAGAGAGAGACAGAGAGACAGAGACGGAATGGGAGAAAGAAGGAGAGAGAAAGATGGGAGAAACTGCTCTTTGTTAACTGATTTTTTTCTTCAGTTACATCAATTAAGACATTCTTGGCTGGGCGCAGTGGCTCACATCTGTAATCCCTGCACTTTGGGAGGCCAAGGCAGGTGGATCACCTGAGGTCAGGAGTTCGAGACCAGCCTGGCCAACATGGCGAAATCCTGTCTCTACTAAAAGTACAAAAATTAGCCAGGCGTCGTGGCACGCACCTGTTGTCCCAGCTACTCAGGAGGGTGAGGTAAGAGAATTGCTTGACCCTGGGAGGCAGAGGTTGCAGTGAGCTGAGATTGCACCACTGCACTCCAGCCTGGGTGACAGAGCAAGACTCCATCTCAAAAAAAAAAAAAAAAAAAAAAAAAAGACAACCTCAGGCAGCCAGCATGTATAAATGTTGATGTAGAAATCCATACCAATTAAAAAGTTTTCACTTTCTCTGTGTATTTGTTAGGCATTGTGTTGAACACTGAAATGCATTTTTTTGTCCCATGTTCACACCAAGCAGGTGTCATTACTATCCCCCTGGTACAGGTGAGAAACAAGGGTAAGAGGCCAAATAACCAGCATTGTGCCTGGTCACATGGCTAGTTCAGCAGTGAATGCAGAGTTCAAATCCAGGCTGTTCACCATCAGAGTCAGGACTCACACTTACTGTAGCTTGGTTGTGTGAGAACTTCATTTCAAATGCCCTACTGATCATCCCTACAAAAAAAGACCTCTCTCAAAGTTAGGTCCTTTGGATTTCACATAGACACAGATATCATTTTGTTTTTCTGGCCGCTAGGCTGGATGTCATGTATTTGAAGAGCTATTCAAATTTATGTTGTCCTTATTCTTAGATTTGAACTGATCTACTAACCTAAGATTCTGAGTTTATAAAGACCGTTGTTTCATTTCCTCTTAGAGTCTAGCAACACAGTTTCCTGCACATACTCTGAAGTCTCTGAGAAAGCAGAAATATATACAGTATAATAAGGAAAATAAGTCACTTACCCCATCATAAACAAGAGCTTTCCAGGAATGTTCTAACTTCTTCATTAACCTAAATATAAATGGAAAAATTGAAATGAGAATGTAAAATCACTCTCATTTGGTGATTTTTCAGAACCTTTTGTAGATTGATTTTGAAATAATAAAAGACCACTCCTCAAACTTCTTACCTATATGATTGCAGAATGTCAATAATGCCCATAAATAAAAGTAGTTTTTCTCCCCTATGGCTTTTAGCTGGAATGCCTCCCATTCTGTTGATGGAGCAAAAGAGAAAATATTTGATTACATATTATAAGAATAGGAAGTTAAAAAATCATTTCTAATAAATAGACTGAAAATAAAAATTGACAATTTTTAAGAATTCTGGGCTATCTCCCATTCATCTTTTTTTTTTGTTTGTTCCTTTTTGTTTTTGTTTTTTGGCCATCAGTTAAGGTCATCCTGGGAATCCAGAATGATGTATTAATACTTCCCTACAAAGGAGAATAATATCGTAGCTGCTAACCGTGAAGAGTTGGATGGGAAGAATCCAATTTAAAACTTATTCCTACTTTAAAACTATGAGCAAGAATTTTTAGACCATTATAAAATATTCCTTTTAAAAAATGCAATACTTTTTTCTGATCAAAAGAGTAATGTATGTTTACTTTTAAAAATAAAATACAGAAAAACACAAAGAAAAAATATAATTAAACAGTTATTCCTAGGATGCAAAGATAACTACTTAATATCTGGTATGCTTTTCTAGTATGTGTGTGTGTGTATGTATTTATTAGTCAAGAAAAGGTATTATTTATCATGTTTTATAACCTGATTTTTTTACTTGCTAAATGACAAACATTTCCTTATATTCAATGCTAGCGTGGTTTTTAATAGCCTTATTGTATTTCACCATACTGATATAGGATAATTTAACTGATTATTGGACAGTTAGATCGATTTGCAAGAAAGAACTTTTCAAAAAATATTTAATATGTGTTAATTTCCTTTACAAAAATGAAATATGCCCATGGTTTAGTCATCGTTGGAGAATTCTAGAAGGCAGGCACTTATGGCCTTGGAAAATGATTGCTTTCTTTCAGTCTCCTTGCTCAGCTAGTACACATAACTGATGCAGTCTGCCATTTCAATAACTTACTTTGGTTGCAGTTGTTTCTGTTAGTCAATATGCATTTTACACATGCAAATTAATCCTGTAGTTACTACCACATCTGGCTGAGACGAGAGACCACATCTGTCAGGGTGCAGGACTAGAACAACAGAATCCCCTTAGGCAGACAAAAAGCTCTGAATTGCGAACATCATTCTTATTGTGTATTTGCTTAAAACATCTTTACTCAGGCTGGGTGCAGTGGCTCATACCTATAATCCCAGCACTTTGGGAAGCCAAGGCAGGTGGATCACATGAGGCCAGGAGTTTGAGACCAGCCTGGGCAACATGGTGAAACTCCATCTCTACTAAAAATACAAAAATTAGCCAGGTGTAGTGGTGCATGTTTGTAATTCCAGCTACTTTGGAGGCTGAGGCAGGAGAATCGCTTGAACCTGGGAGGTGGAGGTTGCAGTGAACTGAGATGGCACCACTGCCCTCTAGCCTGGGTGACAGAGTGAGACTCTGTCTCAAAAAAAAAAAATAAATAAATAAACAATAAAACATGTTTATTCAAATTCAAAGTCTATTCCTTCCTCTTGTGGTGAATGTTTTGAATATGTAGTTAATGGGGACAAAAACATTTTCAGCCATTGTTAAAAAAAGAAACCAAGTGGGTGAAGGAGTAATAACTGGAGAAACTGCCACTCATCTAGTTATCTTTAGATGAATAGAAATGGAGACCAGTTTAACCCATTTTAGCACCAAGTAGAAATTAATTCCTAGAGTCCCACCCTAAGGTGAATGTGACTGTCTATAATTACCCAGTGACGTGGGCTGCCACAGTCAAGAGGGTGGGTAGGTGTGTGGCTGCACTTACGTGTCTGGGTTCTCTGTGATTATCCCATCTCCAGATTTCCCTGGACCCTGGATAGATTCCATGGCTGTTGAGTAGAGAACCTTCTGCATCCCAGTCCGCTTAGCATCAGGCACATTTTGTGGGGTCTCCTCCTCTTTCTCTTTGAGGGAATGGTCCAGGAAATGAATTCCCAACAGAAGGCTATAATCCATGATCTTGAAGCTTTCTAGCACCTGAATGAGAAAAAGAACCAGGAAGCCAGTCAACCCAAAGGCCTGTTCGTCTCATCTACTCATTATCAGAGAGCTCTAGATATACAGACACACAGCTCCTGTTATTCCTCCCAGCGGGGTGGCTGAGAGATGAAGAATCAAAATAAAAACACTTGAGGTTATTATTAGGCCACATGCAGGAAGGATTATCACAATGGCTCCAAGATGGGAATTTTATGCAAATCTGAAACAAGCACATGTTTTCTCAACCCTCCATGAAAGTTTCACTAATAGCACGGATTGAGTACTTTCCATGTGCCAGTGCTAGGAAGCTCATTTGCATTCAATCTCAACAACTCTATAAGCTAGGTACTACTATTGTCTATTTTACAGATGAAAAACTGGAGGCACAGAGAGATAAGGTAATCTGCTCAATATCACACAGCACATAAGTGACAGAGACCCAAGCAGTCAACTCCGGTGTCCACACTCTTAAGCAGTAGAGCAGAGAAACCAACAACCAATAGTCTCTACAAGCTTGTAAGTTTGTACGCTTGTATCTTCCTCAGCATGAAGACACAGCTAGAATGTATCTTTTCTAGCTGAATGTATCTTTTCTATGTCTGAATTCTGTTCTCATAAACTTCTTGGAAGTTAGTGGTCTTCTTCTCAAAACCTCTTTTTTTTTTTTATTTTTGAGACAGAGTCTCGCCCTGTCGCCCAGGCTGGAGTGCACTAGCGCAATCTCAGCTCACTGCAACCTCTGCCTCCCGGGTTCAAACGATTCTACTGCCTCAGCCTCCCAAGTAGCTGGTATTACAGGTGCCCGCCACCACACCCAGCTAATTTTTGTATTTTTAGTAGAGACAGGGTTTCACCATGTTGGCCAGGCTGGTCTCGAACCCATGACCCCATGATCTGCCTGCCTCGGCCTCCCAAAGTGCTGGGATTACAGGTGTGAGCCACCGCACCCAGCCCTCAAAGTCTGTCTTTCGAAGGTGCCGTTCAGTTCCCTGTAGCAAGTCCTTTAAAAATATAATCTCAACAAAGCATAGTACTTCATGTTTAATTATCCACTCAGCAGACAGTGGGGAGGCAAGGGAATTAAAAATAGTTGGATGCAGCCAGACAAAAGAGATGGCAATGCTCTGAAAAGAAAATGACAGGAGACAAAGGTCTGGGTCCGAGTCTGTTGAGATGGCTTCAGGGTATAGGTGGGGCTTTGACACTCAGGACCTTTTCAGACGGAAGAGCAGTGTTCAGGAAGAATGCCTGCAAACTGGGTGTTTTCCTCTATGATAAAGTTCTTTTTCTACTAGTCTGTATATGATTCTCCCCTACAACAGACTTCTTAATACCTGGTATTTCTCACACAAAGCTGCTCAGAAAAGCAAGACAACCCTGGTTGTCAGAACGGCTGTCTCTGAACCAACATGAGAAGCTGTTCCTATACTTTAGCTAGGAAACACCCTGAAGGATCATAGCCTATAGATAATTGTTTAGGGATAAAATAATCCAGAATTTCTTGTGCTTCTTGTTCTTGTTCAGCCCAACTGCCTTTTGATATTTATGATATAGTAAAGAGGGGATCAGGCCTGAAGATTCAGTTACCTGTGGCTGCCACTTCATGGATGCCACCTGAGAAAAGGCTTTGTGAAGTATGGCATATGGCCTTCAAGAAATAGGTTATTCTGTATTACAGGCATCTTTGCCATCAATGAGAACTGAGAGTGGGCTGCAAATGGGTATCAATTATTCCAGAGGGTTCACACTTCATCTTTCAAAAAGTCAAGTTCAGAAGGGAGTCAGGCAGGAGCTCAGAGTAGAATCTTATCACTTAAGAGGTTTGGGCTGTGGGATTTCCTAACCCAAGTGATCTAAGAATGGCTTGATAACAATGTGGAACCAGCCTTCCTAATGGAAGGAGGAGTGATGTCAAGTTGGAGGAGGAAGGGAGGGGTGATAGGAAATCCTTCTTACCACTGATCCAATGCTTGAGTACCAGACCCTTTGGCTGGTTCTCCATGGAGGTGTTATCAGTGCCTCACTGCACCATACAGTAGCACAGACCATGGGAGAAAGAAAGACTGTTTTATGTCAGAAGCACCAAGGGCCAGACTCTTAAAAGAAAACACTAACAGATATTAGATGCTTTCTTCAGACAGAAACAAGTGGTAGAAGGGCCTTAACCTTTCTAATTCTCAACCATACTGAAATGATGGCTTGGCAACAGTACCCCCCGAGACAGCTTCAACAACTCTTCACAATGAATGACCATTTGCAGATGCTAACTTCCCTACTCATATTTATCAGTGCTAGCGCTTCCTTTCTCGGAGAGACTTGGATAAGGACATGGGGGATGAGGGATGAAGAGCATGGACTCTGTGACCTTAGGCAGGTCACATCATCTCCTTGTGTCTCAGTTTCCTCATCTGTAAAATGCTGACACTATTACATATCATATAGGGTGCTTGTAAAAATTAAATGTGACAATGCAAGTCAAGTGCTTAGAAAAGTCTCTAGCATAAAGTGCTTAATTAATTGCTAGCTCTTATCACTATGATTATAATTCACGGTGACTCATCCCTCACACTAGCTCAAGAGACAACAGGTGTTCGCTTGAAGTAAACATTCCTAGAATTACACTTCTGAAAACAAATGTCACTAAATTAGCCAACAAAAATAGAACTGTATTGCTGGCCTGCTTACCAGTGTCATTCTGGCAAATCCTAATTCCTTTAGAAGCTCTGGGTTTGTGGATACCAAGGGGTATGGCCTGGATGGCTGACAACACAGGAATTTTCTCTTGTCTTTTTCTTTTTATTTATTTATTTATTTGTTTATTTTTTTTATTGAGATGGAGTCTTGCTCTGTTGCCCAGGCTGGAGTGCAGTGGTGCAATCTCGGCTCACTGCAAGCTCCACCTCCCGGGTTCACACCATTCTCCTGCCTCAGCCTCCCGAGTAGCTGGGACTACAGGCGCCTGCCACCACGCCTTGCTAATTTTTTGTATTTTTAGTAGAGACGGGGTTTCACCATGTTAGCCAGGAAGGTCTCAATCTCCCGACCTCGTGATCTGCCCGCCTCAGCCTCCCAAAGTGCTGGGATTACAGGCGTGAGCCACTGTGCCTGGCCAGGAATTTTCAATTGGCAAAAACACAGTCTTCTGCCCTGCACAGCCCAAAGCATCCTCCAAAGCAGTAAGCTGGCTTCAAAAGCAGGTCCTAAGAAGACTCTGACAATACTGTGGATGTTCCCAAAAGGCACCCAGAATCATTTACTCAAGTTAGGAGTGGTCAAGCTTAAAAACATTCCGGACACCATGATTTTCCTCCACAGAGTATCCATGAATGAATTCTGCTTGTTAAAAACCTTTGTTTTTTTTAAAAAAATGCTTTTTTTATATTGTCATGCAATATTCAACCTCTGCAAAGCATTTTCCTCAGCAAAGCATCCATGAATTAATTGTTAAGAAGATTTTTTTAAAAATGAAATACTTTTTCTTATATTTTTCCTGCAATATTCAACCTGAACCATGTGTTTTGTACTTGCAGTCTTTTTTCCCGGCCCATGAACAGGCCTAAGAGAACTGTGCAATTTTACAGGTGAGACAAAGTCAGGCTGTGTGGTCCAAACTGAACTATTGGATAAAGTAAGACACTATCCTGATCCTGTAAGGGGTCCGATTTTTTTTTTTAAAGAATAAATTCCAAGAGAGAATTAACTTTTGAAAAAGTGATAAAAAATATTAAAAAGAGCTTCATCTCCTCTGTACTCTTCTTTTGGATTGCCAGCATCTGGGAAGGGTGCTGAGTTGTCCTCGTGAGGCCAAGACCCCTACTTTCAGTGTGGAAGGCTTAAAAAAAGAAATTCTATCCCCATATGTGGAAAGCTGGCCATTGCAGTTAGAGTTTGGGTTGGGAAAAATCACCATCGATTAAGAAATCTGAAGGAACAAAAAGAGAAATGTATATGCATATATTTTAAAACAAATTAAAAGGCTTCTGTAATGAGAAACTCTGGGAACAGATTTTAGTCACGTACTTTTAAGATTTGCATCAATTAGGAACAAAATAGTTCCGTTACTCATATCATCCCAGTCCTTTAATTAAAAGAATTGATAAATCTGCCAACAACTTAACATGTGTGAGCTTTAAGAGTTAGCAACATTCTGCAACATGACAGACACCAGTTAGTCCAGTTCATCACTCAGGTGCACATTTCCAGAATGTCTGCCTGACCTTACTGTTGCTAGTATATTCTGTACCTGTGCATTTACTATTCAAAACTCAGGTTACAATGCAAATACAGGTGCCTTTCCGTCTAGCTCTGGCAGGACTTTACTTCCCTACTTGTAAAAAAAGGAAACAGGAATGATTCACAGAACTATTTAAAACTGAAAGCAAGTTGGAATACTGCAAGGCTTTCTATTGCCAAAGTCAGATTCTTTCTTCCTTCTCTCTCAAGGACTAATTTAAGTCAATAACAACATTGGAATGTAGTAAAAAAGTCAATGTCAAAGTCAATGTCAAAGCAGCTGCTAGAGTACCCTGAAGACACAATCAAAAACTACCTGTTCTTGAAATGAGAGCATATTCCTCAGGTTTTCATGACTGGTGATGCATGAGTGTTCCTGTAACTTCTGTAGATTTGGGGACCTAATGTGGAAATATCCTAACTCAGAATCATAGGCATTGCCATCCTCTCTTCATGACTAAAGGCTACAAAGAGCAGCTGGTCCTCCTTTTGCTTTTACATCTTTAACACCACATCACACTGCAAACTATCTTCTGTCTTACTGCTAGCAGGAGCTGGTGTGGCTGCAGGGTGGTTCAGTCTCCTTGCTCTGGAACCAGATGGCCTGGTTTGACTCATGGCTCCCCCACTTGCTTGTTTTTGGGCAAAGTATTTAACATTTCTGGTATCTATTCTCACCTGTATTATCTCTATAATAGGGATTCCTACCAAATAATTCCTACCAAAGTTACTGTGAAGATTAACTGAGTTAATCCGTGCCAAGTCTTAGGCACACAAAAAGCACTCAATTAATGTCAGCTATTCATGTTATTCCTCCACCTGCAGAATCGATCCCTATGACCAGCCCACCTTGAATCTCCCCTCTCCCTTAGCTATTGTGCCCTGGCTTCTCTTGGTTCTTTGTCTATTTGACTTTTCCACTTTTTCTTCCTGTGCCCTAAAGATGTTCACCCAAAGCTCTCTGTTTTTTCTACTTTCTAGTACTTACATTCATTGACTCTTTTGTTGGAAAAAAAAATGTTTGAGTGCCACGCACTGTGGAAGTTGATGGATCTTCAGGGATAAAACAACAGATAATTATTCCATACTCAACATTAAACAAGCCCGAATTACACATTGTAATAAGGCCTGGAGGGAAAAATCAGAGAGCTGTGGGAAGATCCCACAGGAAGTACCTACTTTCGACTGGGGGGTATTTCAGCAGTCCAGGTAAGAGAGGGTAATACTTGAATGAGTAGGGGCAGCTGGGGAGCTCGAGGGAGAAGTGGATAGATTTGAGATCTTCTTAAAGGTAGATTCCAATTACCATCTTTCTACAGAAAATTCCTAAATTGTTGCATTTAATCTGACTTCATTCCTAAGCTGCAGCCCAATATATTTCCTTCAGAACATCTCTAAACTTCTTTTTTAAATTAAAAAAATATTTTTTTGAAACAGAGTCTCACTCCATCACCCAGGCTGGAGGCAGTGGTGCAAACATGACTCACTGCAGCCTTGACCTTTTGGGCTCAAGTGATCCTCTCATCTCAGCCTCCCGAGTGGCTGGAACTACAGGCACATGCCACCACACCTGACTAATTTTTTGTGGAGATGGGGTTTTGCCTTGCTGCCCAGGCTGGTCTTGAACTCCTGGGCTCAAGCGATCCAACCACCTCGGCCTCCTAAAGTGCTGGGATTACAGGCATGAGCCACCATGACCATCTAAATGTCTACACATGGCCATGCTATAACCCTAAATTCTTACCTCACTCCAAAGCAGTTCTTTTTCCTCACTTCCCTCTTTTATTTGAAATCATTCTAATGCGATTTCATACTTCATGGCTACTTTTCCTTCACTGAGTCACCCAATCCTGCAGCTTCTATTATCAAAACGTTCCTTCTCTCTAATGATAATGAATTAATTTCAGTTTCCCATTCTTTTTTTTTTTTTTTTTATTTGAGATGGAGTTTTGCTCTTGTTGCCCAGGCTGGAGTGCAATGGCATGTTCTCGGCTCACTGCAACCTCCGCTTCCCGGGTTCAAGCAATGTTCCTGCCTCAGCCTCCCAAGTAGCTGGGATTACAGGCGTGTGCCGCCATGACCAGTTAATTTTGTATTTTTAATAGAGACAAGGTTTCTCCATGTTGGTCAGGCTGGTCTCGAACTCCTGACCTCAAGTGATCCACCTACCTCAGCCTCCCAAAGTGCTGGGATTACAGGCGTGAGCCACCATGCCTGGCCCAGTTTCCCATTCTTTCCTCACAAACCCATTCCTGACATCTGTGCTTGACCAGGTCACATCACATCCCTACTCAAAGCCTTCAGTCTCTCACCACTGCTTGGTGCCAGTGCTTCAATTTGACATAGAAAGTCCTCACTAATATGGCCCTAGCCAATGTCTTTTTGTTACTTAATGCCTGGCTAGAGACATTTGCCAGGCTAGTCTAACTGGAGCTCTTTACCCCTGAATGTGCTCTGAAGATGTAAACTCTGATGCTTCTGCTCATGTCGTTTCTTCTAGATGGTCCTTACCATCTTTTCAAATCCTACTGTTTTTTCAAAGCCTGTCCCCACTCCATGCAAATTTACTAATGATTTCAACAAACTATTGGGATATGTCTCCCCTCTGAAGACCCAAGCACATTATTAGTGTCCCTCTGTCATATAAAATTCTACCTCAGGTTACACCTATATTCTTTGTATCATACACACAAGACTTCATTTCTCAACAAAGACTGGTTTGACTTAGTGCATTTTGCTGTGTGCTCTGAACACAGTAGGAATGAATATTTGTTATACTGCTTTCCACATGTATAAGTAAGTGAAAACCAAAATATTCAGCAATAAAGAATGTAAAACACTACACCCTGTATCTTAAATATAAGAACTTGATACCTGTGCATCATGATTACAATGCCCATGAACAAATTTTTGGCACTAAAAACATTTACTGTGATTATGTGCTCTGTGTTGTCAGAAAAATAAAGATAAAAGCCTACAGTGCTTTCAAACCTACCCACACCATAGGTATTTTATATACACTGTGTCAAGGGCAAAAATCAAGCTGATATTTATAGAGATTCTTTTGATTTACTGTTTAGTAGGCATACAGCTAAATGGCAGATAAAAGGCAAAGTTGTTTTGCTATAAATTAGGCTGAGCTTTGAGTCTAGTAAGACTATCACATTTTTCTTTAGGAAGCCTTTGCAAGAACAGCATGTCACAGGCTTGGTCAACTGTGAAGGCTCTTTAATCATCCAAGAACGCTTGGTGCTGGCCCTAAGATGGAACACATCTCAAGGCCTTCTTAGTTTTCCTGTCCTCTGCTCCCTTGTCATAGGGGTTCTTATGGAAATTAACCCATTCAATACGTATTTTATTGCGCACCTACTATGTGACAGGTACTCTTTTGTTTAAAATTCCTTTGTGCAGTCTAGCAGACATATAATAAAATTAGAACATCCCCATTTTACCACTCCTGATGAATGAATGAGTCTAATCAGTGGTCATCAACAGGTACTAACATTGCAGAAAGAAAGGCATTCTGACATGATGTGCCTCCTGATGAGGGGAGACATCAAATATGAAGTCAGACCTAAATCTGACTGACTCAACCTGTAGGATCCTACAATCCATTTACAGAAAAAACGCACAAGAGAGGAGTGTGTTAAATGAAACAATGTGGTGTAATCAGCAAAATCCAGATGCTCTGGGATAAACAAACCAATATCTTCAACAAATACTTTCAAAATGAAAAAATCAGAGTGACAAGGAACTTAGCAAGTAGATTCTATTTAAATCCTGATCCAAACCACAAAAAGTTGTTTCTGAAACAATTAGAAATTTGAACACTGACATTTGATGATTAGTAAGAATTATTAATATTTTTAATCCATTATAATGGTATTGTAGTTTTTTTTTTTTTTAAAGAGTCCTTAGCTTTTAGGGATTCCTACTAAAGTACATATGAGTAAAATGATGTGATGTCTTGGATGTGTTTCAAATTATATGGGAAGAGAGGCAGTTAAACAAACAAACAAACAAACAAAAAAACCTAGATTGGCCATGAGTTAAAAATAGAGCACAGAGTATATGTGGATTCATTACAATATTTGGTCTACTTTTACATATTTTTATTGTATAAACTTTTCAAAATTAAAGTTTAGCGTGCTATTTTGAAATGCTTAGATAAAATGCACGTCTATACCTGTTTAGCATTAACTTACCCTTTGCCAATGATGAGCTAGAGATGGCAGAGAAAAAAACAGAAATTAATAATTTGGGATCTTAACTAAAGTGGTTAAAGCAGAAAACTTGCTATGTTCCATCTCACTTGATCAATCTTTGATGGAAGATCTGCAAAATAACCAAATTAACAAAATGTGGAGCTGACAGGAAGATGTATCAAGGGTCCTGAGTAATGTTTCCAGTTGGCCTAGAATCTAGTTCCTGAACAAGGAGTTAATGATTGGCAAATACATTTTTGTTAATTCAATAATGTCAGAAAATTCAAAATAGTGTCCTGGAGATTTTATGCAAATAGACATTTCTGAAAATACTGGTTTAGGGAAAAATGAATCCAAGGGCCTGCCATTCCTCACAAAGTAGACCCCTCAGAATACAGTTCTAGAATTCCTTGTATTGTGCCAGTTTAGTTAGAGCCAAACACTTTCTTTTCAATTTAATTAAATTTCTTCAGTAAAGCTCAGTGTTCTTTGCTAATGTCATAATGAGAAAATACAGGCTGTGACAAGCCATACAATTTTGGCTGGCAAAGCAGAATGAAATAAATATTAAATCCTTGTTTTGGCAATAATGTGTTTTTCATGGTGTGTATGCCGTGATTTAGAACTTGGGCTGTACTGGATTAACCTGTACCAAGGCTTTTTTTTTTTCCACACTTAAAAATAGCCATCCATCATTTAAAAAGATTTCATATACATGTATATATATAATGTGTGTGTATGTGTGTGTGTATGTATATATATATATATATTCACCAGCTTCCTATGCTGGATGAATTTGGTTTGTTTTCTTTATAAACACTTCATTTCTTCAAATAAAGATGTCTTCATAAATTATTTTGTAAACAGGTTTAAAAGTAATATTTTATGTTAAAATGTCACATCCTTCTCATTATATGATATATCTTCTTGTTGGCTTTACTATGAATGATTTACTTCATTGTGGCTTAACTGGTACGTCAGCAGAGAGCCCAGGCATAGGCCAGCTGTCTTGTGAGACTCAGAGGCCACACTTGGTCCAAGCACCCACATCCACGTCCATGTGTGAGGTAAAATTCTGGAACCCTCACCACTGTCTGCTACAGCCCACCAACTCTGGTAAACTGCCTTTCTTGGTAAAAAGAAAAAAGTACTTACCCTTCACCTTTCATATTACTCTATGGACAAAGAAAGAGAAGAAGAATGGAAGAATCTGTCCGTGATAAATAAGACCTTGATGGTTTAGACTTAGTGTTTAAACTCTAAGCTTCTTAGAAAAAGGACTACATCCTATTCATTTTTTGTACCTCCCACAGGTCTTAGCACAGAGCCTTCTACAGAGAGAAAATTCGGAACTGTTTGCTGAACAACATGTAATTAATTCGGCAGGAAGGTAAGGCAGAATTTATCAACTGAGATTCCTGTGGTTGTTTAAGGCTAAAGAAAACTGGCTGATCCATGCTCTAGGATTGTTGAAGCTTTCATAGAGCAGGAAAAATCTGAGGCCCGGGAAAGTCACCATCGGTATTGAGAAACAATATCTAAGAACAGCAAGTACCTACAGAGTGAGTTTTAAAAGAAGTGATGGAAAATCCAGGTTCTGAGAATTATCATTAGAAAAAAAAATCATTTGGAGTCTTATTTACTTTTTAATATTTATTTTAATATTTTTTTAAATATTTATTTTAATATATGCACATGATCAAAACTAAAGAAGGTACAAGAGTGGCTCAACATGACACAGTTGAAAGCCACACTTAGCATGAAGGTGACAGTTAAGGCAGAGCTGGAATGCGTGAGTATGGAGAGGCCTGTGGCAATGTTCTCAGCTCTGTGTGTCCACATGGGACAAGGACCCTATGTTTCCAATGGTGCTCACCTAAAAAATGGAGGATAAAACAGGGACAGTTCACACCTACCCTGAGAGAGTTCAACTTTGAATAAACAGAATATTTAACTGGAGGGGTGACTGTCTAAACCAGAAGAGACTGCAATATTACTAACTGATAAGTTTCAGTTTGAGGAAGTGGATGCTAGTAGGGAAAAGGATTCATAGATAATTAAGTAACTACATTTTCCCCGCACATCTGAGTGGACAGAGAGTAAATCTGCAATCTGGAATCACTGCTTTTTCTGGTCTTTGAAAATTTGATTGTAGACCTTTTTCTGAAATTGCTAACAAACTAGAAAAAAAAGTTGGATAGCCAATTCAGAATGAGGAATATCAGAGGATGGAGAATCTCTGTGTCTAAAGAACTCCCGTCATCATTTGAAGAGAGATCACCAAGTGCTTATGAAAATGCAGCAAACACTGAGTTGGTCGTGATAATGGTTTGTCCTTGGAACATCTGGAGCTGGCTGAATATGGGCAAAGTTTACAAATGAGGTCTTTGTGTGGAGAAATGAAGAGAGGAAGTTAACGAGATGTAGAATCATTCCAGCCAGGCTCGCATTAAGGCTGGATGAAGATATTTTAAATAAACGTTCAGTTTTAACTTCTCTGTAGCCTGAGTAGCTATGGACAATTGATCTGTCCAGTGAAGTACATATCCCTTTTAAAACACATTTCTGATGTATACATGTAGAAAGTTCGCAGATGTATCCTTTTTATGAAAAGTTGAATGTTATATATCAATTCATGAATAACAGATTGTCCTTGGCCATTTCATTCTCATGGAGGGAGACATTCCCCCCACGGACATTTTCTACCTTGTCACTTAGAAATGCAGTATTTGAAGGGACAAAAATGAGGAGAGAAGAGTTATCCTTGCTCGATCAAAACACTAAATTTGGCCGAGTACAGCGGCTCACACCTGTAATCCCAGCACTTTGGCAGGCCAAGGCAGGTGGATTGCTTGAGCCCAGGAGTTCCAGACCAAATTAGGCAACATGGTGAAATCCTTTCTCTACAAAAAATACAAAAATTAGCCAAGTGTGGTGGCATGTGCTTGTAGTCCCAGCTACTTGTGAGGCTAAGTTGGGAGGATCGCTTGAGCCCAGGAGAGAAGGTTGCAAGTGAGCCATGAGCATGCCACCAAGCTCCAGCCTGGGCAACAGAATGAGACTCTGTCTCAAAATTTAAAAAAACACTAAATTGAAAAATGTCTTTGAAGGAAGAACACTGGTGATATCAAAGGGACACTCAGTTGCAGGGTAGAAGGGCATGTAAAGAGTGTGGACTGATACTGACAGGGATGAAGAGCCATATACGTGGCCCCAAACCTCTCAGAAGCCAGTATGGGGTGATCTTTTCTGAAAGGTTCAGAACCACTGGATGTCCAAAGTACTTTACTTTTCACAAGGTAATCGTGCAGGCCCTGGTCCTACAGCACCATCGGTACTCCATAAATGTGCCCTGGATGTTGAATGAATAAAATTAAGCCCTATAAAATCAAACTGATTTTACTCTTTATTCTTTAAGCCTAAGTTGAAAGCTTCTGGGAGGAAGACAAGGTCATGTCTGACAGGTACACAATGCACTGGGTAATGTATCACAAGGCACATTTCTGAACCATTTTTTAAACTTTGTAATATTTTCCTAGACCTTGGAAACTCTCAAATATGCCTTAAATCTCTGTAACTCAGTCCCTCACTAGCTTCCAGAAGTTCCTCCCAAGGTATGGAGCCTCAATTCCATTTTGTAAATCACCAGGGTTTGCTGCCCCTAACATCTCTTTTGGATTGGCTGTTGGCAACTCTGCCCTGTTTTGCATCATGATCTGTATGACTGGCTTACGTCAGAATCCACAACCAGATCCACAGCAGCCAACCTCAAAGCCTTTCCAGATACATCTTCAAAGCCAGAGTTGCTACCATCAGGCCCCGTGTGGCCACTTCCCCTTCCTGCCATAGCTTTCCTCTCTGCACTCCCAGGATTCTCAACAGGGAGGAGAAGAGGGGTCCTTGGGGGCATTTCCTTCCCTTTGCTCCCTCCCCCAAATACTTTGTGGGTCTTTCCGCTTGGGGCCTATATTGACCTTACTCCTACACTTAGGGTCATCTAATCAGAGACCAGTAGGTTCTTTTTACAAAAAAGCCAGAAACTCTAAGTAGTAGATATAACATTGTTCTATTTCATAAGCCCAAAGATTTTAGCTCTCCTTAACTTGAATTATTGCATATATAAATTTCTGTGGGACAAGTTACTTAAAATGAAAACTTGCTAGACACATAACAACAAACTCAGGAAATGCTTCAACTCTCCAATCTTTAGGTAATATCTCTTTTAGGAAGAAAGGAAAAGGAGTTTATTTCTTAGAGCCGAGGAAATTACCTTCAGTCTCCCATTTTCATTCTTTCTATAGAAATTTTGATAATACTTTGGTTTGCAGTGAGAGTTTAAAAAAAAAAAAGCAAACTACTGACTTGATAATCCTTCCGTTTCTGTAGTGAATCAGAATTCTCAAAAGCTGCTCACACAGGATTCAACGTCACACATTGAGTCCCTAATCTCCTCCCCTGCAAGATTTCAAAAACAATCAACCCCCCTGTAACCGCTGCATTGCTCAGAAGGAAGCCTCGCTTTTAACTTAATAGGATTTCGTGTGCATGCACATTGGTAACAGTTGGCAAATGTCAATGGGCTTGATTATGCTTTTCATTAAATTTTTAAAATTAAATGTTTGGATTATTTATTTTACTTTGTGTTCCTTAGTCACTTGGCACTGTGTTCCTTCCTTGAAATAGGCTGCAAGATTTCATGAACTCATTGTCCTGTCCAAACCAAGCTCTCCACTAGGATTGAGCCCTTTCCTGACTCCTACAGCATCTGCCCCTGTATCTCCTTGTCAGAGTTAGGTGACCAGTCATTGAGCACTTCTAGCCCATGCTGCCTATATCTGTCCATGTTATTACTTAATGTTTTCATTTCAGTGGCCTTACCACCATTACACACAAGCTCCTTAAGGAGAGTGTAATGATGAAAGAACATGGGTTTGGAGTCAGAGAGACCTGGGTATAAATTCTGGATGCAGCACTGTGAGCTCTGTGGACCTGCGGAAGCTGAACCTCTCCTGAGGATTCACTTCTTTATCTGTCAAAAGGTAATCATACCACTCACTTCACATGGCTGTTGTGAAGATGAATGAGAGAACCTATATGTAATAGATTGTCTGGCTCAAAGTTTAAATAAATGTTACCTGAACCAACCCACAGATAAAGTAAGCCTTGGAAATGCATCCTTATTGTCCATGCAATAAAGTATTATGTATTGTATTGTATATACGTATTTGATGATTACATATTACATATGATTTGTTTTACATGTTAAGTTACTTTGGTATCTATAGGTTATATCCAAGATGGAACCCTCTCTCCACCAAAACCCAGAAGAGCATATTCTGTAAAATTTGGGAATTGTCTTACTTAGTAGAAAGTCAGGCATGAACAACAGCATAGAGTTATTTTGATTTTTGTAGCTACCCTGACACTATCTTGCATGGATTATTGTGTTCCTTCTGTTGCTGCCAGCAGCTCATTTCCATTCCCTACTTTCAGCAGAACTAAGCTGCAGCAAGCGGCAAAAGCCTAGACAAACACCAGCCCCCTCCCAAGACTACTGAACAGTTGTGGTGTATGGATGGTCTTCAATGGCGACACCAGTTGCCACCTAAATAAAAACTGAGAGGATGAAGAGGTCAACACAGTTGCAATTTAGTAATTCACTGGCCTTTAACAGACCTTGGACAAATGAGCAATACAAATGTACTCCAAACAATTAATCCACAAATTCACAATGTTGACATGATTTACCTTGGTTCTTTCCAGACAAACCATGTGTAGGTTATTACTAAAACCTGCTTTTATTATGTGCATTGACTAGGTAAGATTCACTATTCCAAGAATGTTTGCTGTTGCTATTTCCTAGGCTTCATCAGAAGATTGACACCAAGAGAAATGCTGTGTAAGAACTCTCGAGTGAGCTAAGACTGGGAAAATGAGGTTCCACAGTTCCCACAGAGCAGATTTTTAGTAGCAAACGTTAAACATGTAATCAAGTAATTACAATATAATGAAGCAACACCAATGGCTGTAGAATAGATTTAGATGAAGTCTCACAGGAGTGCTTATTATTAGAAACACACACGTTAAACTCCTGTATCGCAGGCCTTTTCTTAGGAATCTTGTCAGTTGCATAGTCTCACAGGCATATCACCAGGCACTAAACTTAACCACTGAGTTTTTCCGCTTTCTTTTCACCACTCTTTTCTATATCCCCAAACTGCTTTATTAGATTTATCTTTAGCTTTTCTGGGGCATATACTCAAGTAATTTTTTAGCAAGAGACTTAAATACACACTTACCAGAGTGGCTAAAATAAAAAATAGTGACAACAGCAGATGCTAGTGAGGAAAAGGAGAAAAATGGATCATTCATCCACTGCTGGTGGAAATGTAAAATGGTGCAACCACTCTGGAAAAGAGTATGGCAGTTTCTTAAAAAATTCAACACGCACTTACCATATGACATAGAAATTGAATTCAGGCATTTATCTCAGAGAAATGAAAACCTGTGCTCACGCAAAAGCCAGTATACAAATGTTCACAGCAGCTTTATTTGTAACACTCAAAAACTAGAAAAAACCCACATGTTCATCAGCGGGTGAATGTTATAAACTGTGATACATCCATACCAAGAAATATCACTCAGCAATAAAAAGGAGCACATTACTGATACAGGCAATAATTGGATGAATATCAATGGCATTATGCTGAGTAAAAAAAAGCCAATCTCAGGGGTTATATACTGTATGATTCCATTTATACAGCATTCTCGAAAAGATAAAATTACAGAGATGGAAAACAGATTGGTAATTGCACAGGATTAGGAAGAGTTGTGAGGGAAGGAGGTAGCTGTGGCTATAAAAGGGTACCATTAGGCATCTTTGAGAAAGAACTGTTCTGTACTTGACCAAGGTGGTGGTTATATAAATCTATGTACGTCTGAAATTGCACAGAACCTCCCCCACCACACATGTGCATGTAAAACTGGTGAAATCTGAAAAAAGCTGAAAAACGTCAGTAGGTTGTACCAAAGTCAATTTCCTCATTGTGATACTGTACTAAGGTTGTGCAAGATTGTGCAAGATATTACCACTGGGGGAAACTGAGTGAAGGGTGTATGATATCTCTCTGTGTTATTGCTTCCAACGGCATGTGAATCTATTATCTCAAAATACAAAGTAAAAAAATTTACAGGTAGAAAAATTTACAAAGCCCTTGCATATATGATATGACATCATTATTTCTGTTCTCACAATAAAACCTGGCTTGGCTAGGTAAGTCCAAAATCATTTTTTCTAAGACCAGAGAGTAGAAGGCATTCTTTTACTGTTTCTTAGGAACTCTTAGGATTCCTTCCAACTCGAACAATCTTTGATTCTATGAGTTGGTTTTATTTGTTCACCAACTTTAACTTTGCTTTATGCTTATACTGCTATGATATCAAACTATTACAGATAGCCAAAACTCATAATTTTAAGACAATGGAGCAAATCAAATATCTCATGGGTTTACAGTGTTTGTAAAACACACTTTGAAAGACAGTGGATTTGGCTGGGCATGGTGCTTCACACCTGTAATCCCAGCACTTTAGGAGGCTGAGGCAGGAGGATCATTTGAGATCAGGAGTTCGAGACCAGCCTGGCCAACATGGTGAAACCTTATCTCTACTAAAAATATAAAAACTAGCGGGGTGTGGTGGTCCACACCGGTAGTCCCAGCTACTTGGAAGGCTGAGGCAGGAGAATCCCTTGAGCCTGGGAGGCAGAGGTTGCAGTGAGCCGAGATTATGCACTACACTATAGCCTGGGCAGCAGAGTGAGACTTCATTTCAAAAAACAAAAACAAAAACAAAACAAGTAATTTAGGAGTGTGGAGTCAATGATGTCCCTGCACCCTTTTCATGTTTTGATTGAAGTCTAAAAACAAAATCGAATTCCTTATTGATGAGAGGATAATTTAAATTGAAGTATTTCTACCTTCAGGATATGTACGTCTCCTTTGTATTAGGTCTAAAGCATTTTTTCTTCCCCAGTGATAACTGAGAAGGCAAGCAATATCAAAAAAAGAAAATAAACTGTCTGAACAAAATGTAAAAAGTTTACTACCAGCAAAATTATAGCTGAATGGTAAGCAATAGCCATAATGTTAAATATTATATAAAATAACCCATTTTGTAACCCATGCAAACATGCCCATAGCTGTTAAGAATCTGATTCATAAATTCAGAACTTGCCTTACATAGAAAGACCCTTCTTTGCACATCAGAAAGTTTCAGTATTCTTGAGACTGGTTTCATTAAATTCTGAGAACCTATTAATATTTATGGTTACAGTCATTTGTGTGAAAAAAGAAAATTGGTTCCACACTCTTTAAAAATTAATAACATGCGGCTCAACAAAAATTATAATAAATGTAAAATAAGTCATTAGGTCATTAATTATCAAGACTGTCTCTGAAATGACTCTCACTTGAAGGATTAAAAATATTTGGGTTGTAAACACAAGTTCTCACTAATATACTTTGTCTCAAAGTCATTTCCCAGAGTTATTAATAAATATTTCAGCATATAAAAATTTATCAAATTAATTAAATGATATGGGATTCTAGATTTTACATAGATAACTTATATCAGAGAAAAAATAATCATGGTAAATTACAATGAATACAAAAATAGATCCTAATTGTTCTTTTAAAATTAATATATACATTTTCAATTCAAAAGAGTTTTCAATCACAATCTTGCAACATGTACTGAGTGTATAGAATAAGCCAGGTGCTGCAGCTGCAGAGAGGTGTAAAGAATGAGCTTTGCCCTTTGAGACATTTAAAGTCTCGCTGGAGAGACAGTACATACACCTAAAGAAGACAGGGGTCAGTGCTAATAAAATAAAGTCCATATTCACAATAGCAAAGACATAGAATCAACCTAGATGCCCATCAACAGTGGACTGGATAATGAAAATATGGTACATACGCAACACAGAATACTATGTAGCCATAAAAAGAATGAAATCATGTCCTTTGCAGCAACATGGATGGAGGTGAAGACCATTATTCTAAGTGAATTAACCTAGTAACAGAAAACCAAATATTGCATGTTCTTACTTCTAAATGGGAGTTGCACATTGAGCACATGTGAACATAAAGTAGAAAATGACAGACACAAGGGCCTACTTGAGGGTGGAGGGCGGGAGGAGGAGGGTAGAAAGATGGAAAATTTACCTATTAGGTACTATGCTTATTACCTGAGTGATGAAATAATCTGTACAGCAAACCCTCATGACAATTTACCCATGTAACAAATCTGCTCATGTACCCCTGAACTTAAAATAAAAGTTGGAAAGAAAAAAAGTCTAATGACCATTTACAACATTGCTTCCATGGGAAAACTCACTGCAATATAAATGTACTTTTGTTACACAAATGACTCTTGATAGGAGGACAACCAGTACAACTTTTCAAATAATCCCAAGTGATTCAAAATGGAGATAATCTACTTTATTAAATTCTCAGTGCAATTTTTGGCAGGCATTGCAGTGAAACTGGATACTTCCTCCAAAATAGGCAGAACTTAAAAAATAGCTAGATACACAAAAATCACCAAAGACAGGTTTCTTACCTAAACCTTTCTTTCTCTTTTTTTAAATCATTAGACAGCTGATTATTCCTCTGTTCAAATACATATTCCAATAAACACTTACTAAGTACCTACTAAGAACCAGGCATGTAGATATAAAGATAGATTAAGCCTTGCTCCTCAGGCTCCAGGATTTACATGTGAAAAAGTAACAGTGTATTAAGTCCCATGAAAGAAGTAAGCCCAGGATGCATGGGGAACCACAACAGCACGGTCTTGGAGGAACTGATCCCTGAGTAGTCCTGAGACGAGCAGGTGAGGGCCAGGTGTAGAAGAGGGGAAGAACGGTCCAGCAGAGTGAGGCATGCATAAAAAAACCAAAACCTTTAGAGAATGTGGCCAGTAGATTAGAAGAGCTGGAGAGTGGGGATCTGTATCAGAGGAGAGGGGAGAGAGAAGGCTGGAGACAGAAGCTGAAGAACGCATCTGGAGAATGTAGCAGGGACCAGATCAGGAAGGATATTAATGTTCCAAGCTGGGAATCACTGGCTTTCGCCCAAAAGCAGTGGGGAACCTTGGCCAGAGAGTGTTAAGTCTTCTGATCAGAGGATCAGTCTGGCAGCAGTGGTGGGGATGTGATGGAAGGCAATGATAATGAAAACCAGCAAAGAGGCTACAGCAAAACTCCAGGTGATGAATAACCACGGTCTCAATAAAAGCAGTGGCTGTGCCTACAGTGAGGAGGGGGCAGAGCCATGAGTTATTTGGTAGGCAGACTGGGACATGGTGATTTTACTGCATGCAGGGAAAGAGGGAGAGGAGGGAGGAAGGAGTAGCTTCAGGGTGCAGATCTGGGTATCTGGCTGCACGATGGTCATGTTCCCTGGGTCACAGAAGACTAGAAGAGGTGCAGGCCTGGCGGAAGATGAAGGGGTACCTGGGATGAGCAGTTTTCAAATAGGACACGCATCTCAGCTTGTCTGTCACGTGGGAGCCATTGGGGATGGTTTGAATAAATCCTGCTTTCTGGTTTTGATAGCAAGTGATCTGTGATGTCTTTGTAGTACTCAATGTCACCACTCTTTCCTTGGCTCAAATTAACTTGTGGGTATGGATGGCTGTGGCAGTGAGCATATAGAGGGTCAGACCAAGGGATAGGAAAGCCTTCAAGAAAGGGGACTCATCATTTACATATCCATTTCTCCCCCACCACACACAGCCAATGGGGAATAGCAATGTGGAGATGGGGTGCAGAACCTGACATCTGGATGCCTGCTTTTGGAAAGAGCCCTCTGATCCTGTGGGGGAATTGGGCTCAGCAGGGTTGAGGCATAAAAGAAGATCAGTTTTCTAGAATAGTTCCAAGTGGCCAATGTGCTACATGGAGGAGTTGGTCAGGAATGAACCATCCCAAAGGGCAGGCTTATTATACACAGGGGTCTGGGACTGGGCTTGGGGAAGCCAGGCAAAGGGACTCAGGGGCTGCCACAAGGATGCCAGGAGAAGATGGTATGTGTCAGGAGGACTCAGTGCAGGATGAGGCTGTTCAGGTCTTTTCAGACGCAGAGCTCAGAAACGGCAGCTCTGATTGGCAGTCAGGGAAGCAGTCCATGGGGAGCAGGGAATAAGCTAGGTCAAGCTGGCCCTTCCGGCCAGCACTCATGCTAAAGGAAATAGAATTCCAGGGTCTGAGATGTCAAGCCAAAATATGAAAGGAGAGGTGGGGGCGCCAAGAAGCAGGGGGAGGTCAGCCATAGGTTAAGAGGCTTAACAAATCCGTCTGGGAACAACAAAGAAGCTGGGGTCCAAAGGTCTGGGATTCTTGGATTTGCTACTGCTAAGTCCTTAAGAGCTCCCTGGCACCACCAGAAAGGGTCTTCTGACAATATGTGGCTCTCATATTATGTGGCCACTTTCCTCTTCTACCCCACATGCTCTCCCTATTAACTGCCCCAAAACCAAACAACTATAGCTCCCGGAACACATTGTGCTATTTCACACCCATTGTTTCATACCTATTGTTCTCTTATCCTAGAAATATGCTTCTACTGCTTTGCCTATCCGGAGAAAGCTTCTCATCCTTTAAAAGCAAGCTACAATGTTCCCTACTCTAATCTTCACAATATAATATCATTGCACATACTAGACTGTATGGCAATTGATAAAAAATAAAGGTCGTGCACCTCATGCTTGGCATGTAGTGTGCTTGCAATATGTGCTGATAAGTGAATAGAAGCATATATCCTAATATAGGTTTAGTTCACCTTTCTCTGCCTGGGGTGCTGATACAGTAATACATTTCTCTAACTGGTTTGTTTCTAGAGCCTTAGCCATACTGTCTCACAGGAATTTTAGCAGAGGAGATTCCTGATTGATAGGTGCTGGCCTCAGCTCAGACTAACCTTGCAGACCCTCTGGGTCTCTGCAGCCCCTCAGCCAGCACTGAGGCTCAGCTCTGCAAAGCAAGGGCAATATTGGGGCGATGTCAACCACATATCCTATTGCAATCATCCAGTGAGTTGGCCTTTCAGAGGATGACCTGAAGAGAGAGAGAGGTAACTCTAGGAAGGGGATTCTGAGCCTTGGGGAAGAAGGAAGGGAAGGAACAACGGGCTCCAAGAGATTCACGATCCATCACGAGGATGGGCATTTTTTGGGGGGAGGAGAGTTCACAGCATTCATACGATTTACTAAGAGGCCCTTGACTATTAAATATTAATATTCACCATTCCAGAAATAGGCTTTCCTTGAGGCAGCTCTGCTCAGAGCACCAGCTGTTGAATCCAGATCCCAGAGGACTTGGTCATGGTCAGGACAGATCAGGGAAGGGAGCTGAGTTCCCCTACAGCTCAGCATTTACACACTCCCATACCAGCCCAAGAGAAGCCTTTCTGAAGGCAGATGTACATATTTTGAAGAATGTCCAGGATCTGTGTCTTGTACAACTGCAAATGCAGTGAGTAAGAGGGAGTTAGCCTCAGGATACCTCTACCTTGACCTTTATGTTCCTTAGAACAACAAACCTGCCAAAGAATAAAAAATAAAAAGGCAAATCTCCAGGGTCTCACTTGTGATGAAAAGTTTGGTTTGACCTCGCGGTCTCAGTCCTGAGCTCAGGAAACACTAATAAATAGACAAATCCTGAGCAATGGCTCTTTTACATTTGCTTTTTTTTTTTTTTCTGGCAGAGAAGCATGTGGTATTAGAAGGCAGCAGATAAAGGCTTTCCATACTAAAGAGGCAAGAAGCACACAAAAGAGAAAGCAAACTTAAAACTGGAGAGGCTGACACTAAACTCTGGGGAATTGAGAGTCACTTTTTACCCACATCCTGTAAAGGGCAGAAAAAACACAGGAAAAAGATTTCTACTAAAATATGTGTGTTCTGTTTTTACGTTTTTTGAATAGAAAAACATGCATCACTCAAATCCACTCAGATATCTGAATATCTGCTGGACGTTTTTTGTTCGTCTGTTTGCTTGGTTCCTACTGCTCCTTCCCTGACTTCTGAAAAGATAATTAAAAAAAAATCCTCAGAGTGAGACTTTAAGTTTTAGTTGTTAGAAGCACATGCCTTTGTACCCAAACAGATGTGGGCTCTGTCATTGACTTGGTAAGTAATGCTGGATAAGTTTCTGAATCTCTTTAAGAACCCAATTCTTCAGCAATTAAAATGGAAGTATGAATAGTACTGACTCCAAAGAATTGCTGAGAGAATTAAGTGAAATGATGCATTAAAAAAACCTTAGACTAACCTGGCATACTGTAAGCATTCAATAAACGGTAGCTAAACAATAGGAGTAACATCTCTGTCAATAAAGAAAAACAATTCTAAGGACACATTTTTGTGCACAATCATGCAAGCTATAACAGGCAGAAAGGAAGAAATAAAAAAAAAAAAAACAGAAACAGTAGACCTGTGTTCCTTAGTGGAAATTCCCTACTTTATACCTTAGAAGGGGTGTCAGACTGTCTTCCTCACCTTCACGTGAGTTTGGGTCTGGCAGAGAAGTGTCTCCCCTCCCCTATAACAACATGGGTCATCCGTCCAGGCCCATGGAAAGTGCAGAAAACCACAGCCTGTGCCATCATGCTTTCTGCCCACCTCCACTACCCAACTTAGCCAAGTGGCTGGACGGTTCTCCCATGATTATTATCCTTCAGAAGTTATTAGCACTGCATTTTTCTTTTCTCTAAAAAAATTTTTATCTCTTTTCACCATGTTAGAAAAAATCTTCCCTTAGTTTTTTTTTTTTTTTTTTT
Organism: Homo sapiens; assembly: GCF_000001405.40. NCBI lineage: Eukaryota > Metazoa > Chordata > Mammalia > Primates > Hominidae > Homo > Homo sapiens. Next base: position 68,895,268 of record NC_000009.12, on the reverse strand, counting down.
TTTAAAGCATTGCAGCCTGGGGGAATTCCTCCCCACTTTGGACAATCACTCCAGCTAAGTTTGCATGGAATGGTGTCTGCCCTAATTGGCAAGCTTCATTCCTGCTCACCTCTTATTCAGACCACATAAAATAATTTCAGCAAACGTGCTGCTCATATCATAGTTTTGCATCCACACTGATCTCTAGGGAGCCATTATTAATCCCAAGTACATTTTCTTTAAACTTGTCTCCCCAGTTCGAGTCTTACTTCTTCCAAGATTTCTATACGGCTTTTCTTACTCAACACCACATTAAACCTAAATTCTATTTCTTTCTAGTTAAACTATCTTCCCCACAGCGGAGAAAGAAAAGAAAACAAAGCTTTCTTGTTTCATTTTATCAAAGAAAGCTGACTTAGCTTATTAGTAAAATCAACAGAGATGTAGGTTAAGGACTCTAGATAACTCCCTTATCATCTACCAATTCCTTCAATATCAGGGAAGCATGGCTCAGCGCCAGGATTGGGAAAGATAGGATTCCACATGTCTGCCACTTTGGACATTCCTTATTTCTATGCTTTCAATAAGTGGCAGCCACAGTTTACATGAGCACAGAGTTCAAAGGAAATCACAACAATCAAACTTCCTTACCCGGCAGTCTCTCTGAAGTGTTTTCATAAGCGCGTTGTATGTTTCCGTATCAAAATACAACCCTTCGTGCATGTCTTGCAGGAAATCTAAGTCCTTAAATGTGGGGTTGGATTTCTCTCTCTCTTTACGGGATGCTCTTCGCTTATACGTTGAGCCTTTCAAGTCATATGTAAAGTGCATTCTCATGGAGCGTGGCAAAACGTTGTTCATCACCACAATCCTGATATTAATGCCTCCTGATTGCATACAATACAGTCCGTAAAATTTTGGCAAAAGAGTCCTTGGATTCTGGTTTAAATTCTAGAAACCAAAAAAAGAAAAATATATTTACAATCTTCTATTTTGACAAAATAATGCTCCACTAAAGATGTGTTTTCATGCTGATATAATAATTAAAAATGGGATGTGATTATCTTTATTAATGTTCATTACTAAAATTTTGCTGTTTCTAATCTATTTCTTAAGTCTGCTTACTGGACAGCAATTTTATTATTCTAAACTCAGGGCAGTGAAAGTGACTGGATTGGACATAATGTCCCAAATTGGCTCCAACTAAAAACAGGCAAGGAATTGACTGGTGCCATGAGTGACTATTCTCTAAGGTAGCCAAAGAGAAAACGAATTGCCAAGGTATGAGGGATGAACATTTAAAATTTTAATAGCTCCTGCAAAACTGTCTTCCAAAATGGCAGACCAATTTACAACCACACTATGTAAGACTGTACATAGATTTTCCCATTACTCTTACCAGGGCTGAATAGTACCCAAACTTTAAAATCTTTGTAAGCATGATTAGTGAAAAATAGAAACCTGTTTTTAAAAATTTGAATGCCATTGATTACTTATGTATTTTTAGTCACCTTAAAGATAATTTTGCTCATTTTTTTCTGCAGGTTTTTGTCACTGTTGAAATTCTTGATATACTCTGGATATTTATCATTTCTCTCATCTATATGGGGTAGTTTCTTCTAGTCTGTTGTCTTTTTTATTATTTAAAAAAACAGGGAGGCTGGGCACTGTGGCTCACGCCTGTAATCCCAGCACTTTGGGAGGCCAAGGCGGGTGGATCACGAGGTCAGGAGTTCGAGACCAGCCTGGCTAGCATGGTGAAACCCTGTCTCTACTAAAAATTAAAAAATTAGCCTGGCCTGGTGGCGCATGCCTGTAATCCCAGCTACTCGGGAGGCTGAGGCAGGAGAATTGCTTTAACCCGGCAGGCAGAGGTTGCACTAAGCCGAGATCATGCCACTGCACTCCAGCCGGGGTGACAGAGCGAGACTCTGTCTCAAAAAAAAAAAAAAAAAAGAAAAAAAATAGGGAATACATGCCTACTTTTGTTCCCTTTTAAAGTAGATAAGAAATTAAAATAGTTTACAAAACGGCATGTAGTCAATGAAAAGTGTCTCTGCTATCCTTGATTCTTCCCCCAATTCTCAACATTTGAGAAAACCACTGCTCTCACTTTATTTCATTCCAGAAATATTCAAGGTGCTTATATTAATTTTGTGTCTGGTATTTTTGGTTATATAAATGTGTTGCCTTAAATTTTTTTTTTTAATTTTTTGAGAGACGGAGTCTTACTCTGTCACCCAGACTGGAGTGCAGTGGCATGATCTTGGCTCACTGCAACCTCCGCCTCCCAGGTTCAAGTGATTCCCCTTCCTCAGCTTCCCAAGTAGCTGGGACTACAGGTGTGTGCCGCCACACCCAGATAATTTTTGTATTCTTAGTAGAGACAGGGTTTCACTATATGTCGGCCAGGCTGGTCTCGAACTCCTGACCTCAAGTGATCCTCCTGCCTTGGCCTCCCAAAGTGCTGGGATTACAGGCATGAGCCACTGCACTTGGCCTAAATGTGTTGCCTTTTGATGTGGTCATGTTTATTTACTTGTTTCTTATTTGTGTGTGTGTGTGTTTGCTTTTTGCTTTTTGTTTAACAAAGCTTTTTTATATCCCAAAGTCATAAACTTTTATTTTCTTCCAAATTTTTAATAGTTTTGGTCATTACATTTGGTCTTTACTCCATATGGAATTAATTTTGTGTGTATGTGAAAGATCTGAAATAGAGAATTTAATTTTTTCCTCAAATGGATACTTATTGAACAGTCTGACATTTTCCAATTGAGTTTAAATCCCTCCATGTCAATACAGTAAGTAGACAAATTCACATAGATCTATTTCTGGACACTTTATTTGAATCCATTAATTTATCTGTCTAAAACTGTACTCATCCTACATCCTTAACATTAGTTACAGCCTTATATATTTTTTGTATATGCTATAGCAGGCCTACTATTTTTCTTCTTTTTCAAAAATGTTTTCTCCATTCTTACAATCTTTCTGTGTGATTGTTCATTTTAAAAAACATTCTTCAAATGAGACTTGCTCTCACTTTCAAAGAAATTGGCTTTGTCAAGCTATGTGAAAAATCCTATTAGAATTTTTGCTTGGAATTAGACTGGATTTATAAGTTGATTTGGGAGCAGTTGAAATCTTTACAATACTGAGTTCAGGAACAATGCAGATTTCTTCATTATTTCAGATCTTCTTTATGTCCTTCAATAACGTTTTGTAGTTTCCTTCATATTGGTCTTGTAACATTTGTTTTTATAGATTCAAGTATTTTAGAATTTTTCTTATTACATTCTTTCTGAACTGATTGTTTATGTTTTCCACTTACTATATCTTGCTTTCCCAATCAGAATTACAGTACTCACATGACTTTATTTACTTATTTTTCTAATAGGGTTCATTATAAGTTGTTGTCATCATGAACAGGATCTCTTTTTTCCCTTATATTCTCCCACTCTATATCATCTATATAATGGAATATAATGGATTTTGTAGATTTACCTTTTATCCTGCAAATCTGCTGGAGTCATATCACTTCTAAAAATTCCTGATTTACTTTCATGAGCAAAATGAAGGTTTGCTCATTTTGAATTCTGTCATTTAAAGAGAACAGTGCTTGTACTTTTTTCTATTTCTTTTTGTACTCAAGACTCAGTGCCAGAATTTCTAGCAAATTTATCAGAAAGGACTATTGATGGGAGGGGCACTCTGGTCTATTCCTATTGTTTCTAGAGAAAGGATTCTTGTATTTTTCCATGAGCTATCATGTGAACTTTTGGAAGACTGATAAATGTACAACTTGTATAATCATTGATTTATTTATCATTTTTTAAAAAAAAAAAAACTCCCCTGCCAATTTTTAGAATTTTAATTAAGTGAAGATGTTGAATTTTGAGGGCCTTAGCTTCTCCTCAACATCTATTTGGGTAACCACGTGACGTTCACATTTTTTCTTGTTAATGGGGTGGATTATATTGTTATACTAGCTTACATAATTGGGATAAAATCACTTGTTCAGCTAAATTTAATTTTTCTTTGATACAGGGTTTTGCTCTGTCTCCCAGGCTGGAGTACAGTGGCTTGATCATAGTTCACTGCAGCCTCAACCTTCCAGGCTCAAGTGATCCTCCCACTTCTCAGCCTCCCAAGTAGCTGGGACCACAGGTGCGTGCCACCATGCCTGGATAATTTTTTATTTTTTTGTAGAGATGGGGTTTCACCATGTTGCCCAGGCTGGACTTGAACACCTGGGCTCAAGTGATCCACCCACCTTGGCCTCCCAAAGTGCTGGGATTACAGGTGTGAGCCACCATTCCTGGCCCTTAACTTTTTATCTAATTTTAATTAAATATAAGTAGTCAAATATGGCCAATGCAGTTTTACAAGAGGACAAGTATATCTGAGCTCAGAACTATGGAATTTTAAGATTTACTAATTAAGCAGGTTATCAAATAATATTATATCAATTTGATCCTAATTTTAGATAATTTTAAAATGTGTGCATGAACAAAGAATAACTGAAAGCATATACACCATATTTTAGTAATATGTATCTCTGGGAAAGAAACTATAGTTAGTTTTTTTTTTTTTGGCTTTTCTATATTTTCTGTTCCTCCAAAAAAAAATAATTGCTCAGTATTGAAATATTTTAAAATCTGCCTGCATGCCACTAAGATTTTTATTGAGATTTTTTATTTTTATACTTCTATATGAGATTAATTTAAGTATTTAATGCTGTGTCTAGCAGATTTTGGAATTAAAATAATATTTTTACATAAAAAGATAACATGGCATCTGATGAATGCATTTTTAAAAACAAAGATGATATTTATCACCACTCATAGCAAGTGATTGGCAGAACTTGGGCTTCTGAAATCCAGACAGCTTCATGTAGCCCTTCCAATCATAGAAAATTAAGAACTGTTATCAAAGTACAATGAAACTGGAGGTATGAAAATGCCTGGACTATTTAGGAACAGTGGGGATAGTTTTGAAAATTTTGGAGTAAACGTGTAGTAAATCCGTCTAGGCTAAGTTACTGTTCCTTTGTCTCTAAAATATTACATGAAAGGTGATTTTTCACACTATCACATTTACCCATGAAATTCTAAATTCTGAAGTCTAGTAGCTGAGAACAGCTAATATAGAATATGTTCCGGTGTATTAGTGTAGGGGTTAAAAATGCATTCTCTGGAGCCCTTTTGCTTGCGTAGCCCCAGCTCTGCAGCTCTCCAGCTGAATCACCCATGGCAAGTTACTTAATTTATCTTTGCCTCAATTACCTCTTCTATAAAAAGGTGATAATTGTAGTATCCAAGGTTGCTGTGAGGATTAAATGAGTTAATGAATGCAAAGCACTTAAGGCCTTGCTTAACATGTAGTAAGCAATCCATGAAAGTTAACCATTTATACTATTACTGCGTACTGGCTGCAAAGAGCTTTGAAACACATTGCTTCCTTTATCTTTCCTTTATTTTATATCCTGTATCCTTACTTTATCACAACAACTATGTAAGATAAGTATTTCCCAGCTTTTTTTTTTTTTTTTTTTTGAGAAGGAGTCTCGCTCTGTCGCCCAGGCTGGAGTGCAGTGGCGGGATCTCGATTCACTGCAAGCTCCGCCTCCCGGGTTCATGCCATTCTCCTGCCTCAGCCTCCTGAGTAGCTAGGACTACAGGCGCCCACCACCACGCCTGGCTAATTTTTTTGTATTTTTAGTAGAGACGGGGTTTCACTGTGTTAGCCAGGATGGTCTTAATCTCCTGACCTTGTGATCTGCCTGCCTCGGCCTCCCAAAGTGCTGGGATTACAGGCGTGAGCCACCACGCCTGGCCACGTATTTCTCAGCCTTTAAAGACTGAGGGAACTAAGGCTGACCAGTTATGCTGCTTACTCAGGGTCACACAGTTAATTATTGGCTGAGCTGGGATTTGAACTCAGGATTGTGGGATTCAACAAGTATGCTCTGCCATTCAGTTCTAGTTTACTTTAAAAAATCTATTCAATGAATGTCATAGCATAATTTAAATGCAGAATAAAGCTTACCAAAGAGAAAGAAACATGCCTGAGTCACTGAAAAAAACAACAGAAAAAAACTGTTGAGGAAAGTAATTAAACTTCAAGTAGAAGCATTAATGATGTGCAGTTCCTTACCATGTAATAGCCTGGCAGTAGCTTCTGAAGAAACTCAGCTTCTTTGTGCTGAACTGTTTTGATGATAAATTCATCATCACTGGTCACAAAAAACAAGGATCCACTGGCTCCAGGGTTAGACAGTTCTATTAGAGGTTCACTGCAGATGGAATACTAAAAGGGTAAATGAATAAACATTAAAACATATACTTGATGTACGTGATGCCTCCAAGGAGGACAATCATAGCATTGCACATCTTAGCTATGTTGAAACAAGAAGCCTCTCTACGGGCTTTAAAAGAGGCTCCACGTATACCGAGAAGGCTCTTTTTGAGATTTCTAAAGATTTAATTGGTCTGTTTATCTTAATAATTCTATGATGAAAAACAGACATACACTCCTAACCCCCAGAGTCATGCGATAGAATCATGAATCATCCTATCAGTCCAATGAGATAATTCAAACAGTTGTGTTGACTAAGGTGCTTTGTTTCCAGCAAATGTCCATAAAATAACAAGTGAAGATGTGAACTGCACTGTGTTTTATCACTTGAACACCAACCCTATTCTCTTTTCATGATTTTCCCAGAAGATGTCATCTACTCATGGTTTCAACAAGGAGATGACTTCAACATCTGTATCTCTAGCCCAGATCTTTCGCTAGGGCTCAAGACCTGTTCATCTAACACTTTAATAGACATTTCTATTTTGGTTATACCACACACAATTTATATGCAATAAGTTCACAATCAAGTTCATCTCAAGGCTGTGGTTAGCCCACATGGTGCCTTTGTGGTAATTAGAAAGATGCAACTTTTTATCTTGGTAGATGCAGCTCTGGGCTAGGATACAAAGTTGGTGAGTAGAAGAAAGGCTGGGGCCAGGCGTGGTGGCTCACGCCTGTAATTCCAGCACTTTGGGAGGCTGAGGCGGGTGGATGACGAGGTCAGGAGATCGAGACCATCCTGGCTAACATGGTGAAATCCTGTCTCTACAAAAAATACAAAAAATTGGCCGGGCGTGGTGGCACGTGCCTGTAGTCCCGGCTACTCGGGAGGCTGAGGCAGAAGAATTGCTTGAACCTGGGAGGTGGAGGTTGCAGTGAGTCAAGATCACACCATTGCACTCCAGCCTGGGCGACAGAGCGAGACTCTGCTCAAAAAAAAAAAAAAAAAAGGCTGGATTCCAGTCTCCACTCCTTCCCCTCGGCCAGGTAGGAGAGCTTGAGCAGTGCACAGCCTGCACAACTGCATATGGTGACCCTAGATCATCTGCCCCCTGTTCTCTGCCTTTTCCCTTAGAGAATGGAAGCATTATTTGCCTTATTCCCCAAACCAGAAACTAGGGCATCATCCTTGATTCCTCACATTTCCTCATCTTTCCTAACCAGACTGTTGATGCTGCCTGCCCGCCTCTGCCAACACCCTTAGTTCAAAGGTTTCATCATTTCATGCCTGGATTGTTATGGCAAGCTTCTGGTCTTAATTGTCCACTCTCATCCCCTCTAGTACATTCACCAGGAAACTAGGCATCTTTCTAAAATGCAAATCTCTTCATGTTTTTCTGGGCTTTCACATCTTTTGCAGAAAGACAAACATTGCATGTTCTCACTTATTTGTGAGATCTAAAAATCAATGGTTCTTAACAGAGCTTCCAAGGCCATGAATGACCCAGCCTCCTCCCCAGCCTTCTCTCTCATGACTTCCTCCTTCAACTTTAGCTCTAGCCACAGAGACTAACTTCTCATGTTCTTAAAAGTGCTGCATACTCTCAACAGCCAGGCTTTTGTGTTTTCCTGTGCCTGCGACAACCTCCCTTCTACTTTCACCTGCCTACCACTCATTGCTGTATTTAAAAAATAACTATTGAGCATCTGCTATGTCCCAGGCACTCATAAAGTTTATATCCCAGTAGGAGGAAACAGACAGTAAACAAGTAAATACATTACACATCAGAAAGTGGTAAGTGCAGTGGAGAAAAAAATGGATCATGGAAAAAGCAGCAGAGAATACCAGCAAAGAGTGAGGAATGAGTTGCAGTAAATTCTAAATAGGGTGGTCACTGAAGGCCTCCTTGCAAAGGTGACATTGGAGCAGAGGTTGAGACCAGGCAGCAAGCCACATGGCTATCTGGGGAACGGGCACTTCAGGCAGAGGGAAGAGAAAATGCAAAGGCCTGAGATGTGGTGGGCTCAAGGCACAGCAGAGGCCAGTGGCTGTAGCAGAGAGGGCAAGGAGGAGCCCTGAAAGGGATGGAGCCAGAGAGGTCAAGGGGACAGACCACATCCAGTGCTATAGGCCACTGGAAGGACTTTGTTGTTTTCTCTAAGGGGGCCGAAAAGCCATTGGAGGGTCTGGAGCAGAGGACCACTCTGTTGGGTTAGGAAACCACCGTAGAAGGACAAGGGGAAGATGTAGGGAGCATAATTCATAGACTGTTGCCACAGCTTCAGCTTTCAGTGCCTGCTGAGGCAGCACTTGCTCTGGAAAACTCTTCCTGGTTCCGCGGATAAAAGATCAATTGCTTCCTGGCCCTGGATGTTCTCATCACAGAAGTCACCACAAAATCCTGCAATTGCCTGTTTCCTTTTCCTCGAGTTGCAGAGACTGTAAAACTCGGTGCAGCAGAAACTGTGACTATCTTACACTGTGATACAGTTCCAGGACCTGTGCCTTGGAACATGGTAGGTGCCTACATACATGGTTGGTACTCAAGAAATTTCCGTCAGATGGCTGAACTCCACCAATAATTGTATGGCTGTAAATGTCACCAAAAAATGCTAAAACCAGCAAAGAAGTCTGTTTTTGGTTTTATTAAGCTCAGTGTTTATTAATTAATAAGCTACATAATTGACTAGAGAAACACTGGGTGGCAGAGAAAAAGATAAGGAGGCCATGCAGGTGTGAGACAGACCCAGCCTAGCAGAAGCAGGGGCTTAAAGAACCACATCATCTTTAAATTTTTCTTTTTTTTTTTTCAGACGGAGTCTCGCTCTGACACCCAGGCTGGAGTGCAGTGGTACAATCTCGGCTCACTGCAAGCTCCGCCTCCCGGGTTCACACCCTTCTCCTGCCTCAGCCTCCCGAGTAGCTGGGATACAGGCGCCCACTACATGCCCAGCTAATTTTTTGTATTTTTAGTAGAGATGGGGTTTCACCGCATTAGCTAGGATGGTCTCGATCTCCTGACCTCATGATCCGCCGGCCTCGCCCTCCCAAAGTGCTGGGATTACAGGCGTGAGCCACCGCACCTGGCCAAATTTTTCTATTTTTAAATTTTCGATCGACAAATAATGATTTGTTTAATTTTAGTTTTTTTATTTCAATAGCTTTAGGGGTACAAGTGGTTTCTGATTACATGGATTAATTGTATAGTGGTGGAGCCTGGGATTTTAATGCACCCATCACCTGAGTAGTGGACATTGTACCCAATAGGCAGTTTGTCATTCCCCATCCCCTGCCCACCCTCCCTCTTCTAAGTCTTCAATGTCCATTATACCACTCTGCATGCCTTTGCATACCCATAGCTTAGCTCCCACTTAGAAGTGAGAACATGCAGTATTTGTTTTTCTATGAGATATAATAATTGTATATATGTATTGGGTATGTGATGTTTTGATCATGAATACATTGTAGAATGGCTAACAAATCAGGATGGCTAACATATCCATCACCATACACACTTCCTTGTGGTGAGAATATTTAAAATCCACTTTTTAAATTAATTTAGAAAGATATACATTAACTGTGTTCACCTCGCTGTACAATGGATCACCAGAGCTGATTTGTTCCATCCAGCAGACTTCATATCCATTCGCCAACATTTTCCCTATTCTCTATCCACCCACTACCACCTCAGCCTCTAGTAATCATCATTCTCCTCTACTTCAATGAGTTCGATTTTTCTAGATTCCACAAGTAAGTGAGATCATGTGATATTTATCTTTCTGTGCCTGGCTCCTTTCAGTTAGCACATTGTTCTCTATGATCATCCATGCTGTTCTAAATGACAGAATTTTGTTGTTTTTAAAGGCTGAACAGTATTCCATTGTGTATATACATCACATTAAAAAAATCCATTTGTCCTTTGATGGGCATTTATGTTGCTTCCATCTTTCCCATTTTGAATAATGCTGCAGTGGACATGGGAGTGCAGACATCTCTTCGCCATACTGATTTCCGTTGCTTTGGATAGATACCCAGTGGTGGGGTTGTTGGATCATATGGTAGCTCTATTTTTAGCTATTTGAGGAACCTCCCTACTGTTTTCCAAAATGGTTGTATGAATTTACATTCCCACCAACAGTATACAAGAGTTCCCTTTGCTCCACATCCTCACCAAACACTTGTTATCTTTTATCTTTTTTGATAACAGCCATTCTAACAGGTATGAGGTGATATTTCATTGTGGTTTTCTCTCATGATTAAGAATGTTGACCATTTTTTAATGTATCTACTGGCCATCTGTATGTCTTTTTTTTTTTTTTTTTTAAAGACAAGGTCCTGCTCTGCCACCCAGGCTAAAGTGCAGTGGGCTGATCACAGCTTATTGTAGCCTCGACCTCCCCAGGCTCTGGTGATCCTCTCACCTCAGCCTCCTGAGTAGCTGGGACCACAGGAACGTGCCACCATGCCCGAATAATTTTTTTGTGTTTTTGTAGAGATGGGTTTTTGCCATGTTGCCCAGCCTAGTCTCAAACTTCTGGGCTAAGCAATCCACCTGCTACAGCCTTCCAAAGTGCTGGGACTACAGGGGTGAGCCACCATGCTTGGCCTGTGTATCTTTTTTTTTTTTTTTTTGAGGAATGTATAGTTAGGTCCTTTGCTCATTTTTAAATAGGGTTATTAGTTTTCTTGTTATTGAGTAGTTTGAGTTCCTTATTTATTTTGGATATCAACCCTTTACCTGATGCGTTATTTGCAAATATTTTTACCCAATCTGTAGATTGTCTCTTCACTCTGTTGTTTCCTTTGTAGTGCAGAAGCTTTTTAGTTTGATGCAACCCTTTTGATCTATTTTTACTTTTTTGCCTGTGCTTTTGGGGTTGCATTCAGGAAATCACTGCCTAAATCAATACTGCGCAATTTTCCCCTATGTGTTCTTCTAGTAGTTTTACAGTTTCTGGCCTTCCATTTAAGACTTTAATCCATTTTGAGATGATTCTTGTTTATGATGTGAGGTAAGGGTCCAATTTCATTCTTCTGAATATGGATGGCCAGTTTTCCCAACATCATTTCTTAAAGAGACTATCCTTTCCCCATTGTGTGTGGTTGCCACTTCTGTCAAAAGTCTATTGACTATAGGGTGTGTGTGTGTGTGTGTGTGTGTGTTTATTTCTGGGCTCTCTATCCTATTTGGTCAATGTGTCTGTTTTTATACTAGTACCATGCTGTTTTGATACTACAGCTCTGTAATATAAACAGCCATATCTTGAGGATGTAGGCATCTGAAAAAACATCAAGGCTAAAAATCCCACAATTTTTGTTCTGAGCTTGTGAATATTTAAGTCCCTATCATAGAAAAACCTGAAAGGAGGGAGACTGAAAGAAAAAGGGAGAGGAGGGAGAGAGAAACTAGCAGAAACATGATTAAAAGGTAGCTTCTAGATACATCTTTTACATTATTTTGCTTTGAAAATACTGAGGATAAAGGAAACAAAATTATCCCAGAAAAGAAAGAAGCAAGTGTCTGCTGGCTTCCTAAGTCATTGGCAACTTTGATCGTCCACTTCCCCTTCTTTCTGTTAGCCTTGCTTCTTGACAATCTCTTGCTAAACAGCATTAGAGCCTAAGCCTACAGATGAGTTGAGGATAAGTTAGGAAAACAAAAATAGCTATCAGACTGCAGACAGGACACCATAAAAACCGAGAGGAATCAGAGAGCACTTGCCCAGCCATGTGTGCAGACAAAGTGTCCTTGTGGAAGAGCGATTTGTGAAAAGGGCGTGAGATTTGTATCAGTTGCTAGTTATGTGATTCTGAGTAAGGAATTTAGCATCTTGGAGTTTTAGAAGTTTCATTTCTAAAATAAAGGTAATAATATCTACTGGAAAGTCACTGGAAGTTTTTAAAGTGAATGCTTTTGAAAACCCTGGCAAAGAGTGACCATGTATTGCTGTTGTTAATTTTATGACATGATCACACACAGGTGAGAGAAGCACACGGCCTACAATATACTCATTCCACAGGCAGGTAAGGAAGAGCTGATACCACCCTAGGATACACTGAGGTTCTCAGCCTACTGCCCATGACTTCAGGGTGATCCAAAGAGACACTAAAACATTCTGAGTGAAGCAAGAAAATGTTGGGTTTCTCATTTACTCACGAATTTGGGACCCTGGAATATAAAGGTGTGGACTCCAAGCTCTCATAAAAAGTAAAGGCAGACCCTAGACTCTCTTTAGGAATTTGGATTCTTTGTTCCATGGCATTTGAATTCCTGACACAGAACTTCCTTATGGGTAGGAGTTTATGTTGTGAAAATATGAAAACAACAAAGGATGCAGAAATTAGAGGTTGCAAATTGAGAAATTAGGGGGTGATCCGGAAAGAGGTGTCTAGAAAAAACTGGATTCAGACCTGAACATCTGCTCCCAATTAAAGTCTCCAATTCTTCTATAAGCAGTGACATTAAAAAAAAATGCAGTGACATAATATGAAGACTATTTCATTGGTTACTACATTGTCAAATATTCTTTTATTATGTCATTTATACATAACACGAATGAAATAATAAATTGTTTTGATCCACTTTAATAACCCTTTGGGGGCTATTCATAGACTAGCATCAATGTGCAATAAACTGTGATTATGATACTGAACAGGAGTATCACCATTATGCTGTAGAATTCTATGGTTTCTCACTCTACAACTTGGTTACCACATTCTCTTCTAAGCCACCTTCTTTGCAACATTGCCTCTTAAGAGCAAATGAAGAGGAGAGATGGGAACATTTTAATTAGTCATGATCAAAAGCCCCCATGTGTGCTCCTGGGTTTTATGCACCTTCCAGGCACTTGTCATCTGTGCAAGCTGTTCTAATGTATTCATGCTCTTGCTTCTATTTCCTGCAGGGTCTCCCTGCTATATTCACTGGAGAAAAAGAAAAAGCAGAGCACAACCCAGCTGGGCCCTGCCAGTGTAAATTAACAATGTAAACTTGCCCCATGTGGTGGAGATAATTTTATGTGCCATTTCTTCCCCCGATAGTATGAAATATTCACTCTGCTCTCTTTCTTATTGGCGCAGGTGAGCCTGAAAAGACTCATATAAGTTCTACTGGATTTTTGAATATCCAGGCACATGATGGAGAAGGAAAGAACCCATAGCTGGTTGCCCAAGCAGAGATGGGAATGCTCTGGGGCCCTTTGGCTTTGCCTTGGGAGGTGTTTGTCTAGGAATAAGGAAGAAGGAAAGTTTGCACTGCTGTATGTACAGAAGCCCCTTCACCATACTGTCTCACAATCCAAATTATGCATGTTTCAACATGAAACTTGTAATCAGCATGCACAGGGTGAATTTTAATGGGATGGAGGGCATAAACAGAGTAATTCAGGCAGGAATCCAGATGCAACAGCAAAAAGCTAAGTAGAAATACACACATATCGCAGGTATTCAATATCACACCTAAGTATGGAGTTACCAATGGCTAGAGATTGTTCCCACACCTCCAACTTAACTCACTGTATCTTACAAGTGTGGGTTTGAGTAGCCCCAGTTTGACAGCCACCACGATGCACTTTGTGATTGGCACTGTATCCTTTGTTTCTTCACAGGGTTTTTCAAGCAATGTCTTATTTCCTATTTCTGTGCTTTCCTTTAGCTAAACTCTTCCACAATGTGTTTTGTTAAAGGTGTTTGACTTCTTTCAGCTGTATTCTTCAGAATGGACAATCACAGGTCAATGGGCTAGGAAGAGGCTAGTTTGAGTACATATTTGGTAAGAGGTCTGTGATTCTCATCAAATATGGAAAGCATGAGGCCAGCTGGTGAAGGGTCTTCAAGCTCTTGGGGAAGGATGGGGAGACCACTGTTTGGTCTAGGCTCTGCCCCCACCAATGTGTGTAACCTTGGGCATCTCCCTTTGCTGATCCCAGCTTCAGATTCCTCATCTGTAAAATGAAGGATTGAGCTAAAAAGTCGCTGAAGGTTATTATACCTGACACTCAAGCATGCTGTGTCATGCAAACGACCCTTTCCTCATCTATCACACTCCAGATCATTAGGTGCAGTCCCAGATAGAGCGGTTTGGAGGTGAGCTTCCAGAGACTCCAAAGTTTGTTGGGGAGCTGCCTCAGTCCTGTGCTGCAGGTGTCCCCAGTGCAGGCACAGGTGGGTGGCAGCAGCTGTTGGGGACCAGGTAGTTATGTTTAGCTAAGGCCACTGCCTTTGTTCTGTTTCTTGCAAGCCCCAGAGATGTGTCTAGACACTGAACCATGTGTGTGGTGAATGAGGGAGGTGGACAAATGGAATCAAACAAAAGCACACTTACATACCTGGCTCTATCTTTCCCTCTATTTTGTGTGTGTGTGTGTGTATGCGTGTGTGTGTGTGTGTGTGTGTGTATGCGTGTGTGTGTGTGTGTGTGTGTGTGTGTGTGTTTCAGATGCAGTCTTGCTCTGCCGCCCAGGCTGGAGTGCAGTGGTACAATCTTAACTCACTGCAACCTTTGCCTCCGGGGTACAAGTGATTCTCCTGCCTCAGCCTACCAAGTAGCTGGGACTACAGGCTCATGCCACCGTGCCCAGCTAACGTTTTTGTATTTTTGGTAGAGACGGGATTTTGCCATGTTGGCCAGGCTGGTCTTGAACTCCTGACCTCAGGTGATCCACCCACCTTGGCCTCCCTAAGTGCTGGGATTACAGGCGTGAGCCACCACAGTTGGCCTCTCTCTACCTTTTAAGTTATATTTACGTACATAAAAGCGAAAAGAATTGTGAAATTAACACTCATGTATCTATCTTCCAGCGTCAACTCATGGACAACTCATTCATGATCAATCAATGATCAACTCATGGCCAATCTTGTTTCTTCTAGACCTCCAACCACTCTGCTGCCCTACTTCCCTCAGATTTTTCTTTTTGTAGGGGGGCATTCAATTTAACAGTTATAGTGAGATGTAAGTCAGATAGCATTCAATTCACCCGTTTAGAGTACACAATCCTTCCGATTAATTTTTGAATTGATAAATAAAATTGTATACTTTTATGGTATACAACATGATGTTTTGATACATGTATACATTGTGGAATGGCTCAATTAAGCTAATTAACATATTATTTACCTCACATATTCATCACTTTATTTGTGGTGGGAACTTTTTCTTTTTTAAAAAAATGATATATAATAGTTATACATATTTTAGAGGTACATGTGATATTTTGATACCTATACACAATGTGTAATGATCAAATAAGAGTAATTGGGATATCCATCACCTCAAGCATTTATCTTTAAAATCTACTCTCTTAGCAATTTTCAAGTATATATTATTATTACCTATAGTCACCATGTAGAATAGATCTCCTGTATTTATTCCTCCTCTCTAATTCAAATTTTGTTTTTTATTTATTTTTATTTTTATTTTTTTGAGATGGAGTCTTGCTCTGTCACCCAGGCTGGAGTACAGAGGTCCGAACTTGGCTCACTGCAACCTCTGCCTTCCAGGTTCAAGTGATTCTCCTGCCTCAGCCTCCCGAGTAGCTGGGATTACAGGCATGTGCCACCACGCCCATCTAATTTTTGTATTTTTAGTAGAGACGGGGTTTCACCATGTTGGCTAGGCTGGTCTCAAACTCCTGACCTCAAGTGATCTTCCCACCTCGGCCTCCTGAGGTGCTGGGATTACAGGCATGAGCCACCGTGCCTGGCTGTCTAATTCACATTTTGTATGCTTTGACCAACTCCTCAGATACTATTGAAGTACATCCCAGATATCAAACCATTTCATCCATAGATATTTCAGTATATCTTCTAAAAGACAAGGATTCTCCTTTTAAAATAGAACCATGATATTATTATCCCACAAAAAAGTTATTTCTCAACACCATCAAATATCTTGTCAATCTTTATATTTCCTTAGTTTCCTATAATTTAGAAGCTTGTTTATTTGAGTTGCCTGGACCTATCTCTTAATAATGTTAATAATGTTCCTGATAAAAACTCTCCCCTCCAGCCATATTGGTCCACTAAATGTCCTTTCGAAAACTGAACACATCCACATCTCTGATTCTACAGTGCCCCTTCCAACCCTTCACCCCCTGAGCATCCATCTCTTTTCTACCTTTTAAAATCCCTCGTAGTTTTTAAGGCATGGTTAAAACCACATCATGCTCATAAGAAGACCTCCTAATCATCACCCCAACAAAGAGAAAGACCCCTACCTCAACCCTAGAGTATTTCATGTTTTGCTTCAGTTTTTACATTTATTGCCTGGTAGAGTTGATTGGTTTTCTACATAGACAAATTAGTATTCCAGTTTGATTTTAAGTTCTTTGTGTGTCATGACTTGCAGTTTTTTGAATTTCCCTACAACTATGAGCAAAGCATTTTAGATATAATTGGTGTTCAAAGTGTCCACTGATTGATTAATTTACCTTTTGCTAGGTACAGGGACAAAGACTTTTCTTGTGAGAAGTGATGAGCTTAGATTCTTATGCTCCTTTGTAAATACTCTAACCACATTATGAAAATAATTTTTCCAGCTTAAAGACTCATTAGGAAACTTGGGGAGGCTGTGTGGGAAGTTGTTCAGAAAAGGATCTTCCCCAAAGAAAGCAAATTTGTGAGGTCCAGATGAATGAAAGAATGGACTTCCAGCCTTTGGGGCAATGGATATGGGAGGGCTAAAGACAGGCATCCATCTGGTCATATTGACTGGATCAACAGTGTGAAACGCAAGTCTAAGGCATCTCTTCAGCTGGTGAGAAGTTCAAGGAAATTCAGAAAGAGAATCCATTAAATTTGAGTGTGTGGCAGAAGATAAGAGATCTTGTTTTCCATAATATAATATCAAAACCCCATTGGGTTTCTCAAATATATTTCCTGAATGATGGCAACCCTCAGTAATTACAGAATGGCTAGAAACCAAAGGGTGTTCTCTAACACACACACACACACACACACACACACACACACACACACAGAACAAATGCGTGTGCTTGTGTACTTGCATTGGTAGTGATGGGTAGAGGCACCTGAGGCTTCAATGAAAGGGGAGTGGTGAGAGAAAGAGAGTAATATATACATTTAAGGGCAGCAGTATGCTAGGGACTTTCAACCTTGCGCTCACCATTCTTTGGAGACTTATTGATGTGCCTTGAGGAAGCAGTATTGCTTCATTAGGCAGAAGTCATATGATTTTCTTAGGGACCAAATAAAGAAGATCATTCACAGATTTTCTTTTTTCCTTTACAAGAAGATTCAGAGGAGACATCCGAGAGTCTTCATCAGCACAGAGTAGAATCAGCTTTTAATTATTTACATCTTATCCAAATTATAAGATGCATATTAAGCACTCTTTGTTACACGTGTTGCTATACTTCCTCTGAAAAGCATTATCCCAGGATCTGGCTCAAGTCTTATTAAGATCATTCAGAATGGGATGAACAATAAATATTTGATGGCATTCTTCCTACAGTCTTTTGAAACCAATTCTGAGGAGCCCCCAGGGTGTTAACAGTGATCAAATTATGAAACAAACCATTTTTTCACTTGTAACAGAAAGTTCCTGGCTTCTTGAACAGGAATGAGGTAAAACTCTGAGGTCACATCAGACTACCTCTTACAAAAAGGCTGTTGTGTCTGTACCTCTTGTGTGCCAGAAGGCAGATGAAGAGCACAGACAAATCTGAGGATAAAATATGCCCTTGTACCAACTAAAAATATGTTTAAAAAGTCTGCCTGAAGAGATCTTGAGAACAAAACTATCCAGATTCTTTACAATGTTTACTCAAATTTGTAGGTCAAGGTGAAATGATTGTGGGCCAAGGTAGTTGAGAGGAATGGTACAAATAAGGCAATTAACATAGAAAGGCTTTCAAATAGAATCTAATCAGCAAAATTCACAGGAGTATTTAGAACTAATTATAACATATCTGTTAGAATAATTATCTGAAGTCACAACTGATATTATAGTTATTTAAATATCAATTACCACCACAGATTTTGCAGTTATCAGTAAAAGCTACAAAGTCACATCAAATTTCTTGAAGCTAAATTTATAATCATTATAAAACTTGGAACTTTTACTACGCCCCAGAGCTTTATAAAATGAGAGACACAAGCCACTTGTTGCTGTTGCTATGAGACAAATGTTTACATCACACATTTCTATAGAAGGAAGAAAAATGACAGGTTCTTACCAAGTAATCATCAGGCTTGATACCAAAAAGTTCTCTGAAATATCGGAATGCTAATGGAGCGTATGTCTTAAATCTAAAGTCTGGGTAGTGATGTGCTGGGGTCAGATTGCTCCCTTCGCTGAAGTCAAAATATTAAAAAGAGAGAGAAAGAAAGAACACATTAGCAAGGACAATTTTGACCGCAAATTGTAGCTCTATTAGTCCTGGGCCAATGTTATCTCTAGAAAAATCATCCCCTGAGAGCGGGTTTCTCAAAGTTCATGTCATAAAGGCCAATGATAACCAGGCAGAATAAGACGTTAGTTAGTGAGGTCACTCCGTGCAGGCTTTCCCTGTCAATCAGTGTCACATGCCTGAAAATTCATTTATCCCCTTGTGCCTTCTTCCTGGGAAGATCACTCCATTATCACCAGTGTAACCACATTGTAATGCTTTGGGTAAAAGATCTAGGCCTTAGAGTGTGGAGCAATTTCAAAAATGCATTTTTTTAACCACGAATTTTGGATATTTGACAAACATTGTTAACCAGGGATAAGTGAAATAATTCTTAAAACATCCTACCAACAGAGAGAACCATCACATGGAATAGGACCCCAATCTGAACTCTTTTATTTACATTTTCCAAAAAAGGAGACCTTACATATTTAAAAAATTTAAAACCTGATTTCCATTCCTCAATATATCATTATCTTCTTTTCCTTTTTCTGGGTTCATTTTGAAAAATTATACACAATATTTATGATATATAAAATGTACAAAGAATAAACCAGTGAATATCAATGAATCCAAAATGCTGCTTAAGACATAAAACATTATCCATACAGTTGAAGCCCCTTCTGTACTTTTTACTGCTCAGATCCATAGAGGGATCCACTGGCCTAAATGTTGATGTTTATCAATCTCATCCTTTTTATTCTTTGACTCCATACAATATTACCTAATACATGAGCTCAGTCAAACCACCTAAGCCACTCATTCTTAAATTTTTCAGTGTTTTTGTTCTTAAAATTTTCAGAAAAATTAGAACAATGCAATAGAATTTTATGTAAAGGTTCAAAATCCCTTTGATCTACATTCTAGGTGGGACATTGAGAGCCTATGCAAGTTTATCATGGTCTGCTTTTTATGGATACCACACAAAAAGGACTGGGCAAATGACAAAGGCTTTCAGCACAGAATAAACACTTTGGATCTACTATAGTTTAAGTTGTTCAGATCAATCAGATTCTTGCATCAATGCCTGGCACATAGCAGACACTCAATAAGTATTTGTTGAGTGAAGGAATGAGTCTTCAACATAATGTTAACAGAGAAGATTTGATTATTACATGGAATTTACATTAGAAAATCAATATGTAAGGCAGAAATTCAGCATAGTCACAGGTCACCCTTGAAAACTATTTAGGAAGTATCTATTCAATATAACCAACGCAACTAGTTTTTCCTCCTGCACGATTACAGATGACTGTTTTTTTTTTTTTTTTTTTTTTTTTTTTTTTGCTGAGTACCAGAGGATGGAGCTGGCTTGTGTTGTTAGGGGTCAGCACCATATAATAAATGGTTATCTTGAAAGGCTAGGATTACACTCAGGCAGCAGCCCGGCTACACACTAGGAGAGTGACACAGGGACTAAGACTGCCTGAGAGAAGAGCAGTCACATAGTAAGGAATGACCCCCAAATCATCCACTCATTCAAATGGTTATTGTTGAATATTCAGTATGCATGATGCCCCAGTGCTGTACCCAAACATTTTCTCTTTCTATATTTTGGGATTTAGGAGGGGATTAAATCCCATGGGACTGTCAAAAGGAATGATTCTGGAACTTATATGGCATGTAATAATTTATTAATATAAATGTAGATCATATAGAAATAAAGGGTAAAAGCAAAGAGGCTCAAAGAGACCTATAACATCCTTCCTCACTTTTGCAAGCGAGTAAAAATAACCACAAGGCCTTAGGTTCTGAAGCAGGCTGCTTTCAGTGGGCTAAGAGTGTTGCCAATTTCTTCTCTCTTTTTCACCTTCTATCCCATACAAAGTAACTCATTCTACTGGAGCAGATTTCCTTCAACATTCAAAGAGGTAAGATAAAACACCCATGTTCCACCTAAATGGAGTTTCTCATTTTGTTGCAGTTTTGGGCCCAAGATTTTATCAGAGAGGATGCTGCATTTACTATTATTATTTTCATTTTGGGTTAGTTCTGAGCTCCTTGGATTATTCATCTTTCCCTGAAGTTTCCATTAATTATAATAATTTTCCTTGGGTTCACATCTCTCTGACTGCTGTGATTTATTCAGTTATGGTATAAAACGATAGTGTTAGGTTTCCCTGGAGGTGAGACAGACACACAGACACACGTACACCCATACACACAAGAATGCTCATGTACACACAGCAGAGCAGCTTCAGGTAGAGAAGGGGAACATTTATTTCCTTAGGCATACAGAAATAATAACAGGTATTTGGTCATTCAAAAAAACCACTAAATCATTCCATGAAAAAGAATTAAATCTAGCTATCTTTGGGCCATATTAAGACATGGAGAAGTATGGGCCAACTGTGAGGCAGGCTTACCTACATGGGATAATCAAGAAATTATATTTGTATAAACAGAGAAAATGAAAAGGAGTGGGCATAATACTTAATGGAGGCATCATACAGAATGGATGTTGCTTCATGGCGTAATTAACATACAGGAAATAACAATTAATTGCTGAGGTTACACACTCTTGAACCTCTGTATTTGCGTGAATGGAAAGGAAAATTCTCAAATAGTGCCTTCTGTAAATTAGGTTCATAGTACATCAAAACTTCTTGTTTGTTTTCTCTCCTAGTAGGTTTTATTTTATGGCTTCTGTTTTCCTTTGGTTAATATTAAGACTGGGCTGTACTCTCTTAAGTCCTACTGGATACACTGTGTGGTAGTTAAGATGATGGATTTTATAGTCCAGGGAGACCTGGGTTCAAATTATCTCTGTTATTTAAAAGCTGAGTTTCACGAGGCCCAGTACAGAACCTCTACAAATTAAGTGGCTTAGTAAATGAAAAGGTGAAAGGTAAAGTACTTTGAATGCAGGGAGCCCCTAACACATTTGGATGATTGAGACTATATAGGAAACAGCCCTGAGCCAAACACTTCACATGAGGAATGTATTGAAAAAGTAGTTAAAAAAAAATAAGAAAAATAAATGCCAAAATGGGAAAATATTTACAACTCATATCACAGACAATGGGCTAATCTCCTAATATAAAGAGCTCCAATGAACTGCATAGAAGTCCAAAAAGTCCAGCCTGGGTAACATGGTGAAACCCTGTCTCTATGAAAAATACAAAAATTTGCTGGGCATGGTGGTGCACATCTGTAGTCCCGGCTGTTTGGTGGGCTGAGGCAGAAGGATCGCTTGAGCCCAGGAAGTTGAAGCTGCAGTGAGCCGAGGTCGCGCCACTGCACTCCAGCCTGGGCAACAGAGCAAGACCCTGTCTCAGACAAAAAAAAAAAAAAAAAAAAGATCAGAAAGTTAACTTAAAAAAATAGCTGACGATATGATCAGGCACTTCACAGAAATGAAAAGATATGACTCAAACATAAGATGCTTAACCTCATTCATAAAATAAATGTCACCGAGAGACCATTTTACCTGGAAGATTGGTGAAAATCCACGACTGTGATGTAGCTTGAGGGGCAATGCTATTCTGAAATATTGTTAGTGGGAATGTAAATTGAGACTTTTTTTCCCCATGAAGGACATTTTCACAACTTCTATCAAAATTACAAACATGTAACTCCTCGATCCAGCAAATGCATGCCTATGTTATCCTATGGATAAACTAGCATTTGTCCAAAACAATATATGTGAACATGGTTACTCATTATGGTAACCTGGATGGCCTTCAGGAGAGAACTTGTCTAATTAATTATGATTCAGCTACACAATGGAATTCTATGTGGTATTAAGAAAAGAATAAGGGTGCTTATTATGTACTGACATGGCAAGATCTCTAAGATAAATTGTTAAGTGGATGAAACATGATGCAGAATGCTGTGTAGGGGATGTCACCACTTGCATAAAAAAGAAAACAAATATTCTTTTGGCATGCATATACATAAAAAATCCTTGAAGGAAAAAACAGCCACAAGTAACAGTGATAACTGGAGCTGGACACTGAAAAAAAGGCACAGGGACAAAAGGAACTCTTCACAGTATTCCTTTTAAGAACAGGACAAGCCTTGCTGTGTATTATCATTCACAAAATTAAATAAATTTAAAAAGTTAGAGGTTAAAAGCCATAAACTGATTCCTCTTCCCCCAAACTGAGCCCTCCGTGCTCAGCACCACAGCAGAAGGTTTGTTTACCTCTGCATATTTAAGCTGTTCCAATGAATAACAAATACCAGCTTGACATGAATGAAGCTCTAGTGAAGGAAATGCAAATTAATGAGATCGCTGGCCCCTGCTGGGCCCGGATATTTGTCAGGGGAGCACGAGTGCAGAGAACAAAACAGCAAGTCCAGTGAAGGTCAGCCAGCAGGCAACAACCTTGGTTCTCTGAGGCCCCACGCTGGCACATTTACTGTGTGTAGATGTGGGTGCCAGCCCACAGGCGTTCAGCACAGAATCTCCACAGCACAGGTACCAAGTGCTTAGCAACTTCCACCATGGCAGAACTGCCAACATTCAAACACAATGACCGCAATCAACGTTTGCCTCCTGAAGTCCACAGGCTTTCCTTGCTTGAGACTGGAGTTACCTGTTGAGTAACTGTGCTCAGCATCCAGACTTAGCAAAAATGAAGTCAGAAAAAGAGTAGAACTCCTCACAGTTTAAGATTTACCTTATATTTCTTCAATGCACTTATGTAGGGTGTGGAAAAAAAAAAAAAACACCCGACAACTGACTTTCTTGTCTTGGCGTAAGTTGAAGCTTTGGAAATCTCAGCTATGGGGTTTTGAGCAGTGGTTCTAGATGCTTGGATCCCATGGGCCAGTAAAATTTCGACAACAAAAGTTTGGAATCCAACCTTGGATTTCCAAATTTATTTTGCCAAGTAAGAACCTAAACAATTAAGCAAGCACACGTTACAATCCCTATCACATCAGGGCATTTTTAGCTCCAAAAAAGGAGAAAGAAATTTCAAATAAAGAACAGAAGTTTCTCTGTCCTCTTCCCCACTTATTCACTAAGAAGCAGTTAAAGTTCAATCACAGACCAGCTCTGGCATTCTGATATTCACCTCTTCTGAGGCAAGTTCATTTTTAAGGCCAAAGCTACTGCTTGTCTTAGTCTAAAAATACATATATCTTAATGGCAACGTATGTTCAGAATTACACAATGTTGAAGCTTGAGGAAGCATTAGCCGCCATCTGGAATTCCCCATTTAGCAGATAAATCATAGTCCAGGGAGGGAAAACAATGGCCCAAACTGATCAGGAACAAACAAGATTGGGAGATTAGACTCACATCAGAACAGCAGAAAAGTCATAAGCAGATAGGAATGGCTTAACTTAGACTTGACGTTCCTCTGTTATTCCTCCTTTTCAGGATTCTGTTACAAGTTTCAGGGGTTTCTCCCTGCCCAAATATCCCAATTACTTCCACATGAGGCCTTCACACCACAGGGGCTGGTGGGTAGAATTTCACTTACAGAAGCTTTGGTCAGTTGGTGTTCTCCTCTCTATGTACTAATAACAACACAGCTTTGTTTATGGGGTTTTAGAGCCTGATGACCAAGTGCTAGTTTTGGTGGCACTGGACTGAGAGATGTGGTGGTAAGCAATGGGGTAAAACTAATTTAGCATCTCAAAGACAACACAAGGGGACCAGTTTTGGAGCTGAGACTCAGAGCTTTCTTGCCTCTAGAGCAGCATTTTCCATTTAGTGAGCTTTGTTTATTTCAAATTGTAACCAAACCATCAATAGTGGCTCTGAGGACTTTTGACAAAACTAGTACTTACGCAACTCCTGGGTGATAGTGGTCAGTGTCGCTAAAGGATGCTAAATGCCCTCACTTGTATTCAACAAACATGACCTTACCCTCTGTATGACAGGATAAATGAAGGGTGCTTTGTCTTGATGTGCAGACATTAGGAAAGCTTAAGTGGCACTACAGTTGGGTGAATGCCACTACAATCCAGTAACAAACTACTGATGGTACCCAGTCTTCAAGTTGGACCTTCGTACACAGCAGTCTGTAAAAGCGGCCTTAAGGTATTATTAATTGCCTCTGCCAATTCAGCCAAGGTGGATATCCCTTGGTTTCCACATACAATTCTTTACGTAACTAGAGAGAGAGAGACAGAAATTGGTCCTCTTTTTTGCCAAATTAGAGAGTGCTCATGAATGGAAAAACAAAACAAAGCAAAACAAAAGACACATTCCTTGCTGGTGCCAACCTCCTGTTGCTGAGCAGTTCTGTGATGGGTACACATGAACTGCATTGTATAAGACGAGGCTGCACCATCTTCAGAGACCAACCAGCTGACAGCCAATCTGTAAAAGTCAGCATCTGAAGACAGCTTAAATTCCCCAACCAAACAGTGCATTCCGGGATGTCATTTACTGGGAACATGTGACATCATCGGTTATATAAACATTAAACCATCCAAGAAGTTATTACCATACTGGAAAACCGTGCTTGAAGATAACTTCAAATAAAGTAGAATATTGTATAATATCCAGTGCATGCAATAAATCCTTTGAGCTAAAGGAAGAGGTATATGGCTTTTAGTAATAGGAAATCAGTTTCTCCCCATCCTCACCAAATACACGCTGAACAAAGACATAAAGAGTTTTGATTTGAAGGAGCATCATATTATGGCTTGCCCAGCAGCAGTCACTTCTCATTTTCTCCCAAGAAGACTAAGCTGGCAGCTTTGTCTTCTACCCACATGTACATAAAAACTGGTGCAGAATGTTTGTATAGATCAGGAGTTGGTAATCTTTTTCTTTTTTATTTATTTTTATTTTTATTAAATATAAAGAGATGAGGTCTCACTATATTGCCCAGGCTGCTTTCAAACTCTTGAGCTCATGTGATCTTCCCACCTCGGCCTCCCAAAGTGCTGGGATTACGGGCGTGAGCCACTGCAGCCAGCCTTGGCAATCTTTTTCTATAAAGGGCCAGATAATATTTCGAGCTCTGTGGGCCATACAGTCTCTGTAGCAATTACTCAACTCTGCAGCCATTGTAGATAGCAGCCGCAGACAATTTGTAAATGAATGGATGTGGCTTTATTCCAATTAAACCTTATTTACAAAAACGGGCAGTTAGCGGGGCCTGTCCCATGGGCTGTTGTATGCTGACCCACATGATATAAGACAGTGGTCCCCAACCTTTTTGGCACCAGGGACCAGTTTTGTGGAAGACAATTTTTCCACAGACAGTGGAAATGGGGGGATGGTTTTGGGATGAAACTGTTCCATCTCAGATCATCGGGCATTACATTCTCATAAGGAGCAAACAACCTAGATCCCTTGTATGCACAGTTCACTACAGGGTTTGTGCTCCTATGAGAATCTAATGCTGCCAGTGATCTGACAGGAGGCGGAGCTCGCCCTTGTAATACTTGCTTGCCCTCTGCTCACCTCCTGCTGTGCTGCTGGTTTCCTAACAAGCCATGGACTGGTACTTGTCCACAGCCCAGGGATTGGGAATCCCTGGTATAAGATGGACTCTTGGATAAGTTTATGTCATTATGCCTAGAAATGCAGGCAGTTGGCTAGTTTGTCAAACCTGTAACATTGAGTGATGATATGAGGCAATATTTTATATGAATCTTTGACATATATGTTTGCTTATCATTTAGGATAATGTTTTACCCTTGCCGTAGTTTCTTGGAATTCTTTTCCAAAAGGTGGGTATTCCCTGGCTGTCCAAATAAATCCTGAAGTGCATGTGGGTCAAACCCAAGGGCAGTCTGTTTTCTGTAATGATCTTTACATCAGGGTAAACTCCTGTTTTACAAGTGAAGAGACTGAAATATAGGGGCTTTAAAAATTCCTCAGCTGTGTAATTATTCTTGAATATGGAAAGATATTTAAACTTTTACCACCAGCTTTTAAACCATTTTTGCCACCTCCAGGTAAGGTAGTGATAGTGTCTCCTGGAGAACAGATTAGGGCTGGCTCTTAGGGGAACAAAGAAGCAGACTGAGGTCTATAATTCTAAGATAAAAGCTGGACACTTGTTCTGATTCAATAAAGCAGAAATACCATTCCCATGCTTTATTGCCACAATGTAGAGAAAAACAAAACTTTGGGGCCAGCTAACCCTGAGTT
Source organism: Homo sapiens (assembly GCF_000001405.40). Classification (NCBI taxonomy): domain Eukaryota; kingdom Metazoa; phylum Chordata; class Mammalia; order Primates; family Hominidae; genus Homo; species Homo sapiens. Next base: position 68,868,513 of record NC_000009.12, on the reverse strand, counting down.
AAAATCTCGGCTTTACCATTTACTGGCTGGATAGCCTTGGGCTAAGTGACTTAATGTCTTAGGGTCAAATTATTTCATATACCAAATAGTGTTCTTATAAAGATGAAAGATAATAAAAATTAATATATGTTATATAAGTCAATTTACTATATGAATAAAACTATGCTTGATTCACAATTAGTTTTTAAAAATGTTGCCTCCCTTTGCCACCTTAGGTCCTTGTTTACATGGTACAAGCTTTATAAACCATCCTCCTTCTTCTTTATCCTATCAATGCATGAAACCTATCTATAACCTTGAGCTTCTGATCCCAACACAGAATTTGGGGTCAAAATATTAAGATATGATCATGATTTTCTTACTTATCTACTTTGAGATTTTGGAACACATTTTGGAAGATCATGGAGCCAAACAGTTAAAAGAGATTTTTATATCCTCTTTCAAATCTTAAAAAGGCCCAGGGCTTTTTCCATCTCCAAAATGAAATAATTCATAGGACAAATTATGTACTTGATATTTAAAAATAACTTTGAGCAGCTTCAAAATATATAAATAAGAAAAAAACACAATGCATTTGGTTGCTAGGGGAAACGGATTCTGCAACTTCAGAAAGCAGTAAATTAAAACATCTCAAGGTACCTCAAGTAATTAGTTCTATGACCCAGATAGACTCGTTGAGCCATCAGAGACTGCAGAATGTTTTGGATGCTTACAACCAGGGCCTGTCCTGCCCACCTACCCCTTTCTTCATCCCCATATGGGCTTGGAAATACTTAGAGAGAAAGCATTATTTGACTGATTTATTGAAGTTTAATTGACATACAAGAAAGTATACCATTTGTTACTTTTACACATGTGTATATACACCTGTGAAACCATCACCACAATCATGATACTAAATTTATCCATCACTTTATAGGGGTTTTTTGACTGCTACAGCAACTAGGAGATATTACTGGCAGGGCCTGGGGACCAAAGATCTCCTGAAAGGTACTGTCTTGCACAGAGTTGTCTTATCCAACAAAGCCAATAGCACCTCCATTGAGAAACACTGGGCCAAATCCCTTTGCTAAATCCACGAAGACACTGAGTCCAGATGATGAAACTGAGGCAAGACTAACATAAGTTTCTTCTGTTTACTGTAAATCCATCTGGTGTGCCTGTGTTACTTAAACAAACAAGATAGCATCTGCTGAAAGAAATTCTTGGTCTGAATCAAATGTTGAGGCCGGCACCTGCCAGGGTGGCGTGGGAGCCGGAGTCCGAGGGTGTAGAGCCAAACCGGGACAATAATTCTTTTTCATTTAAAAATAACAAGAAAAAAAAAATGCATCAAATGTTAAATATTGTATTGCCATTTTTTTTTGAAGGGAAGATATAGACTTTTATTTTCATGGGGTGTTTTTAGTAAGGTTGCTTGAATGAATAGAAAGCATTTCATGTACACTATAAGTAGTATGGATTGTTACACGAACCTGAAGGGACAGTCCAGTCATCCTACGTGGCAGCAGAGCCATGCTAGGACCCAGGCTATTTTTCACTCTGGTCAATTTGATTTTTTGGTTTTGACCCCAGCAATATTGCCTCACAAATCCATTTTTTTAATTCGAGTACCCACCAAAATCCTACCATCTGCACCTTTTTCCCTGGACTGGACTCTTGCCTGTCTTTCAGAGTAGATTCACACCTTCTGGTCCATGAACCTCCAGCCTTTGTCTTCAGTCACACAGAACATTCCCTCACAAACTCTACTATCTTTCCACTCACCAGCCCCCACCTTCCTCTTCCTACAAATCGTCACTAAAAGGTAAGGCAGACAGCATGTCATTTTTTGGTCTAGTACCTGATTATTTTAGACAGCCCAGAGAAAGGGTTGATTTGTAATTGTAATTGTATGCACAGTTCTCTATCGGACAATTTAAATCTAACTTAATCCAACTAAATGTGCCTACATGCAAACATCAATATCTATTTAGCCTTTCTATTTCATGCATCTATTTTAAATAGTTTTATTCTATTTTATATTTATTATGTAGTATTTTTATTACTCCATTGCATATGTGTGTAGATATATATTATATGAGTGTATATGTATACACACACACACACGTGTATCACTTAATAATTTTTAAAGTTTTTCTTATAGACTTTTACTCATTTTACACAATATTATTATAAAGAAAATGAGGGAGGTAATTTTTTTCTTTTTTTTTTTTTTGAGACAGAGTACCACCCTGTCGCCCAGACTGGAGTGCAGTGGCAGGACCTCAGCCCACTGCAACCTCTGCCTCCCAGGCTCCAGAGATTCTCCTGCCTCAGCCTCCTCCTGAGTTGCTGGGATTACAGGTGTGCACATTTATAGGCTGCAAATACTCTAAATTGCTATATTTTAAATGTGACAATGGATGCCTCTAAATAAGGGAAAGTCAGCTAGCTACTCCTCTGCCAGTGACACACCTGCTGCTGCTACCTTGGATGACAGTGAAGGCCAAAGATGCAAAGTGCTAATAGATGTCATTTTGACATTTAAGATGCTTTTAAAAAATGATTTGAGTTTTATTAGTTGTAAGAGTCGTGTAATAACTCCAAGAACAAAATTTGTTATCTACCAGAAAGATTCTCTCTCTCAAGTGGAAAGTCATGGGCGAGGCCAGTGGTTCTCAAACCTTTCTGTGCTGAGAATCACCCCGACGGCTTGTTAAAACAGATTCCTGGTTCCCACCCACAGAGTTTCTAATTCAGTTGGTCTGGGTGGAGCCCAAGAATCTGCATGTCTAGCAAGTTCCAGGTGTGCCAGTGTTTAGGATTTGGGGACCTCATGCCTGAGCCATGCTTTCCCCAAGTGCCCGTCAATGGTTGGCTGTGTTGATTGGACACTGGAAGTAGAAGAGGTCAGTCAGTGAGGATAGGGGGAGCACATGGAACGTCTTTATACCCCCACCTTCAGCTGTAATGCTCTCAGCACCCTGAGCTCACTGTCTCCACACTCCCACAGAAGTCCTCCATTTCTCCTGTTCTTTGTAGCCAAAGAACAACAAAGTTGAAATGTCTGGGTAGAGACCTTTGGAGACCATGAGAGCTCAAACAAACATCCTGCAAACACACTTACAAGCATTATGAGCCTAAAAAAATCATACCAAAAGATGAAGATAAACTCATGACCCCCTGGCTTTTAAGAGAAAAACATGTAGTTAATATACATTTTTTTTTTTTTGGAATGGTAGGCTGTTAAAAACAAACACAGAGAACATTTCCAACTATAGAAAGAAGAGTAGGATCATAAGCAAGGATTATATCTTGGGCCTTGCGGTTGTCCATTTTCTGCCTGGAATCTGGTTCTCATGGCTGCTAGAGGACCCTAGACAAGCAGACTTCAAAAGGCCAGTAGACCAACTTTATTCTGCAGCTAAGAGCATTTAAAGCAAAACGAGGTAGCTGACTTTTAAAAATTTATGGGCTCTGCTCCTTGGTGACTATGTGGGGGTTACTGCATGTCCACAAACAGGTTTTATTTTTAGGCAGTTGACACCTAGACACAGAGATAAATGTGTAAAGACAATTATTCTAAAGATACATATAGATTTTTAATAAGGTGATGAGGACACTAGTGGTAAACAAAGTGTCACTTTAGCTATGTTTACCCAAGCCTGGTAATAACATGACTTATTTTTAAGAGAAATGTTAAAATCAATTCTCACAGCTCCAAAGACAAGTCCCCAAATTGAATATCTTTATTTTTATTTTCTGGATCATTTGAAAAATCCTGTCACTTGTGGTGATACTTATTTAATGATTACTTCTTCTCTTCCTAAATGAACGTAGTAATAGAATTTTTAATTAATTAGTTTTATTGTGGTAAAATATACTCAACATAAAATTTACTATGTTAGCCACTTTTAAGTGTACAGTTTTGTGGCATTAATACATTCATATTACCATCATCCATTTCCAGATGTATTTGTTTTTAAATAATTGATCCCCTCACCCTAAAATGATGAAAGCTAGAGACAACATATATGGGTAACTTTGGTATTTTTGCAAACAGCAGGATTATCCATGTTTTCTCGAGGAAAGTTAAGTTAAAGTCATCATAAAAGAGAAGAGATAAGACTAAACTCAGATTTGAGGCCCAATTATGGGCCTACCAGCCCATGCTTTTAAATTAGGGGGAGCAAAAACCTAGCACCAGTTGCTGCTTCATGGAAGCCTTCTTTCTATAAACCCTTGGCGGACATTACTCTGTGATTACTGCACTCTTTCCCACTGAACCTCAAAATCTTTCTCCATATGGTCTTCCAGGCATTCATCACAACTAATTAGAATTAGTCCATAGATGAAACCTATTTACCATCTCCACATAAAAATTGTGAGACATCCTGATGAAACAGGAAGTAAACATCATTTGGACTGCCTTTGGCCCTGCCAAAGGCCCAATATTCACATCTGTACATATAAACATGTACATAGTAGAAAAGCCCTTCAATATGGGGTTGTCACAAAGAAGGTTCCTTAGCATGGAAATCATCACAAATAAAAATGTTCTTACCTGGGTAGGAACACACTTTCCACCACATAAAAGTCTTGCATAAGAACATCTCGTTCTGGCTTGGAAGTGAGATTACCCACTGTGTATCCTATTCCCAGCTGAATAGCACCTTTAATAGCAGATGATGCAGTCTGCAAAGAAAACAAGGGTCTCAACATTAGTCTTAACAGTCAGGGCCTTGTTCAATGGTACAGGCAACAAAACATGAGTGAGGTTCAATTCTCTTTCTTGCTCCAAAACAATGACGAGGCTGAGGTTTGGCAAGATGATAAGTTGCTTCTTTTGATGCAGAATCTATTCCAAACATTAAAGCTCTTTCTTTTCAAATGTTTTTTGTGATAATGTTTCTTATAATTTAATTTGGAAATTGCTTACTAGTCCCACCATAGATCCATAATAATTTCTTACATTAATCTGTGCTAAAACATACAGCATGGGGACACCAATATTTCCCATTTACTACTTTTCTAATATCATCCAATAATTAAGCTGATGTAATGTTAACTTGGAGAATAACTACTGTATACGTGTGTGTGTGCGTGTGTGTGTGTATGTGTGTGTGTATGAGTATACACATATATAGTTTTAACCAACATAATAGGAGAAATAACAGAATAACTCAATTTAGGACAATTAGAATGTATTTTTTTACGGTGAAGTGTGTCATACTTTTTATGCCTTGCACTGCCTAATGTAGTGCTACATACATGGTAGGAATTAAATACTTAAATCAGTGGTTCTTCACCAGGAACATCTGATGATATCTGAAGACATTTTTTGGTAATCACAACTGGAGGTGGTGGCATTACGTCTAGTGGGTAGAGGCCAGGGATGCTGCACAGGACAGCTCCCACCACAAAGAATCATCCAGACCAAAATGTCAATAATGCTCAGGTTAAGAAACCCTGACATGAATGGATGTAATAAAGATCATTTACTTTATAGAAAAGATACTTTCTTTCTGATTTAATATTTTTACTTAGCAAATCTAAGACCCATCCCCACCTCCCCACATGCTTTATATCTTTTTATTTCTTCAAGCTTTTAACACCAGAGAACACCTGTCTATTCTGGAAAAAAATGTCTTCTCTTGATTTCTATGATAGAATATGGTCCTGGAGCCACTTCTATATATATATATATATTTATTTATTTATTTATTTTTTATTTTTTTTTGAGACAGCATCTTACTCTGTCGCCCAGGCTGGAGTGCAGTCGTGCAACCTCGGCTCACTGCAATCTCTGCCTCCCGGGTTCAAGCAATTCTCATGCCTCAGCCGCCTGAGTAGCTGGGACTACAGGCATGCACCACCACATCTGGCTAATATTTGTATTTTTAGTAGAGATGGGATTTCGCCATGTTGGCCAGGCTGCTCTCAAACTCTTGGCCTCATGTGATCTGCCCACCTCAGCCCCAAAGTGCTGTGATTACAGGTGTGAGCCACCATGCCCGGCCCACTTCCAGCTTTTCTTATAGTCTCTCCTGTCACTTCTTCTCTGACCTCTCATATTGTATTTGCTATAATTGCAGTGTCCCCTGAATTCGGTCCTTGATCCTCAGGTCTCCTTAATTGCCCTGGTAATCAATCCATTCTTAATGACTTAAATACTGTTTCTATTCAGATGGCTCGCAGATTCTTTTCAATCAATTGGGATGCTGTTCTGTCAACACGAATGCAGTGTATACAGAGCCAGATTAATATCTTACAACCTCTCCACACCACTTCTGAGACTGGCTTCATTTCCCAAGGCAGTGTCATCTTCAGTTATCCAAACTTGACCTCCAAACAGACTACATCTAGAGCAGGGCTAGGTCTCTAGTCCATCTACAGACTACTTTCTCATAGGGGCATCATTTCATCACTTTGCTTATTCTACAATAAAGGTTATGTCACCTTTAGTGTGAGGACGACTATCTACATCCTTGACACTTAAGGAGGTAGAAAAATGTCTTCGTGTTTTTCTTTTTTCACATGCCCTTTTATTTAAGATCCTAGGGCAGCAAGATGGCAAAAGACTAAGACTTAAGCCCACAGTGCATTCAGTGTTTCTTAAAAAAAAAAAACAAAAAACAAACAAACAAAAAAACCCCCTGCTATTTTAATGCTCCCTCTCGGAGCTCTGCAATGCCACCATTTGGCGTCAGTGACCTTTTGTACCAGTAGCTCTGACTTTTAAAGGCTGAAATGGATTTTCTTCATTTTAACCTTGCATAAAAACTCAAAAGGCATCTCTTCTCCCATGCGTCACTCAGACTGGTAAGGCACAAGACGTGACATAAGCACTTCCCAGAGGGCCCGATACGCCACACTGTTCTAAGCCAGATCTATCAACAGGTTCACATGCTGCCCAAGTGCTCTGCAGCCCCCGCACCGCACCCCTGACGCTGCTTTCCAGAACTATCTGTATCTGCTTAACTCACAAAACCACCACGATAACATCATTTTAACACTTCTTGGGCTGGAACAGCCTGCCAAAGAGAGTAACCAATTCTTGTCTCCACCCTGGCAACAGAAGGTAGTCAAAGCTGTGACTAGTCTACACCTAGTGTTATCAAACTTCAGGAACATGAGAATCACTGGGTATACTTGCTAAAACAGATGACGGTCATGTCCCCAGAATTTCTGATTCCAAAGGTCTGGAGTGAGGACCAAATATATGCTCTTGTTCTAAGAAAAAATCTTTCTCCTCTGGTGTAAGGTTAAGTTTTGAGTCCCTGAGGAGTAAGATTTTGAAAAGAACCCTGCTGTTATATATTTAGTTAAATCAAAAACAGACTGGTAATAATATTACTTTCCTTTCAGAGCATTTAAATTTCAGGTGCTCTGATGGGAGAAATAATAAAAGTAGTTATTAATCTTTTTTGACCAACTAATTTATGCCAGGCACTTGATATATGAATAATAACAATTATGATCATAATCTATCATAATCATAGCACATACTAATGTAGTGTTTACTACTAAATGGCAGGCACTGTTCTAAGTGCTTTCTGGTTATATTAAGCCTTTTATCCTCACGACTGTATGAGGTAGGCACTCTTACTATTTCTATTGGCTCAGGAAGGTTTAGCAACTTACACGAGGTAACACAGCTACTGACAAGGTGAAGCTGGGACTCACCTCTAGGGAGGCTGGCTCCAGAGTCCCAAGTTACACTCCACTGTCTCTAAATCAGAATCTCCTCACTCATTTGACCCTCTCCAGAACCGTGAGGCATAGTAACAACTGTTCCCATTTTACAGAGGTGGATTTAAGGCTCAGCAAGGTTAAGTGACTTGCCCAAGTCCCTTTGCTAGTATGTGGTGGAGTCTGACTGCCAAATTCAGGCTGCCTCCATATCAGTGTTTGCAAAATGAGCCTAGAATCAAAGTCGGAAGTTCTCTTTTAAGTATGAATGTTTGACCTCAACAAAGCAAAAGCTCTGAGAGAGCCATTCCTTTTGGTGAAAAAAGGGTAAAAATTTTATTTCTTCCAATCATACCCACCCACGGGTAAGCCAAGGAAAAACTTGTAAACTTCTTGGTAAAGCTGTACAAACACCATCGTTAATGTCACCACTGGTAACATGGGGACTATTAACAAAAGGCGGCATTTTGCTGACATACTAGGAATGACACCTCAAAGTTTCCTCCTCCCCAGGTCTGTGTAAAAATTAAATGCTTTAATAGTGATATATTTGGGTATCACTAAAAAGCATCTTATATATGGAATCTAAAAATGTTGAACTCGAAGTAGAATGCCAGTTACCAGGGGCTGGTTGGGGGCTGGGGGCTTGGGGAGATATTGGTCCAAGGACAAAATTTCAGTTAGATAGGAGGAATAAGTCCAAGAGATCTATTGTACAATATGGTGACTACATTAATAACAATGATCGTATGTTAAAAATCACCAAGAAAGTAGATTTTAAGTGTTCTCATCACAAAAAATAACTATGTGAGGAAATGCACACTACCTCAATTAACTAACTCAACAGAGCCATTTCACAACGTATACATATTTCAAAACATCATGTTGTACACAATAAATACATATAATTTTTACTTGTCAATTAAAAAAATAAAATAGAAAAAAAGCATCTTGTCTGCTTTGTGGAAATGTCTGAGGCACATCCTAATATTAAGCCAGATGTACTTTGAAACTGTGAAAAAACACTGTGAAACACTACCTGGAGTGTCTCTGATGAGATTAGTAAATCATGATGATGACAAAGAACCTTCTGTGTGAAGTGTTGGTGATTGCAGTATTAGAACCAATAGTCCTTTCCCTGAAAACTCTAAGCCGCCAGAGCTCCCTTCCTTCCTCCAGGATACCACCAACAGACCAGTGACACGGTGGTGGGTTGCCGGCTTTGCACAACTGAGCTTCTCCACTTTCCTCTGCATGGCTTGGCATATGCTCTAAAAGTGCTAGGACAGGACTACTGCCCCTTTGAGTGCCAAGGGGAACCTTTGACTCCTTTAAAACATATAGGTTTAAGTTTCAGAACACAGCAAACAGAGTCTATTTTTAATTCAGGTTTTTGCAAGGGCTAAGTGGAGGCAATATGTTGCCTGGATACTAGAAAAACCTCTAAAGCATTTGATACTTGGAGAAAGGGAGAACCATATAACATCATAAAGGCAAACCACAAACGTTTAGTTTCACAGCTCCTCTGTATTAACCCAAACATGTTCAGATATGATGGTAATACTAAGAGGAAAATGAATATCAGCTTGCATTTGGGTAATATGTTATGGTTTTCAAAGCACTGTCTTTTAACGATCACATTTGATTGTCACAACTGTTACATAGCTACATAGGGTTTCTAATGCCATAGTATAGATAAGGAAACCGTGGCTCCAGGAGATGAACTTGGTCTAAATCCCTTAGCTAGTGTGTGCATACGCTGGTCTTCTAGAAGGCTCCCAATACGGCATTCTACAATTTTGCTTTACTTACCGGAGTTTTCTCTGCTAGAGATGGATCTGATAAAAGCTGAGAAGCAGCGAACAATGAGATAATAATGATGAAAGTTACAATAAGACCAAATGCCTAAGCAAACCATCTCTTAGAAAAGCAATGATCTGACAAGATTTTGACGTCCTTACATCAAAACTGCTTTCTACAGCACACTATCTATAAAATTAGGTCACTTAATATGCCATCTGATATCACTGGCTTTAAAAGGAAATATTAAAACATTTCATGTCAACAGCATTTTTCCACCTAAGGTGAATGGATGAACAAATGTTGGGATTATGGCCAATATAGATGTTTGCAGAGTGATTGTTTTCAAAAGCACAAATCTGATCATGTCAGTGCCTTGCTTGAAGCCCTCTAATGGGTTCTCAGTGCCCTCCCTGGAGGATTAAGTCCAAACCCCTTAGCTTAACACTGGAAGCCTATCTTAGAATATTACTCCCTGTCTGCTTCCCACCAACTCCCACGCCTGATATATATTTTAAAAACCAAATACTCTATCCTTTGAGCAAGCTGACCTTATGAACCCCTAAAAACTACATGTGAAAATTTTTGCTTGTGTGCATTTTTACCAGGGATGAGGTCCAATGCTTTCTCTGTTTCTGAGAAGATCTATTTTCCCAAAACCATAGATTTTGAGAGTCTAATTCTAAATCAGAGATATTCACTGACAAGGTGCCTTAGACTAGGCCATAAAGAAATGGTTCAGTATCACCTGTCAACAGCAAGAGAGGGCCAGGTGCAGTGGCTCACGCCTGTAATCCCAGCACTTTGGGAGGCTGAGGAGGGTGGATCACTTGAGGTCAGGAGTTCAAGACCAGCCTGGCTAACATGGTGAAACCGCGTCTCTACTAAAAATACAAAAATTAGCCGGGCATGGTGGCGCATACCTGTAATCCCAGCTACTCAGGAGGCTGAGGCAGGAGAATTACTTGAACCCAGGAGGCAAAGGTTGTAGTGACCCAAGATGGCGCCACTGCACTCCAGCCTGGGCAAAAGAGCAAGACTCAGTCTTAACAACAACAACAACAACAACAACAACAACAAAACAGCAAGAGAGTAATTCTTATATGGGTGTATGGGAAGGGAGATGCTGACCAGCCTCCCCATTTATTTATTATTTCTCCTTCATTCCTCTTCGGTAACCACCCCGGTTCTACAACATATGCTGGAGTGCAGTGGTATGATCACAGCTCATTGTAACCTCAAACTCCTGGGCTCAAGCCATCCTCCCACCTCAGCCTCCCAAGTAGCTGTGACTTCAGGTGTATGCTACCATGCCTGGCTAATCTTTTCAATTTTTTGTTGGGATAGGGTCTCATTTTATGGCTCAGGTTGATCTCAAACTCCTGACCTCAAGAGATTCTCCTGCCTCAGCCTCCCAAAATGTTGAGATTACAGGCGTGAGCCGCCACACCTGGTCCACGTTCCTTCATTTCTACAGCTCAAACCCAGCTCCAGGTTCTCCCTCCTCTCCGTGAACCTATACTCAAGAAACAAGTCATAGTCCACTTATTTGTCCCACTGAGAGAATTAAGGAGAAAGAAACAGGGATAGATTCCCACTGAGAGAACTAAGGAAAAAGAGAGAGAGATTGCATGAAACTGGTTGTAGGACTATGGAAATTATACAGTTTGTGGGTAGGCAAACCTCCTCCTCTCTGAGAGGAAGTGGGACCACCTCTTGCTTCTGGGTTCTTCAAATCATTTCTCAAGTTCTTCCTTGTATTAGTTTTCTGTTGCTTCTATAATAAATTACTACAAGCTTAGTGGCTTAAAAAAATGCAAACTTATTATCTTACAGTTCTGGAGGTCAGAAGTCCTAAAATCAGGGTTTTGACAAGGCTGCGTTCCTTCAGAGACTCTGGTGGGGAATCAGTTCCTAGAGTCCACCCGCATTCCTTGTGGCCTCTTCCTCCATCTTCAAAGCCAGCAGAATTGTTAAATCTCTGTCTCCCTCTGACCTCTGCTTCTCTCATCACATCTTCTGTGACTCTGATCTTCTCACTTCGCTTTATATGGACCCATCTGGATAATCTAAGATAATCTCCCTATCTCAAAATCTTTAACTTAATCACACCTGCCAAGTGTGTGAAGTTATTGGCAATGTCTTCTTAATAGGTTCCAGGGATTAGGACATAGATCTCTTTGGGGTCCCATTATTCTGTGGATCACACTCCTCTACTTCAGGATTGACCCTGGCATTTTTTCCCGTGTTGCCCCCAGCAGAGAGAAGAGGTTCCCTCAGAACCCCATTCAGTCAGAGGCTGTTCATTCTGCCAGCAAAGATCTGAGCACTTAGTATGAGCCAGGCATTATTTTAGGCATTGTGCGAAGCATAAGCCGAAAAAGAGACGTGGTTCTTGCTCTCATGGGAGTTTCTAGTCTAGTGGGGGAAAGAGACATTAAACAGACAAAGATACACATGCATAAAGACAAATGAAGTCAGTGACAGAAAGAACAGCGTGAAATAATTGAGGTCAGAAGGGCGGAGACCCACTCAAGAATGATGGAGTCTCAGAGGTCTCTCTGAGGAATGATCTGTAGGCTGAGACCTGAAAAGTGAGAATGGGCCAGTCAACAAGTCGTGTCAACAAAGACTGGCTGTGTCCTTTGTACAAACTGGGGACATAAAGGTGACCTGAACAGAGTCTTGCCCTTAAGGAATTGACATTTTGGATTACTATGTGTGGTGAGGAAAGACAAAGCACATTAGGAAATTAGGGGAGTTGATTTCCAGGGATAGAGAAGCAGTAAGGTTCGGGGACCTGAAAGCAAATCATATGAGTTCATTAGTCGGGTAACAGGGAAAGTGCCAGAACTGGAGGCTGGAAAGACTGGACAGACTGAGATCTGGGTCTTATAGGCCATCCTAATGGTTTGATGTGTTTCAATGAGGGAACAGCATTCTTATTTGAAAAGGTTCACTCTGGCTGCTACTTAGCGTAGCAGGAATTGATTCCCTGCTAGAGCCTCTGAAGGAACGCAGCCTTGTCAACACCTTGATTTTAGAACTTTTGACCTCCAGAACTATAAGATAATAAGTTTGCATTGATTTAAGCCACTGAGCTTGTAGTAATTTGTTATAGAAGCAATAGAAAATTAATACAGGAAAGAACTTGAGAAATGATTTGAAGAACTCAGAAGCAAGAGGTTGTCCCACTTCCTCTCAGAGAGGAGGAGGTTTGCCTACCCACAAACTGTATCATTTCCATAGTCCTACAACCAGTTTCATTGGAGGGATTATAGGCAGGAAAGTGATTGGGGGCAGTTGTAGTGGTTCATATAGAGATACTGATGGCTTAGAGAAGGGTGATGAACGAGAGGATGGGCAGAGGAGGTGGATTTGAGATATATTGGAGGGAGGGAGACAGAATTTGCTGCAAACTAGAAATAAGGGACAGAAAAGTACCAGCAATGCCTCCTGGCATTTTCCTTCAGCAGTTGAGAGGACTGAAGTCACTTTACCAAGCTGAGGAAACTGAAGATGGTACCTATTTTGGAGCAGAGATTCAGAGTTCCATTTGAGATGCTAATGAGACATCCAACTGGAGATGCTAACATACAAGTCTGGAGCTTGGGATAGAGGTTAGAGAGAATATTTCATTTTGAGAGTTGTTAGCATATAAATGATATTGAAAACCAAGGGGTTGAATGAGAAAACCAAGAGAGAGAGGGGAGTATCCAAGGAGAGTCCTAAACCACAACAACATTTAGAAAATAGATGGAAGGAGGAAAAGCTTTGGAGGAGACGTAGGAGTGACTAACACAGTAGAAGAAAATCAGGGAAATATGGCTTCACTGAAACCAAGAAAAGAGAGTTTGAAGAAAGGGGTGACAACCGTCTCCACAAGTAGCTCTTTCATCTGATAATATAAATACTACAACTTGATGGAATATCTAAAGCTATGAGTCAAATTCTCTATATTTTTCTCATTCATATTGTTAATTCATATATAAACCTAAATCTGGATCTAGCATATTTGACAAAATTATTTGATGGACTCGTCAAATTATGCCATCACTTAAATCATATTTTAGAAGTGATCCTTAACTTAGAAAAATAAGATACTATGTTAAGTTTAAAAAGCAGGACACAATACAGATCATAAAATTTAAACAAGAAAAACCAAGTACACGTGTACATATCCACGGAGGAAAATAAGACAGGAAGGAAATATACCAAAATGTACAATTATTTCTGGATAGCGGGATATTAGGTGATTTTTGCTTTCAAGTTTTGTACTTCCCAAGTTTTCTAAATTTTATGTTTTATATATTGGGATGGAAATGTCCTCCAATGAAGGTATTGCTACTATGTTTTAAAATACATTTTGAGGCATGACAAAGGCATGTTTAGGAGTTGCTCATCTTTTTAGCTTTTTCTTTTAGGTCAAGGCCTTAATGCAACAAACCTATGTAATGATTGTGCTTTTATAAAATGTAATCATAACAAGTTTATTTTTGTCTCCCACTGTTCCTCTAAATGTATTCTGGGGTTAGATTTTTCTTCTGCCCCAGCATGAAATATACGGCAGGTCTATGACCCTTCTGGTGGCTTCTGGAATAAAAGGTCCTGTCCAGGTATGGTGGCTTGCACCTGTAATTCCAGCATTTTGAGAGGCCAGGGCAGGAGGATCACCTGGGCCTAGGAGTATGAGATCAGCCTGGGCCGCATAGTAAGACCTTTTCTCTACAAAAAATCAAAAAATTGGTCAGGCATGGTGGCGGCACCTGTAGTCCCAGTTACTCAGGAGGCTGAGGCAGGAGGATTGCTTGAGCCTAGGAGGTAAAGGTTGTAGCGAGCTGTGATTGTGCCACTGCATTTCAGCTTGGATGACAGAATGAAACCCTGTCTCAAAAAAAAAAAAAAAAAAAAAGTTTTCTGTTTATTCCCAGTCATAGATCTGTAAAAATGGTCTCATCTAGACATCTGGTATGTACAGTCCAGCTTAATAATAATAATAATAATAATAATAAAAACTTATATATGCTTTTGGTAGCCATCTCTCTCTTCCCCCAGCTTGCCTGGCACAAGCCGGCCTCCAGCAGTGGGAGGGGCTTGGGAGCCTCTCTTCTCTTTTCTGACTGGTTGCTAGAGGGAGGAGAAAAGAGGTAGGAAAGGTGTTTTTTGAAGAGTACAGTTGTAAAATGTACCAGGAACTGAAAAGGCTGTCCAGGTATGTATCTTTTTTTCTTGTGAGGTGCTCTCATGGGGTCTGCAGTTCTCCCCCGCAAATGGCTATTGCATTCCTCTGCCTGGTAGTTTCCTGTTGTTTTTCCAGGTCTTCACATAGACAGGACTGGGGTGACCCCACATTAGCTCTCTCTAGAGCTCAGTGTCCTCCAATGGTCACATATCATTTGCCTGGAACACCCACCCTCCCCAAGGAGCCTTTTTTGGTTTTGCCGTCATCAGAGCAGCTGACCAAAACTTCTCTTCTGAAAACTTTCTGATTTTTCAGAAAAATACTATAGTCTATTGCATCCTCCAGGCTCCAGGGAGCACACAGCACACTCTTCAGTGGTCTCACAGAAGCCCCCTTCTCTAGGCTTGAGATGGTGGGCAGACCCTCTCCCAAGCCTCTCCCTTATGTGGGTTACTCATGACATATCAACAACTCTTTCCAAATTTCCTCTTCCATATCTCACAGTGGGCCAGCCAGGCCCTTTCATAGAGTGGGGTGATCATTCAACTGGTCTTAGACCACCTCCTTCCCCAAGTTCTACATGGCAGGCTGGCACCTGAACTTGGAATATGATTATGCTTCCATCCCTTCAGCTTGTATTGTGTGGGACTGATTCACAGGTCCCGCTGATCACATGGGGTTTGGGCCAGCTGCATCAATGGATTGCTCACTGTGTTCCATTCCACCTGCCATGTGACTGCCAGACTCATCATTCCAAGGCTCTCTTTCTGTTTTTCCTTTTAAAACCACCTCCCAGCATAGAAGCCTCCACTAATTTTTAACCATCTGTAGAAATGAATCCAAATTCTTTGCTTGGCCTTCAAAACTTTCTACAATTGAGTTCCTGTTAATGCTAAATGCTGTAATAAATCAATCCTCAAATACCAAGTCCTATAAAAAAAAACACACCCCTAAAATTCAATGTCTTGATTCAAGAGAAGTTTATTTTTTGATAGGACCTAGTCCACAGTGAGTGTCTCTGAATGATAATCCACTTGCCTTTGTCAGGTGATTCAGAGAGCCTGGCTCCTGCATCCCTGTAGCTCTAGTAGCCCCTAGGATCGTAAAATCCCCCCAGTCCAGCTGGCTGATAGGAGAAGTGAGAGAATATCCACTTCTTCCTACCTTTGCCAGGAAGTGACAGTGCAGGATATCTACCCCAGGCCTGTCCCTCAACCCTCCTTCACCCTGCTCTGTGCCCTGGGTTACCATCAGTAAGGCCACATCAAAGGGCTCCCTCTGGCTTCTAGTTGGGTTTGGCCAATGGGACACCATGGCAGAAGACTGGACGGAGGTTTGAGAGTGAGGTCAAAGTGTTTACTTCCATCCCTCCCTCCTTAAGGGTTTGACTCGGTCTGGTTGTGTCCTTCTAAAGGTTACAGCTCCTCTCTGTGGATCTTTCCAGATGATTCCTACTCTGGGATCTAGAAATAGTGCCATTCTCTTACCTTTTTATGGCTTGGGGGGCGGTGTGGGGGAGGCGGGTAACAAGGTACATTTTGCCTCAAGACACTGAACTACCCCTTATGGTTTCCCTGCATTTCTCCCACATCTTTGCAAACAGAGTCTTTCTTTTTTTCTTTTTTAAAATTTTACTTTGAGTTCTAGGATACATGTACAGAACATGCAGGTTTGTTACATAGGTATACATGTGCCATGGTGGTTTGCTACACCTATCAACCTGTCATCTAGGTTTTAAGCCCTGCATGCATTTGGTATTTGTCCTAATGCTCTCCCTCCCCTTGCCCCTCACCTGCCGATAGGCCCCGGTGTGTGATGTTCCCCTCCCTGTGTCCATGTGTTCTCATAAAAAGAGTCCCTCTTAAATTCCTTCCAAATTATCCGATTTAAGTGTGTCATCCTTTAACTGCCCAGGTCCTACAGACAATGACTCATTCATAGCACACCAGTAAGGATAAGCCACACGGCCTGGCTCAGATGCAAGGAGGGCCGGCTCTGCAGCTGCTTTCCAGACCCAGCTGTGCTTTGGAAGAGGGGGCACAAACTCTGGTGGACCAGTTACTGTTTTGGCCACAAGCCAGAGATCCTCTTGCCTCTATGCAAATCCACCACTTTAGCCAAACTGTCCCACTTAAACTTGCCTTGTGATTTCTGGTCTCTGCATCCACTGATCTCTGGGCTTTCCATGCTGTCCTTTTCCATTCTCTTTTCAGTATCCTACCCACTCTTCCAGGTCCAGCTTTACCAATCATGCCTCTACACAGCCTCTGTTCATTACAGGAGCTAAAACCGGTTACTCCCGTCTCCCAGTATGAATCATTTCATACGTGACTTTTGGGGTATTCTGTTATTTTCATGATTGGCAACGACATTTCTGATATAATTTCTGCAGCATCTGCATTTTCAAAAATAAGAATACTGGAGTTCCATTAAATGATGGCCTTCCCTAGGCTGGCACGAACACTCCATGTGGTGAATTTGCCTTATAACAAGGTTATTCTGACACACTAGGCACTAAACAACCTTGGAAGAAGCCCAACACAGATCCACTTTATATTTAACTTTCCCTTTTTATCAAGCAGCCTTTTAACAAGATCCCAGTATATCCATCTGTTTGATAGAAGATTTGCTTCTCAACATTTAATAGGAGAGGCAGAATAAAGAAAAAGTGTTTCATGGTTTCTTTGAAATGATCTCCACCTTAATTTGATTGGCAGCAAAGCATGTTCCCTCATTGGAAAGGAAGAGCATGTTAAGTAAACACTCCTCATTAACAGAAAAATACTGTACTCTTAAAGTATTCATAATACAGCAGCATCAAATTATGGACACTTAATTGCCCTAAAAAGAGACAGGCCATCAACTGCAGATGAAATTCTTGATTTAGGATAGAGCTGTTATATTTGCTGTATATATTTGCTGTTATATTAGTCTTTCAGAAATATTACACTTTAAACTGAGATATTCATTATAAATGTAACACAGTATAATATCCTTAATACTATTCTTACACACTAGGGAAGAATATTTCATTTGTCTGTGTATTCAAATAAAAATTGTTATTTATTTGATATAAATATCAATTTAGATTCAATAGATTAAAATAAGACAGGATTGACTTTTCATCCTAGAATCAACCAAAATAAAATTTGACACAATCTTAGCATGTTTGATTTCCTGGTAGAGGACTTGTTATTTGAAAGGTTATATATTAGTTCAGTGCTAAGCACTGTTTTGGGGGAAATAACACAATGCTTATAGCGGATGTTACTGGTTGTCTGCAGCATCTATTCTCTTCTTACTTAGCAGTTGTTCTTCAAGAGGCTTGACTTTACCCTCAGGGACATCTGGCTGTGTCTGGAGACAATTTGGGTTGTCACACCTGGGCAGTGCTCCTAGCACTGATTGGACAGAGGCCAGGGATGTGCTAAACATCCTACAATGCACAGAACAGCCCCCCTCAACAAACAATTATCTAGCCCAAATGTCAATAGTGCTGAGGTTCGGAAACCTTGTGATATAGTAATGGATTTCAACTGGGTATTTTGCCTGGTTCTCTTTTAGGTAGGTATCATCACATTACTATTTTCTGGCTATTGAGCTGGGACAGGAAATGATGTGTCCGACTCCTAGGTCACGTCCTCACCAGGAAGGGGTGTGCTGTGTACAGATGTGATGGACAGAGATGAAGTAGGCTTCTTTAATCGCTTTTGTTAGCTATACATTGAGAATGGTAGAAAAACAAGATAGAAACCTAGGCCCCTGAATACCCTGCAGAGGCAAGTAAATGACCTCTGCACTTCATGCGTGTGAGAAATAAACTTCAACTTAGCTTAAGCCATGGTCATTCTGGTTCTTGTTTTGATCTATATTCCAAGCGCATATACCCTATGGACCTATAACCAAATGCTTTTTACCTGAAAAACAATATAGGCTCAAAAATATATCAGACTGAAAGATAAATATCCATAAAGATACCATTGCTCAATTTAGAAAGGTAAATTGTAGCCCATGCTCATTGAGAAAAAGTTAAAAAAAAACTCTTAACTACAGAAAGTAAAACACCAATGTGCCCTTCTCACACTTATTCTTGAGGGTTAACTACTGTCAACTGTTTAGTGTGTGTTTGGGGCTTTTTTCTCTACACACTGAAAAATACATGTCTGTATACACGCATTACAGATAAAAATGAGGCTGGGCGTGGTGGCGCATGCCTTTAATCCCAGCACTTTGGGAGGCCGAGGTGGGTGGATTGCTTGAGCTCAGGAGTTCAAGACCAGCCTGGGCAATGTGGTGAAACCCTGTCTTTACAAAAAATGCAAAAATTAGCTGGGTATGGTGGCTCTTGCCTGGGGAGGCTGAGGCAGGAGGATTACTTAAGCCTGGGAGGCGGAGGTTGCAGTGAGCTGAGATCGTACCGCTGCACTTCAGCCTGGGTTGACAGAGGGAGACCCTATCTCAAAAATAAAAATAAAATTAAAATGAGACTGTACTATTCATACTTTGTTTCAGCTTGCTTTTTTTTCCCCCAAATACTATGCTTCCATCTATACAGATCTCATTATTTGTAATGGTTACATAGATTTTCATAGCTTGTATGTACCACAATTGTTTTAACTACTCTCTTATTGATAGACACTAGGGTTCTTGTTCTCTCTCTTTAATAGAAAATAATGTGGTGATGAATATCCTTGTTCATATACTCCTATACATTTATTTCTTGAATATTTCTTCAGCTTTGATTCCTAGAAGAACTGATGAGTTAAAAAAATGCACATTTATACTTTTGGTAGGTACTGCCAAGATGTCTTCTACGGATTTCATCAATTTACATACTCACCAACAGAGTGCTGTGTAAGAATGATTCTATCCTCATACTCCTACCAATACCAGTATCATCAATATTGTTAACTTTTGCCAGTCTTGTTGTTTTAGTCTCCATTTTCCTGATCACTAGTGAGACAGATTCTCTTTTTGTGTATTAATTGTATTATTTGCTCTTAACTTTATAATTTTCATTTTTTTATGGTTATACACTAATAGTCATGTTCAATTATTTTACAGCAATTAAAGTTAAACTGCATTTGTAAAATAGTCCCCATGGAAGCTCTAAAACAATAAAATTTCCATGCCTTCTCTTAAGAGTTTTGATTATTAAAATTGTATGCTCTCACAGGGCAGAAACTATAGCTATTCTTTATCATCTACCAAATAAGGTTCTTGTTTATTCCT
This sequence comes from Homo sapiens, assembly GCF_000001405.40. Taxonomy (NCBI): domain Eukaryota; kingdom Metazoa; phylum Chordata; class Mammalia; order Primates; family Hominidae; genus Homo; species Homo sapiens. The sequence goes on along the minus strand of NC_000009.12, from coordinate 68,848,625 downwards.
TTTTATAATAAAATTTTACACTTCTCTAGCCTTTTTCATTTAAAATTTAAAATAGTCCTTTAGAAGAATTTACACCCATATTCACAATTAAATATATACTTTTGCAATAACAAATAAGGAGTGTGTTCCCTAATTGGCTCACTGGGATGCTGGACTCTTGGAGGAACATGTAACAGCAGCTTGTGGGTGAAGTGGGGGTTGAGAAACACACCTAGGCAGAAAGATATGGAGAAACTGCAATTGTGCCTGCCTACCTATGTCTTTTAAAGTCTTACACTGTAGGGCCAGAAAGGACCTGTAAGATGGGCTTCCCTGAAGTAAGAAATGATCAGGTATCTTTAGGTGGAATCTTTTCACATTACGGTAGTACCTTTCTTGCCATAACTCCACTCACTCTTCTTTTGATGGGGAATGAATGGAATATGTTCATGGCTCTTTTCACCATTCTATTAGCTAGCTGGCCTTTCCTGAGTACTTACTGTAGTCCAAGCCTTGTACAAAATTACTTACTCTTGATTTACATAAGATGAAACTGGCCCAGAAAGACAAATCAGCTTATCCAAGGCTACACAGTGAGGAGGTGGCAAAGCTGGCCCTTGAACCTAGATCTGTTAACCCTGAGTCCATGCTCATAACTGTCATACCTGATGTCATAACCCCACATAGAATTACAGAAATAGCAGCTTTGTAGTTTTGTGTTTCAGTTTAGCACAGGCCCAGCTAAAATATGTGGCTACTCCAACTGCTTGTTTATTGGCTACATGGGCCTGTTTCCAAGCAATACCAAGCCAGCTTCTACTCTTTTAATTTGCATTCTCCTTTGACTGGCAAATCCATGGTTAACTCTTTGCCCATAGGTGTGGAGATGGGTCAGGGCCAAAGTCAAACCTCTGCTCTACAGAGTTCTCCAGGGGCATATCACAGCCCTCTGCCATGTCAGGTGCACAGACACATGGGCACTAATTGAAAAGGTGTCCTATATGGGGCCAAAGTGGAAAGGTTTCACTATAACATTGGGAATCTTTAGAATAGGAATTAGAATCTAGGCTGTTTACCAGCTTTAAGTAAAACAAGATTAGGACAACCAACCTCCCCTCAAAGAAACCCTCAGCAACCTCCACCCTCTCATCCATCCCTTCTGGCCTAATGTTATCCCCACCTACACACACACACACACACACACACACACACACACACACACACACACACACAAAACCACTGCTGTTGTTGCTGATTTAGGGAATGAGAGGGGATGATTATAACTCCCTTAAAAAGGTGGAAACCAGCATGGAAACTTAATATACTCTGGAAATATCAGTGGCATACAAGATCTGGTTGTTATCTTTTACCGCCTATCCCAAGAGACTGCAAACCTTTCTTTTTCATCCCACCAACTGACCTCTTCAGTTTTAAAAAGAAGAATGTATTTAGCTAAGGAGGGGAAATAAACCAGCATCTCTCAGTGCTCTGATAGTGTTCACTGGGCCACTCGTCACTATTCTGCAGTTAATTAATTCAAGAGATAAATCTCTGACTTCATAAGACAGGAGGACTTAATTGCTATCCATTTACCCAAACAAAAAGAAAAAAATAAAAATGAAGCTTCTTATTGGGGTAGGGATCACTGGATGTTTTTTCCCACTTGTGCCTCAATTTTGGTCCTGCAGTTTTTTTCTTGATATATAAAAGACATAATGAGGACTATAATAAATGGTAGTGAAACAGGCCTAGAAGAAATCAAAATAGTTTTTCTCTTCCTTTCAAATCTCTACCAGTTTAATTCTTCCTCCTCTTAATTTTCATAGTAAGCTGTAAGGGTTGATGATAGGGAATTATACATACATGTATTATATCACAGATGTCATTATCTATGTTAGAGGAATAAATAACATTTACGAAATAGAAAAGCAAAGCTCAGGGATCCAAGGTTTAGAAGGAAGAAAGGGGCAGGGTAACTGTTGCTAAATGAGATGGAATCATACATAGAACAAAAACACTTTCAAATTGACGATGCAGTGATTTTATAGACTGACAGTGAGAGGCATCACTTGCTGTGACTTGCTGTTTACCAATCTCAAATCATTTTTCCATATGCCAGCCCTAAACACTCCTTATAGAATAGATCCAGCAGATGTAAGGACTAAGGAATGACATCAAGAAGGGATGAGGAAAATGGCTTCTCTCTAAATTCATAAGAATTTAGAGGCCAAGCTGTCTTTTCTGAAAGAGTGGGGGTGAAGACATCCCTCCTTTAATAATTGAGTTATTTTAAATGACTGGCATAGCAATTGTTTACAGTACCATGTGCTTTGTAGTTCTGGCCATATTTCTGGAAAACCACAGAAGAACAATGCCAAGAGAATTTTAAACAAAACAATCTGAAACATTAATATCAGTATTTACCTAAAGGGGCTTTAAAATTTAGAATGTAGGTGTTTCCTGGGTAGAAAAAGACTGGTTTTGAGTATTTGAAGACTCTAATGCAATGACTTCCATTGAGATATTTTAATACACATATATTTTATTGTGTTAAGTGCTTATTTTGTGTAAGATTAAGTTATTTGCAACATTTATTTCTCACCATAACCCGTATATTACCCCCACAGATGAGGAAACTTAAATTCAGATGGATTGTACATATGAAAGATAAATCCTAGATCATGTTTTACAAAAAGACTATTAAATGGAACTCTTCCTAAATGTGTACATAGACTAACATACACAAAGTTCATTTACATGTTTTTCAAGAATCTCCATAACCTGGGTAAAGCACTGAAGGTGGGGGATAATTTTGAATATTATGCATACTTTCAAGTTGGGATTAAGCATTTTTTGTCCATGTAACCTCACGTTTCAAGATCTAGGATTACATTGTAGTCAAGATGCTATTTTCCCCCCTACACACTTTCTCTTTTAGAACAGTGGAATACAGTTTCCAAAATCCTCTATTTCTGAGCCCTGTACATTTAAACAAATAAAACAGCCACGTTAGGCCTTCAGCTTCTCCCACCTGCCTGCAGCTCCCACGCTCCAAACTCACTGGCTTTTCCTCCCTGGCCTTCGGGATCCCTAT